>NC_000005.10:66359807-66984807 GCF_000001405.40 Homo sapiens | reverse complement strand
GACCCATCCTTGTTTTTGCTGTTTCCCTCAATGCCCCCCGCCCCGCCCCCATCCTCCAACTCATCCCTTGGCAAGCCCTACACATTTCCCCCTCAGAACACAGCCTGAATCCATCTACTTCTCTCCAATTTCACTATTTACCCCTGTAGTCCAAGGCAACATTCTCTCTCATTCTAAGTTACTTTTTGAGCTCTATCCACCCTCTACACAGAAACCAGGGAAACTTTAAAGAGGCAAATCAGATTATGTTATTACCCTACTTTACAATATCAAGTGTTTTCCACGTATACCTATGTAACAAACCTGCACATTCTGCACTTATATCCCGGAACTTAAAACAAAAAAATAAAAATATCAAGTGCTTTCTTTCCATCCTGCTTAAAGGAAAGCCCAATCTCCTTACTCCAACTTATGAAGTCTTGTGGACCTGGCCCTGCCTCTCTGCCCACTCATCCACATGTGTGCCCTGTGCCCACACCACTCTTCTTTAGCTTGCTTCTGCCCTGGGTGGCCTCTTTACTTGGGAGGCTTTTGCTTTGGTTTTCTCATGGCTGTTGCCTTCTGGTCATTTAGTTCCAGCTCGCATGCCACTCCTTCAGGAAGAAAGAAGCCATGGACTCCCCTGTTTTACTTCTCTGCAGCTCACTTGTCACTCCTCCAGTGTTTTTCTGGTTTATGTTACATCCTCTTCTCCAAATCCCTGCACCCCACTGGGATATAAGCTCCATGAGAGCAGAGACTTTCTCTATCCTGTCTGTCACCGTATCCCTAAAGCCTAGAACACAGCCTGGCTGGTGGTAGCTTCTCAAAAACACTTGCTGAAATGAAGATTGTGTGAATGAATACAGTGCCTCCTCTGTGTTACCACTAAGCACTGTCAGCCAAAAGATTTTGAGAGGCATGGTCCAGGACTTCTTTCTCTGTCCTCCTCTGTTTGAATTGAACAATATTTCACTCTGTAAACCCCACTATCTGAAGTCATAGGTTACATCTTTGTATTCCTTCAGGAGCTCCACCTCTACTAAGGCTTTGTGTAAAGTCATAACACTGGCATAAAACCTCTGTTGACAAATCACAACATTACACAATGAAATAACCAAATCACAACATGACAAAAGCAAATACCTCTAATCCCTCCCCATTCCCCTCCCCCTCAGTTTTGTAGAAACTATTTACTAATCATTTCCCCTGTGCCTGGTACTTAATGATCCTCAAACATGGAAAGATTAATGTGAACTTCCCCAATATACAGATGAGGAAACTGGCACTTAGAGATACTACACAAATAGCCCCAAGTCCCTTAAAGCAAGTGTCATGCAAATGGTAGGTTAAAATATCTCAGAGGGAGATCCAGGCATACTAAAATAACCTTCTCTTCACCATTAAAGCAGAATCCCAAATTCTAGCTTCTATCAAAATCATGAAAATGATCAGCTCCAAAGTCACACATACAGATTCTGGAACAAAGCTAAGGGATGGCCGTCTGTCATCATGGAAAAGCAGCTCCTCAGAAATAAGTGACATTAACTATTGTCTCCAAAACTAAATCTATGCATTGGTTTGACCAGGGATCTCACCCACAAATGCTGCCTAGAGCAGAAACTGACTACTTCTGACATTTCATATCCTCCTAATGAAGAAGGTACATATAGGTATGATGAGCACAAGAAAAGCTCAGTGGCAGCAAAGGGTTGGAACTTGAAACCATGTATCTACCTCCACGAAATGAAGTCAGCTACATAGTCAAGGCAATATTCACCACTTAGCTTCCTAAATAAAAATCCTATATAAATGCTATGTGCTCAATAAAAGCTATAACTCTCCTGATGAATGGGGCAGCATTCCTTGATATCTATTTTAGTGTAATTCAGATTGATATGAAAACTAAATCCAGCTAGACAATGAACCCTGTATAGTTGTGTAAATTAATCACCAGTAAAAGGGCACCACGCTCCAACAGTGGTTGCAGGCTGGCAACCTCCTTCGAACAAATTGCAAATAGGCACTTTAATGAGGGAGAAAATATGAGGTAACATAACTGTAGTCAAATCAGTTCCTACAGGAGGGAAAGCACATTAACTGATGTGCTGATATCCGCCGCCAGAATATCAGCTAGGGAGAACAAAAGGCTGTCAAAGCAAGATGCTGTTACTAAGCCAAGGCAGCCCAGGGTATGGGCTTAAGCTGCAATATGACATTCTCAAGGGGAACATGAGTTTTGTTTCTAATGTCAGCTCTTTAAGTGCTTTTTATTGATGTCATTGTTTTAGGATGTGCTAGTTATCCCTGACTACCAACAGGAGATTCTAATAGATTGTCACGGTGGCTTCAGAAATACACACTTTAATAAATAAATATTCTTTTATGACATAATTTTCCTAGTTAGGCAGGTCATGGTGTCCAGACACATTCAGATCACTCGATATTACATCTCTAAGTGACCCTCCATGCCAAGTGAGACACTTTACCAAATTGTTATTAGAATCGACTTTAGTCTCCCTAAGTAAGGAAAAATGGAGAAGTTAAAAGAAAGCACACACTCTCAAACACAGGATGCTCATGTTTCAGAATGGGATAAGGCCGATGATGTAAAAGGAAAAAAGAACATGTCACCTACAGAAAGCTGAGATGTGCAAGGCCATTATACAGGAGCAGACTGGATCCTGGCCTTGCCACTTCCTAGTTTGTAAGACTCCGGACAAGTTAATCTCTCTCTGTAAATCCTGATTTCCTCATCTTTAAAATAAGAATAACATCATCAAACAACTCTACCTATTCTACCTATTCCCACAAAATTGAGGCCTCAAATCACTTTATGGCTGCCTCAAACACAATAAAAAATCATGGGATAAAGTTCAAATAAACAAAGAGTAAGAATGATCTCATTGGGTTTTTATGAGAATCAAGAGTTTGTGTGTGAGAAGTGTCCTCAAATTAGAGAGCACTTAACAATTACTGAGCCAACTGATCTTGGCAGAGACACTGAGTTTTTAATGCTCCTCCAGAAGCAATACTACTTTACAGCCCTCAGAATCAAAGTGGGTCAGAGCCTCTCTTGAAAAATGAAATCTCAAATTTAAATGGGGCAAAAATAAGCTTGGCCCTAGTCTGCATTCTCTGTCAAAAACCCAAATCTGTTTATAGGGCTATGAAATTCATGTTCTCCAAGAACAACAAACTAAGGATGTTTTTAGAAGCATCTGAAGCTTCTGGCCAATTTCTGACAAAATAAATTCAATGCAACTCTGCCAGTTTCTGAACTCAATTTCCATTGGCAAATCCCTGGCGCAGGTGCTGCCATCCCCACCCCCATCCTTCCATCACCGCAGTAAATACTGCTGATTGATTATACAGTTTTCAGCCACTAAGTCCCAGACGGAGCCTCAGAATCTTTCTCAACACAAAGTTCTGAGTGGATGTGGTCAGAAAGTATCTATTATTAGCCATTCCTAAAGTAGAGAAACGAACAATTGACTGCATAGTCCAATGTCTTTCCAAAACAAATTTCTATTTTGAGCGGATAATTTCCAATAAATAAGAACATTATTAAATAGCTGTATTCATCAAATCAATATATTCAGCTATTTCAGATAACATTTTGCAAAAAAAATCCCACTTGGAGGCTTAAAAATAAGTGGTGCCACTCAAAGTCACATGTTTTACCATATTATGAGGTAAATGGAAAAGGCACAGGGTTACAAACTTATGACTTTAAAATTTCTATGCCCAAACGATCTCTCCCATACTCCACTGTGCAGAGCTTTGGAGTCTCAGTCCAGCACTATTTTTTCTTTAGCATAGTCTTTATTCTTTCATGAGAAAAAAAAATGTCCTGATCAGCTAACATCCCTGCAGTTCACTTCCTCGGGTAAGAGGGGGTGACTTGTTACTGCCAGTCCTCAGGCTCTTTGCCAACGTCAGAAGCAGAAGGCTCTCTTCTTGACTGCCCCAGAATACCTACACTTTCTAGGCCCAGCCAGAGCATTTATTCTAAAACTGAAGATTCCTTGGAAATGATCGAAATTAGGTGGAGAAGAGTGATAACTGAAAGGCAAAGAGAGACACGCTACGTAAACATTATCTCTGAGTTCTGGCCCTAGATGAATTAGATCATTGCTGGAAAGCAATATTCTTGCAACAAACACAGAACTTACAACCTTCTTTGTTGAACCATACTAAAAAGGACTCGTTTAAAATATATTTTCACCCTTTCTGATGAATTGAGGTCATCAGCCATTTCACGAAAGATTTCTTGTAAAATTCCACGTGAGGACAAGGCATAGAGCTCCAAAACCACACATGGTTTCTTTAGTCAGTGGGATCAATCCTGTTTCCCTTTTAGCTTTGACTAGCAGAAACTTAGCTAAATTCAGACCTCAATTAGATTAGTTATCTTACTCAAGTGCCACATAAAAGTATCTTAGAGTTTGAGGTCTTGCTTATCCTTTTTAACTAATTTCATATATGTTTCTATTGTAAACTACCTTAAATCCTTTTCAAAGGAGGTGGGTATAAGTGATGAACACACAGCCAAGTGTGAGGCGTTGTCATGCATCTAGCATTGTGGCTGCAGCTGGCTCTACTCACCAGGCCATCCTTGACCCCTGGGGGACTTATCTCTGGCCAGATATGTACATCTCAGCCACCGCAAGAGACAGTAAATTTCATCTACTCCCCCAGCCCAGCTATTCAGAACTGATAAAACATTTCTTTATATCCAAAAAGAATTTTGCATCCAGCAAGTAGCTTGAAGTTAGGAAGGCATATATTCTTCCTCAGATAACTTCTACACACAAAAATCTTGCAATAATAGTGGTGCCTGAGGATTTTCCCTCGACAAATTAAAGATGACATCATTCAGAATTGTTCTGCAAAATTTGGTCAGATCCATAACAACTGTCTGTACTCGTATTAGGCAGACAGTTCTGAGTTAAATGTATTCTATACACATGTGAATTACACACTTAATGACTGTGAGCCACGGGGCTAGAAGAGCTCCAATAACCATTGTTTCTCACAAAGTTCAATGACATTTTCTAAAAATATATGTAGAGCACCTGCAAGGTGGACAAATTATTGCCTGAAATTTCTGGAGTGTGTCTGGAGTGTGAAAAGGACCTCAAAAGCAAGCTCATTTGGTCTCTTGACAGCCAGTTTGATGTATTAACGACATTCAATTCCAGTAGCCCAATCCTAGTAGTAGAAAGAAAAAACAAATGTGTCCCTGCCCCACAACCAAGGATCATTCTCTAGCTTCTGGGGCATCTCTAGCGGATCTAGAGGGTGAACCCAAATTGGACCTTAAGGCCATTCAGGTGTTTCTCCAAAGCAGAACACCAGGCTTACTCCCTAGTTAACTGAACTCAAGAAATCTCAGTTGCAGGTTGCAGCTGAACATGCTTCCCCAAACTAATGACTATTTTTTTTTCTTAGTCCAGACCTAAACCACAGGAACAAGGAGCAAGGTGGATTTTGCCGAGCATCTGCCCCCGCTACTCACAATTTTAAAGAGGACTCAGTGTCTCTGTTGACACCTCCTACACCTTCATCTACATTATATATGAAGTTCCGAACATTCTCCCTAGGGTGCATCTCCAACAGCAGGCTGGACCTTTCTACTTGGCTGCTGTGCCATCATTTTTAGGTTCGATATTACTAACCATAGCTAAAAGTGAAACTGTTATCTTCAAAATGGATTGTTATCCCTGCTTCTATCTGAGATATAGCAATTCTCCCAATCTGCGTAAAAAGCCTCCCATCCTTCAGCAGGTCCTGTCAACTCTTCTTTCACAATGCCTTCCATTCTTCCTTCCCCTTCTCAAGCCTGCCTTTCTTCAGCTCTTCATCATTCCTTTTCTGCACTTTCCTTCTACTCTATTCAGACCAAGTTTCTCCTATGCAGAAATCTTACTAAGCTACCATGTTATTCTATTTTGCTAGTTAAAAAACCTCCAGACATGTCCTACACCGAAAAAAGAAAGCTCAAGACTAGCAAGTGAAACACTATAGTCTATTTCCAATGTTCCTCTTCCACAAAAATCCCTTCTGTCCTCATGCTGACTTTATATTAGCTCTCAGGCAAGCTGGCTTACCTAGCATCCTTGAACATACATGTCTACATCATCCCTTTCACTCCTACCCTTCTGCTCATCCCCAGTGATCTTCTCTCCTCCTTTCCATGTACTTAGCCCCGAATCAAACTTCATAGTCCAGTTTAAATCCTGATCCTAAATTCTCATGGCCTCTGGTTGTACCACTCATGTAGCATTCATAGCTCTGTACATTTTTTCAGGTGTCTAACTTAACTAAATTGTTACTTAAAACTAAAAGAAGAACATCTTCTCTTCTTGGTATCCTTCCCACAGCATTAGTACAGCAACCTAACAAAAGTGGGTTATATTTGCTGATATGCCGTAGCTTACAAAATGTTTTAAGAAGACTTCCTAAAGACTGATTTTAAAACACAGAATAACTAGAATAGGAGCATTTTAGGTCTTTACTTCCTTTAGTAAACCCTACTCTCATTACTACAACTCACCCAACCTTGGATGTACTTAAAAAACTGTAAAATTCAGAAAGTGAAGGGGAGAATAGAGGAGTGCATTTTACTTTACTAGAAAGATTTCTGATTTTAGCTTTTAGTTCTGTGTTAAAGTGACCACAATGATTTCAAAGTATATCTTCTTTCATGTTCATTCACAGTCAAATTCATAAACTTGTGCATATAACAAAACAATGCCTCAAAATAAGCAATCAATATAAAAATTTATGTGTGTGATTTTACAGCAACAGTACCTTAGGCAGCTGATTTTACACTGAAAAAGAAAATCTACTTTGAAGCTTCAAAGAAGCAGAGAATAAAAATAAAAATGCCTTTGGAGACAGGATGATCACTGGGTTCTAGGTTCTGAGTTCGAATCCTGTGTAGTTGCCAGTATTTTCTAAGATGCCACTGGAATGCACAAACCTATACACAGAACTGACAAAACAATAAACTACATTTTATGCCAAAGCCTTTCGATTCTGTTTTCACAAAAAACTAACAGAATCAAATGACATTTCATTGATTTCTCTAACTGTAGTCATATATAATCTTTTTTCCTTTTGGAAAGAAACAACAGCTAATGTAAACCCAAGAGCAGAACTTGATGGGGACCATCAAGGTGAGGAACAGTGACTCATGCCCAAGAAGCTATTATGAGGGATTTATGGGTCTAAACACTGACAATAAACTGAATAAACAAGATCATGCATAGGGGCAGGAGGTTTGTTTTCTTTTCCCCCCAAATGTGTACAACTGCTGTTGTGATCAATAAAAAAATTAAATGCTCTGAGTTTGCAGTCATTTTCTGCTTTTTCTACTTTCTCAATCAAGAGATCATGTGGGGTGTTCTAAAAATGTCTGATAGCCGGGCGTGGTGGCTCACTCCTGTAATCCCAGCACTTTGGGAGACTGAGGCGGGTGGATCACCTGAGGTTGGGAGTTAAGAGACCTGCCTGACAAACATGGAGAAACACCGTCTCTACTAAAAACACAAAATTAGCCAGGCGTGGTGGCGCATGCCTGTAATCCCAGCTACTAGGGAGGCTGGGGCAGAAGAATCGCTTGAACCCAGGAGGCGGAAGTTACGGTGAGCCGAGATCGCACCATTGCACTCCAGTCTGGGCAAAAAGAACAAAACTCTGTCTCAAAAAGAAAGTCTGATAATAGAAAGGATCCCCATATTCATGAAGGTGAGACTTTCTATATCAGCCCTGATGCTGACCCTACACCCCAATGCCACAGAGATCTGTCGCTTGGTTTAAAGCTCTTGGCCTGCCACTCTCTACATGATGTCTATACAATTTAGTTCCTTTTATATTTCCAATCATCATCAATAGAAAACTATAGATGCAAAGAAGTTGAGAATAGGGGTCAGTGGCTACTAGAAGTGTTAAAAAGGGTACTTAGTTATCCATATTCTATTTAATCTCAAACTGAGCTAAATAGGAAGCCCACAGGATCAAGGCTCCCAGGTAGTTTACAAGTCTCATAAAGGTCATGGGTAAAGAATTATAACACATTATAATCATCACACCAAAATCTCCAGATCAACACTGTGGGGATGTTAATTGTCCAGATCTCCCTCCTGAATGCTAGAGCCTACGGAATCCCTTCTATCTCCTGGTTCCCAGATGAGCCTGCAAAGACCTGTGCATTAAACACATTGTTCTTTTCTCCAAAGTTGTGGGCAGAGGGAGAGCATGAGATTACTTTCTCCATACTTCTGCTATCACACTTCAGTCAAGCTAGTTCCCTTTCTATTTCCCATACAAGTCCGAGAGCTCCCTGAGGGGAGGGATGGAATCCTTTTTAATCTTCATCTCCCCAGTATTGTGCTTGGCTCACAGAAGCAAAATGACTGTTTAGTAAACTAGAGAACAGGAAGGCCCAATCATATATGCAGAGGTGGCAGCAGTGCAGATCAAGAGGCCTGGAGCAGTTCACAGCAGGGCCTGCAGCAGAACTCTGATGGCTGCCAGGAAGAAGGAGTGAGCCTATCTGAGTGCGTTCCAGAAAGGGGTAATGCCTCGCAGGGCTGGAACCATCCAGTTCATCCCATGGCTTTTTCTTGGAGTCTCATGTTAGTGTTACCCACATGTACATGGTACATGCACATGGCAACAGCAGACGCAATGATCCCATGAGGTAAAGCTAAAATGTGCTGTCAACTACATGGCAAGGGATTCTCTTCTCCATGCACAGACAGACACATGGATACAATGCTCAGAGGCATCCAACACCTGGAAAGTTAAACAGCATTTTTTTTTAGATGGAGTCTAGCTCTGTCACCCTGGCTGGAGTGCAGTGGTGCAATCTTGGCTCACTGCAACCTCATCTGCCTCCTGGGTTCAAGCAATTTTCATGCCTCAGTCTCCTGAGTAGCTGGAATTACAGGTATGCACCACCAAGCCCAGCTAATTTTTGTATTTTTAGTAGAGAAGGGGGTTTCACCATATTGGCCAGGCTGGTCTTGAACTCCTGACCTCAGGTGATCCACCTGCTTCGGCCTCCCAAAGTGCTGGGATTACAGGCATGAGCCACCGTGCCCGGCCTAAACAGCATTTAAACAGGGAATACATCCCTGGACTGTGGGAAGCAGGACTGGTCATGTTCTGACTCTCTCACTATTTTTCTCCTTTAAGGATGCCCTTGTGTTTCTACCTTACACACACTTGTCCTTAATCTCTCCTGCCACAGTGGTCTGTCTTTTTTAAACTATCATGATGAGCACTCTGTGAGCACTGGTTCTAGTCACTAGGAGGAGGCAGGGGGCCACAGTGAAAGGCGCACTGGGCTCAGAGTTGGAAAAGCTGGTTTAAGTCACTGGGCTCCCTTACTCCTGGGCTCCTTCTTCTGTAACATGAACGTGAAAGTGCTCACCACACTGTCCTCACTTTGTCATTTCAGGGTCCCAGGAAAAACAAGAGAATGCAGTTTACCACTGCATTTGCTTCCTGCAGCAGCTGTAACAAATGACAGCAAACTTGTTGGCTTAAAACAATAGAGATATATTCTCCCAGTCTGGAGGCCAGAAATCTGAAATCAGTGTCAAAGGGCTGAAATCAAGATGTCAATAGGCCAGGCTCCCTGTGAGGCTCTCAGGGAGAATCTGCTCCTTGCATCTTCTGGCTTCTCTGTGGGCCAAATCCCCCTTGGCCTCTCTCACAAGGGCACTTATGATTGAATTTAGGAACTATTGAGATAATCCAGGATAATCCCCCCATCTCAAAATCCTTAAATTAATCACATCTGCAAAGACTCCTTTTTTCCTAAGTAAGGTAATGTTTACAGGTTTCAGAGGTTAGAACCTGATATCTTTGGGGCCACCATTCAGCCCATGACATACATCAGCTATATTAAGTGTTAATGCACAATTCCCAACCCATACTCTTAATTCTTATCATCTCAGCTAGAATAGAAATTCTCTGAAAATAAGAAACAACTCTTATACTTTGCAAATCCCATGAAAGCTTTCAAGGTATTATGTACAGAACAAATAGTTATTTTTTTCCATTTAGAAAATAAAACCCTTACTCTACTCAATTTTTAGTGGCCAGCATTAGATTCCATGGTAAAAAGTTCTAACATAGTCAAGTGTTTCATTTTTTATTTCTAAAATGGCCAAACCTTCTGTTCAGAGAAGCTGGAGACGAAGGAAATGCATCATAAAATGTTTCCACTGTCCGTGACAAGTGCCTTGCAGTGAGTGTCATTTGTAACGCGTTGTTAGTAATACTTCTGAATACTACCAGAACCCAAAGGCAGGAAAACTACTAGAAGCAAAATTGCAACGAACTCCAGACAAACATCTGTAAACCCCTTGCAGTCAGTCTGATTCATCTCAGTGTCATGAAATAGAAAAGCAGTGGCAGCTCATCTGGAAAAGCTTGATGTAGGCTCAAGGTGGGGATGAATTCGTTCATTCATTCATTTCTATAACAAGTAGTTGTTGAGGTCACATTATGTGCCAGATACTAGGGACTCAATGATAACCAAAATAGGCAAATCCCTTGTAATTTGTAGGTTTCATGCTAGTTGGGTAGGATAAATAAACAAATAAATAAATGTTATATATCAGGTGAGATATTCGCTATAAGAAACATCATGAAGCAGTCCAAAAGATGGTGGTGGTGTTCTCATAGAGTGGCCGGGGAAGGCCTTTGATACAGTAACATTTACTATAGATGCTAAGGAAGTGAAGGAGAGCGCCACTCAGGTATCATTTCAGTGTTCCTTTAGCTGCTCTGGACAGCTAGAACATCCTGTGCCAGAAAGTGAGGAGGTGCTCAAAGATTAATTGCATCATGTTAAAAGGACCCAGGAGCCAGCTTAAAGAGCTTCTGCTTCCCACTGATGAATTTTAGGACAACTTGACCAACAAAAAGAGGAATGCTGGTTATAGATTACTACACATCAAATATGTATTTGTCTTCCATTTTATTCTATAGAAAAATGTATGAGTCAATCTTCCTAAAAATGAAGGGAGAGAAAGGAGGGAATATTCTTCAACTGAAGAACACCAATTAATAGAAATAAACAACTGTGACAAACAGCAATGTAATAAATGATTTGAGCAAGGTCATCAATGAAAGCAAAAACCACTGGGTGAAATCTTGTTGTGAAGAGTATATTCATATGGACTAAAAATTTTACCCCAGAGATTACTTAATAAGGTAAAGGCATAGTCACCATAAAGGGAAAATCTGGCAGACACCAGCTTTTGGACTTCCTGGTGTGATGCTATGAGGAGGACATCATCACCTGTTCTTGGCAAATATGTTTAACCTGAATCTAAAGATGACAAAGCCATCAGATAAACTGAAATTGTGGGATGTTCAACAGAAAAGTTGTCTAGTACTGAGGGAAGAAGAAAGACAGTATAACTTTCTCAATTGAAGGAGACTAAAGAAAGAGATACAACAACTCAATGGAACATATGATCTTTAACTGGATTCTGACATAAAAAAAAAAAAACTTTCACAGACACATTTTTTGAAACAGCAGGAGAAAGCTGACATAGCCCATATAATGATGTTCAATTTTAACGCCATAATAATAATATAGTTATATAGGAGAATATACTTATTCTTAGGAGATACATGCTTAAGTATTTAGGGGTGAAGTGCCTGAATGTCTGCAAATTACTCTCAAATGGTCCAGGAGAAAAAAATGTTTAAATACATCTAGGGGCTAAGAGAGAAGGAAGGGGAGAAAGAGCAAATGTGGCAAGTGTTAACTGGTGAATCAAGATGAACATGGTCGTACAATTTTTTCAACTTTTTAAAAACAGGTTTGGGATTTAAAAAAAAGTTGAAGGGGTAGGAAGAGAGTATTTTAGAAACAGGGAATAATCAGCCCTGACACAGGAACATGCTTGAAGTGCTCAAGAAAAGGCAGAGTCCAATGAGGCTAGAGGGAATGAGTGAGACACGGCAGGAAGCCGGATCACGGAAGACAGTGGGCATCCACTGGAAGGTTCTGAGCAGGAGCAGCTCACACCCCACAAAAATCACTCTGAGAGCTGGATGGAGACTGATCATAGGAGGGCAAAGGTTGAACTAAAGCAGGAAGACATGCTAGAAGGCTACTACTACACAAATCTAGGGATAAATGGCAGCGGCTCAGACTAAGGTGGGATAGGAGAGGTGGTCAGCATCGCATATTGAGAAGGCAGAATCAACAGGACTTCCTAGTGGATGATGGCACATGCCCCCAAATCTACACATGTGCACACTGCAAAGATTTTTTAAAGGGAAGAATTACAGGTGGCTTTTGACTCAGAGCTTGATTAAAGTTGAGCCAAACTTGTATTTTATATAAAGAGGAGAGAAAAAAACAATACCACTGTGAGAAAGTAAATGTTCTTCTCAATGTGGGGTATCTCCATAATGTTTTATTAACTGGAGCCAGTAATGATTCAGCTAAGCAAACTGTCAGAGAAATAAGTAGAAAAGCCTAAGAATCCATGAAATTTAGCTCACGTCTTTTTCACCCGAGACTATTAGTACAGCTCTCCCAGTTTCATAATACCTCATCATTCACTATCACTTCAATTAGAATAGGCAACATCCTTGATACAAAGGTCAGGTTTTATAGTTCATTTTGAATGCTGGGTTGCAAGAATGGTATGACACTAATAATAACAAAACAGAACACTCTTCTTGGAACATTTCACATACATTGCCTAGTTAATTCTTACACCACCTCCAAGAGGCATTATTATCTATGTTACTGCTGGAGAAATGACTTTTTTTTTTAAAGTTTTCGCATTTGTATTACTCCTTTTACTGAGGCATCTCTGAGTTTCACATTATCATCACCATCTTATGCTCTCCAAGAAATCACAACTTAATTCTCATATCAACAGGGTGGGTGTTAATGGCTGTATCCATATTTTAAATGTTGGAAATAGGATTTTTAAAATGATGTGAAATGTGTTTTTCTCCTGTCACAAAGAAATGCCTTAACAAAATGGAACATAGGATATAACTTTCCCCAACACACACATACACATGCACCCACACACAGCAAAGTAAATTTTTATTCACCTCAAGAAGATCTACTAAAAAAAGATAACTGTTAAGCCTCCATAGAATAATTTCAATATATTCAAAAACAAAAATTTAATAAGTTACTTAAGTAAAGTAGTCACAATATGTGGCCCAGAAAAGACTACACAGTAATCAATCATCTTGAGCTGTGAGGCCCAAAGAAATGTTTAAGAGTAGATAGTATCAAGAAAGTGTCCGGGCTCCTTGCAAACGGGGTGAGGAATCCTTACTCAGGCCTGAAGAGGCTGGTTTCCTAAAAGGGCTCCCAGAGCCCTCTGAATAACACCGCAATGGTGAGAACACTGTCACCCCCAGGGAAGTAGCAGGCTGGCCCAGGCTGAGGGAACAAGGCACAGGCTGCTCAGACTGGAGTTGCTGGGGCCCACGGCCTGATTTCCAAAGCAAACCCAATTTAACCTTTTTTTGCATCACCTAGGCTCTGTCTAAAACAAAATTTTAAAAAAGTAATATCGGGCTCCACAAGTCAAAACATGCTCCTTATACCCATGAATGCACTCTTAACAGAGGACTAAAACATCTAGGGAACCAAGCAAGAAAGCTCCAGACACAGTAACAAATCCACCTGCCAGTAAATGGAATCTTACACTGTGAATGCAAATGAAAATGACCACAAATTGAAGTCCCGAAGAAATAGAGGCACAGGCTCTCCAACCAGATGCTTGAGCTTGAACCAGACCAGGTCACTTTCTAGACATTGGGAAGAGGGCATAATCTGTTGGTCAAACCTGGAGGTTTTGAAAGTGAAAGGGGAGTGCTTTTGAGCATCACACTGGAAAAAAAGGCATACATCAATCCGCATCTGGGCAAACTGAGATGTGTGGGCTCCATAGATAAATCTGTCTCTGTGCCTTAGTTTTAACATCTGTAAAATGAAGACAGTACCTGCCTCCCAGCCACAGGGTGAAAACTGTGTGAGTTAACATACGTGCAGCACTAAGAACAGTGCCAGGCATGTAGCAAGCTCCCATCAATGCTGGACACTAAGCCGCTGCACATGCAAATATCTAGCTTAGTAATTTCTGCCTTTAACTCAAGTCAGTAGACAAAACAGAAAAGTTAATGTGAAAAGGTGAGTGCATAGATAAAAAACACAAACCATCATGACAAACAACATGGCCCTGGAATGGCTGTCTGGGCCTGGAACATGTAGGTGTCTATACATGGATGAGTCAAGGCGCTGCAGAGACTCAGCTGTGCCAAGACCCCACGGACCTAAAAGCTCTGCTTGCCATCTGACCTCACAAGACTTCATCCCCTAGGTTCTGCAAGTTTATAGAAGATGAGCTTATAATACCCATTTTAAAAATACTATATTTCAGAAAAATCAAAGGAAACAACCTTTCTGCAGTAAGTTTATTATGCTTGCCCTTCCCCATTACTGCTACCCACTTGAAGTCTCCTACCCCACCCTGTCCTCCTCTGGAGCACCGCACACACATCCTCTTTCTTACTAAGCAAGGGAAGCCTCCAGGTGGTGGCACTGGCAGAAACCAGCAAGGGTAGGGTGGAGGGAAGTGCTAAGTGGCCTGTCCACACCACCCCAGTGACAGCTGAGACTGCCAATCTTCCTCATCTCTCCCCAGCCCCACACCCACAGGGCTGGCACCGTGTTCATAATCAGGCTCATCTCTGCTTGGCTGAGCCATTCCTAAGAGTGCCTGCATGACACAGATTTGATCCTATATGACAATTCAGAAATAAAATTCCAGGAATTCATTAAACCATCACATTCACAAAAGCACAGGAACTGGTGTCTGTAGAGTACAAAGAAATTACCATCTGGTACGAGCATCTTCAGATTTTTTCAATGTTCTCCACAAAGTGAAAGGCGGAAAAATAGAATAAAAAAGACAAATGGGACCTCTCATTGTAAAAAGCGAAAGAAACTAAAAGGGTTTAGTGGTTTAGCCGTCAGGTGACTTTCCCAGTCTTACAGGTTCCCTGTGAAAAGGAGACACAAAATCACAACATACTGCCATGTGTTTGGTAAATGCCTATGATGTCTGCCCCTCACCATGGCAACAAGTGAAGTGAGGGGGATTCAGGCAGCCATGGATACCCAGTAACCTTTCCAAGCAGCAACAGGACAAATAGGCCAGCTCTTGGCAAAATGGGACTAGGTGAGAATTACGCTGGATGCCCTCCCTGTTAAGGTGCTGTCTACCTTTCCTGCCCATCACTCTTAGGACCACCATATGCTCCATTCTTGCTCACAAAAAGTTATTGCACTAAAACCCCATAAGCTACTGTTCTTACATTGCCAGCGAGGTAGGGGATTCATAGATAAAGACAATGAGCGTTCAAGAAGTTTAACACTTGCCCAGGGTCACAAAGCTTACATGTGGTGAGGTCTGTGACCAAGACTCAGGCACCATAACTCCTAGTCTGTGAAGTACCAAACTCAAGTATCTCCAGGGCCACTTCAGGTACTGTGAATGAATGAAGCCAGCTAGGTGGGGTCTATGCTGAAATGGAGAATGGCAGCTCTAAAAGGTGCCGCAGGGACCCAGCCACAGACAGAATGTGGCTGCAAAGGAACACAGACTCACTGAAGGGCTTCGGGTTTGTAAAAGCAGCCCCCAATTCACAATTCTCTTATTGCTTCAAAGCACATTTAATGACAACTAAATAATTTATTTAGTACCTAGTTATTTAGTACCACATTATGCTACATGGGCTAGGGAGACAGCAGTATGTAAGATAGACAGGTCTTGCCCTCCAGAACTTACATTCTACTACTCCTCCTTAGAGTGACTTATCCTCTTCCGTGTGTAATCTGCCATGACTTCTGTATCATTTTCTCTGTCCCTCACCATAGCTAGGCATATCTGTTAATATAAGCTGGGGTCTAACTTTAATTAACAATGACTTTCTACTTTGTCCTAGATAATTGATATCTACTCAGTTTTTACATTTTGATGGCTATAACTTACTATTTATAGAAGAATAAAAAATAAGTCCTTTTTCTCAAGGTGCCAGCACTGCTCTCAAAACATACCTTCTATATAACTCGATCTCATGTTTAAGCACAGGTGAAAACATCAGAACAGGCTTGAGTCCCAGGGAATAATACATTCATTCATTAAATCAATATATATTTATGGGGCCTCTTCTACGTATGTCAGGAACTATTTTAGGTTTTGTGGATATATGTGTGAAAAAGTAGACAAAAATGGTTGTCCTTGTGGAGTTGATGGCACAGTGATAATATTCTTCTCTGGAAGTAGTACTATATCCTACCAGCAACATGGCATGTGTGTTTTCAGTCACAGCTGAAACAGGGAGAGAGAGATTTGGGAGATGGAAGGAGAAGAAACAGCATACCTTCTCTACTGCCAACTCTGGCATAGCTGACTGTGTGTTTATGACTCTGAGACTCCAGAAACCAAAGGGAGATGCAAAGAAAAAGATGGAAGAAGTAAAATACAAGGAACACAAGACATGCAGCCAGCAGGCTCTTGAGTGGTTATCATCCAGGAAGATGTTGGGGGATGAAGCAGAAGTACAAAAGAACATCACTACGGCATAATAGAAACTTGGCCACTGAGTAATGGTGTTCCAGCCTACAGCTACTTACTGGGTCCCTATTGATGGCAAGGCGTGCTCGGTGCCAAGAAAGCCACTGAGAATGTGAAATGAGATAGCTTCTTCTGGAATCTTGCTATCTAATCACAGTCCAGATTAGGAGCTGGCACGAGTCACATCTATATTACTCAGGAGGCACTGATGTCACCATTATACAAACAGCTCCTAAGTGGTAGCCAATTTATTAAGTACTGGGGGTCATGAGAAATTCTGAGTGGTTATGGTTGCCTCAGAAGGAGGAAAGCAAAGTTGTACATAAATTCCACTTAAGGTCTTGAAGATGCTCTCTGTCACACTGGTAACTAATAAACTGATATTTAGGGCCATATATATATATATATATTTAGTTTGTAGACAAAGTGTGTATTTTGCCTATTTCTCCAGCCCTGATGGAAGATGTTTTTCTTTTTTTTTTTTTTTTTAAGGAGTGTGAGATTTTCAAGATGGAAGGGCTTTTGAGAATAACGTAGTCTAATCCTCTGCTCAGTACAGGAATACAGTCTGCATCTTTCCAGCTCACTGGGTGCCTGGCCTTCCTGATGGTCTGATGAGGCAGCCCATTAAAAGTTCAGAAATCTTCCTTAGAAAATTCTTTCCTTCATACTGCGCCCAAATTTGTCTTACCACAACCTCCATATGGCAGTGCAAGGTCTTACTACCCAGACATACTAAACAAAACGTAAGTCCTATTTAGCAACTGAGCTGTCCTGGAAGCTGCAGATGTCTTATTTCTGGCCAACCTTCAGGAAGCCTGGCCTGGAGAAGCCCCTGGAGTTCCGCTGGAGATGGAGAGCTGACTCATGTCTCTGTACAGCCTGCCTCCAGGGTTTTACTATGAAAAGAATAGAATCTTCCATTGTCATATTTAGAAACTCTGTGTGTCATCACCTCAAAAGGGCACAGACACTGTGATACTCACCACCACCACTCTGTCCTAGACCTTTAAGCCCCACCATGAAAAAGGAATAAAGAACAAATCTGACCCATCACAATCAATGGTAGGAAAACAAAATCTGTGCAGGGATACAAAACATGCTTTTTCTGTGGTAACAGCATGAACATATTTGGAGTCTTGCAATTTATAATATTAGACCATCATTTTGGGGCACACTATCAGGGATACCCAATTCCAAGCTGCCAACCAGATATCTCTACCTACAACTTTCTCACTGTGTTTATGACCAGACTCATCATTACAACATTTTCCTCCCTCACCAACTCTGTTTTTTGGGGTTCAAGTCACTAATGCTAGAAATTGCAGTGTAAGTAAGTCAACTCATTGAAAATTATCTACTGAACACCTGCTATGGGGCACCTTTATTTCATCAACTTCTACAACAAAGATTGCTAACTATTTAACCAAACTTATTTCCTCCTTTTCCTGGGCACCAGCCAGCCATATTTCCCAGGCTTCCCTATTGTTAGATACAGTCAGAATACCACCTTCTAGGCCATGAAATGTGAATGGAAGTGATGTGTGCCACCTTCAGGTCTGTCAGTGCACCACCCTCCATGCTCTTTCCCTTTCCACCAGCTAAATGTTGATGCCCAAGGCATCCTTGAAGGCCATGGGTTAAAGATCCCCCTGGATCCCTTAATGACTCTATGGAGCAGATCCTCCTGCAAACCCTTCATCTATGAGTGAACAATGCAATTCCATTGTATTTGAGCCATTGTATATTTATTTGGTGGTTGGTATATTAGCAGCACTGTAACTAATACATCTTCTATTTCTTATTCACTCATTTATTCATTCTTTAATAAGCATTTTTTCAAACACTTAGTACATTCCATATACAGAGTGAGGCACTGGGGAAATAAAAATGACTAAAGAAGGTCACAAGGTCTACCTAAACCAGATAATTAAAACTCAATATAAATGATCTCAGAGCAACATGTGTATGTCTTAAGTTAGTCACAGTGGAAAGATTTGAGACTTCATTTTCAGTCCTAGGCTACTATTTAATCTCTGTATGGGTTAGCATTTTCATCTGTAATCAAAGGCAATATTCATTTCTGTCTCACGTAGTGTTGGGTGGATTAAATGGAATGAAACCATGTACATAAAACCAGTTGGCCAACTATAAAGAACTCTGCAAATTTTAATTTAGTTTATTGCAATTGTCCTACTCCCAGACCTGTTACTCATTATAGATTGTACTAGCATCCTCATTGGAGTTTCTGCCTAAAATACAATCTATTCTTAATATTGATAAGGTACGTTTCCTCAGTTTGAACTCAGATTGGTCATTTCCTTATTCAAAACATCTTCTGACTCCTGAACACTTACAAAATGAAAGTCAAACTTTTTAGCTTTAGTATTCAAGGCCTTACATAGCATGCATGCCCCCAAATTAATTTTCAAGTTTATATCAATCTCTATACAGTTCCAAACTTTTCTTCTATTTCACCTATCCTATGTCCTAGTGACACACATTATTTCTACCATATACTATGCTTTCTTACATCCTAGATTTTTTTTTCTCTGTCTGGTTTTATCCTTCACCGCCCCCCCCCCCGCCCCCACCAATCCCTCCCCACTGAACCTCCAATATTTTTCAAGGTCCAGCTCAAACGCAACCAGTTCCCTAAAACTTTTTCCCCAAAACACTCTTCAGAACCTCATCCTCCTCTGCACTACCTTAGCACTGAATCTAATTTTCTTTTCTCTTCTACTAATGATGCCATCTTCATATTGAATAGCCTATTGCCTTTAGGAAGAATAAAGAAAAGGAAATACAAGCATTGTATTTAATGAAAACATATTACACTAAAGAAAAAAAGTTCAGGACACAGTTCAATTTCTTGCAGTTGGATAACCAAAATGGACACATTAGAAGAGCAAAGGAATTCTCCAGATAGGGAAAAAAAAAAAAAAAAAGCAAAAAAAAAAAAAAAACTACTCTTATGTTTTAGGACCTATTAAATTCAGGGGATGCTGTATAAAAGCTATTACACAAAACTCTCATGTTGAAAGTCACTTTTACAATAATAAGTATAATCCCATCAGCAGAAGAGTAGAACTAAAGTTCCAAGTCATTAATTTGTTTCCCTAGTCGATTATTCTTTGCAGATTTCAGTTCGGCCTTACTTTAGAAATATGAAAGAAACAAATTTGTTAAATTGTCCCACTGATATCATCTAAAGCTTGTAAGTTAATATTTTTAAGGAAGTGGCCATAAGTGGCAAATTCGTCATTCATTTGCGTTTATGAAATAAAAAATATTCATAAAAAAATTTAAGTTGCCCTTTGCATCAACGGATAATTTGATTCTACTTTCTTCCACAGGATTTTTTCTTTTTTGAGACGGAGTCTCACTCTTTCGCCCAGGCTGGAGTGCAGTGGCCAGATCTCAGCTCACTGCAAGCTCCGCCTCCCGAGTTCACGCCATTCTCCCGCCTCAGCCTCCCATGGGGTAGCTGGGACTAAGGCGCCCACCACCACGCCCGGCTAATTTTTTGTATGTTTAATAGAGACGGGGTTTCACCGTGTTAGCCAGGATGGTCTCAATCTCCTGACTTCGTGATCTGCCCGCCTCGACCTCCCAAAGTGCTGGGATTACAGGCATGAGCCACCGTGCCCAGCCCCATAGGATTAGGATTTTTAAAAAGGGGAAAGGGACGCTGGGTACACTATGTGTGTCTTCCGATTAGATACAGGAAGATTCACTATATCCATAAATAGTGAATTCATGAAAAGTCTATTAGAATATACATACCATAGATACTATAGTAGCAGTATTTTCTATCGTGTATTCTTATAACAAACTATGCTAAAATGTAAGAGTTCCTTGGGGATATTTCTCTAACAAACAGAGAAGAGTGAATATAATCAGCCTATGAGTGAGGGGGTAGGAGTATATACCTTGGAGTTCTAAAAAATGATTTAAAAAATATTAACACTTTAGACAATTTAAATACATTATCCTGTAAATAATAGTGTATAAAATAGTTTGAGGCAACAGGTATTATAATACTCTCATAGGAATTAGGAAATGTTTTCTAGAAACCAATAAATTATATCTTTATATTGATCAAAACTTACAGAATTCAGTGCAGATCATTCCCTAAGAAAGCAAAATGAAAAACTGTCACATATACACACACATTGAACAATGAGTCAAGAGACACCAAGTGAAATATGAGTAAATATGCTAAATAGAGTAAGTGATCAAGTAAGTCACCAAGTAAACAATTCAACCAGTTTCCTCACCCTGTGGATTGTGGATTGCAGAGTCTGAAGTAATCAAATGCTGGTGGTGGGAAATGGGGCAACAGAAAGACAAAGCAGCCCTGGGCAGGCCCTGGAGCATGCTTACCTCCAAAAGTGAAAGGCCAAGAGAGGACTACAAGGACTGCCTGGGCTGGATGGGGTTGGACTCAGGCTCCTGGGAGTGAGACTGAAAGTTAAAATAACGTCATTCCAAGTGGGAGAATTGATTGCAGTAAAAATAGCATAGCTCAGTTAAGGGACTGTGTTCCCTTTAGGCCAGAATCACTATGGCAAGCTTATCTACACCACTAGGTAATCATCTAATCACTTGCCCTTTTCAGCTCTAAAATACAGAACAAGTAAAATGCTTCCTGCTGAAATTTACATTTTAAAAACTACAGCTGCCATTTTTATTTGAGCCTTTTCTTTGTCACAAAGCAACTTGGCAGATAACTTTGACATGTGATTTTTGCATCAAAGAAAATCCAGTGCCATTTTATATTGAGTATATTTTATTCTAGATTAAGAAGACAATGCAAATAAAAATTTAGGTGAAATATCGTAGTTTTTACAAAGCAAAGCAACTAACATTTCCCCATAGGAAGATGCGTTTTTAAGCACTTTTGCAAGGAAAAACAAGTCTTCCTTATAACAAAGACCCAATATTTTATCTAATCCTCAGGGGCAATGATAAAAAGTGTTCCTATGCATATATTCAAAATAAATAATTTCAAAAATTATTACATGTAGTTATATATTATTTTATCTTCCAGAGAGGTCTTCTCAAATCCAACTGTCAATGAACCATTATAATCCCTGACCCCCCACTCCCCACCCACCCATCCAAACCACCATGATTATTCCAGCCAATTCTCAAATATTCATCACAGTGTGGTTGGAATAGAGTTCATTCATCTTTTTTCTTTCTGGCCTCATGTCTCTTTTTTTAGGGAGATAAAACTTAAATTAGATACAGTACAACAATTTAACCAATAGATCTAATAGATCTATTAAAGCATGGAGTTGATGCTAGTCAGTTACCAACTATTTTTACATGGCAAAATCAAAGTAAAAATTAGCTAAGTATTCTGTAGGTATTCTTGCCCCAACTCTAAGACTGAAGTGAGCAATAGAAACTCCTGCTATAGTGCAATGAGTTTCTTTCCTGTCTTTTGTTGTTGTTGTTGTTCTTTTTGAGACAAGGTTTCACTCTAGTCACCCAGGCTGGAGTGTAGTGGCTTACTGCAGCCTCCACCTCCTGGGCTCAAAGTGATCCTCCCACCTTGGCCTCCCAAGTAGCCAGGACTATAAGCACACACAACCATACCTGGCTAATTTTTGTATTTTTTGTAGAGATGGGGTTTCAAGATGTTGCTCAGCCTGATCTCAAACTCCTGGGCTCAAGTGATTCTCCTGCTTCAGCCTCTCGAAGTGCTGGGATTACAGGCGTAAGCCACCATGGCTGCCTTTTTACTTTTTTACAGATGGTGTCTCCATATGCCTCCCAGGCCGAACTTGAACTGCTGGGCTCAAGAGAGCTTTCCATCTCAGCATCCTGAGTAGCAAGAACTATGGGCATGCACCACCGTGCCTGGCTAGTGCAGAGAGTTTCTTAAAGAATGTTATTTTGCCTCTCCGCTGGACGATGGCTCTACACTGTATCATGTTTTCCTATCTCAGAGAATGAGGTCTTGAAACAGAGCTGCATTTTGGTTGATTCAAGCTGGTTGTGCTCTTCATTGGCACAGAGGGTTGGCAATGATGGCTAAAATCAGATTTGGGCTTACTATGGTTTGCAAATCCTAAATGCCATCCTTGTCTCCCATTATATGGATAATTGAGACTTGGCTGTATTTGTCTTAAACTAAA
Organism: Homo sapiens; assembly: GCF_000001405.40. NCBI lineage: Eukaryota > Metazoa > Chordata > Mammalia > Primates > Hominidae > Homo > Homo sapiens. The sequence continues at coordinate 66,962,024 of NC_000005.10, read as the reverse complement.
ATATTAAATTATTGCTCAAATGCTCTAATTAAAAAATATAATGTTTCAACAGAGTAAAGTTTTATATCTTCTAAGACCATTCTCTGATTTGGTACCAGCACTTGTAATTAGTAAGGAATTATTTTCCTTATACACTCAGAGCATATTCAAAAGCTGCTGCTCTTAAACATGCTGTACTCTAACTTAGCAGCTCATTGGAAAGCTCTCAGGAATGTCCCCTGATATGTCCATCATTTTGTCTATGTACAGTCTTATCTATTCCTTCCTGTCCTAAAATCGGCATGCATAGGCACTAACACCATTCCCAGTCTCTATGCGGAAACACACATGATGAGTGCTACGAAGTGTCTATGTACCCAATTCTATACTTACAATGAAAAAAGAAAAAACAAAAAAATCTACCTTTCTCAGAAACTGGAAAGCCAGGCATAGGCTATTTAGGCATCATAAATTTCTGTATAAATTAACAACTTATTAATTTCTGAAATATATATTTGATGTCTCACACCTAAGATTTCAATATCTGAAACAGGAATCAGAAACTGCCCTGTGTTTACTGATAAATCCAATGGAAAATTCTAGATTGCATCTACAGAGCATAAAATAGGCTCATATAATACTCCACAGCTGCAGTGCTTATGGAATAAACTCTTCTGAAAGAAAAACAGTAATGTCTGATGAACATTCAAAAGCTGTTCTACACATTTGCTGTGTGAGTTAAGACTGTAAGATTCCCAGATAATTAAATTTATATACATTAAATCTGCTTTTAATAGAATCTGTGATAAGACTTTCCATTATAACATTCCTCTGCAGTGGCTAGAAGTTGAATTTACTCAAAGACTGCAGAATTAGCTTTCTCCATGAGTGAATGTAAAGTTAGCTATGTCCATTTTAGAGTAATTTTGCATTTCAAGGTAAACAAAATGTTCAAAGTAAATCACATACTAATACTACAATGATATTTAAGAGTGATTCTCTATTCCACTCTCACGCTCCCTAGGCAAACAGAATTACCTATTTTAAATGCACAGTAATATTTACCAAGATAAGAGGATAGAAGGAGGGGGCGTGGCCTGATACCAAAACAACATCCAAAGATCCCCTGTGTTTAGCTGACTGTTATGTCCTGTGTCGACGCTGGCAAGGTCATAAAACTCGTGGCATAATTCAGTCCTTCTAATCATAAAATGGAATGTTTGACACAGCTGAGTTCATATTTTTAAAAAGTTACTTTGAAGTGTCTCCTCTTAATGTAGACAAGATTGAGAAAAGAAAGAAAAAAAGTAAAGGAAGAAGAGGAAAGAAAGAAAAAGCCTAATGTGAAATGATATCTACTAAGTCCAAAGAAAACAACCAGGAAACAGCACAACAAAAAACAGAGGCAAAAGCAAAGCGGGAGGTTAATGCCCCTGGGTTTTAAACACAGAGCTATGGCTTAGTTATGCATTTCCAGCTAGAGAGAGGAGGGTTAAGTAGAAGAATGAGTGCATGCCACTAAAATATTCCACACAGATGGTGAGAGTTGAATGTTAGGGTGGGGGTGGAGATGGGAGAAATGTTAGGGCAATGGGTAAATACTATTCGTACCTCTAATATGAAGAATGTCACAGCTAGCAAGAAGGTTGTGAGAGCCCTCTAACTTTTTGTAAGTGAGTCCCTCATTAGTATAAAATCAGGGCACAATTTTAGAGCAAGGACTGATTAGAAAAGTATTCACTTCAGAATGTCATGCTTTTATTAATTAAGGAAATAATTTCTCTTGTATGATGCATCTACAAAATTCAAGAGGAATAATAAATCCTCAGAACCAAGCACAGTTCTCATTCTGCAGTCTCTTTCTGCAGACAGTCCAGTATGAGATTATTGGGACTGTACAGAATTCACTGAAATGTAATTTTATATCTGTGCTGTAAGTTAGAAAGAGGGATATTTATGTTTGTCTACCGGATTTATATTTTACTGTTTATTATTTTAAGTGTGACAGCACAGACTAACTCACAGCTTCTGCATCTTTGACTAACAGATTTAAAATAAAAATTTGCTGACACTTCCTGCATCACAGATGTCTAACTTCTGCGCCACAAATTAGATGTGGACATGTTCATGTAGCTACATCACATCACAAGGCAGTCAGATGAGTTAATGGGTTAAAAAAAAAAACAGCTAAGCAAACACACAGCTCAACTAGGTAAACACATTGCATGCAGTGGCTGGAGATTCTGCAGAGAGGATTCTAAATGTACCACAGTTCATTAATATTCTGTTGCACAGATAAAACATGGATCACATCTAATGAACGTCACAAATAACCCTTCTCTTGCACTCTAATCCATTGTAATGTCTTCTATTATTCAATGCAGACAGAGGCCTTTCTTTAGAAAAAGGCAACATAGGGATAAACAAACAGTAAGAGAGAAGGAGAAAAAGACAGATACACCATGGCCTACTGATACATTCTTTCACAATGAGCTGTTAAGATGTTTCCAGAACTGGGGTTTAGTAACTTTAAATATGCAGCAATGCTTTTCCTCTGACTGCAATGCAAAATGCTGGTCTGGGTGTCCACATTAGCTGAAACCAAATGCCATGCATTTAAGACATGTTCCTCCACCTCACACTGCAGTGCTCTGAGGCTGTCAGTACAAACAAATGCTAAATAGCTATTGGTCGCCAGAAAGCGAGTGCCATGCAGAAAGCATTAAAATATTAAAGACAGACAATACTTACTCCAAGGTCAGCCCCGGAATCTGTAGCCTTTCCCGCTGGGCTTTCATGGTTGTTATATGTTAGCACACTCTATTGTAACCATGACACACACTCCCTGCCAGCGTCCCGGTGATGACAGAGAGCCAAACCGAACCTCTCTAAAGGACTGGACTAACACTCTCTCGAGGGGGAGGGGGAGGCTGCAAGTTTGGGTCCTTCCACCTCTAGCCGTAATCAAGAGATGTCAGCTGCTTTCCTCAGGTTAACGGCAGTGCACACTGCACTGATTTTGTTAAAGGAACGAGGCTTGCAGCTCTGCATATCAAGTAATTGGTTTCTGATTTTTTTTTTTTTTTTTAAAGAAAGTCGCTCTACTCACAGACCCACTTTTCACCTCAGTGAAATGAAAAGTCCTTTTCACCCTGCAGACTGGGGCAAAAAAATAAAGCAACAGTGTCATACTTGTAAAAGAGTTTATCTCAGCACACGTCAACTATTCCCCACCTCCCTGTGATGCTCTCGAATAGAATTCAGCCACCCTGAGGAGGCTCATCTTACACTTCCCTTGGTGGAGTTAACTAAATCACTCATAGTCCCCAAGAAATAAATGAGGAATAGTGCCACATAAAAATAATTAGATCTTTCTCTATATATGGCAATCATCAGAACGAGGAATAAACTAACTGCATTAATTTGGGGGAAGTCAGACTCCGTTGTGCCGCAAAGACTTGTGTGAACAGGCAAACCCGATGATAGGAAACTACCAACTGGAAATGCAAGAGATAGGCACTTGGATTTTTATTTTCGAAAAGCTCATTTTTAAGATCGCAGTGCTGTATACTTTACAAAAGCAATCTAATATGAATAAGGAGGGAAAGAAAGAACATGAATTTTGAAAGCCTGAAAGTTTCATCTTGTATTTATTAAAAGAACCTAATTTTTCACAGCATTCATAACTTGGAACTAAGTGTACTTCCATTGTAGTGTATGAAGAACGTAACTGACTCACTTCCTCTAATGCATTTTAAAATGTTTTAAAACTTGGCAACCCCTGGTTTGTTGAAAAGAAACACTAGAACAAATTAGAGCTTTATTTTATCAAGAATTCTAATTTTCAAGTACTACAAGGCATCTCTTTCTCTTTCTCTCTCTTTCTCTCTCTCTCTTTCTCTTTCACACATACACACACACACAAAGAGAGAGAGAGAGACAGAGCCAAACTGCGGTAAAATAGCAAGTATATTCAAGCAGTTATATTTCAAAGGCTATGAAGTCAAACTCTGTCTTTTTACAGATGAAGAAACTGAGGGCACACAGTTGGCGGCTATAATAGGATTAGATCCTGGTCTGTAAATTTACTCTTATCCCAGAGGTCTGCCTAAGCAGGGATGCCACAGGTAGCTGTTCAGGTTGTGCCCTGGGCAAGGAGGGAAGTAGGAACCAACATCTGGTCTGCTTTCCATGGTTTTATGCCTGCACCTGGCTCTGGGCTGCTTCCACTCCATTTTTCTCATTTTCACGAAGTCTCCCTCAGCTCTGTGCCCTTCTGGAGGGCTACCTGTTTCTAACTCCACAAAGGTGCATATGGGCCAGTGGAGGTTTATAGGATACTCTCAGAACTCTTTTCTACATCCTTAACTATCAACTTGCTCTGGGGCATTTGTTAATGCCCATTGTTAACTAGGTACCAGCTTATCTCTCAGTGTGAGCTCACAGAACCAACCAATCCTCTTATCCTTTGGAGGTAACAAATCCATACTTGAAATATAGTCACTGACTCCACAGAGAGGCAGCTAGAGATGTAAAAAGTAATTGTAATTTAGTAGAAAAAAGCATCACAAAAGGAAATACTAAAAAGATATAATGGATCCCAGCTACTCAGAAGGTTGAGGCGGGAAGACGGTTTGAGTCCAGCAGTTTTGAGACCAGCCTGGGCAACACAGCAAGACTCCATCTCAAACAAACAAACAAGATATAATGGAACACAAAAAAGAGGCCTCAACTTTCCTTAGGAAAGTTGGTCGGGGAAAGTTCGAAAGCATGGGTGTCACAGCCAGATTATGATAAACAAAGAAAAGAAAAAAATCAGTTACCACCCTATAACAAAAAATAAAGCGAAATCCACAAATTCTTTAACTTTTAAAGTAGACCTTCATCTCAGGAAACACATTAGAATATTATTCAATAGCCTTCTACACACAGATCTTCTGAAGTAAACTTCAGTTCCATATAGCCAATGGACTACAATACATTTTCACTTCAGTTTCCTTTTACTACCCCTAATTTAACATACCCAAAAGAAAACTCACCATCCTGCCCTCCAAAACTCCAAAATAAGCCTCCTTTCAATGTAAAATATCCAGAATGCCACCATTCTTTCCACCTAATGTCAAAATACATTGACCCAAAATACATTGTATCTTGGCTAGATTATTCCTAAATGGTCTACTTCCTCCCTGGTACCCTCTACACCTTGGTGACCACATAAACTCCAGAGTGATCTCTTTCAGAATGTGTCACTCTTCTGTTCAAAATCCTCCAACAGCTTCCCTGTGAGTAAAAGCCACAAATTTAGGACATTTGGCCCCATATGGGATAATCAAGCATCAATAGGAACAACAATGGTAATGTATTACAACACATCAAATGTTTAAAGTCACGAGTTCAAGAAGAGAAAATTACGTCACCTTGAGGGGATGCTAGAGAACTGCTGCAGTAATCTTGAAAACTGATACAGGGGAAGAATCAAGCACATCCCCTGCATTCCCTATGAGTTACACCTCACAGATGGGGAAATCATTCACTTTATAGATGCATTCCAATTGGTGAATAAAGGGGGAACTGCGGTCGTAAAATATCAAAATTTTGTAGACTCTAAAGAACCCCAGGGAATCTAAGCCATGATCATCAGTGACTGCTGACATCACAAAGAGAGAAACCCTGGACGTTGTGAACTTCTCAAGACAACACACATGAAGTAGTCTTACCAAAAAGACTCCAGCACCCCTGGATACAACTAAGCCTCTACATCGAAATATCAAGTTACAGGTTAGAGACAAGGGAATGTGTTAAACAATATCACAGAGACGTGATCAGCAAAAGCTAGATACGAAAGTCAGAACAAATGACCTGGTTTCTTAAAATTTTAATGGGGGAGGGGGAAGATGGAAAGGGAACCCAAAGTTTAAAAGAAGGCCAGGCACAGTGGCTCATGCCTGTAATTCCAGCATGTTGGGAGGCTGAGGTGGGAGGATTACTTAAGGCCAGGAGCTCGAGACCAGCATGGACAACATAGCAAGACCCTGTCTTTACCAAAAAACAAACAAACAAACAAAAAAAAAAACCTTAAAAGACATATCAACTAATTGTAATATATGAACTTTTTAATGGGTCCTGATATCAAACTAATAAAACTATAAACAAACACACACATAATCAGGCATTTAGGAAATAATCAGCATGATATTGTGTATGTACACACTTCAGCCTGAAATATATATTGAGTATATGTATATACTTGTGTGCATATATATACACACATGGTTTGGATATCTGATAAAACTAGCCAATCATTTTAAAGTATAATATTGGACCATGATCACCTTTAATTCCCTTTCATAGACACATACAAAAATATTTACATATGAAGTAATACATATAGAGTTTGCTTCCAAATGATCTGGGGAGGGAGAGTAAGAGTATATAAAATTAAAGTGGCTTTGGTTACTATTTATTAAACTTGGGTAATAGGCAAATAAGGGGTTCATTATACTATTCTCTGTACTTCAGTGTATGTTTGAAATTTTGTCTTATAAAAAATTGAAGAAGAGTCTCACCAGGCCTCTAAAGCTCCATATGGTATGTTCATACCACACCTCCACATCCCCTCTTCTACAGCTCCCTCCCTGACACTCCTCACTACCCTTCACATATACCAAGCACACTCCTGCCTCTTGCCCTTTGCACTTACAGTTCCCACTGCCTAGAACTCTTCTCCCCTGACATGTCCAAACATCCTGCTCCTGAACTTCCTTTACATCTTGCTTGACCCTATTTGAAAACACAAGGCTCCCTCATCTAGTGTTTCTTTTTTTTTTTTTTTCTGAGACAAGGTTTCACTCTGTCGCCCAGGCTGGAGTCCAATGGCACTATTACGGCTCACTGCAACCTCTGCCTCCACCTCCTGGATTCAAACAATCCTCTCATCTCAGCCTCCTGAGCAACTGGGACCACAGACACATTCCACCATGCCCAGCTAATTTTTGTGTGTGTATTTTTTGTAGAGATGGGTTTCACTATGTTGCCCAGGCTGGTCTCAAACTCCTGGACTCAAGTGATCCACCCACCTCGGCCTCTCAAAGTGCTAGGATTACAGGCATAAGCCAGTATATCTGGCCTTTCTCCCTTTTTTTTTTGAGACAGAGTCTTGCTCTGTTGCCCAGGCTGGAGTGCAGTAGCGTGATCTCGGCTCACTGCAACCTCCATCTCCAGGGTTCAAGCGATTCTCCTATCTCAGTCTCCTGAGTAGCTGGAACTACAGGCACATGTCATCACACGCAGCTAATTTTTATATTTTCAGTAGAGATGGGGTCTCACCATGTTGGCCAGGGTTGTCTTGAACTCCTGGGCTCATGTGATCCTCCCGCCTCAGCCTCCCAAAGTGCTGGGATCACATGTGTGAGACACCACGCCCAGGCTTTCTTCTCATCTTGATGTATTTTTCACCTAACATATATTTATTTATTGTCTGTCTTCCCCTATCAGAGTGTAGGCTCCAAGAAGGCAAGTGTGTTGTGTGTTGTTTATAGCTGTTTAATCCCAGTGCCAAGAGCAGCCCACATAAATATTCAATAAATATGTGCTGAAAATGAATGAATGACCCTCCCTATATTGCAGAAACCACCAATTCAGGAGATTTTTCATTGTTTAAATAATTGTAGCTCACCACAGTGTTACATAACTAAACAGTGTCAGAGCAATGACCTCAAAGAGTGGTCTTAAGAAAATGGAGAATTGGGACATGTTCAGATACCACATGAAGACCCAGAAAAGACCTTTGCCGGCTGGAAGGCATACATCATGGACTAGCTGTATACATGTGTGTGCAGAAGAGGAACCTAAGGCTACACTAGAGTAGTGTGATATATTTTTATCAGTAGAGGTGGGTGGGTTGTGGGGGGACATTGGTTTAAACCACAGTACTTCGATATGACTGAGAAGACATATATATATGACAAGGTGGAAGTTAAGGAGTCTTCCCTACCACTGCTGCATTAATGGTGGAAATATGGGGTTTAAACAAACCCAGAGGAATGGTTTAAGGCTAGATCTCTTCTATGCATTCTCTAGAGTAGTGGTTCTCAACCAGGTTTTGCAATGTCTGAAGACATTTTTGGTTTTACCCTTTGCAGCAGGGAATAAGGGGGTTGCTGCTATTGGCATATAGTGAGTAGAGGCCAGGGATGCCGCTGAACATCCTATAGCACACAGATATTGCCCCACAACAAAGAATTATCCAGCCCCAAATCAAAAGTGCTATTCTAGAAATCTTGCTCTAGAGACAAGGGTCAATTTCTGCAGGACCCTCGGCATCACTGACTAGTTTTAACATGTCGATTCTGATTTCATTGCACTTAAATGGGGCAAGGGAGGAGCACTCGAACTGTTTTGCTTCTCATGCCACATTTCTTCTCGGGGAATATTACTTTAGTGTATGTATATACTTCTGTCCCGTTTTCAGGAGGAATGGCTTTTTATAGACAGAGCCTCAGACTGTCTCTAAGTTACAGAAACCTAATTATCAGGGTCTCCATGCCATACAGGAACAGCAACCTAGATATGGAATTCTTAAAAGCAATATGATCCAAACTACATACAAAATAAGCTTCACCACTGCTTATTTTGAGGGCACAGTTAAATAGGCTGACATAAGAGTAAAGCCAGTTGTATGTGTCTGAGGCACCTGGGCAGACAGGATTTAAACGTACGAGTTTTGATTTCTCAGATGAAATTCAAGGGACAGATCTCCCCAATGCAATATTTTCTCACCTCTTTCCTTTCTAGATCCAAGGTATCCATAAGGAACACACAAAATCTTAGGGCAATCGTGTTCCCTGAATGTTCAATTATTTATATATTCTTAAAAAGTGTGCATGGTTGAGGAAAACTTTCAAAGAAGGTGAATGTGTATGTGCTCTCTAACCACTCACATAAGCCAGCAAAGGTTAGATGAAGTTATTAACATTGTCATTGTCTCAACAGCTCATATCGTTCATTTAATACACTTTTATTCAGCAGCCCCTGTTCTAGGTGTGGTGATACAGCAGTGGATGAGACAGAAAGGTACATCTATAGAGTCTCCATTTATCAGGGAAAATAAATAAAGACACACATAAGGTCATTTCTGATAATGACAGGTACTCCCATCACAGGATGATGGGCAGTGGGTCAGGGAACAGACAGTATCTTTAGATCGGGCTGGGAAGATGAGATGATGGGCAAGCTTCATCTGCAGGATGAAAATTGCCAGGTCATGAGAGTCGGGGAAAGAGTGCTGCAGGCAAAGGGAGCAGCGATTGTAAAGTCTCTGACGGTGGAACAAGGCAGGCTCATTCAATGCACATCAGAAAGGCCGTGTGTGTGATGAAGTCATTGAACAAATCTTTAGTGAGAATTATACAATGCATGGCATTATCAGGGATGCAAAGATGAACCATATGCAAGTTTGGGTCTCAAGGATTGTATCATTTGGCGAAGCAGGGAGAGTAGAATAAAAGTTAATGGCGGGGGAGGGGATCAGATTTATGTTCTATATGATGAGGAGGTAAGAAACAGATATAATTTTGGTGGCATCTTTTAATAACTGGAGTTCATTTTTTCAAGCAGGTCTTTATAAGAAGCTGGCTAATGGCTTCTAAGGACTCTCTACCACTTCAAAGAGCAGGAAATATGAGGCTATCTGTATGTGTTCATTCACTGAAGAACATATCTTAAGTGTTCACTGTGGGCAAGGCATTAAAGAAGCAAAATTACTAAGACATGACTTTGGCCTACAGAGGCATTATGAGAAAAGATCAGGGTGGAAACATCTTCCTCTCTTCCTCATCTGTCTCTCTCTCATCCTTCTCTCCTGCTTCTCTTCCTTCCCCAGACAACATGGGTCCCTTTCTCCTCAGAGAGGGTTCATCATTGTCATCTAAGGTGTCAAGTTTGCCACCTGTACACCTCTTCTCAAGAAGCTCCTGCAGGATATGCTCCACATGAACAATGAAATAAACCATTTAAGAGAAATGCATGAGATCAAAGAAAGGGCGGAACATGGAGAGAGACGAAGGGAATTACCATGTTAATGAGGGTGAGGAAAATCACCAAAAACTGCCTCCATGCAGGAGACCTAGATAGCACACCGTCCAGCTTGGAACAGAAAAACTGGAGGGTCCAGGAAGAGGCTTTGAGAAAAAAACTTACAGGTTATCTGATATGTTTGATAACATAGAAAGTGCCAACAAGAGTTTTATAGTTCTATTGAAGAGTGTGGAAAGGATTCATGACAGCTACATAAAATCTAAAAAGGAGAAAAACACCCCAATTACTAACTCCAAAGAAAAGCACAAAGTTATAAAGGAGAGGAACATTATCATTGGTTCATCAGTGGGAAAAAATACACACACACACACACACACACACACACACACACACACACACACACACACACACATATCATGGGAGGCAAAATAATGGCCTCTCTAAAGATGTAGCAATCCCCAGAACCTGTGAATGTATTATTTTACATGACAAAAGGGGCTTTGCTGATGTGATTAAGAGTCTTGAAATGAAGAGATTATTCTGTATTGTCTGTGTGGACCCAGTGTAATCATGATTTCCCATAAGATAAAAGAGGGATTCAAGAGATACAGAGAAGAAGATGTGACAAAAGCAGAGGTTGGACTGATGTGGCCAGGAGGCAAGGAATAAGGTCAGTGTTGCTGGAAGCTGGACAACTAAACTTTCCAGTCATGGATAAGCAAGTCCCCTTTTCTTAGGATAACATGGGTTGGGTATTCCATCACTTGTGCTACAAAAATTACCAAGTGATACAACCTGAAAGCTTTATGAGTTGTTGTTCAAATAATGTCTTCGATTTAATGCTTTCCTTTCCATAAGAAAATAACAAAGCTACAGAACCTTAAGGCCTAATTTTTAAATGCCCTCTAATAGTAGCACTGCTTGTAATAACCCAAAACTGAAAATTACCCAAGTGCTTATCAATAGTAAAATGGCTAAGTACATTATGGCACATTCACATGACAAAACACTACACAGCAATGAGACTGAATGACCCACAACTGCATGCAGTAATGTGGATGAACCTTGCAAACATAATGTTAAGCATAATGTTGAGCAAAAGGAAGTATAACTGCGGAAATGTAAAATGGTGCAGCCGATGCAGAAAATGGTATGGCAGCTTCTCAGAAACTTAAACATAGAATTACCATATGATCTGGCAATTCCACTTCTGGGTATATACCCAAAGTAATGGAGGCAGGAACTCAGATATGTATATACCCATTTTCACAGCAGCATGATTCACAATAGCCAAAAGTGGAAGCAAGCCAGGCTTCGATTAACAGATGAATAGGTGAGCAAAATGTGGTATTACCCATACAATAGAATATTATTCAGCCTTAAAAAGAAGAGAAATTCTGACACATATTACAACATGGATGAACTATGAAGACATTACACTAAGTGAAATAAGCCAGACACAAAAGGACAAATATTGTTATGCTAGCTACTCTGGGTAGGTACTACTCTATTTTGGCTTGTCTATAGTAGTCAAATTCATAGAGACAAAGTGGAATGGCTATTGTCAGAGACTAGGGGAAGGGGAAATGGGAAGCTAGTGTTTAATGGAAAAAGTTTCAGTTGGGAAAGATGAAAAAGTTCTCGAGATGCATGGCAGTGATACTTACACAACTCTGTGAATGTACTTAATGGCGCAGAATTGAATGCTTAAAAATGGCTAAAACAAAAATTTTATGTTAGGTATATTCCCCACAACTAAGAAAAAAAAGAAAAAAAAAGAAAAAAAAAGTATACTAGTTTACTTACCCTATGACTCTACTTATATATACGACTTCAAGTTCTAATAGCAACCTATGCTATTAGAGTCAGGACAGTGGTTAAGGTGGTGGAATATGGGGTAGGGTGGGGTGAGGTAGTGGCAGGATTTTCAAAGGGGAGTTCTAAGGCAAGAATCATGTTCTGTTTCCTATGTGCTGGTTGCAGTTTGTGAAAATTCTCCAAGCTTGTGAATTTGGGGATTCCTCAAAGTCTCAAGCTGCAGCTCTCGTAAAGCAAAGAATCTATTTTAGAGGTTTTACAGCTTTCAGACACTTCTCAAATATACTCCCTCTTTTAAAAAGTTATTTATACTCAGCATCATGCCATCTAGGATTTGAGGCAATACATAAGAATACACACATACACAGACTACTCAGTAACTTTTTGTTAAACCAACAAATGAAGCAAAGTAGAAAATTAAAAGTAAATTAAATCAGAACCACGAAAAATAGGATTAAAAGACAAATCCATGGGAAAATATAGAACCCTAAGTATAACAGAAAACACAGAATCTTAAAGGGATAATTTTTACAGACTATCTGTGACCAAAATAATTAAATACTTGCCTGTATTAGTCTGTTCTCACTCTGCTAATAGACATACCTGAGACTGGGTAATTTATAAAGACAAGAGGTTTAAGTGACTCACAGTTCAGCATGGCTTGGGAGGCCTCAGGAAACTCACAATCATGGCGGAAGGGGAAGCAAACACATTCTATTTCACATTGCAGCAGGAAAAAGAAGTGCCGAGTGAAGGCGGAAGCCCCTTATATAATAAAACCATCAGATCTCACGAGAACTCACTCACTACCATGAGAACAGCATGAGGTAAACCACCATGATGCAATTATCTCCACCTGGTCCTGCCCTTGACATGTAGGGATCATTACAATTCAAGGCGAGATCTGGGTGGGGACACAGGACAAAACCATATCATTGCCCAACATCAACAGTTAATAAGTGATTGAGCTGGGACTTGAAATCAGTTCTGACTCCAACTACTGCATTCTTTCTACTGTAGTAAGCTGTGCTTTTCCAGATCATAGTATGGACAAGTTGTTTGACAAAACAATTCCAGTAGTATTTTTCCAGGTAATGTATTCATTAATTTAATATTTTTGTCTATTTGTTATTGTTTGCATTCATAGTTCTTTGACAAGTAACTCCAGCTTACCTTTTGGCATGTATATCTAATATATATATATCTGACTTTATGCAATGTTTTCAAAAGCGCTATTAAAAAATTGTTGGGGGGGTGTGAATTAAATGCCCCATGAAGGCAGGAGTCACACATCTTTATAGTCACTGTTTTATATTAAGTGCTTAACACCATGCTCGCACACAGAGTGGGCACTCAATAAATACTTGACAAAGCAAAGAGCTAATTAGCTAAAAAAGATTACTAAAAGTATAGTCACAAGGGGTGTTAAATTCAACTGGGAGACTATTTCCAGATGGCTTATTTACCCATTCTTGACTAGAGAAATTCAAATTACTCTGGGCCATCTTAAGAAGTCCAGCTTGCCATGTTTTACTCAGCTCCAGCCGCACCAGTGGACACAGATGGCATTTTAAAGCCCAGCGACATGGCTTGTGAGTACCAAGAGTAGTTATGTGGCTTGGAAAGTGCTGTGGAGGAATGGTGCAAGCTGCCCTGAAAAGGACAGGCTGAGGGACTTTGCTGTGCCCTACCTAAGCTTGGCGAGGAGGGGGACAACAAAAGGCTCTGGGTTTCAGGAGGTGGAAAAGAAGTATAAGAGCACATGTTTGGATAATTCGGTAACCAAACAAGCAGAGAGCTACTGAAGAGCAATCTCTGATGATACTACACAGAGACTTTATATATGAACGCTAGTAATGCCTTCCCCCTCTCTAGATAATCTAAAATCTGGAATCAGATTGCACACGTATCTTATCATCCTCACACTCCAACTTTGGTCCTTTGGAACTCGGTCTTTGGCTCCGTAACAGGTAATCCAATTCGGAATGTGGCACGGGTTCTCGTCTTGCCTTTCCTTTTCTAACTGCTCAGCCAACTTGGGAACTTAGTCCCTCAGCCTGTTTAAGTCTTTAAGCTGCCAGCCTCCTTCATCACCCACTCCTTCTTTATATGCAGGGTATGCAGGATGGAATGGAACCTGTGACACTTGGCTTGTGCATAAGAGAGACAGTCCACTTTATATGAGAATACTGTCATCCAGACACTCTATTTTCCTTTGTATTTTGCAGGGGAAAGAGATTAGATTTTTTAAAAAGTCTCCAGGCAATGTGAGATTATTAAATAAGTATTAATGTATCTTCACCAATTTCAGTGTCATGCTGCCTCCTCACATCATCAGCTACTGACTCTAAAGAGGGGAAATTCTTGAGACCCAACATTAAGAATTAAAATATACCCATGATCTCAAATCTAAATAAAAAATCAACTTACTTTTCCTGTGGGGTCCGGGATACACTACCCAACCAGGTTTTGCCAACATGTGCAAGCTTTAGGAAAAATCTGTCTCCTGCCACGGGGAAATGCTTTGCAGGTCGGAGGAGGATTATATAAGGCAAGGAAGAGACTCCTATGGATATTTCACTATAATAACAATTCTAGAAAGAGGCTGCACAGAGAAGCAGTGTTGAGTAGTAAAGTGAGTGGGAGGTTAGCTTCCAATATCTAGATGGCAAAGTAAAAAGCTTAAAATACTCAAAACCTCGAAGAATCAGAGAAGACTGTTAACCCATTACACTGTGATTTCCACAAAAGCTCAGACTTGAAACTTGATGTGCTTTATAAGAAAAAGCAGAAGAGAGAAATGTTCATACATTTTTCTTTGTAGGGAGATGGATAGGGCACAGGAAGAAAAGAAAACAAACCATATTCCTTTATTTCAGTGTTCCTTGACATGTCAGGATCAGGCAGCAACTCAGGTCTGGTCCAAACCCTACAGGGACCATAAAAGTCATGCAGAAAAAATATACTCATTTTCCACGGTCCTACTTCTTCTAGGGCAGAAACAACAATAAAGAATCCAGAGGTGAAAAGAATTAGTACATCATAAAAAATAAGAAAGAAAAATAAAATACTCTCACATTGACTGTCCCTAAGAGAATTTACTCACATACTTAAATTTATGCAGCAAGTTACCAGGAGCCTCATAAATACTGGACCATAATCAAGCTGTAATCATTCATTTTATTTACATCTCATTAGGGGGCACTAAGGTAATGATCTTCCAAAGTTTCACTGCAGCCAATGAAAAAGAAAGTGGACGTCTAAAGTGGGGAGGGCATAAAAAAAAGAATGTCATTTGTCCCAAAGGCACAGAATTATTAAAAACAATCTGTTTTAAAAGTTACTATGTGCTTTTATGCATTCCCGACTCGTAATGCATTCTGAATTATTTTTACTCCACATATTACATGTGAGATAAGACCTGAATCTATCTGACTAAAGAATTTAGACTGAACTTTTAGCATTACGTGAAAAACAAACTTCCATGAAATAGAAGCTGCAATGGTAATTTCCAATACACCTGGAACATTCACCATATATATTACCGCTTGTCATTTACTGTTGGCAAAACCCATGACAACCTTTCAGGCACTTCTATAGCAATTTGAATAGCTGCACAAAAGGGCAGAGCAGCAATATACTGAATAAAACATCCAATGCCTGTATCATTCCTTTGAAGGCTGTCAGCAATACATTTTGAATAACCTGAAATGAAGATCAAAAGGGAATAGAATTCATTTATTTATTTATTTTACCTGAGGCGGTAAATGAAAAGAAACTAAAATTTAGAATTAGGAAAGGTCTAAATTTAGGCAAACATCAATATCTTGTTCGTAAGAGCTATAAAGAAGTTCAATAATTTCATCTAAGTCACAAAGCATGAAACTGAGATATAAAAATAGAGACCAAAGCAACAAAAAGAGTTAAAGAAAAATAAAACCAAATATTCCTTCCTCTGACTTATTTCCTTCTCAGTCACCTTCTGCCTGACCTTCCACACACACAGCTCCTCTGTATTCCAGTCATGAGCAGCATGATGGTTCTCTTCAATAATTTCAGTTTGAGAGTGGTTCCTCCTTCCTGTGGGGATTCCCTGGGAATTGTTCATGTTTCTCCCTCTTTTCTCAAGCACATTTTAAAGACAGGAAGAACGTGAGAGAACTCAAGATGGGAAGAAGAGAAAGAGAGAGGCTGCGTTATTTTGAAACCCTTCTACCTAACACACAAATATCTGTTTGAAATAAACCTTATAAGCCATCTCTTTATACGGATTCAAAGGGACATAGTTGAAGAAACTAGCTGAAGGATAAAAATGCTCGTTAAATAGTTTAGCACATAACCTGCTGTGCAAGTTATGTGCAAGTTTAATGGGCACCATTTAAAAACCTACTATCACTACATAATGATTCTGTATAAAAGATCATTCAGCCAGGAAGATTCTGTATATAGGGTATACCACAATTACCTAATTGACAAATTAAATATGATCCCAATGCTCAGTGTTAGAAGCTTTCCCTACCAAATCAGAGTGGATGCAGCCAGTGCCTTCACCTACCTCCAGCAGACACAGAGACAGCTAAGGGCACGGCATGCGCTTCTCCTTGTCCCTGGATGAGTCATAGTTTACTTTCATCTCTGAGGGGCAGTCCCCACAAAAGGCAGCTGTAAGACCTCAGTTACCTTCATGGGGCACAGGGATTAGGCCCCAAGACGTTCTGGATGAATCTGAAGATAACTTTCCTGATAGTATGTGTAAAGTTGGATTTTGTGGAGCCAACTGAGGACTTATCATTTACAGCATGATTTCCGTGGGGAAATATGTTCATAGGTTTTAAACAACCCCGGAATGTGAACTGTTTAAAAAGAGTTCATTTGAAACTTTAACTGCTTAGGAAAAACCAACTAAAAACCAGACTCTCACTCAACTGGAGCTTTTGCCTCTAAGAATGTCTGTTCAGCCCTTTAAGTCAGTGATATCTTGACCCAATCAGTCTCTGCAAATTTAAGTTTTACTCCTTTATAAAATGGAAGTCATACCATTGTACCTAGCAACCTAGTCAACAGATGTTCATTTACTTTCTTCCTTAAATGACTTTCCCCATATAAAAGTTTTAAAACCCAGGATATGACAGGCAAAATTCTAAGACCTCCCCAATGACTGACACTCTGTATAATCCCCACGGTCCTGTGAACTGTGGGCAGATCCTGTGGAAAGGATGGGATATGACTCCCAAAATGAGGCTATCAGTCAATCATCTTTGACTAAATCAAAAAGGAGATTACACTAGGTGGCTCTAACCTAATCAGGTAAGTCCTTTAAAAGAAGGGGAAGCATCAGAGAACTGCTAACCCCAAAGAACATGGAAGCGCTTCTACTCTCGCAAGGAAATGAATTCTGCCAACAGCCAGGAGAGCTTGGAAGAGGACCCAGCTGAGCCCTGTCTAGGCTTCTGATTGACAGAACTGTGAGATAATACATGGGTGTTTTAAGCCATTAAGTTTATAATAAATTGTTACACAGCAATAAGAAACTAATAACAGAACCTAGGTATAAGTCTATGTGTTTCTATAACTACAGGGAGATGAGACATCAGAAGTAATACAAAGTACATATTAGAAAGCGAAAAAGAAAAATAAGGCAAGAGATTTGAGATTTATTATGCCACTCTGGTAGATGCTTTATAAATGTTGTCTCTTGCAAAGAAAGTCTTATTTAGAAAGAAGTTCTAGAGCCTTCTATTATGCTAATATACTTTCAATTTAAAGCCAAGTTACTACCAATTTAATAACATTTTTAATTTCATTATCATGATTGAAAGCAAGGGTATCATCTAAAGATGGCTTTGAAGATTTTTATTTTAAAAGTACTCAGAACCACCACCAAAGGGTAGAAGATGGTGACCTTTGAAGCAACTTTACAAACCCGTTTGTTTATCATATAAGGCAATTCAGGACCAACTTGCAGTACTGGTGGAAAATTAAACACATTATTTTAGAAACAGATGCAATGCAACTCATGTGGCCATGCAGAAAGCAAATAGCTGCACCAAAGATATTCAGAAGGAAATAGGAATTGTAAACTATTTTTTAAAAATAGCAAAATCAGAAAATACCCTCGAAATGTTTTAAAACTAGGAATTTTACACGTCAACTCTAACAAATCAATAGAGCAAAGAACGGGGAGATGGTTACCTGTACTTTAAGAAGTCTCAACCTCTATGTCAAACCCAAGATTGTTATAAGAATGCTTGAGATTCCTTAAAAATGGAAATTGACTCATCAGAGAAGACCAGTGAATACAAAACACACCTTGCATAATGATTTTGAAATTTCTTTCATTTATCATGCTCTAACTTTGATTCTTTGGGGGAAAAAAGGCATGCTCATCAAGTGTAGCCTCAAAACCTTTCAGAACGCTACCACAGGGAAAAGGCAGCACTTTTTTTCGCTGAACACACATTTCCCAGCACTGTAATTGATATCCTAGTGTTCCTGAAGAGATAATAAAATTATTCAAATAAATACTAAAAAGTTTTAAGTACTATTAGTAATAATTCTTGCTTAAACACAAAAGTTGGAGAAAGGCATTCACCAAGCTGTTCCATTAAACAAATGAGCCTGTTGAAATTTGCTACTATCTTAATTTTATATAAATAGATTTCAACTGTATGCTATAGAGTACATGGGATAACGAAAAGATCTATTTAGGCTCCTGAAACTTCCCTGTACTCAATGCTTGCTTAAAAAAAATTAACTTTATAAAATGGGGAAGCACCTTTAAATATTCCTTTATCTCAGGGCCTTGTTTAATAACCTGTACACTAAACACAATGAGAACATGCATTTTTGCTAGAAATACTAACCATAGCTTCCATTTATAAATGGTTGCTCTGGGCTACCACCCAATGTGCATTATCACATTTAATTCAGTGAGGTAGATACTATTATCAACCTCATTTCACCGGTAATGAAATTAAGACATAGAAGGGATACTTAACTTTTCTAATGTTAAGTGGGTTGATAAGAGGTAGAATGGAGATGGCCAGTGCTATGGTTTGAATGTTTGCATTTCACCAAAATCCTACCCCCCAATATGATGGTATTTGGAAGGGGAAGGTGATTAGGTCATGTGGCAGGACCCTCATAAATGGCATCAGTACCTTATAAAAGAGGCCCCAAAGAGCTGCCACACCCCTTTCTACCTACAGCCATATGAAGAAGACATAGCAAGAAGATGGCCATCTATGAACAGGAAAGAGCCCCTCACCAGAATCTTCCAGCACCTTGATCTTAGACTTCTCAGTCACCAGAAATGTAAGAAATAAGTTTCTGTTTATAAGCCACCCAGCTTATATATTTTGTTATACTTGCCTGAATGGACTAAGAAAGTCAACCTCCAAAGGCAAAAGAACTAATCCTTATGTTATACTATCATTCATGACATAACTACCCTTATTCAAACATTGGAAGCATGACATCGATCATGGCTACTTTATCATGACAGGAAGAGATCAATAAACATTTTTTTGTACACATGTATGCCAATAATCAAACAGCTTTAGATCTGGAAGGGTACAACATGCTCACTCTCTCTTTCACCCACATTCTCATATCAGCATCAACAGTGATATTTCACACTGCATGACAGCCACTAGCTAGTTATACCTAAATAACTTTTAAATTTGCAAGTCAGACAATGGTTATATTAATTTTTAAGCATAAAGTAACCTGACATAATCAATCCAAGACCAAGGAGGTGGTCATGAAGAAACCTAACTGGGATTCCCCAACAGCTTTTGTCATCAAGCTAAATTACCATGGGTACTATCAGAAACATGCACATACAAACATGTATGACAGTCTGGAATATAGAACATAATAACTATATGCTTATCAATGTTGTTTAGAATATGTTGTGAAAGCTAATTTTTTATCATAGTCTTCCAGTATAATTTTTCAGAATAGACATACCTAGTTTTATTGTGCTCTGCAGAAAATTGCATTTTTTAACAAATTGAAGATGTATGGTAACCCTGCATAGAGCAAATCTATCAGCACCATCTTTCCAACAGCATGTACTCACTTCATGCCTCTATGTCACATTTTGGTAATTCTTCCAATATTTCTAATGTTTTCATTATTATTACATCTTTTATGATAATCTATGATCAATGATCTTTGATGTTATTTTTATCACTGTTTTGGGGCACCACAAACAGTGTCATATAAGACAATGAACTTAACTGATAATTGTTCTATGTGTTCTGACTGTTTGATCGACCAGCCGTTCCCCCATCTCTTTCCTTCTCCATGGGCCTTTCTGTTTCCTGAGACACAACAACATTAAATTTGGCCATTTAGTAACCCTACAATGGCTTCTAAGTGTTCAAGTGAAAATGGAAGAGACACACATCTCTCATTTTCAATCAAAAGCTAAAAACGATTATGTTTCATGAGGAATGTCAAAAGCCAAGACGGAAAGCTAGACCTTCTGCACCAAACAGGTAGCGAAGTTGTAAATGCAAAGGAAAAGTTCTTGAAGGAAATTGAAAGTGCTACTCCAGTGAACACACAAATGGTAAGAAAGTGAAACAGCCTTCTTGCTGATATGAAGAAAGTTTTGGTGGTCTGAATAGAGGATTATATCAGCCACAACATTTCCTTAAGCCAAAGCCTAATCTAGAGCAAAGTCTTAATTCTCTTCAATTCTACGAGAGCTAAGAGGGGTGAGGAAGCTGTGTAAGATGGAAGCTAGCAGAAGTTTAAGGAAAGACGCCATCTCCATACCATAAAAGTGCAAGCAGCAAGTTCTGATGTAGAAGCTGCAGCAAGATATCCAGAAGATCTAGCTACACTAAACAACATGTTATCAATGTAGACAATACAGCCTTCTGGGACTTTCATAGCTAGCGAGGAGAAGTCAATGCCTGACTTCAAAACTTCAAAGGACAGCCTGACTCCCTCTTTAGGAACTAATGCAACTGGTGACTTTAAGTTGATGCCAATGCTCATTTACCATTCTGAAAATCCCAAGGCCCTTCAAAATTATGGTAAATCTGCTCTGCCTGTGCTCCATACATAGAGCAACAAAGCCTAGATGACAGCATATCTGTTCACAGCATAATTTATGAAATATTTTAGGTTCACTGTTGAGACCTAGTGCTCAGAAAAAAAGATTCCTCTCGAGATATTACTGCTCTTTGGCAACATACCTTGTCACCCAAGAGCTCTATTGAAGATGTACAAAGAAATTGATATTGTTTTCATGCCTGCTAACAAAACATCCACTCTGCAACCCATGGATTAAGGAGTAATTCTGATTCCCAAGTTGGGTTATTTAAGAAATATTTTTCCTAAGTTTATGGCGGCTATAATGATTCCTCTAATGGATCTGGGCAAAGTACATTGAAAACCTTCTAAAAAGGTCATAAAAAGAGGTCAAAATAGCAACCTAAACAGAAGTGTGGAAGAAATTGATTCCAACTCTCACAGATGACTGGGAGGGTTTCAAGACTTCAATGAAAAAAGGAACTGCAGATATAGTAGAAATAGAACGAAAATTAGAAATGGAGCCTGAAGATGTGACTGAATTGTTAAAATTTGATGTTAAAACTTGAATGGATGAAGAGTTGCTTCTTATGGATGAGAAAGAAAGTTATTTCTTGAGGTAGAATTTACTCCTAATGAAGATGCTATGAACAACGTTGAAATAAAACCAAAGGATTTAGAATATTACACAAACTTAGTTGATAAAGCAATAGCAGGGTTTGAGAAGGCTGACTCCAATTATGGAAGAAGTTATACTGTGGATAAAATGCTACCAAATAGCATTGACTGCTATGGATAATCTTTTGTGAAAGAAAGAGTCCACTGCTGTGGCAACCTCATTGTTGAATTATTTCAAGAAATTGGCACAGTCACCGCAACCTTCAGTAACCACCACCCTGATGAATCAACAGCCATCAACATCAAGGCAAGACCCTCCAGCAGCAAAAAGATTATGACTTGCTGAAGGCTCACAGGATCTTGTTTTTTAGCAATAAAGTATTTTTAAATTAAGATATGTGTGTGTGTATATACATACATATACATATATACATATATATACACATACATATATATTTATGAGACAGGGTCTTGCTCTGTTGCTCAGACTGGAGTGTAGGAGCATGATCATAACTCACTGCAGCCTCGTACTCCTAGGATCAAGGCATCCTCCTGCCCTAGACTACTGTGTAGCTGGGACTGCAGGTATGAGCCACCACAGCCTGGCTAATGTACATTGTTTTTGTAGACAGAATGCTATTGCACACTTAATAGACTACAGTATAGTTTACACATAGCTTTTATATGCACTGGGAAATCAAAAAAGTTGTGTGCTGCTTTATTGTGATATTTGTTTTATTGCAGTCACTTTACGGCAGTGGTCTGGGGAAAAAAAAAAACAAAAACCCAGCAATATCTCTGAGGTATCTTGTATACAAATAAATCCAGATTTGTTGTAAAATAAAACAGTATATTCATCACAAATGTTTTATATATAGATCTAGAAAATTTATCTGTAACAGAAATGACAAAAGATTACCTCAGAAAACAATTACAAATTGATACAAATGACCCCAGATACATAATGGCAAAATATGAATTGGTATTTCTCAGAAAAGAATAACTAACTAGCAAAATACAATGAAAAGGTAAAACGTTGTTAGTGAAATTCAAATTAAATTAACAATGAGATATCACTTTACACAGAAATTGGCAAAATATAAACATTGTTAAAATACATATTTTTGGCAAGGATATGGAAAAAGATGGTACTTTGCAAACAGTTTGCAAGTGGAATACGTGTATATATTATTTCCTCTCTGGTTCAGTTTATTTTCTATTAACCTGTTTTCCAGTTTACTAATCCTGTCTTCCACTGTGTTTAATTAACTTTAAACCCATCCAGAGAGTTCTTAATTTCAGATACTATGCTTTTCAGTTTTCTATTTGTTTCTCTCTTCACAAATTTCAATTCTCTGATGAAATTTTCCAAATTTCCATCTGTTTTTCTTTTACCTATTTTGTTAACTGATTAATATAAGTTAACATTAATTATGTATTTTTAAGTCCATATGTTCTAACTCCAATCTCTGGAGCAAAATTGCAAATGCACATTATATTGTCTGTCTACTGTCTTTTGGTCACATGTTTTTGTCTTTTAGAATATCTATAACTTTTAATTATCAGGTATTATACTAAAAAACTGAAAAGGCTCTAAATCAGTGTTCCCCAACCTTTATTTTTCACTATTATCTCTATAAAGAACTTTAATAGACTTTTTGTTACTAATTTCCCCAACCTGCCAGTTGTATCTGTTTATGTGTTGTGGGTTTTTGAAGGTCCACAAATCACTGTACCATTTAATATTTGTTTCACACTGGAAGAACCAATCTTGTGCCTACTGAGAACACATGCTCTAAAGGATGTTATTTTCTACAAGAGGGTGTTACTCTTCCTCATATAGGCAGATAGAGAATTGATCACCTTAGTGCAGTCATGGCTGAGCTGAGTAAAGGCTGGTTACGGTTCAGGTATAACTTGGTGTATCTCAGATTCGGCCCTGTTCCCAGGTTTTCCCTGGGTTTTCAACAGACAGCCTGGTGGACCTTTGCCCAACTCCTCTTTAAACTCATGAATAGAACACAATCATTACCATTGTAAAGCCAATTAGACAGTGTTCTTCTGATTAAAAGATACAGGTCCATTAAATTCCGGCAATTTTTTCATATCTTGAAGCCATTTTCTCTTTCTGGATAGCAAGAAGCTTTCACTTAAATATGAACAAGGCACTATGTGACAAAATTACCATGTAACTAAAAACCAATTTTCAGTTATATGGCATTTTAAATTTTAATATTTCTTATACTAGGGAGCATATTTTACACTAACAGTCTAGATTTATCTTAATAAGGCAGTAAAAGCATTATAAGAAAAAACATCTACCATAATCATTATGTAATGCTGATTTGGAATAAGATTCTAGGCAATATGACAGTTCTAAAAGAGGTAAAAGTATTGAAAAAGGTGAAAAATTATCATTATTTGTACATAATTTTGTATCTAGAAAACCAAACAGACTCAACTGAAAAACTATTAGAATTAATATAAATATAACAGCTAAGTGCCCTGAATGGATCCCACAGAAAAATATAAAATTCCAGTTTTGCTGCCAATGACAACAAGAAAAGGTGGTATAAAAGAAGAAACTATTAACATAAAAACAAAACTAAAATAAAGGGTATAATCATAAAAAAATATGGGTTAACTACAAGGAAAAGAAAACACTTTAGAAAGAGAAACTAATACCAGAATCATTAGACTGAATATAAAAAATGTTTCTGGAAGAAAAAATTAGATGCCACAGGATGACACTTTCTCCTAAGTAAAATGTATACTTTTAATATGCACCTTAGGGAAATACAGCATGAAGGGAGAACCTCAACCATGATTCTAACTTACCTAGAAAAAAATGAATAGTTGAAAAAAATGAGTAGATGAACGTACTACATAAAAACCTGTAAAAGAAGAGCAAATATAGAAACATATGTCTACCCTTGTTAAAAATAGTGTAGTAATGGCTAAAGAAAATACAGACCACAAAACCTGAAAGAATTTCTGTGAGGAGAGGAGGATTACTAAGTAATTGGAGGAGAAAGTGGTTAGCAAAAGGGGAAGAAAATGTTATCCTACTATGCACCAAAATAAATGCCCGATCCATTACACCATTAACATTTGTTCCATGCCTACTAGGTGCCATATACTTTGAGGTCTTGGAGATTCAGAGATGGGAAGACAGTCTGATAGTGCAATAAATGAAGCAGTACATATGAGCGTGCACTGAGGTACCCTTTAGTCCTTCTGGTGAGAGGGATTTTGTTCTCCTAATTTGAATGAGTACTTATGAAGTTTAGAAGGGGCCATGTGTGTCCTGTTCACTGTACCTCCCCAATATTTTTCACACCTAAATGTGCAGTGCTTGACATACAGTAGGGGCTTAAATATTTATTAAATAGTAAAGTACCGTAAGTGTTTTAAAATAACATGAGTACCTCTCTGTATTTCCCATGGTAAAGCCTGGATTCTTGTCCTTCCACCTCCAATGAGTGAAAGCTTACTGGAATTTGTCCTTTGCAGAGTGATTAAAGAGAAAGAAAGCAGTGGGAGATATAATTAAAGCCGCACTGTAGTGAGGAGGAGAGAGGGCATCCAGGAGAAAGGGCTGAGTAATAAGGAGTTCAGTGCTGAAGGTTATCTAAGAAAAAGATGATGCTGGGAAAAGAAATTTTAAAAAGAGTTTTTCATTGATTTATAATTTGAAGTCATTTGTATTGTTATTTAACATACCCACATAAAGGGTAATATTCGTCAGGTATTGTTTAAGGTGCATTTACAAATATTACTTCATTTAATCTTTGTAACAACCCATGATTGTCAGGCCTCTGAGCCTAAGCTAAGCCATCATATCCCCTGTGACCTGCATGTACACATCCAGATGGACTGTTCCTGCCTTAACTGATGACATTGTCTTGTGAAATTCCTTCTCCTGGCTCATCCTGGCTCAAAAGCTCCCCCACTGAGTACCTTGTGACCCGTACTCCTGCCCGTCAGAGAACAACCCCCTTTGACTGTAATTTTCCTTTACCTACCCAAATCTTATAAAATGGCCCCACCCCTATCTCCCTTCCCTGACTCTCTTTTCGGACTTAGCCCGCCTGCACCCAGGTGATTAAAAGCTTTATTGCTCACACAAAGCCTGTTCAGTAGTCTCTTCACAGGGACGTACATGAAAATGATAAGCATGCCATTATGACCATTTCCATTGTACAGGTGAAGAGAGTAAGGACCAGAGATGTTAAGTAACTTGTCCAAGATCATGCAACTATTACATGGAAAAGCCAGGAATTAAACTCAGACTGTTATAAATATGTTCCCATTGATAGAGTCCATTTGAAACACATGACCCTGCCCAACGCAAATTCACACTTTCTCGTTTTGAAACCAGAATAACACAAAGACAAGAAAATAGGGGAACTGTCAAAGAAGTGATAAAGACTGAGTTTGGATCCTCTGTCAGTTACTAGCTTTGAGACCCTGGACAGGCTAAATAATCATTCTGGGCCTTGGTGTTCACATCAGTTAAATGGAGACACCACAACCTGACCTTAGGATTAAAGACTGGGCGCCGAGTGCGATGGCTCATGCCTGTAATCCCAGCACTTTGGGAGGCAGAGGTAAATGGATTATTTGAGGTCAGGAGTTTGAGACCAGCCTGGCTAACATGATGAAACCCCGTCTCTACTAAAAATACAAAAATTAGCTGGGTGTGGTGGCACACATCTGTAATCCCAGCTACTTGGGAGGCTGAGGCAGGAGAATTGCTTGAACCCGGGAGGCGGAGGTGGCAGTGAACTGAGATTGTGCCACTGCACTCCAGCCTGGGCAACAGAGCGAGACTGTCTCAAAAAAAAAAAAAGAAAGAAAGAAAGAAAGAAAAAAGTCTATGGAGAAGCATCTGACAACTGAGGAGCACAGTTAGAACAATGGTGGCAAATGCAGCTACAAGTGCTTTGGCAATAAGTGGGACACTGAGTACTGAGCTGACAGGCTTCCCTCAGGCTTCTCCGGGACAGAAAGGGAAGAAAGGACACACTAGAACGACAGCTGAGGGAATTTAAAGGAGGGATAACCAGGTTGGAAAAGGGCAAAAGGTCAGATTCAGAGGGTAGTAATGAGGTTGCAAGGTTCCAATATAATTGGCCTCCATAGGTACCCTAGAAGATGGTAATTACTCTCATAAAAAAGCTAATGATAATACACCACCTTCTACGCTAAAAACATCATACCACATAGTATCAAAATCTAACGACTAACCGCAAGTTGAGAAATGGGGATGCCTGTCTCAGACCTTTACTTGTATTCTCTGCATGTTAAATGAATTCAAAGAATCGTTACTGGGAATATTTTTCTTGTAGTACTGGTAGTGGCATTAGGAGTGAGCAAACATCCACTGGTGCCAAGTGTAAGCCAAGAACTGTGAAAAGCATTTTTGATACACTCTCTCACGAAAGCCTCAGATTGGTCCTATTTCCACAATTCCCATTTTAGCAGAGGCAAAGTCATACAGCTACTAAGTGGCAGAACTAGATTGGAAGACATCCTTACCTACTGAAAAAACACTGTGGACGTGATCCTAACTATAGTAATTATCACTTTCAAATGCATATGTCTTTGGGAAACATATTTACAGAAATTATAGAATCACCCAGTAAAGAGTACCATGTTACCACTGACGGCAGAGACCTTTTTACTCATCAGAGCTCATGGTTTGACAACATTCTCTGCCACCCCACCCTTTGAATTCCCCCTTTGCTGCCAGGTTAGTTTACCTGTAGCAGATGACACAGCTAAGAGCAAGGCTGGGTTTAGAAAAAGAGACAGCCAAAGCCAAATACCAAAAAATGCAAAGCTTAGGTTTATGCAGTTAATCCACTAAAAGTAATCTGCACCAATTCTTACTCTTAGTATATGCTATGCCAGTCTTCCTCAAACTGCAATCTGAAAAAAAAAAATTCAGGGATATATGAATACTTAATACATTTTTAAAAATTTTGTTGCCGTGTCGTTAACAGGCTTACAAAACAGGAAATGTATGATTACTATCCTTTAACTTCAGACTGCCCCATGATTTCAGTGCCATGTTTCATATGTGCTAATAATCAAGCTGGCTAAATATTACTACTTCAATTTCCCTGAGCTAATGAGAAAAGATCAGTGGTCTAATACACAAATGAAGTGAGGACCAAATGATATTATGGAATACCATGGAATCATCACTAAAGGCTTTGTATCAGAAAAGTTATAGGAGAATTGAGATTGCCTATGATAACTATACCAACTCAAAAAATAAAATAAAATAAAATAAAATAAAATAAAGGAAGCCTCTGCCAGAGTAGTCAATAGTATATTCACATTGTAAAGGGTGATTTAGTCTCAGCAGAGTATCATCATTAATATGCAATATTAAATTCATATTGTTACTTTACATGCTACTTTTTTTGCAATTATGTTGTATTTATTTTAAATTGTTTTAGCAGAAAAACTGTTAAACACAGAAGTTTATATCTGACTTTTTTCTTTATAAACAAAGTAGCATTAAAGCCAGGTGTGGTGGCTCATGCCTGTAATCTCAGCTACTCAGGAGGCTGAGGTTGGAGGATCACTTGAAGCCAGGAGTTCAACACCACCCAGGGCAACACAGCAAGACCTCATCTCAAAAAAATAGATAAAAGCAAAAAAAGTATCATTAAAATAAAAACTGTATAAGTCAACATTGTGGGTATGGATTTTTTTCTTTTAAAGACATTCATACATTATTTAAATTAGAAGAATGCCTCTAAATATAAAGACAAACTACTACCACTTGGTTTGGGAAGCACTGAACTCAGCAATCTCCACATGTGGCCACTTTGCCATTAGGTACTCCATAATGAACAAGTGTCAGGCAGATCACAGTACCACAAGAAGCCTAAGATTTAGGAAGAGGGAGAAGGTCCATGAGAGAGCAACATGCACACATGTTTATATACAATTTCAGGGAATTCACAGAGTTCAGAAAGCTATCCACTGATTCCAGGATAAGAATACCCAAACAAGAGAGAATAAGAATAGTTTGTAAGAGGTGCATTATTTAATTAATAAGGAGAAGATGATGGCATGCAATCAAGAGAAAAATAAGTTGGGACCAAAAATAATTTTTTTCCTGCAGCAATAAAAGAATGTAGAACAATTATTAATAGGTTTTGCTGATGGAAGTTGAAATGCATGTATCTGCAATTCCAAATCTCATGATCTCACTTCCAGTGAGTCAAATTATGAAAACAGTTCGTCACCACTGAAATATTTACTAGAGATGTTTCCATATAAAAGGGGCATATAAGTGCAATGAAGGCATAGGGAGTTTATCAGAACTGTAAGTACTTAGCTTACTTTAGTTAAAGAGATATGAACAGAATCTATGGAAGACTAAATGTAGTAATAAATAATAAACTTGAGATATGCAAAAGTAAGGTGTTGAAGAGGCAAAAAATCTCTGGTTTCCCAATGTCTATGGGTTTCAAAATATGATTCTTATTTAGGTGAGAATTAAAGGCTATAACTATGAGGAGATTAGAAATAATTATGAAAAGCTATGTTTACTAGATGCCAAAGAACCACTAAATAATATTTTGAAAGCCCCAACACAATGTTTTGTTGAGACTTATTTTCACCAAGTACAGACTTCAGATGAATAAAAAGATTTAATTGCTAAATTTCATGGTTTGTCAAAGAAAATATCAGGTTTCACTCTATCAAAGACTAATAGAAAAATCAGAATAAAAACTGTGTAAATTATTTACATAGCTTAAGTAGATGTCAAAGATTGCAGACATGCTCTGAGGAACAGAACTAATCATCAACCCATGACCCACGCATAGCTAATTACCAACCCCAATATGGAGAAAACTTTCATCATCTCTTCAGTTTATAATGCAGCTTTCAGATCAAGGTTTCATCATTTCTGGCCTTAAATAAGAATCAGCCATGCAAGGAATTTAATTCAAAGCATAAGCACAATTTCAACACGTGTTTATCTCATATCGTTTTTTCTCTACTTTTCCCTTTCAATTTTCATGAGAAAACAAACTGTTATTTCTTGAAATATACAACCTGTGGGGTAGCCTTGAGATCTCAGTCACCTCCACTTCCACAATCACATGTTATCCAGCTAAAATAAACTAATGAAACTGAAGTCTTCTATGGAATAGCCATCTTATGAATTTACTGTTTGAGTAAGTAAACTAGAAGATAAAACAAGCCATTCATTTCTAGGACTGAACCCCTCTCTCCATGCCCAATTGGGAATTCCCAATGAAAAGGCCAACCTCATATAAACTGATAAGGTTTTGGCATGTTTCTGATAACGGTGACAGACCTGATGAAGACTTTTTACCTACTCATCCTCAGAAACCTCTCAAATAATTCAAATTGCAGTTTGACAAACAGATTATCTATAAAAAGCCCTCATTACTTAAGATTTTATTTAGAGCAATTCAGAAGGGATCGTTCACTGAAGGAGGAAGTCAGTGTGATGTTTCTTACCAGCTAAGCTATTGAAGATATACTTCATACCATTCCTCCTCACCCCTGAAAAAACAAAACTGGATACTAACTATAATTCCCTGAAGATAACGTGGTTTCAGGGCTCCTTCCATGTACTTTTAAAGCTTTGGTGAGATCACACTACGGGATCACCAGGTGTCAGTATTATTCTGGTTGTAATTTCAGTAGGAAACTATTATAGTCCTGCGCTGGGGAAACTGGATGCTATTTCCTCTTTTTTTTTAATACAGTGTACTAATATATACATGCCTTTCAGGCAGCAACGCTATCTTCAATATGAGCTAAATATTTTTTGTGATGGAGGCCAGGTATTGCATGAAAAAAGAAAACACCATTTCCAAACTTTCTAGATTGCCATGGAATAACTAGAAATCAATAAATGAAATCCAACATAATGTCTAGCTCAATCTTGTTTCATCAAGTGACAACTATAATAACTTCATTAGAAATATATTAAGAAAACTGTTAGAATCAGAGTTAGCTCGGCTCCTTTCACAAACCTCATTGCAACATCTCTCCCTCCCAGCAAAAGATACAGGAAAGAAGAAATTTCCACAAACCCAGTACAGAAATTCCACCCTCACAACAAAGAATTAGGTTCCTGATAAGCAACAAGAAAAATAAACTCACAATTGGAAAAATTAATAGCTTGAGGGAAAAACAGGGTACTAGGACCTGCGATCAGAAATAAACCTTTAAAAAACCCTTGTAAATGTCTGAAACTCCATAAAAATAAGGATAAACATATTCAGTGAGAAAATATGTCATTTTATATACTTCGGTAAGTATAAATGCATAGCATGAATTGCCTTCTCAGTTCCCCAAGCAGTAGATACTACTTAGGGTCTCATATCATTGTGACTTTAAAATGAGACACTTAGAAACTGACTTGGCCTTGTTACAGATAAAGTAAGTTCTCAGAAGCTATATTTCCCCTAAATTTGGTCCTCCAAGAAAATCTTCATCTCTGAGGGTGGGCTGTAAATCCAAAGATGCAGAGAAACATGAATAATTCAAGACAGATAAAGAAGCTTTACAAAAACCTTTATTTACCCTACGCAGCTGGAAGAAGAGTAGATACCCTCCACAGGACCAAGTATACAAGCTCAGTTCTGCCACAACAATTCTATCCATCTCTGCTTCTCCTTCCTCAAAGGTCCAGCACTGTGTAATCCTAAAGCAGGCACACCCATTCTTATTTCCTCTCAATCCACGATGTTCTGTCAGAGAATCGCTCAGTTGCTGAAAGACAGTGAACCCAGATAGAATGGTATAAAGGCAGCTCTTTACTTTCCTGCTTCACACATTCCTGAAAGCATGTCAAAGGGTCAAATATATATTGTCAGGGAAGTTTTTATTCCTTGAGACATAAAAAATTTTAAACTTCCTAATTCTTCCTCATATACTCCTCATTGATATACTTCCAATCTGTTCAAATCCTTTACCTTTGTTCTTCTCATTCACAATCATATACACACACCACTGGACCAAATACAATGAACGTCTTACTGAAGCTAAAGATCAGACCTTTTGGAAAGCCAGGTAATTTCCCTGTGGTGTCAGCTGCATTTAGTTTGTGGGAACTACACTTCTTACCAGATAATCAGCACATACTTCTGTTTTCTACTCACCTTTCTGAAACAACAGTAAAAAGCAATGAAGTACTCAAAACAGTGTTTTACTGCCAAGATGTTGTTGCTGCTGTAACTCAATGTGAGGTAGCAGAAAATGGTAATGGCCAACACTATCTATGGTATTAGATAAAAGCGAAATTTGATGAAATAAGGAAGTAGCTAAAGGGGGCACAGTTTCAGTCGTCTCTTCCTGCTCTCATTCAAGATGCTTTGGGGAAAAGATACCATGGCACATAGCAGACCCATTGTTCTTTAGGTCTTGGAAAGTAATTCTCTTTTCTTCATTCCACTTGGTTGGCCTTTATTTCTGAACATACTATATCATCTACAGGATAGTGATTGGGGTTCCTATGGAAAGGTCTCTGTATGAGGTAGAATTGGCTGCAGATAACTGGGAAGCCAAATAAGTGATTAAGCAAAATAGTTTATCGCTTCATTAGGTAAAAGAAGTTCAGAAGCAGGGGTGGTTTGGTAGCTACCAAATCATCAGACTCAAGCTACTTCCACCTTGCAGTTCCATCATCCTTAGCATGTAGAGTCTACCTTCATGTTTATTTCATGGACCAATACAGCTGCTGGAGCTCTGGCCAACACAAATTCATTCCAGATAAAGGAGAAAAGGAAAAAGGTGCCCAACCAGCTGTCTATCCCTTGAATTTAATTCCCTCTGCTTACATCTCATCAGCCAGCAGATAGTAACATAACTGTATCTAGCTGTGAGAGAGGGAGGCTGATAAGTATATCCTTTTAGCTGAAAACATTACCATCCTGACAAAAAGCAGAGCTTTATCATTAAAGCAAAGGGGAAGTACAGTGTGATGGTTAATTTTAGGTGTCAATTTGACTGGATTAAGAAACATCTGGAGAACTGGTAAAGCATTATTTCTGAGTGTGTCTTTGAGGGTGTGTCCAGAGGAGACTGATTGACATATGAGTCCATGAACTAAGTGAAGAAGATTTTCTCTCAATGTCGGCAGGCACTACCCAATCAGATGGTGGCCCAGACAGAACAAAAAAGACTGAGGAAAGGTGATTTCCTCCTCTCCATTTCCTAGAGGTGGGACATGTGTCTTCTCCTGCCCTTGAACATCAGAACTCCAGACTCTCCACCCTTTGGAATCCAGGACTTACCCTAATGGCCCCCAAGGTTCTCAGGCCTTCTGCCTCAGACTGATAATTACACCATTAGTTTCCCTGCATCTGAGGCTTTCAGACTTGTATTGTGCTGAACCATGCTACTGTCATTCCAGGGTTTCTAGCTTGTAGACAGCTTGTTGTAGGACTTCTCAAGCTCCATAATCATGTAAACACATTTCCCTAATCAATCCCCTCTTATCCATCCATCCATCCTCTATTGATTCTCTCTGGAGAACACAGCTAATACACACAGACTTTGGGTTAGCTGATGCTTCTCCCAGTCACCCAGCCAGTTTTAATTCTGGGCAAGAGCATGAAGTCCTTCACTTCAGGGGAATCATCATTCACCAAGGAGACACCACTACTGAGCGGGCAATGGCCTTCTAGCACAGAAGAGCACTCTTGCCCAGAGTGTCCCTCTGCATCTTTCCAGAAGCACTCAACATGGAAAAAGAATTAAGGCTGGTATGACCCCTAGTCCTGACCAACCCCTATTTCCCCAGCTAATCTCCACAACATACAAAGCTGTGCTCTGAAGGTGCATCTATAAGTTTGAGAAACCAGACCACATTCTCAGAGAAACAATGTTATAAACAGCTGGGAGGTTTCTAGGTTTACCCACAAAGGCCAATTTAACAGGTAATGTAGTAGAGATGGTATTTATTTGCCATTATTGAAAGTGGAACTGTTTGGATTTTGATAAACTAGATTTTGCCTTAATGAGCTGTGGAGGAAAGCCCGGATTGAGCGTGAAAGAAACAGCAGCAAAGAGCAACTCGTACTTCTTTCTGACTTTGCAAACTGGCAAATGAACCCTTCAATTGTCCTCTCCCCAACAAGTAATTTGTCTTATCCCTGTGTTTTTCCACAGTCCTTTCACTCTCTATCAATGGGACTATGGACCCCATTCTGAAGAACTCAGTAAGAAAAGAGGAGACATTCCACAAACCACAACATGCTCAATTGGGCCATGTCTACTGGCAGATAGAATCTGCCTTCTAGACTTGAGCAGTAGGGATGAGAACAGAAGGGGTATTATGCACTGAATTGTGCCCCTGGAAAGCTGTTGAAGTCCTAACACCTGGTACCTTTGAATTTGACCTTATTTGGAAATAGGGTCTTTGCTGATGATCAAGGTCAGATGGAGTCATTAGGGTGGACACTAAATCAATATAACTGTGTCCTTATAAAAAAGTGGAATTTTGACACAGGGATAGACGTACAGACCAGAGAAATGTCATGTAAAGATAAAAGCAGAGATGGAGATGATGCTTCTGAAAGCCAAGGAAAGCAAAAGATTGCCCACAAACCACCAGAAGCTAGAAGAGGCATGGAACAGGTTCTCCCTCATAGTCCTCAGTAGGAATCGAACCTGCAAACACTATGATCTTGGATTTCTAGCTTCTGGAATGTGAGATAATAAATTTCTGTTGTTCAAGCCACCTGATATGTGATACTTTGTCATGGCAACCCTAGGAAACTGATACATGAGGCAGATGGCGCATCTTCAAGCACCTTCCTGGGTCCAGTACATTGCTTCCTTTCCTCTCAAGTGTCTGTCCACATCACTGTGTGTGACTCTCTGCCTACTCTCTGTCTCCACCAAGTTACTTCTCAAGCCCCTTCAGCCACCATCATTTACACACATGGGGCTCCAGCCGTGCAGACTTCAGGGGTGGTTCCAGGCATATTCCTGGTTGAGAGTAAGGGACAGGCACATGGCCCCTCCATCCTGATAGGGATCATATACTACTATGAGCAAGAAAATGAGAAGTCAGATGCTGCTAAATTGGGTACCTAAATTTCAAAACCTGCACATGTGATGTTAACACCTGGATATGTAGCTGTCAAAGGCTTATATAGAAATAGAAACCAACTGAGTGAAACAAGAGTACAAGTAAATAATTACATATCTGGAGGTATTACAACTGCTCACTTCTGAGGATTCAACAAGGTCAAATATCTCAGTGTATTCTATGGGTCACTGTCTCTTAAATGTAATTCTCTGCTTCCATAACATCTCTCTTTCCTTGGCCATCTTGCCACAGGATCTGTCTGGAAGACATAGGAAATAGAAGAGGCTAAAAAGCTGGAGAAGAAAGCCAAACCCTTTAATGATAAAAGAAAACGAGAGGAAATCTCACTTCCATGCATATCCATTCTCCAGATTTTATTTTTTTAAATTAAAAAACATAGGAAGGGAATCACATAACGAATACCTACCTGTATATTCACTACCCAACTTGATAAATCATACATAAACATAGCTGAAGGCTCTGGCAACTCTCTCTGATCTCAGTTTCCCTCTCTCCCCTCAGACGTAACCACTGATGTAAATTTGGTAATTATTCTCTAGCATGTCTTTATACTTTTAGTACAAAGAAAACCCACCCAAAATGATGGTGCTCCTCGGCCACAGTCCTATCACTTTCATTTGTTTTAACATTTTCTTTCCTTTTTTCCTTCATATAGCAAAAAAACAAAAAGCAACAAAAAACTATCAATGTATTCAAGCCATAGGAACAATAATGGAAATATATATATATACACACACACATATATATACATATACACATATATATACATATATACACACATATATACATATACATACATATATACATATATGTGTGTGTGTGTGTATATATATAGAGAGAGAAAGAGAGAAAGAGATATGGAGTCTTGCTCTGTCACCCAGGCTGGCCTGCAGTGGCACGATCTCAGCTAACTGCAACCTCTGCTTCCCAGGTACAAGCAATTCTCCTGGCTCAGGCTCCTGTGTAGCTGAGACTACAGGTGCACACCACCATGCCGGCTAATTTTTGTATTTTTAGTAGAGATAGGGTTTCACCATATTTGTCAGGCTGGCCTTGAACTCCTGACCTCAGGTGATCCACCCATCTTGGCCTCCCAAAGTGCTGGGATTACAGGCATGAGCCACCGCGCCCAGCCAGAAAATAATTTAATTTTATTCCTATCAGCTGATATCTATTTTTTACTTGTATTATCTCACCATCTCCACCACCAATAAGGCTGTGACATAAGACAGACTAATTGGAAATAATTTGCATAGTCATCTATTTCTGGAACTCCTTAATTCATACCAGTAAATGAGAGCCTACATCACCTATGCCGAAACCTCTCCTTGACAAAAAGCCCAAATGGATGAGAATTAAATTGTATTCCTTTATATAGAAGACTGGTCAAACATTAATCAGTAGTGAATCCATCACTCATCTGTTCTCATAAAAGACTTAAATGCAAAAAAAAAAAATTGTACTAGGCTGAAAGCTCATGAAATGGAGGACTCAACATTCACCATTATATTAGGAACATAGCATGTTCTTATTAAAAGTTGGAGCAATTTAATGTAGGAATTCAATAATTACTTGATCAATTATAGGGTTAGTCAATGAGAGTGCTAGGCAATAAGGGAGACACATGATTTAAAAATCACACAAAACAATATTCTACAAATATTTATGGAACACCTGTTACATGCTAGGCACAGTGCAGGGAACCAAACTTCTTACCCCTAGGGAGCCTCCACTCCAGCAGGACAGCATATACAAAGTTACATTAATGATATATCCTGAGGAACTCTGGGAAATCTTCCATGATCAATAAATCACTCTATAAATCATAACTTGGCTAAGAATGGCTACAGTCCTGGTTTCTGGGGAAATCTTATAAAGCCCCAAGTGTTAAGGCAAAACAAAGAAAATCTGTTATATTCCCTAAATGAATATAGCATCTCTGTTGACTACTGGAACCTATTAAATGTGTTGTTTAGAGTGATTTCCTGCACATAAAATGTAAAAGCTTTCCTGAACCTAAACAAATATCACCAACAGTTGAAGGAAAAATGTTACCTTTTGAAATTTCATAAAATGAATTACTGAAACTGAGGAAATGCCTCAGTACCTTAAACAACTACACATGACCACTAAAAACTGTCTAACACTTAGCTCTCCTGGCTTTTTCTGTTTCAAGATGCAGCAAATTTTGTGGGCAAGCAGAGCACTCAACTAATACATAACTGGTCTGTGCAGAAAGTACTTCCCAGCTGGAAAGAAAACACATGCCAAAAATCAATAATTATCAAATAAGAATTTAGAAAAAAAGTCTAAAAGTATATAGAAAAACATTTGTGCCAACTATCCTACATGGTTAGATTATGGGTAAAAACTATCTTATTCTTCACATTTCTGTATTTTTCTATAATATAAATACTCAGAAAAAACGATCCATGCTTTATGATCTAAGAATTTTCACAGTAAAATAAAATGTTATCCTATTTCTTAAATGCTGAGACTGTAACACTGAAAGTACTTAAAGGAAAAATTATTTAATGCATCAAAAGATAGAAGTAAAAGCTCAGTTTTCTGCTTTGTAAACTATCTTTTCCCTAAGTGATAAAATATGGGGTAATTTTAAATGCATTTTTTCTTATCTGTATTTTCTAGTTTTTCTAAAATGACCACCTACATGATCAATTTAAATATTGTTTAAATTATTTTCTACAGGCCCAGTGCGGTGGCTCACACCTGTAATCCCACCACTTTGGGGGGCA
The DNA here is from genome assembly GCF_000001405.40 of Homo sapiens. NCBI lineage: Eukaryota > Metazoa > Chordata > Mammalia > Primates > Hominidae > Homo > Homo sapiens. The sequence goes on along the minus strand of NC_000005.10, from coordinate 66,924,644 downwards.
GAGGTAGGCGGATCACGAGGTCAGGAGATCAAAACCATGGTGAAACCCCATCTCTACTAAAAATACAAAAAATTAGCCGGGCGCGGTGGTGGACGCGGTGGCGGACGCCTATAGTCCCAGCTACTCAGGAGGCTGAGGCAGGAGAACGGCGTGAACCTGGGAGGCGGAGCTTGCAGCGAGCCGAGATCGCGCCACTGCACTCCAGCCTGGGTGACAGAGCCAGACTCCATCTCAAAAAAAAAAAAAAATTATTTTCTACAAAGACCAAGTAGTCATATTAAAATATTATAAATTCTATTTTTTTACTCAAAAGATAGACCACAATAATAGGGATACACATATCAGTTTATTCTCCAAAATAATTACTGGGAATGCCTCCAGGTTAGAATTACTTCCCTCTTCAAAAGGATCCAAAGAAGTTCAGAAAGGTCAAAATGTACAAACTCTTCTGAAATTGGCTATTTCAACTGAATACACAGGTGCCAGGCCCTCTGCCTTTCCTACTTTGCAAGCAGATCAGCACCAAATCTGATGAGTCAGGAAGATGAGATGGCAACAAGGAGAAAATGGAACAGCAAGGTGGCTTGGTTTTTAAAACCCTATCATATGTCATTCACTGAAAGATTAAAGGGTTTCCTGATGATGGAAAAGCAACTAAACCAGGGGCCACCTAACTCTTTTATGACAGGTTTTTAAAACACATCTTAAGATGAGCTTTTTGCTCCTTCGGTCCTGAATGCCATTTCCCAATAATTGAATGATAGCTTTTAAAGTCAGAGAACAATTTGCCACATCTCTGAATCCCTTTATGTACAAGGCCAGGTTTCATCAACCCCCTTCTCCCCAAACAACTTGAAATATATGACTGTGTTGTGAGGTTAAGGTCAGCAGGCAGGGTTACAAACACAGGCAGGATGATTTCTAGAGCAGCAACCAAAAAGCAAGATCTTTGCAACCTCAAGAGTCATTTAGACTATACTGAGAAGAAGCATGAGTTTGGTTACCCTTAGGTATAAGACAATGGAACCTGGGGGTTACAGGAGGATGTAGATTTAGGACCACAATAAAAAAACAGGAAAAAGAGAACAACGTGATAGCCACAACCTCAGAAACTTCTACCTACAGAAAGCACTTCCCTCACCAACCAGTTGCATGATTTTGTTTTGTGGCAATTCTCTCAATGGCCAGCTAGACATATTTTTTCAGCCTTCATGTTGAAGGCTCCTGTGACCAACACCTGTCTCGATTATCTTCGGCTGACCCTTGAAGATGGGAGAGTGAGATTCCCCAATATTAACGTATCCCAAGACGACAATGCTTTCTGCCAGACTCACATTGGGTATGGAAGCCTTTAAATACCCAGCGTTTCTTTTAATCAGTTATACTGCTTTTGCACTCATTTTACAAAGCCATCTGGCTTTGCAGACATTAATACAAGGACTATGAAAAACCCCACTTTTTATTGTGGCCCCACAATGGGGAGCAATCCGCTTCAAAGTGTGTTGAGCTCACAGGATTCTGGTGCTGAAATAGATCGCTCAGATTTTATTGTTCAGGCTTCCAAGGAGCCTGGCCATCTAGGAGATAAAAGAATTCTTCTGAAAGCACCATGTAAAAGAAAATATTTGTTCAGTCACAGTGTCCCTAACAAATGTGATCTTATGCTCCACGGTTGGATGCCCGAGAAGATGAAAATGAAGGGGTCTTAACAGATACAGTGGAGACCTGGTCAGATAAATTGGAGGTTGGGGAACATGTGCCGCCCTAAATTGGAGAATGCTGAGGTGCTCTCCTTTCTGTGAATATCCTACTCATTCTTACAAAATGTTCCACACCTCAGGATGGCATTAAGTAGAAATCCTTTGACTTTTTTTTCACTACTGAATTCAACTGCAATTATATTTAAAATATCCTTATTTTCCATTACTTTGACAGCTTCACTTTTGAAGTTTTCTATTCATACATCTCAAGAGTCCTATCCCTTTCTAAGCAATAGTAAGCTGGCCTTTAACAAAGGCAATACTAGAAGAGACAGTATTTTTTTTGCAAGTAGTTATTTCATTCATTACAATTTTTGTCATTTTTAGCAGAAATGACAGCAGAAAACGGAGAAGAGGTTGACATTTAAACATTTAGATGTACACAAGTATTGTGGGGATTCATAACTAGGGACCAAATTCAATGTGTCGCTTTAAAAGATAGTCCTTTGACATGAGTTAACCTGGAAGTTACATGCAGCTGGCAGTACATGTCACCAGCTCACAATAGGTTCCCAAAGGAAAGAGGCTATTTCTCTTTAAGGCACAGAGAATAAGGGTCACTGACTCCTGACCCAATGGCTTCATCCCAATAAATGGAGCAGTCTCAACTCATCTCTTAATAGGAAGAAGACATGATAGCAGGGAAGACGAGCACTCAGGTAACAATTACAGCAGATTTACAATTTCCACAGCGAGCCCAGAAACAGAGTGGATCCATACTCCAAAAGAACTGCATCTTCTCTTAGGATGCTACACTTTCCCACTGATAGAGCCATTTAAAATTTCAGCAATATGGAAGTCCCGCATAGGAACTGAATCTGTTGTGTCAGTAATCTGCTACCTCCTGTGTGTAGGAGGCTTAACATAGTCTAGCAGTGGACTAAGGCAAAATAAAGATGGAAGACTGGTGGCATTTCATTTTGAGACAATCTAAGATGGTACCATCTTACCAAATACATGAAAGTAATATTGAATAAAGGCAGCATTTTCACAAGAAGATAATATTATTTAATTAGAACGTTACATGAAGTTACATTTTATCTTGGCCATTTGTATGCAAACTTTACAAGTCTTACATTGATAATTAATGCATGCAAAACATTGATCTTGATTCATATTTTTCTTTTGAGATGGGTCCCATTCTGTCACTCAGGCTGAAGTGCAGTGGAATGATCTAGGATCACCGCAACCTTCACCTCCCAGGCTCAAGCCATCCTCCCACCTCAGCCTCCTGAGTAGCTGGGATTACAGGCGTGCGCCACCATACCGGCTAATTTTTGTATTTTTTTTAGTAGAGATGAGGTTTCACCATGTTGGCCAGGCTGGTCTCGAATTCCTAAGCTCAAGTGATCTGCCTGACTCGGCCTTCCAAAGTGCTGGGATTTCAGGTGTGAGCCACCATGCCTGGCCGCAGTTTTAATCTTTAGTTGTACTATTTTTTCATCTTTTACAATGTCACATAAGGGTTTTATTTCAGTTTGATATAAATTAAGAATGCCTCTGGACGAAGGTGGGCTGCAGTTTACCTCACCTCATTAGGTCCAGGAGTGATGTCCCCGGCCTTTATGGAGTACCGCTTTGAACATGAGGCCTGAAATATTTTTGGAGGTATATTATTGTTTTCTAGTCAGCACAGAATACTCATTTGCTTAGTACCCTTATGTCAGACTTAGGGGCTCTAACATAACCTTAGTTGATTCATTTAAATCAACACACATGATTTTTTTAACCCAATGTTGCAGTTTTAGGGCAACCCCCCTGCCACCTGACCTTATTCTTTAAGTCATGTGAACATTGCTTTATTATTCTAGTGCATCCCAACTTATCACTTTGTACCCTCTAATCGTAAGTGGCTTTTTGGGCATCTTGGTCCACTGCAGCCGCTGTGATTTTTCTGGCTTTGGGAATAATAAACTCCACAGTCACAGCACTGTCTGGGCACTCCAATCCTCACTCCAACCCCCAGGCTTTCTGGTTGTTTATGTTTATGTGTTTCACAAAAACAGAAAAGTTCTCTATTCTAATGACTCTATCTTCCAGAGTCATTAGAAATTAGGCAGCCCTGGAACAAATTCAAGGGTTAAATATAAGTATTATAAAAGAAACATTTTCACACCTGTAATCCCAGTACTTTGGGAGGCTGAGGTGGGCGGATCTCCTGAGGTAGGGAGTTCGAGGCCAGCCTGACCAACACGGAGAAACCCTGTCTCTAATAAAAACACAAAACTTAGTCAGGCATGGTGGCGCATGCCTGTAATCCCAGCTACTCGGGAGGCTGAGGCAAGGGAATCCCTTGAACCTGGAAGGCGGAGGTTGTGGTGAGCTGAGATCACACATTCAATGTTTCAGTGTAGGTATTATAAGAGAAACATATTAATAACACTTAAATGCAAGTATTATAAAAGAAACAAGTGTTAATCTTATGATACCTGTTATTTATTGATTTTTACGGTTTTTAAATCTGATTCTACTTGTATTTTAAAACAATTTTACCTTAAAATTAACAATGTGGAATTTACACAGATACACATAATTATATTTAAAATATACTCTAATTTTTTATATTTATCTTTATCAACTCTGTCAATTTTGATAATGATTCAAACGAGAGTAGGGAAACACAATTTGAGTTGACCAAAATGCAGCTTATTTGAAAATACTGGAAACACAATATGCCTTTTATTTAGCATAGTTTGTATCATTTGTCACCTCTGAATATATCACGATTGACTCTTGGCTTTTGAGAGGTTCAACTTGTTAAAATGGCTTATAATTACTTTCCTCTTTGCTACTTAAATTTTCACTACTAGCCAGCAGAAGTTACCTCAATTTGGTTCATCTGCTCAACTTCCACACATCATTAAAAGCATCCTTGTTCATTAGAAAGAGAGAGAGAGAGAGAGAGAAAGAAGGAAGGAAGGAAGGAAGGAAGGAAGGAAGGAAGGAAGGAAGGAAGGAAGGAAGGAAGGAAGGAAGGAAGGAAGGAGAGAGAAAAATAGAGAAAGAGAGCGAAAGAGTTCCAAAAAAAGAAAATGTTCCAACAAAATTCTGCCTATTTCAATCATGACATCCAGTTATGTTCCAAAAACAGTCCTGGTGACCTTTAGTGGAGAATAATATTAGAGACCAAAATCAGGGTAAATAAAGTGCCTATTAGTTTTTTATATGAGTACTAGAGAAGGTAACTGTTTATCACCTTTTTCTCTTTTTTTTTTTTTTTTTTTCTGTGACGGAGTCTTGCTCTGTTGCCCAGGCTGGAGTGCAGTGACGATCTCAGCTCACTGCAACCTCTGCCTCGTGGGTTCAAGCGATTCTCCTGCCTCAGCCTCCCAAGTAGCTGAGATTACAGGCGTGTGCCACCATGCCTGGCTAGTTTTTTGTATTTTTAGTAGAGATGGGGTTCAACATGTTGGCCAGGCTGGTCACAAATTCCTGACCTTAAGTGATCTGCCCACCTTGGCCTCCCAAAGTTCTGGGATTACAGGTGTGAGCCACCATGCCCGGCCTGTTTATTACCTTCTTTAGAATGAGATGGCAAATTGTTTTGATTTAGTAAAGATGATAAGTTCATATGGAAGGTTTCAGTTTAACTCTAAGTTGACTATCCTTTTTTGGTCTTAATGCAAGTAACTTAATTTCCCCTTCTTTTCTTAATTATCATCTTTAATATTCATATACATGCAAGAAAGTGCCATATCAATTTATGTGAATTATACGACTATTAAAATTAGAAGGAATCTCAAATTTGTGTGTGTGTGTGTGTGTGTGTGTGTGTGTGTGTGTGTTGAGAGTCTCGCTCTGTCACCCAGGCTGGAGTGCAGTGGTGTGATCTTGGCTCACTGCAACCTCCGCCTCCCAGATTTAAGTAATTCTCCCATCTCAGCCTCCCAAGTAGCTGGGATTACAGGCACGTGCCACCATGCCCAGCTAATTTTTGTATTTTTAATAGAGACAGGGTTTCGCCATGTTGGCCAAGCTGGTCAAGAACAAAATCTCAATTTTTAAAACAATTTTATCTAAGTATATCATTAATATATATACCATTCATTATATATATCATTCAATAATATATACCAATCATTTCACCATTTTATTTTTGGCTACAGAATAAACTAATAATTTTTTCTACTTAATCAAGTAAACATAGGTAGAACCTACATGAGGATGTCCTTCTACTTCCATAAGTAAAATAGAGACCTCACATTTGTTTGTCTTTATTTGTAAGCTAAAATTACCATTATTTTTATCCCAGTTTTAGTATTTAGCTCCACTATTTCAGATGCCTTTAGAAAAACACAACGTATTTATTACTTTAGTATTATACCAGCTAATGAATTCCAAAAAGCAATTAAGAATGTCAGTAAAAACAATTAAGTTAATGTCAATATACAGTATAAATTAAAAGTTAAGAATGGCCAAAAGCATATCAAATACTCGAAAACTTTATCCAGTTTCAAGTGTGACAATTTCTAAAGTCCACGTAATATTCAACATTAAGCTTAAAAAGAATTAAGTCACAAAAGATTCCAAAGTACATGGTGTATTGTGCACTTCAGTTATAGTTCTTTGTTCACATCATATTTACAAATCTCTCAACCAATCCAGATATGGGTATACTTCATAATTTGGTACATAAACAGACATGCAAACTAAAAACTTACATTCATTGAAAACTTTAACCCCTTAAGCTTTAATGCAATAATATAATTATCAGATAATTAAAAAGTCATGGCTATATCCCAATATTTGCATCTTGGCATGATTGTACAATTATCACAGAGATAAAGTAAATCACTTTTAAAGAATTAAAACTGACAGAAGTAGTAACCTTTAGTTTCTCAGTAAATATTTTTCCAATTAGTGGCATCAGGTAAAGAGATCTCCACACTGAGAAATATTAAATTTTTGGTTCTACGTATTAAGTAGTGTTATATTACCTTTCATTTTAAAAGCATTTACGATAAAACGCCTTCAATTTTAAATTTTTAATTTAACCAGAACAATGTGGAAAAATAACTGGCTAAAAAAAGTCATGAAAGTGTAAAAGGAGAGTGAAGGAGGACTTACCAGAAATTATAAGTCACTAGAAAAGCCAGTGTATTCAAAACAGAATGGTGTTGGCACAGAAACAGACAGATAGGAGTAGAATAGAGAGTCCAGAAATAGTTCCAAATATATATGGCATCTTTATATGTGACAAGGACAACATTTCAATCCCATGAAAAATAAATTTTCTTGTATTAACTAGGACTTAAGTAACTGGTCATCCATCTAGGGAAAAAAAAAAAAAGAAAGAGAATCCTACCTCATCTCGTGTACAAAATTTTAAGTTGAAGATTGAATGTTTTTTTAAAAATAGTGAGAAAATTTAAGGGAATATCTGCATGACCTTGGGGTGGACAATACCACTCTGAGCAAAACAAATAATTCAGAAGCAATAAAGAAAAAGACATATTTGATTAAATAATAATTAACAATTTCATTTGGCAAAAGACATCATAAACAGATAAAAACTGCAAAGACATTTGCACACATACCACAACGGATTAATACTTTCACATAATAGTTTGTAGAAACTGAAAAAGAAAAACACTACTAAATGGAAAAATGGGCAGTGAAAATAAGCATGAAGTGAAGAAAAGAGAAATGTAAATGAAGAGTAAACATATGAAAATATACTCAACATCAGTGGTAGTGAAGGAAATGCAATTTAAAGTAATGACCAGGGGTAATAAGATTGGAAAGAATTAAGGGCAGTGACATCCAGTGCTGGTGAGAATGTAGAAAATGGGCATTCTTATGGGTGAAGGTGATTTTCTATTCTTTTGGGTAAAGTGATAGCTATTAAAATTAGAAATACACATACCGTTTGACCAAGCAATTCCACTTCTGGGAATCTATCCTATAGGAGAAAAAAGGACCAGTACGTAAGGATATAGGTAAAAAAATTGTTTATTGCAGCACTGTTTGTTGTGGGGAGGGGAGAAAGGGAGTACTGAAAACAACAAGAATGTCAGTTAATAGGAAAATGGTTAAATAAAATGTGGTATATCTATAATGTAGAACATAATATAATTATTAAAATAAATGGGATAAATTTGTATCCACTGACTTGGGAGACTGATAAGGTGACAAAAGAAAACTAAAGAGTGGGTGCTTAACATCTTGTTTAAGACAGGTAGTAGCAACAACTGCAACAAATCAATGTATGCAAATGTACCTACACCTGTATGCATATGAAGTGAAGAATGGAAGAATACACACCAGTCTAACAATGACTACCTAAGGTTGTGGATAGAGACAGGGATTGGAAGGGATGGAGATCATTTACCTCCTCTTTGTATAACTTTGTGCTGTTTCACTAGTTACTATGAGCACAATAGTAATTTCATAATTTTCAAAACTATGTTATTAACTTTTATAAATGGTAGTACAGTAGTATTTCTATACATTCATCTTCAGTAAAACAGTAGCAAATGAACAAACATTCTTTGCCTATGCCAGTCTCATCATTGTGTTCATTTGGGGCTACTTGCTTAATATCCATTCCATCTCTCTTTCCCCCCTGTGTATCAGCCATGTAGTTTGGGTGGAACTGACTACACTCCATTTCCAAGGACTCCTGAATGTTCTAAGCCATTGGTCTCCACCAGAAATACAATTCAGAGCCACTTATACAATTTAAAATTTTCTAGTAGTCGCATTAAAATTATTTTTAAAGAAACAGGTTAACATAATTTTCATAACATTTAACCCAATATACCCACAAATACTATCATTTCAGCATGCTATTAACATAAGAATTACTAATGAGATATTTCCATTCTTTTTCTGGATCTGTTTGGCCTAGCCGCATTGCAAGAGCTTGAGAGCCACATGTGGCTAGTGGCTGCTGCACTGGACAACGCAGGTCTAAGCTAATGATGGTAATGCTAGAAACACTCCCATGTTCAGGATTAAACACATAATTTAAAATGGTCCAATCGAAGAGAAACCCATAATGGTAGGAGAAGAAAATTTCGTCTTCTTCCATTAACTCTGGAAACCTCAGGCGGACACTAAGGGGTGAGCCAGGAAGGAAGCCTGCAGCCAGTGCAGGAGGACCTGTGTCCCTGAGACAGCAGTGAGCCTCAGGACTAGCCCCCCAGTGCAGGAGGACCTGTGTCCCCAAGACAGCACTGACCCTCGGGACCAGCGCCCGCGTGCAGCCTCAACTGTTTAGTTACACAACTGGCATTTTTTTCCTCCAATCACTTTGAGTTAGGTTTTCTATTACTTGTACTGAAAAGTACATTAATTGACAAACTCATCTATGGACAATGCCATGTCCAAAGAGAATAATTTTCTTAAGTACACTAGTTCAAATGCTAAAATTTTCTTCCAATTACTTTTAGTCAAGCTATTCTTTTTTTAAACTAGCTTTATTTGATAACCTTTTTAGAAATCTTCTGAAAACATCCCCAAAGAGGAGTCCCACAGACTAATTTCTTATCATCCAGGGAAACATCCCACAGTCACTATACAAGAGAACAAATATTTCTCCTCAGAAGAAAACATGAAATCTCACAGCAAACAATCAGCTCTCATTCCACTTGATTTTTTTTTTTTTTTTTTTTTTGAGACAAGAGTCTCACTCTGAAGCCCAGGCTGGAATGCAGTGGCACGATCTCAGCTCACTGCTACCTCCGCCTCCTGGGTTCAAATGATTCTCCCGCATCAGCCTCCTGAATAGCTGGGATTACAAGTGTGTGCCACCCCATGCCCGGCTAATTTTTGTATTTTTAGGTGAGACAGGGTCTCACCATGTTGACCAGGCTGGTCTCCAACTCCTGAACTCAGGGTGATCCACCCACCTCTGCCTCCCAAAGTGCTGGGATTACAGGCATAAGCCACCTCGCCGGGCCTCTACCTTCTTTTCTGATTCTCGATCTCTAGATCAGAGTTTCTCATCCTCAGCACTACTGATATTTTGGGCAGATAATTCTTTGGGGTTGTCTTGTTCACTGTAGGTGTTTAGCAGTATCCCTGACCTCTCTCCACTAGAAGACAGTGAGAGAAACCCTGGTCCCCAAATAGTTGTGACAACCAAAAAGGTCTCTAGATATTGTCAAATGTCATCTTTGGGGGTAAAATCACCCCCAGTTGAGACCCACTGTCCTAGATAAGCAATCAGTTCAAGTGTATAACTGACCTTCATTGTTGTATCAGACTCAGGCAATGTAGCAATCATTAAAGCATGATGTAACCCTCTGAGTCCCCTGCATCACAACATTTTGGACCCGTGGTTCTCTCCCCAGCCACTGAACCTCCTCTGGTCACACTCTTCCTCTTCTACCCCCTCTCTATGCTAAGCGTGAGCTCTCCATTATAGTTCTTTCTAGAAGAAATGTGGCTAGTTCCTTCTGACTTCAGCTTCAAATCATTACTTGAGCTACTCCCTGAACCACCCACCCAACTACGTCCCTTGCACTTCTCTGAGGGGCTTTTTGGACAAAGTATTTGCTCATTTATGATCACTCATTCCTCCACTCAATCTCCCCAGCCTGGTCCTTCTTCTCTATCAGCACACCCTGGGGGCCATTCCATCCCATCTTTCCACACTGTATCAGCTTACACATTGTCCTCTTTAATCCATCTCTTAGACTAGAATTTCAGTATAAGTACTGGTCAACTTTTCATAGCTTCTCAGATTGATCTATGGATTCAATATGATTTCAATAAAAATATCAACAGGCTTTTTTTTTTGTAGAAGCTGACAAACTGATCCTACAATTAAGGCAACTAGAACAGCCAAAACAACTTTGAAAAAAGATGAACAAAGTTGGAATACTAATGCTTCTGAGATCAAGACTTATTATAAAGCTATAATAATCAAGACAGTAGATTGATGTAAAGACAAATCAATGAAATAGAAAGTCTGTAAATGGAAACACAAATACACAGACAACTAATTTTTGACAAAAGTTCAAAGCATTTCAGAGGAGAAAGAAATAGCCTGTTCAACAAATGGTGCGGGAACGATTAGAGACGTGTATGCAGAAATGAACTTCAATCCATATCTCACCCTCCATGTATAAAAATCAACTAACATTAATCATAGACCTAAATGTACAATCTAAAACTACAAAACTTCTGGAAGAAAACATATGAGAAAACCTTTGTGACTTTGGATTAGGGAAAGACGGCTTAGCTCCAATACCAAAAGCATTTAAAGAACGAATTAATAAAGCTTTTGCTCTTCAATAGATGCTATAAAGAGAATAAAAACACAAGCCACAGGCTGGGAGAAAACATTTACAGATCACATATATCAGGTTTATTTATAATGGTCAAAAGCTATAAACAACCCAAATGTCCAGTGGCAAGAGACTAATGAAACTGACACAGTCATTCAATAGGATATTACTTAGCAAAACAACTCTAATAAATGATTGACATATGCTATGACATGGACGAATCTCAAAATAATTATGCTGAGTGAGAAGCCAGGCCTAAAAGAAGGGTGCATATAATATTACTCTAGTTATGTAAAGTTTTTAAAAAATGTAAACTAATTTTTAGGGATGGAAAGCATTGGTAGTTGTCTGGTTGGGGATGTGGGGGTGGGGGAGCAATGACAAAGGGGCAGGAGAAAACTTCTGGGGGAGATGGGTATTTTATTATCTCAACTGTGCTGGTGGTTTCACGAGCGTATACACATATCAACTTATGAAATTGTGCACTTTAAATTATGTACAGTTTATTGTATGCCAATTATGTCTCAATAATACTTTTTTAAGAGAGAAATGCAATGCTAGCTATTGGGGAAACCTCACTACTATACCATGTAGGAACAGCTGAAACTGGTTCATGCTACTTGGGAATCCATGAAAAGAAGCAGTTTTAGAGGTTTTGTTTTGTGGTTTTGAATTCCTCTGTGGGTTAACACAAACAGAATTCACAATTCTTGGTTACATGAACATAATACAGCCTAGATGATATTAAATAGTAGATGTGGTGTGTGTTGGGAGGGAAAGACTTAGACCCTTATGAAAACCAATTTGAAGTCTCTTTGTTTTAATTCTCCTTTTAAGTGCCTCCCAAGACAATCACCACCATCATCTTAAAGGTATGACCAACCAACATCTTTCAGCAAAACAAAAAAAGAGAAAAAAAATAGAATAAACATAAGTGGCCTGAATTCTCAAAGATAATAATTAAGTAATATGCTTTTAACCAGGTGTTTGATGGCATTTCTCCCCATGATTCTATCAAATTCAACTACATCTATATACATATTGGTAGTACCTTAGAAATCCACCTTAAAAAGCCACCACTATTCCTCTAAGACATGAAAACTGTGTACTGATCTATTAATTTCATTCCAGTGTATGATGTCAAGTGCATTTTAAAAATATACTTCATTGCTTCCAAGTGCTTCTTTAATCCACAAGGACTGGTTTTAGCATTTAAGTTAATTTATTCTAGACATAAGAAAAACCTTCTGCTTATTCTTGCAGATAATTGATTCTTGATTTGTTAAGATACTAAACACTATGGTTTATATGCTTAAATACAAACCCCCTGGTAAACCCACTCATGTGCCCCATGCAAAGCAAACTTGAATGTTTATTGCCTAGGGAGAGAGGCCAAAAGGAGCTGAGAAAAGGAGCAAAACTCTCCCTCACTTTGTCCTGCTGCTAGTCCAGTGGGAAGGTCCCACTCTCCCTGCAATTAACATTACCACTTGTTCCACAGCAGCCACATATGGAAGGCACACAGTACCAATTTCTCAAATCAAATGCCCTGCTCAATTTCCTAAAAATAAAATAAATCTAGAAGATACTCTCTGCCTCAAAGCTGACCCCTCTAAGTAAAAGCATATACCACCACCCCCAATAACAATAAAAGACTGCATTGGAAAATCAGGGTTTAGGAAGAGTTAGGCACTCGACGCTAAAGTTACCAAAAGGTTAATCCCACTTATCTCTATGACACACCAAAAGTTAAAAATCATTTTTTCTGCACTATAAAGAGCATAAAGCATAAGCTAAATTAGCATTTTCTGATAAAGGACATCTTCACATAAACATCTATGAAATATGTAAATATTTCTTGAAAGATTATATTTCTATAATACACGTTTAAATTCATTCACTTATTTATTTTTTAGAGACAGGGTACCACTCTGTTGCCCAGGCTAAAGTGCAGTGGTATGATCACAGCTCAGTTACCTCAAACTCCTGGGTTCAAGCAATCCTCCAGCCTCAGCCTCCCTAGTAGCTAGGACTATAGATACATGCCACCATGCCTAGCTAATTTTTTTTTGCGGGGGGGGGGGGGGGGGTTGTTGTTGTTTGTTTGTTTGTAGAGACAGGGTCTCGTTATTTTGCCCAGGCTGGTTTCCAACTCCAGACCTCAAGCAATCCCCCTGTCTTGGCCTCTCCAAGTGCTGGCATTATAGGAGTAAGCAACTGCATCCAGCCTGAACTTATTATTAGAGTTTGCAATCTAAAAAAAGTTTTAAATATGTCTGTCTATGCTAGGTCAGGTTCCTGCCACCATTTGCATGTGATTCCACATGCAAATCAAACATATAGACTGTAGTCAGTAAAACTTTTTCCTCTCATGCAAATGTGTTCACAGAACTATCTGCAGAGAATTTCCTTACGGTGCTGGTCAAAAGTTATGTGAGTGATGCACGGGATGAAGCAGAGCTCACACGGCCACTGGGAGGAAGTATGCAGTTACTGGCATTTCCATGGGTTTGTCTCATGTTCCTGTACTTAAGCATGGGAAAGCCCTCAACATCATCCCAGAAGAGGTGACATCATAAAACAACTTATTAAAAGAAAACATGGGCTGGGTGCAGTGGCTCACGCCTGTAATCCCAACACTTTGGGAGGCCAATGTGGGCGGATCACAAAGTCAAGAGATTGAGACCATCCTGGCCAACATGGTGAAACCCTGTCTCTACTAAAAATACAAACATTAGCTGAGCATGGTGGCATGCGCCTGTAGTCCCAGCTACTTGGGAGGCTGAGGCAGGAGAATCGCCTGAAGGGAGGTGGAGACTGCAGTGAGCCAAGATTGCACCACTGCACTCCAGCCTGGTGACAGAGTGAGATTCCATCTCAAAAAAAAAAAAAAGAAAAAAAAAAAAAGAAAAAAAAAAACCACATGTGTATTCAGATGGAAAAAAAATGGCCCACCAAAATACTCAGAGGGTGAGGTCCCTAACTCAGAAAAGTAGAGAAAGAAACCCTGAAAACCATTTGGTGTGGTATTTTCCTGTAGTTACTTAGGTCTGATAGTCTATGGCCACATGGAGTAAAAGAAGAATTTAAATCTCAAGAGTCAAAATGGCAGAGGAGATGGCACAGATTCCAAGAAACACCAGGACACAAGAGAAGTCCTACCTCTCCACAGTTCCCTGTTAGAGCTACCAGGGCCCAACTTGCTACCACACAACCCGGGTAAAGAGAGAACAATACAGAATTCAGCTGCTCTGCTCACATGGGTAATTGGATAATGAATATATTTGGGGACTGCCAGTTACTGCAGCTGGGACCATTACACCACACCAGTGTGGCTGTCACTATTCTCTTTAGTCTGAGGTAAACTCAGCATCCTGGTAGTGCTGGGTGTGTGGCTGCAGGTTTCCCCTTCAGCTACTGTTAAGGGTATGCTTTTAAGGCAAGTTTGAGGCTTTGCTTTCCAAAATATTCAAAGAAACTATGACATACATGGTGAAGTCAAGCAAACTCTGTGAGGTCTACCCTTTATTGGGTCCATACTGTGGGTGTTGATGCTCACATTTTTTTATAAAACAAAACATACCTGTATTAGTCTGTTCTCATGCTCTAATAAAGACATACCCAAGACTGGGTAATTTATAAAGGAAAGAAGTTCAATAGACTCATAGGTCCACATGGCTCGAGAGTCCCAACAATCACGGCAAAAGGTGAAGGAGGAGCAAGTCATGTCTTACATGGTGGCAGGCAAGAGAGCTTGTGCAGAAGAACTCCCATTTATAAAACCATTAGATCTTGTGAGACTTATTCACCACCATGAGAATGGTGTGGGGGAAGCTATCTTCATCATTCAATTATCTCCACCTGGCCCTACCTTTGACGTGGGGATTTTTACAATTCAAGATGAGATTTGGGTGGAGACACAGCCAAACGCTATCAGTACCCACTCCCTTGTTGATATCTATGTTTCTAACCCAAGCATGTTGACCTCAAAAAGTAAAGGCTGCTTGCCAGTCCCTGGGAGTTAGGAACCCTAAATTTTGGTCATGGTTTGCAATCAACATATATACTCCCTGAGCACAAGCAAGCCTCAAATTCTCTGAGTCATTGGTTCCTTGTTTACGAAATAAAGATATTTTCAGTCAGACTTGTCTTAAGGCTTCTTCCAGCTCTGAAATTCTATGATTAAAATTTTCCATATAGACCACTATAATACACCGCATTATTCTATCAACATCTGTCAGTCCCAAAACACAATTTCAAGGAGTGTCCTGATTACCCTGCTGAGAAGAGATGGCTTAAATCTGATAGAGGGGCCACTGAGGACAGGGAGTGAGTTCCTTCACGGCCTAATAATACTGAGCCAGAACACATGTGTCATCTGTCTCCACAGCAATATAGAGAGCTCGTGTCCTTAGGGTTACCAACGCAGGGTACAAGTGAAAGATCTATCCAAGGACGTGGGGTCAACTGCCCCTTTCACACCTCTTCATGGAAATGGAACAGCCCCTGAGAAAATGCTACTCCAATGATCTGGCTTTAAGGGGACTTCCCCAGCCTACTTTGTGGTCTTTTGTCTAACTCAACAGGACAAAAATAAATGATCTGGGGGGAGAGAAAGAAGGGCATAATTCCCAATATATTTTATTTATTTAAGAAAACATACAGCACTTATTGTATGCCAGGTACTGTCATAAACACTTTACAAATATTAATTTAATCCTCTAAACAATTTGAGGACACAATAATATTCTCATTCTACTTTAGGAAACTAAGGCACATAGAGGTTAAGGTCATGCAGCTGGCTAAATGGCAGAGACAGGATTCAAACCTAGGCAGTGTGACTTCTGAGTCCAAGCTCCAAAATGCTACTCAGTGATTGATTGCCTATTGATTAACAGATGTGAGAAGGTGGCTTTTAGTGAGACAGCACAGACATCTGCCTCTCTCAATGGGTCACTCTAAATAAGCATTGCTGAAAAGGACTGCTCACTAAAAAACTTTCCCCCAATCCTACTTTATTCTGATTTGCTAAAAAGTTATTCCAGTAAATATGAAATAGGGAACTTCTGCCCCTGCTTTTAGCTATCCAAAAGCACACTTCACCACTACACACACCCCCCGAAACTCTAAGAACATTAATTCTCAACTGGGAATGGCATTTTAGATTCACCTTGAAAAGTGGTTAAAAGTACTCAAGCCTCTACCTTACCCTGCCCTCAATACACACTAGATTCTGATTTGCATTCCCAAGGGTGTTTGGCAATGCACATAGATTTTTATAAACCTCCCCACAGGTAACCTAACCCTCTCCCCTGGGACAAAACTAAGGTCTTCATATAATTTTCAAAGGTAAGAAGATCAATCCTACATTGTTTCTATACCCTAAATCTCTTCCCTACCCACTTCACAGAAGACAAATGCATGTGTGATAAGGAAAGCTGCAAATACGTGCCAAATACCAAACTGGCTATTCGATGAATACATAAATGCAATTGACATTCTTCCACAGTCTGAAATCCTCTCTTTACTCTCAGGATAGATTACACTATTCTCTTTTTATGTAAACATGCCACTTTAAATGCTAATTCAGATGCGACACTCGATTTTTTTCTTCGTTTTGTTTTTGGGTTTCTAACATTCAAAATGACACTGGACTTCCATGTGGCTTTGATAATAGATATTTTGAATTTTTGCTTCAATATTTGTGGGGGTGGGAGGACAGAAAATGCTAAGAAGAAAACTAAATTTATTTTAAAATTTATTCAAATATGGTTTACACATCCTTTATTTTGTTTGAATTAAACTCTTTCCCTCTCTTTCAGGAAACATTGCCTTTACTTTGCTGAAAATCTCACAAATGCAATTCAAGTAAGTTGAAAACCAAGGTGATTCCCTTTCCTTGCCTTCTAGAAATAATCTCATTTTACTCAAACTACTTTTCTAGACAGGCAGTCAAGGCAGTATTTTCTGATATATAACAGGCCTGAACCTAAGTCTTCTTTTTAAAAAATACACACACACACACACACACACACACACACACACACACACACACACACACGCATCAACCTATGCCCATTTCATTATATAGAAGCTCACTTCCTATCTTGTGTCAAAATCAGAAATTCCAATTTTAGAAATACCCTAATCCAATACACACAATTCAATATGATTGAGACAGGAGACAGCCAAGGGTCCCTGGCGAAATCCTACTTTCAAGCATAAAACAGCCTGGAGGCTGAAATACCGAACTGCTGATCCTGGATGAAGCCCACCCTTTCCCCACTGATTCTTTCTGAGTAATGCCCACCTGCACCCTGGGAGGATGAGGTAAAGCCTCGGGAAGTTTGCACCCTTTGCAATGGGGAGAAGCCTGGCCTCTTCTGTTCCTGTGTGGTGACCTGGGATTCTATCTGTGAAGTGGGAAACCTCCTAGCAGGACTCTCTCTCTCTCTCTCTCTCTCTCTCTCTCTCTCTCTCTCTCTCTCTCGCTTTGCTGAGAGTTATTTTTCCTTTTCACCAAGTAAATTCCATTTTCCCCACCCTTCTATATGTCCACAAGCTTAATCTTTCCTGGTCGTGTGATAAAAGCCGAGTTTTAGTTGAACTAAGGAAAAAGTTCTCCAACAAATACATCTACTATAAGACAAACTCTACCTCAGAAGTCTAGCAGGCCCAGCTCCTCCCAGAAGCTACCATCAAGTTCCCCTGCTTTGTAGTCCTAACTACTTTTTGACAATATTTTCTCCCTCTGTTGGTCACTCTCATCTTCCATCTCATCTCTGGACACCCTTTACTGTGCCTAACCAAGAAAGGCAAAATTAGAAAGTGGTAAAATAAGTTCATTATTCTTTTCATACATTTATTAATGTAGTCATATGGTAAAATGGTTCTCAATACCTGCTCAACTTTCTGCTAGCCTTGTTTCTTGCCACTTCACCAGAAGCATCCCATTAATGAATTGTCTTCTGCTGTGCTAAATTTAGTTTGGGCGACAACCTGCCCTGACCAAAGGTACATACATTTCAGTGAGGTACCAAAGACATCTCCAAGATCCAGCAGAATGAATTTCTAATACTGGAATGTTTGACATGTGGTAGATGTGTTTAAGATGGAAATCCCCTTTGCGGTCAGAGGGGATTGACCTCCTAGCAGACCTGAAACTATCAAATGCCAGTAGATAACTAGCCCACTTATTCCAAGGCCAGCCCTAATAGACTCCAACCACTCTCAGAGGAATAATGAAAGGGTGAATGGAGAAAAATCATAAAAACATGTCAACCAAATATAAAATTCTAAGTCCCCCATCTGACTGAACGAATCCCCCTTTTTCAGCCAATGGCATTCCAAAGTAAACCTGAAAAACTAGTTCAGGCCATGATAAGAAGAGAGGGTCAGACATGCCTCATGATACCCTCCTTCCCTTTGGAATTCAGCACAACCGACCAGCTGACGTTAAAACAGAGATCTTAAGACTGACAAAACAGGCTCTTTGTAGCATAAGAGACCAAATTCCAATGTGACTCTAGTGTAGCATCACATGACAGATAGCAGGCCCTGAAAGAAATTCAAGTACTTTACCCCAAAATATATTTTTGACACATTTTTAAATGGCTCTGCAAATCTGTCTCTTGTGGAGAAAAATCTACATTCTATAGAGAATCTCTTCCTTTTCCAGGACTTTTCCTGATTCAGGAGAGATTAAGAGTCTGATAC
Organism: Homo sapiens; assembly: GCF_000001405.40. Classification (NCBI taxonomy): domain Eukaryota; kingdom Metazoa; phylum Chordata; class Mammalia; order Primates; family Hominidae; genus Homo; species Homo sapiens. Next base: position 66,905,932 of record NC_000005.10, on the reverse strand, counting down.
CTTTTAAGGCCTGACAAGAGACATTTACCATCTATTCTACATAATAAGAACCCTAGTTTCCATAATCACTTATCTTAACCCAGACACTCCTTTCTACTGATTCCAGGTCTTAGATAATAACTCTTTCAACCAATTGCCAATATCAGAAAATCTTTGAATCCACCTATGATCTGTAAGCACCACCCACCCAGCTATCGCACCTTTCCAGACCAAACCAATGCATAATTTACATGTATCAATTGGTGTCTTATATTTCCTGAAAATGCATGATGCCAAGTGTAACCTGACCACCTTGGGCACATGTTCTGAGGACCTCTCAGGACCTCAGGCCTTGGTCGCTCATATTGAGCTAAGAGTAAATCCCTTCAAATATTTTACAGAGTTTGACTCTTTCATTGACAAACTCTATAATGAGGAATACTGTTACCAGCTGCTAGTATTGTTGCTAGATCAGTTAATTAAAATAAGCAAAACCTTTTAAATTGCCTCTGGGATAATTTGAATGCTCTCAGCAATCCCTCAGCATGCAGAGACATACTTTTCCAGGACTACTATACATACTGGGAGCTGCTTCTGCCTTGGGTTCCTGCTGCTGGATATCCCATTTTTTTTTTTTTTTTTTTTTTTTTTGAGACAGAGTTTCACTCTGTTGCCCAGGCTGGCGTGGGCGCGATCTCGGCTCACTGCAACCTCCACCTTCTGGGTGGAAGTGATTCTCCTGCCTCAGCCTCCAGAGTAGCTGGAATTACAGGCATGCGCCTCCAAGCCTGGTTAATTTTTGTATTTTTCAGTAGACATGGGGTTTTACCATGTTGGCTGGGCTGGTCCTGAACTCCTGACCTCAGATGATCCACCTGCCTTGGCCTCCCAAAGTGCTAGGATTACAGGCGTGAGCCACTGCGCCCGGCCTTGGATATTCCTTTAAAAGCATCCTTAAAGCATGTGTGTGGACATAAAGATGGGAACAATAAGACACCGGGGTCTACTAGGTCTATTAGTGCAGGGAGGCAAGGGGGAAAGGGCTGGAAAACTACTGTTTGGGTACTATATTCACTCACTACCTGGGTGTCAGGATCATTTTTACCCCAAACCTTAGTGTCATGCAATATACTCCTGTAGCAAATCTACACACGTACTTCCTGAACCTAAAAGTTGAAATTATTTTTCAAAAGAGTTGGAAAAATTTTTTAAATAAAAATAAATTTAAAACAGCTGTCACAATCAAATATCATAAACCAATCCATCAATCAAGCAAGCAAGCAATCAAGCAGGTGTGGCCAGAGAACTTAAAGCTAAGAAACTGCCAAGTGTCATTCACTGCTTCTACTAAAATGAAGTGATAATTGCAGATAATTTTATAGATCCCGGACCTACAAGGCCATGAAACAATGCACCACGGCTTATAATTAAACAAGGTGGAGGAAAGGTCATTTTAAGCAGCAGGGAGAATCTATTTGCTAAGAATACATAGTACAGTTTCCTTCTTCTCTATACGGAGACATCTGAAATACCACTTAAAAACAGGAGCTAGCCTGAGCCTATTTCCTGCTCCTCTCTCCAGGGTATAAACACCATCAAGGCACTCTAGGGAATTCCATGAAAAAAGAAGCCTCTCTGTCCTGGAGAGCTGTTTATTTAGGCAATTAACAAAACACAAAGGGGTCCTTTAAAAATAAATAGTGGCTGCCAGGGACACCTTGGTTTTGCTCCTAATCATCTTGGACTCACATCTTGGGCTTTTCCACTTTTTGCACCTTCCTTGCCTGAAAACAAACACTTCCCTGTGAATTTTTCCACTTACAAATGTAATTTCAGGACTTACATTCAAAATATGGGTGAAAAAAAGTACCACAACAATAATGGCACTTTCATAAATACAGACAGTACAAATTCGTTATTAGAAAAATCTAAATCAAACAACATGCAGAAGGTTGATGTGTTCCACACTGAATTGAAACCATGAAGGATCTGGCACCAGCCATCCAGCCATGGCATCACCACTTGTGCTCAGGGAGCAGGCACAGTGACAGAACCTAAGAGAACACGGCAGGTCCACTGCTTGGAGGCTCCCAATCTAGGAGGGGGAGACAGATTTGTACAGACTCCACAAATGTCCGCACTATGTAGTTATTATACTGGGCACCTTGCTGAACACAAAGAACAGGCATTCAGAGTCTCAACTCTTTGAGGGATAAAGTGGGATAAAAATCTAAGGCAACAAATCTAGTTCTGAAGCTAAGTGTAATAATATACCGTCATGAATGCTATTATCTCCTTTGCTTCATCCCCTGGCTTGAGGTAGTATATACTAAAACATTTCAAGATTATCACAATTTATCATCATAATTTTTTCTATGATGTTCTGGGAAGAACCAATTGGTGTCTGCCACTGTAGATATTGCAGTTATTGTCAAATCATATTTATTTGGAGCAATCTTCATTATGAGACAAAATTAACCAAATACACACACACACACACACACACACACACACAAACACAGGTGTGAGAATGTTTACATCATTGTTATTCAAATTACTTAAAAATCTACATAAATACTTGGTTAAAGCAATTTGAATCCTACTTCAAAACAATCACTGAGTATTTTACATAAAATATTTCAAGAATACCAAAAATATAGTGGCTATAATATAAACACCCATATACACACTATCACATTAATGATATACGTGAAACTCCTTGCAGAGGCCTCTCAAATCCAATGTCTTTCATTCTCTCCACTAGTAAGTGGCCTTTATCATAAACTTGCTTTCCATGCATGTTTTACACCTTTACTGTAAATGCCTGTATTCAGAAACAACATATTGTTTTGCATTTTTTAAGTTTTATAATATAAATGCCATCTTGTACCTGGAATTTGCTTTTAGCACTTGCTTATCATTTTATTCTTGGCAATTATACCTGCTGATAAGTATACTCTGGTTTGGTTACTTTACCTGCTGTATAATATTTCATTATCTGACTATATCACGATTTTGACAGGTAGCTGGAAGGAGGGGGATAGGACAATGTGATAACTTTAGTTCCAAGGAGAATGAGGGGGAAAGTACAGGAAGAATCTGGGGTCAGAAGAAGCCTTGGCAAATGGCTATTCGTTGAATGGAAAAAGAAGAGAAATAGCTAAAATCCAGCTGTCTAGGAAGCTGGAATGCCTCTGGAAAAGTGATCTGGAGTTACCTGACAATCTCATAACAGCATCTTGCCTAGAAAGCAGTTTCTCTCACTTCTCTTGTCTATTACCCAGTCACAATCACTGCTTCTGCACCTTTTAAAAATGTATATAAAACAAGAGAGTCTTCAAGTTAGTTCTCATTAAAATGATTGTAAATAATAAATTAGTGGGGATGTGAATTTCTTTTTCTAGACAGAATAGTTTGCTTTTTTATACTTTCAACTAATAACAAAAAAATTTCCTGTGGTCTTTCACTTCTGAAAGCTTTCAATTTAATGTATGTTTTTACCATGATTCTGGATATAAAAGTTACCTTTAAGCTTAGTTAAAGCAATATTCAAATTTTTCAAAAAAATTTGGAAAACCCCGTAAGTTTCAGAATGCTGAAAATGCAATTTTAAAGCTACTATCTTTCAAGACATACAATCTGAAGCAGCAGATATATCAAAATAGAGGGCTTTTCAGCCTTTATCAAGGTACACACTCTCTAACAAGTTGGATCACATTGCTGTATAACCAAAGACAATAAGAAATACATCACGCTATGTGCAGTTGCTTACTGTTAATATGGAACAACAACAAAAAGACTGAAAAGAACAGCAGAAGCAAACCCCAATCTTTCTGAGAGAAGATATAAAAAGATTTCAAAGCATTTATGGAGGAGGCATGTATGCAGTAAATAAACTAAGAGAGTGTTAACAGGTTTAATTCTCAGGTACTATTATGTTGGCTAACTGATACTAATAAAGATATATTTGTGCCTTTCTTCATTAGATTTGTATAAAATCACTCTAGCATTTATTTTAAAAAGTATTTTCCCTTTCTCAAAGTCATAAAAGAACCTTGCATGAGGAGAGTAATTACTGGCATTCTGTACAGTATTCACTAAAAATGCTGAGTGACACTGGGTTCTAGCACAGCTATATGAGGCATCATTAATTCTCTGGGGAATATTTGTGCTTAATAGAAAATACAAAATAGCATGTTTATTTTTGGTTTACCTCACTTGAAAGTATTAATTTTCCCAGAATTCACTAAAAAAGCAGATGTGTGTTCACATATACATATACAGTGTGCTTCATGCTCATCTTCTGAATGCTCAATTGACTTTTAATAGGGAGGGGAGTTTAAATGGCTCTGATGTAATTCAGACTTTCTCTTACTATGTTTCCAAAGGATAGGCTCCAAACAAACTTATGTCATTATTCTTTTTTCACTAAAGATCCCATTTTCTCAAATAAAGAAACTTAAATACTTTCCTTATCACATATTTTCACAACAAATCATGGCTATCAGCTAACATTAACAGAATTGACTTACTCAAGTGCAAAAGAGGAAATTACCCTTAAATAGAAATATGAAATCTAATTCTGTAATTAACATAATCTTTATAATATTGTTGGAAACACTAACATGATAAAACAAGAAACAAAAAACAAAACCCATGTGCAATCTATTAAAAAGGCTAAAAGCAAGATTTGACTGAAGTTCTGAAGTTTTCAAATAAAAAATAAAGGGTGCTTAAGCCTTAAATAAAAGTACAAAAAAATAAGATTTTTTTCTATAAAAGTATTTCATGTAGTTTTCTATTTTTCTTTTGTCTCATCATGATGGGAAATATCAAAAAGTTTGGACTTTTCCAAGTTTCGGCAACAGAGTCCTAATCATGATGCAGAAGAGGAAAGAGTTAATTCTAAGTCCATTTCCTACAGCAAACTATTTTCTGTTAAACTCTAGCACAGGGAGATGGAAGCTGAAAGCTAGTGACAATTTATCTGGGCACATTCTCCGAAAATAATAATCCAGTGTCTGCCTGGCAGCCTAAACTTGTACAAAAGACAGGAAGCAAAATGGACAGTAATGAAATGTTCACAGCTGATGAATTTTTGGTTCTTAGATGCAAAGGCTGAAATTTTCCAAAATTTAGCCTAGAATAAATCCTATATTTCAACAGTTGCCATATATTTTTCTAATCCTCCAAGAGGAGAGTTGCAAAAACTTATCTTAAATACTATTTTTTTTTAAAGGAGGTGCTCCATCTACTAACTTCTTCAACTTAAATCAGACATCAAATGTAAATGTTTCCAGACCAGCCCTTACACAGTACTATTGGATAACAAATTCGACCTTAATTGAGGGTAGTTAATTCTGTCCTCAATTTTATTCTGCAACTTGCTAACGGAAAAAATTATGATTTATGCAAATATATTATTGGCCTTAAAAATAAAAGAATAAAACACACTATAAAGAAATCAAGTCAAAGTTCATAAATCCATTATTTTAATACAAGGTCATTACATGAATCAGTTCAATAAGATCTAGATCTAATAATGGAAAGTTTAACTGATTCAAAGTCTCCAATTCAGATTCAAAAGTACATAATTTACTCCATGTAAAATCCATAGTATAAAGAAAAATTATGGATTTCAGAACATAAAGAACACTAATTCTTGATTCAAATCAATGTACTCTGTCTCCTAACCAAATAATGTTTTTGCTTAATTATATAACAGCATTTTAAAAATTAAGATTCTCCGAGGAATAAATATACATTTAGGTTTGCAATGCCCATATGGAACAAACCCTGGAAATTATGAAATCATTACTACTGTTTGACTTTTATAAATAAATTCAGTTTTTTGTTTTCTTCAGTTGATTATCATTCATTTTATAATTGCCACTAATGAATCAGAGAAGAATCATACTATAAACTATATATTAATAAAAAGAAAACAAGGAAACAAAATACTACTACTTACAAACTTCCTCTTCTGGGGAGACTCAGCTCCTTCTGCAAAAGAAAAAAAAACCATATATAAGCAATGCTGCATTAACCTTAGATTACTAGGATACCAAATGGATAACGTAGAATGTATCATCCTTCATTACGCTTGATTTGGCATTTCTTATACTGAAAACATTTTAATGTCATAATTTTATGCTGGATCCCTTCTTACACGGTTCTCTTTACACACTGTGTTTAAGGTACAAACACAGCTTATCTGAATTCCAGAGCAGAAAAACCATCAATCTTCCCAAAGCAACTACAGTAAAATACTGAGTTGAGTTACACGGCCCTACAACTGAGCATACGGAAAATCTGAAGAAGCAAAGAACTTATCCAAACAGGATTTAACTATAAGAAGTAGGAGACATTTTGCAGGATTATAATTAAATGAAAGGTGCAATGTAAAGGACAATTAAATCAAACTATTTGCCCTCAACAGAAATATATTCATGCAAACATTATGCATACCAAATATTGTACTTCCTATTTTTAAAATAATAATGGAAAAGATTTCCTTTTGGTATTATTTCTCAAAACATCCATTTATTCCTTGGGATATTTAAAAGTAGCTTAATCAACTTCTAAAAGGTAATCAGACAACCACAACAATTATTAGAGTGCTTCATAGTTTTAAAAGGGTGCCTTCACACTTATCTCAATTTTAAGATTCTTACCTACCTAATCATCAAGAGGCTGTGGAAAACTAAAAAACCACCCAAGAAAACAAGCCAACCAAAGAAATAAACAAAAATAGATTCAGAAATACCTCTTATCCACTAATGAAGTTTTCAAAGCTCAAGAATAATTACTTGCTGTCAATTATTAAAGAACAGGAAGCAATGAGTCGTTTGGCTATTTAAACTCAAAATGAAGCGCATTATGACTAAATTTGGTTATTCATGCCCATAATTCTCATTTATTTTTCTGCCTTTCAGGTGCTTGAGCACTATCCTTTGAAAGGTATTTCCCCATCAGCTTCAAACTCACCTTTCCTGTCTCTTATTTTTATTGAATATTTCAATGTTTGTCATGGACAGCAGGCTCAGCTATCACTTTTCCACAGCACAACTTACTCCAGCACAGCTTACAGAAAGTGGCAGTGAGAGCATCAGACCAGAGGGGAGGAGAGCTCTGTGGCTGCTGCTTTAAACACAGCAGGACTTACTTATTAACTGGCAAATATATTTCCATACAGAGTTACAGCAATCATAACTGTTCAAAAGCAAGAAAAACAATCAGCAATTTTAGGAATGAAGTGTCGTCTTCTTTCACCCAATAGCAAAACCTTTTCTTTTCAAGGGCTCTAGGGTTCAGTGGTAAAGTGCTTTTTGTTTTGTTTTGCTTTGCTTTGCTTTTTTCTTTAATCCTTGATTAGCTCCAAGAAATTATAGTGTTTGCTGAACTTGGCTCCCTGATTCTGAAACATAAATATACCTTCATTTACTAAAACCTCTAATGACAAGAGAAAAGTCTCTGACCAAGACAGTTTTCCTTGGGAACCGAAACATAAATAGAAAACCAATGAGTAATTTTCTATACATGGATCTTTGGTTACCATAAGCATTGAGAAATCAGTGTTGTATTCAGGTTAAAGAAAACAAAAAGAGAGAACTTCCTAGAAGTAATAGCTCACCACACTGTATCTTTTATTTTTTAATTTTTATTTATTTTTAGGATGAGGTCTCACTACATTGCCCAAGCTGATCTCAAACTCCTGGGTTCAAGCATCCTCTTGCCTCAGCCTCCTGAGTAGCTGAGATTACAAAATACACCACACTGTACCAGACTCAGGCCATTTCTCCTAGAAAGGCATTGATACTAGTGCAGAGCAAAGGCCTAGAGACCAAATGAATAATACTGCTCTGTCCAATAAGCTGATCTGACAGCCGCATAAAAGGTACCTGAGGTGTTATCATTAATAACAACAAAATAATAAATCAGATGTTATTTCAACTATATATGCAAATAGATCACTCAGAAGATATAAGAGGAAAGGGACCAAACGAATGACCCAAATAGTTCCATCAATCATATTCCACCAAATAACCTGAGCATAAACTGGCTGCTTTGCTCTGAGAAAAAGCTGCTGAAACAGCAAGATAAGGGATAAAAACCAACTCTGTTTTTAATCAGAAATCTTTCCAGTAGGTCTAGAATTATGAGTTCTAAACAAGGAGAAAGGTTACAGTGGGTAACCCAGCACTGCTGCTCCACGGGATGGCAGCCGAGATTCCAAGATGAGGAGCAAAGGACATTTAATAGGCCACTGTCAACTGACCTGAAGCTACCACGCTAACCAAGCTGTAGGAGCTAATCCACCTGATGGCTTGAATGTCAGGCTCAGGACTGGAAACTCAATTTGGTAGCAAATTGGAATCAGATGTGATGGTAATAAAGTGAGAGAAATGAATGTGCTGTGGCCAAGACCTTGTGAACAATAGCTGCAAAAGTCTGCAAATACCAGGAGGGCTAAGCGGTTGCAGCCTGCGCGGGGAGCAGCTCCTGCCCTAATGGATGAGGGCCACATGCTGATAAATCTGCACCTGTCAGACGTCAATGAACGGCATCAAGTCATTTTATCGCCAAAGTCCCTGCAGTACTTCGTGTATGTGTCCTCATTTTATTTTCTTAATGTCAGGATAAGGTCACTAACACATACTTAGATAATTAGATAAGACGTGGTATTGGTCTGGGTCATAAACCCAAGCTTGTGCTTGACATATGTGGAGTGTGTGTTAAAAATTTACTGTCACGTAAGAATTGGAGGAGGAAAGAAAAAGGGAAAAAAGCAAAAAACAGCAAGAAGTATCCATCTGAACTAAACAATATGCTAATTGTTGACACTGGATTAAAGAAATTCTTAAGATTAAAAATTTCTAGATTTTCATTGATATTGATGACTCAATGACATTTAACATTTTTTAGAGTTGCTGTTTATCATTACTTGCTTGATATTGTATCCTCCCCCCAGACTTTTAAGTGTTAACTAGCAAATATTTGCATTAAAGATAAAGATTAAATAAAATTAATCTTGTCTGAGAATCCTGTTGTTTTTGAGATCTCTCAATATACCTGAGGTTACCAAAAGATCCCTCCAATCCAGGAAGAAAACTCATGGAGAGTCTGAGAAGAAAGAAGCGTAAATGATCCTGCTCCTTTCACCCAGCCATCCTTAGCTTCAAAAAGAGAAGGCAACTATCTCATTCATGAAGACAGGGGAGAAAACTGTAATGTTTTACATGTACAAGCAACTGCCACAGTGGTAATTTTAAAACTAATTTTTGGTATTTAACAGCTATTCATAGACAAACAAAACAATATGGCTATACATGCCGCACGTGTTTAGAGAATCTCTGAACGCTTCTTTTCTAACTAAGGGTAAATTTATGATTTAAAAGAGGACATTTACAGAAGCCCAAATAATACATGTAGATACTCCCTTCTTCAAATGGTAGAGCTTAAATCTCCTCTCTTTGAGAGTGGGCTGGGACCTAGTGACTCACTTCCAAATAATAGAATAGAAAAAGGGAACAATAGCAACATTATAGTAGGGAAACCCACAGATACCACTGTAACTGAGTGATCAAGGTTAACATCATCAGTGGTAAGTCACGCTAACGTCATGCTGCTATCCTCTGATATGATGTGATGAGAAGAACACTTCATGCCTGTGGTATTATCTCTAAAATCCAGAACCCCAGTCTAATCGTGAAAAAGCCTCAGGTGAACCCAAATGGAGGGACCTTCTAAAAACATCTGACCCGTGCTCCTTAAAGCTGTCAAGGCTGTGAAAAAAAAGAATAAATTGACTAACTGTCACAGATGGGAGAAGACTAAGGGTGGCTAAAGGCAATAAAGAATCCTGAATAAATGAAAAATCTTGAATTGGATTCTCAATCAGAAAAAGGACATTAGTGGAAAACTTGGTGATATCTAAATAAAGTTTGTACTTTAGATGATAACAATGTACCAATGTTAAAGTCATGATTTTGACAAATGTATTAAGGTTATATATGATGCCAACATTTTGAGGGACTGGAAGAAGGGTATACAGTAATTTTCTGAGCTGTATTGTAAATGTTCTATAAATTTTAAAATTATTCCAAAATGTGAAAGAAAGTGTATCAAAAGGGGGAGACAGGGAGAAGGGAAGACTGATGTGGGGCTGAAGAACAGAAGAAATGAACACATAAATATCTAAATATTCTAAGCTTACTTTAAGGTAATATTTAATATCAATTTTTTAGGAAGCTATAGAAATACTGTAGGTGAGAGAGATTCTAGCTAGGACCAGCAATGAAGATGGTAAGGAGTAGTCAGATTTCAGGTATGTTTTCATAAGATTTACACAGAAACTGGATGTGGAGCGTGAAAGAGAAAGCAAGGAGTCATAAGTTTTTGGCCTGAGCAAATGGAGTTTGATGGAAAAACAGTTCAGCTTTTGACATGCTACATTCAAGATGTCTGTCTGTAAGAATTCCAAGTAGAAGATTCCAAACAGGCAACTAGACAAACGAATCTGGGTGCAAGAAAAAGGTTAAGGCTGGAAGTAGATTTTGGAGTCATTAACACTAAGATGGTATGTAAAGCCATGGGACTTTACAGGAGATAAGTGATAGAAAAAGGAAAACAGATACACCTGGTTACAAAGCCACAGGGACTTCGCCATTTAAAATAAAGAAGAAGGGAGGATTGTGCTATACACTTTTAACTGACCTGTTGCTATACCCAGCAGCTGGGGTTCTTGAAAGCAACAGAAATTGAATGAGACTGACAAGTAAACAATCAATGTATGGATGGCTACTCGCACCCCTGAAGGCAATAGGATGGTTGGGCAGACGACGTCAGAAAGTGGGCAGGAACCAAAAAATCAAACCCAGAAAGTATGACCACACCCAGGGAACAGCCCAGTTAGGACACCTCTGCAGCTGAACACTGAGTGGGAGCTCAGCCTCCAGGAAGAATCTCTAACTGCCCCCACATACCTTCACTTCATCTCTCCTCACAGGTGTCCTGTGAGGGTTACATGATCACACCTGGGTCTCTGCCCCAGCTTCCAAGTGGGCAGGAAAAAGGAATATTGGCTCCCTCACTAGTATAGTGGGAGGTAGGGCCAAGTCTACCAAGATCCACACTTTGGGAGTTCCTCCAAAAAACAAAGGGAATTTGGAAGTTGAGCAACTTGCCTTCTGCACCACCACTCCCAAACCCCACATAGAAACAGAGTGGCAATGTCCAGTACACACCATTCCCTCACCATTTTCCTGACACCAATGAATTTCAAGTTCATGCACTTCCCCATCATCATCTTTCTTTCATTAGTCATTGGTGGCCTCATCCTATGACTGAGTTACTGCAAGTACTCTGCACTAACAATTAATTTAGGAAAAGAGTTCAAAGAAGCCAAGATGTGTAAGGCAGTATATCAGGTGCTTTTAGGGATACATGAGGAAAAACAAAACACATTTAAAAGCTAGCTGGGGCAACATACATACACGCATATAAAACAAAAGAGTTATCACCAGGTGCAAGATTATGCAGTATTACTTGAATGTGTAAATGCTAACAGAGGAGAGAAAATAAAAAGGAATGAGATAATTCAGCTCAAGCAGTGATTCTGAAGCCTGGCAACACATTAATGTCACCCAGGGAGTTTTTAAAAATACTAACGCCTGAGCCCCACCCCTAGAGATCTAGAGAGAAAGTGGTTTGTGTATGTTGTTTATTAGAGGTTGGCACTTTTAAGTCCCCCTAAGGACTATTGGTTTGCATAAACCATTTGCCTTTGGATTGTTTTCCTCTTTAGGGAATATTAATTTTCTAGGCTGTCATTACAGAGGTAAAGTTTCAGGTTTTTAGATATTTCCTTTGCAAGTGGGAAGCAGTGTGAGGCAAGGAAAGGTACTCAAAATGGAGTTCTCACTACTTGACAAAGCTTAAAATTAGCTGGGTGTACAGGCTCATCCAGGGATAGGATCTCCTAAAGAAACGCTTTGGGTGCCATTTTTCTGGTCTGCATTTCTGAGAGTCACTTGTAAAGGCAGAAGCAGAGGACAAAAAAGTTCATACCATAGAACCAGATCTTACACAGGGCTTGGCTGTAAATCATCAGAAGGCAAAAATGGTCTACATTCTAACAACAATTGAAAAATCCAGTAAGTTGCTCATAAATACATGCTTTCCTAAATGAAGACAGTAGTCAAGCTGGAAAACCAGTAGGGAGATCCCTATAGAAATGCCTGAACAGTCAAACCACACAGCCTGTAAAATAACAGTAAAATCCTTGTGGGAAATGTGAGATGGATGGAGAATCCTAAATTATCTTTCTCTTTTTACAGATTTTATTTAATTTTCTTTTTGTATCTATAATCATAATGCACTTTCATATATTTATTTGTGCTAGTCAAGTTAAGCAAAATAAACCAGCCAGGCACAGTGGCTCATGCCTATAATCTCTCAGGATTTTGGGAGGCCGAGACGTGTGGATCACTTGAGGTCAGGAGTTCGAGACCAGCCTGGCCAAAACGGTGAAACCCGTCTCTACCAAAAAAAAGACACACACACACACACAAAAAAAAAAATTAGCTGGGCGTGGTGGCACGTGCCTGTGGTCCCAGCTACTCAGGAGGCTGAGGCAGGAGAATCGCTTGAACCCAGAAGGCGGAGGTTGCAGTGAGCCAAGATGGCACCACAGCACTCCAGCCTGGGCTAAAGAGCAAGACTCTGTCTTAAAAAAACAACATCAAAAACAAAACAAAACAAAACAAAAACAAAATAAACCACAAAAGGCTAAAACAAAATGCTTGCTGGGTTTATATGTAAATTTTATTTGATCAAAACCACAACACTCACTTTCTTTGAAAAATAAAGAAATTAGCTACCTTATTCCTTTCTTTCCAAGTTGGCTTTTTCTGCCATAAAGCTAAATGAACAAGACTGTGGTATCAGTTCTCATAAGCCCTTTATACAGACAAAGTCTCCGAGTCATGATATGACTGTCTAGTGTGGTTTATTAAGATTTTATCATAAACTGCGTCTATAAGCTTCATCACAAAATCAGCTGGCTGCCTGGACAGGACACACAAGTCTTCCCATGGAAAGCCCAGAGGAGATCAGCAATTGACCAGAGTTGCAAAGCCATGAGATAGTGGAATCAAATGAACCTATGTCATCCAGTTCCAATTTTTTCCCCTATACTCCACCACGGCAATGTCAGAGAGTGGGAGACAGTGGTGATGTGAGCAACTGAAAGGAGAGGTTTGAATAAATACACGAGCAGGGAGGGCTGGTACTGATAATAAAGAGGGCACTCTTTCCCCTAACGAGGAAGAAAGGAACAGGTGAAAACAGGCACTTTTCAAAGATAAGCAAAGTAAAACTGAAGCAATTCACTTGAAGTTCTGTAATTTCAGTAATACAGAAGGCAAAAGTCTTCTACCAAGGGCAAAGGCAAGGGCACATGTGGGGATTAAAGCCAACAAAATGGGTTTCCTTTATTCAATCACATACTTTTTAGTAAAGGTGGATATGGCTGGTGCTGTGCCAGACACTGGGGAGAAAGGACTTTACTCACTGTAAAATACAGTGTGAAAAGGCCTGGAATAGAGGTCTTTTCAAAGTATGCAGTAATACAAAAGGGAGGAGGGTGATCAGTTTCTCTGAGGAGGGTCAGGACTGTTTCTTCCCCAATGTTTCTTGTTATTCATGCTAACAAAATACAGTGGAACTGATACTACCTTCAATCTCAAGGATAAGCTCCAATTAAACTAATGACAAAACTCACTGCTTTCATCAAAGTAATTGGTTTAAAGATGACATGTGACTCAACCTGAGCAAATGCAAAATGATGCATAATGATGCATAAGATGCAAAATGATGTTTGCTCAGGGCTTCTGGGAAAGAACTTCCTCCCTTGTCCGAGAGAGCTAACGAGAAAGAAGTAGCATTAAACCTACAAAACTAATGGCAGCCACAAGAATAGGTGTCACAGGTAGCAGACAAGAAAGCCTGGTAGAACCTGGGTCTTGGGTGAAATCTCTGAAACAATACATCTACCCTTGCGTGTATTTGGACTTCTCTGGTACATGAGCCAATCGAGTCTCTTTATTGTTTAAACCAGTTTAACTTGTGTTTTCTAGTCTTTGCAATTCAAAAATTCCTAAGTGACACAATACTTGAGCCTGGTCTTTCTTTTGCAATGTCTGGGAATTAGCCTGGCAGCCTTGGGAGTAGGTGAGAAAGGGGAATTCCAGAAGAGAGAACAGACGTAGTCAGGTAGGGTGGAGTGAAACAGAACACACTCAGGAAACAACATGGCTGGAACAGAGATCAGGAAGGAAAAATCAGCAGGACAGGAGTATGGAGGCAGGGACAGGGCCACATCATAGAAGGGTTTTGGAAGTGGCTGCCTTTATCTTATAGGGAATGGTGAGCTCATGGAACATTTTAAAGAGGGGAATAAGATGGCCTAATCAACATGTTAAAAAAGATTACTCTGGCATTAGGGTGTCACATGGCTCTGGGAGGGCAACATGGGAGAGAAGTTAGGACACTTCTTTAATTATCCAGGAAGCATGGCTGAGGGCCAGGAACAAGGAAGAGGCAGTGAGGAGGAGGAGGAGGGGCAGAGTCAGGAGAGAAATGTGTGTACAGGATCCACAGGAGTTGAGAGGAAATGCTTAACTCCTGGGCTGATTTAGAATAGTTGTGGTGGAGCTCAGGACAGGGTACCATTCAGAGATGAGGAGAAAAGACTGTCTAAAAGCACTGAGGGCCTTTCGGAAGTTAAGCAAAATGCAAATCTGAAAGTGGATGAAAAGATGGCAAACGATTTAAGTTACACCAGCGAGTCCCTGATGAGCAGGAATATGAGACAAACTGTAAAATAAAATCCCAGATTTTGCTTAGATGAAAAGTTAAACATCATTCATGACAACCACCTTTTCCACTTTAAATTTTTTACACAAATAGTGGGAACTGTCTTTCTTTACTAAGCTCATCTACCTTCACTACCTTAATAATGGCATCTCACATTTACTGCACAGTGACATACATTATCTTATTTAAACTTCACTATTATTCTCATTTTAGAGATGAGAGAACTGAGGCACACACAGGCTAAGTAACTCACACAAGGTCATAGAGCTGGTAGAAGGCTTAGCTTGTCTTTGAATCCACATCTGCCCAAGTCCAGAGTATGTTAATTATTTTTCATCACCAAGTAATGACTTGATACTTTTGCACCACAGACCCCTCCTGTAGGCTATCAGGCTGCATTCATAGTTGGTAACACACTGTCAATTACTCTTAGGAGAGACACAACACAGATCTTGGCAACTCTTTCTAAGCAAATTTCACACTTTTTAGAGACTCTGATTTTATGTGAACCAAAGCCCTGTGAATATGTTACTTTTAACACAGACCTTTTAAAGCAGAAGAAGCGTAACAAGTCAAATAATCAGCTAACCTCAAGTAAACGGACAAATGAAACAAGCTTCCTTTCTAGTCAATTATTATGGGTTTTGATGCTTCCTAACACATTATACCCTTGATGTCAAAATCGAGCTTGAGAATCAGACATTTGTACACATATTGTCTTTCAAGTCAGTATGACCTAGGAGGAATATGTCTCCTAAGTCAAAGTTTACATGCTTCTCTGCAGGGTTTTGCTGAGTAGTAGCCAACAGTTACATGAATAACAGCTCTAGTTTATTGTTTATTATATACTAACTGAAGTGCATTTATTATATCAAGGTTAATAGCTTCCAGCCCACAGTCATATTGTACTTTGTGTGCTCACTTTGTTCTCAAAGAACAAAAGAACTCTCTCTTTCAAGCAAAAGTTTCTGCGTCGTTTTTAAAATTAAAGAAACTAGTTTTGATCAAATTAGAGAAGGCACAGTCCTTCATAAAAAAAAGAAGCTAAAATATAAAACTCATATTAGATCAATTGAACTCATAGCTTAAAACAATCCTTATTTAAGTCAATTGTATGTTTCATAGTGATTAAACAAATAGGATCAGGATTCAGACATACCCATATTCTAATCCAAGCCAATGCCAGGAAGCATCCTTCATAAACTTTAACTTCCCTAAGATTCAATTTCCAAAATTACAAAATGAAAATAATACAGCTTATCTTATGGGGTGTTGAGAAGATTAATGCTAACACATGTCCTGCATGTGGCACAGCTCCCAAACCTAAGAGCACCCTTCGTGTTAGCTATGACTATTTAAGTGCACTGCTTGAATTAGAAGAAGGAATCTAGGGCACAACTACAGAGCTACGGTAAAGAGACAGCACCGACTCAATAAAAGAGCAAGGGTATGTGACCCACACATCTTCTCCACCTCTAAATACTGAACCTGGGCAAAGGGCTGTGAATACATTTGAAAATTCGAAGCAAATTAGACTTCAGTGAAATCACACACCCTGCTATTAATCAGTAAGAAAATTACTTTAGCAGAAGGAGATCAAACACCAATGCTAGCTACATATTTAGAATTTTAATTGCCTTTAGGATAGTGCAAATTTAGAGATCCTTCAGGATCTCTATAAAATTAAAGTCATTGTGGACAACTTTTGTGATTTCCTTTTTTTCCTAGAATGATTTATGAAGGCTCTTGATAAATATGCGTATCAGCCCTGCCACTTAACTATGTTTCTTGTTACTTGGGAAAGCCTGTGACCTACAGTGAGCTTAGATAAAAAGGCAACACCGCACAGCTGTGCCCCACAAGGCTCCACAATTTTTTCAGTTCTTCCATCCATTACCAGCAAATTACAGTAAATTCGAAGTATTGATCTGCACAACCCTATATGGGAAGAAAGTTACCATCGACTTTTATTGCTTATTGTTGGGTCCAATTCCCTAGAATCAATAAAAGCTACAATGTTCATAAGCTTCTAAAAAGCTAGTTAATATAGTGGATATAAGACACCTTTTAGAATCACTATAAATCTATAGGATTCTTCAACGGAACAGTGGCAAACATCTTCAATGTTCAAAAGCTTTATTTGATTTTAGAGTCTTCTCATTATCCAGGAAAATGCCCTGGGAAAGAAGTGAATATCAATGATGTGGAATAAAAACTCAGCAACTAGAAAGAACCCTGCTTAACAGATTTCTACTTTCACTTTTCAGTTCACTTGCATTTCCACACCAACCTCACTGTCCAATCCACAGCCAATCATTAAGAATTGTGTCTCTCACATAGATTTAAGATGAGTTTTCTTGACAGGGCTTTCCAGGACCCATCAGGGGACGAGTTTGCTAATAAATGTACATTTCAACTGCCCCTAATTTGAAGAATCAATATTCTTTTATGAACCAATTTTTTAAAATCAGATAATAATTCAAGTGTTCTATTAAAATTACAGACAACCTTAATACCAAAAGAAAAAGGCTTTTTATAGAACCAGGAGACAGAATTGGATGAGACTATTTGAAAAGTGATACTGAATTTACTCTGCTGAGATTAATCATTTTTATTTACTACAGACACCTTGTGGTTTATCTAGCAGTCCCTATTCTGAAAGCCTATTTTAGTGTAGAAATTTACTGGCAAATCAGCTCAAGGGACCTCTTGAACTGCTATATGAAGCTAATACCCACAAGTCTACTTTCTTCTGGCCATTCCTCTCCATCTAAATGCAAAAACAACACTTAAAATATACATATAAAATGTATGAGCACGATGGAAGATTAATGACACACATATTCAAATAATCAATAATGTAAACTTAAGCCTCTAATGGTACCGAAATTTATTGTAAAGAGGTCACAGAATAAACAATTAGCTTATAGAAGATATATATCACTTAATAAGTAAAGATTCTATTTGTTACAGGGTACAGTTTTTTTAAAGTATTTTCTCCAATGTACTATTTTATTTTTATTTTTTTTTTTAGTAGAGACGGGGTTTCACCATGTTAGCCAGGATGGTCTCGATCTCCTGACCTTGTGATCTGCCCGCCTCGGCCTCCCAAAGTGCTGGGATTACAGGCGTGAGCCACCGCGCCCAGCCCAATGTACTATTTTAAATAACATCATCTGGAAGTATGCAGGAATTGAGAACTTCGAGAATGAAGACCATGGGTTAAGGTAAGATTCTCTGCTTCCTATTTCACACCCTCCCCTACCCATCACCACTGTGAAAACTAGTACAGCTGTGGCTGCCATTGCAGTGTTAAAAATCAACTTTATTCTTGAAAGGGACATTTTCTCACACAGGATTTCATGTAAGCCTTACCACTATCCTGCAACTATAGGAAGAATGTTCAGTATTTTTTCAGATGGGGAAATTGAGTATTAGGAAAGTTATGTCACGATTTGCCCAAGGTCAGGGTCCTCATATTAAAAACAGACAAGCAAAGACAAAAGTAGCCAGGGCCCTTGATGATGCTGTTTCCATATGGCGCCAGCCCTGGACATTCTACCAACAAATATTTTTATATGAGAAAGATAAATCTCTATTTATTTAACCTACTATTAGTTGGGTTTTCTGTTACCTGCAGCTAAGTACATTCCTAGCTAATGCTAGTACTAAATAAACTTTGCAAATTAGCTTTGGAACAGTGTATCCAAATACACACCAGACATCAACACAACTCTGGCATCATAAAGGCTGGTGAATGTTATCCAAAGAAAATGAACAAATGTTCTTAAATCAGGTTTAGGTTCTATGAGAAACAAAAGCCTTGAAAACATTGATTACAGATCTGTCAAGTTGTTTCCCTTTTTTAAAATATATTTGGGAGGGCTGCACAGTGTGTGTTAGTGACTTTGAAGTTAACCAAAGAGAGTCCAAGCTTAATGGCATCACATTTGTGACAGTTAATTAGCACAAAATATTTCAGTGCAGTGAGATTTTTGTTTTGTTTCGTTTTTGTTTTTGTTTTTAAAAAAAGCATCAAAAGCAATAAAAGGCTCTGGGGTTTTAATTGCTTCTTCCTAAAGACTAAATTTTGTTCTCACTACAAAGACAGAATCCTTCCCTCAAAGTCAAAATGATCCCCTGTGGTTTTTTGGGATCAGAAAGACTATACAACTGAGTGGACACTTATTTTTAAGTCTTAAGAAAATGTTCATAAGGTGGCCTCTTATTTTTGTTAACCAAAAAAATCAAGTCATTTCCAAGCAAGAAGACCCTACCCTAAATACATGTGAATGCAGCCATCTGCAACGTATGGATGAATTTAGGTGGTTTTCACTTTAGTTTCTATTACACTAACCAAGTTCTTCTTTTGAAAAATAAAAAGCATACTAGATCATATTGGATTGGCATGCTTAACGAATTACACAGGAAGTATGTGTTTTTACACAGAATTACACTGGACTGCCTTGGATACATCAAACTGATAGTTGATTCTGGACTCACTTTCTTCAGAATAAAAGTTTAAACACACACACACAGCAACAACAAAAACTGATGATATAAAATAGTTTTAACAAACGGGGTGGGGAGAATCGACGTTAGAACAAAGGAACTTTGAACAACACAAAGTTTTAGGCAGCCTATCATTTGAAGTTACACTATTTGGACAAGTTGATGAATTTGCACTAATACTTTTAAATGGTTCTGTCACTTTAAATGCTAGTTTGAAAAAGAAAACTGAATTACACTGAGTTGAATTGTGTATCAACCAGAAAAAAATAACAGTAGCTAAAGTAAAACAAACTCTTGAAGAATTGTGCCTCTTTTAAAGAAAGAATCTAAAAACAAAAGTCCTATACGCTAATTGAATTAAGTGGCCTACTCACCCCTACTTAGGACCATCAGGATGAAAATGTTGAGGTGGCAGAGCTTCAGGTACATGGCCTGGCAGAGTGGCTCAGAAGTCTGGTTTGGGAGTCTGCATGCCAAAGTGAGTGCCAGCCTCGACTTTCCATACGGCCTTGGGTAAACTACCTACCCTCTCTGTGGCTTTCTTGCATCGCTGGATATTGTAGATTTGAGAAGTCAGAGTTGTTGTGAGGACTAAATGAAATAATACATGTAAAGCATCTAGAAAAGTAACTGGCACACACTGAGCACTCTAATACTAGATTATTATTCTATCTTAAATATTCATGCACAAATCTGACACTGCAACCCTAAGGTTTTGCAATTTGGAAGTATAAATTACTCATCTACGTAATAGGTAGTTATGCTGATGTATCTTCAGCGCACCAAAGGACAGATGAAAACTAGTAATAAATTTAAATATTATCTAAGCCTACTTCAATGAAAACTTAGAGAATCTATTCTTAAATTTATTATTGATACTCTCAGGTGCTTTTAAATGAACTCTGCTACTTTAAAACTAAGCCAAAATGGATTACCTGGGCAATTGGAATTGCCATTTATCAAGCATGAAGTCCATTTCTTAATGAAAAACAAACTTCTTACAAAGCTGGGTTCCATTTTTATCCACCCACATGCTAAACATATTGGCATATGTTCTTAGCATCCCATAGCTGTATATTTTAAGCAGACCCTTTTTATCTTGCATAGCTTTCATTACATTACAGGAGAAAAAGTATTTCTTGCTATGACCAGGAACAATATGCTAGACTCTGCATTTTGTATTTTTCTCAGTCTACCTTTCATCAATGAATAAGTGTTGCTTTAACTAAAAAGTGTGGAAAATTCTGATTGAATTTTCCACTTCAAAGTACACAAAATCATTTCATCTAACATGCTGTGTGAGAAAATCTATGCCCCATTCTGACCTCCTGTTGCAGTCTATTTCAAGTATTGGTGATGCACCATATCACACTGCATGGCTGGTGAAGTAGAGTAAACATATTGACTGAGAAACGTTTTGAAAACCCCCTATTCCACATAGATCCCAGCTACTGTCAAAAATCACAAAAATGTTTGCATTCTGTCTGTGCAAGAGCATGACAGAGCTCTAGGAGAAATTCCCACAGTAAATAAAACCAGCTACTTGCATAACACTCCGTCGAAGCAGGACTGTGCAGGGCTTACTGCTAGGGGAAGGAGGGGCAAGATTCAGCCCAAATGATATGCCCAGAGGTATATGGGGGAAGACGTTATTAACTGTGCCCTTCCTTTCACCTATTTGCAAGGTTAAAATAAAATTTAGCAGAAGAGATTACCACTAGTGAGAAGGCACAACTCTGCCGGCGGCCAAGGAACACATGGAAAGAAAGGTAATATATTGATTGACCTTTCCTTGCAATTGCAGTCTAGGCGGCTAGCCGTCTTTTTTCATTTGAGGGGATATGATAGCTGACCTAGCTTATTTTCCTGGACTAACAAACTAGGACAGTCCTTGGACAAGTCAGGCAGCTGAGACCAGGATACCCCTACAGTAGCAGAGTATTACAACATTAACACTTACAATGAGGAGATCTAAGCAATAACGCGGTAATCAAACAGGCTTCTGGGTTAGAGCTTTTCCTTCCTCCAAATGCAAGCTTCCCGGGTCCTTCTCAGGAAACAGTGGAGAAGATGTTTTCCAGGTGTACAGAATGACAGTCCAATATGAATTATTCATACTCCCCAAAATATAGAGCTACAGAGTCCATTTAACTCAACATTTCCCCAAAGAGTGTTGTGCACTTTGTGAATGGCTTTATTTGACAAGAAAAACTTAAGGTTCCTTTGCTAAAAGGTTCTGGATCCAATAAGTTTGAGAAACACCTAATTAAAAATAGCTTAAAGGATTTACTTATTTTAAGATTTCCCCAAGACTTTTTACAATCATTAGCATTTTATTTTCTAAGAGCAAGTAACATAATCTCTGGTGCTACCCAAATTTAATATGAAACACTTTTTGGGAAAACATAGGATGTGCTTCTGAAAGAATACACTTTGAGAAATGGAGGTTTAAATAAGCCCTAATTTTAGTGCAATCATAGAATGACCACAAGAAAAATGGAGACTAAGTTATTGCCACACCATATACCAGCTATTGTACTTAGTAACTTAGAATTTCAGTCTTGAATTGTGCTACGATGAAAGAGGCAGGTGGCTTACGATGTAATTCAATAAAGTGTCCCTTTGTACACTTGCAAGATTGCAGCAACGCATCCAAAAAAAAGACTAAAAGCAAGAGCTACAGAAACAAATCCCTTGTGTACTACAGTGATCAAATCGCTAAAGAAATAAACACAAGGAATAAAAATACATGACTACCATACCATAGGTAGGCCTGCAGTTCACATGAAAGATAAACCCAGAAAATAAGGAGTGTTACCATGTCCATGTGTTTATAAAAGCCGGGCGCGGTGGCTCATGCCTGTAATCCCAGCACTTTGGGAGGCCAAGGTGGGTGGATCACGAGGTCAGGAGTTCGAGGCCAGCCTGACCAACATGGTGAAATCCTGTCTCTACTAAAAATACAAAAATTAGCCGGGTCTGGTGGTGCGCACCTGTAGTCCCAGCTACTCGGGAGGCTGAGGCAGGAGAATCACTTGAACCCAGGAGGCGGAGGTTGCAGTGAGCCGAGATCACGCCACTGCACTCCAGCCTGGGCAACAGAGGGAGACTCCATCTAAAAAAAAAAAAAAAAAAAAAAAAACAGTGACAGAACAACACAACTGTGCCCTATTTATCAATGGCCAAGGCTTATCTTTGTTCTCTTTTCCCTATTGGCAAATTTCCTAGTCTCCTTGAACAAATTTCCTATTTCTGAGACTTCCACATAGGACGTAAATAATCACAAGAGACCACTGCTCACAATATGAGTGAAGACAGAAAGAAAAGCTAGAAGTGAAAAGTAGGTTTTCAGTTTGGCTGATTCCTTCTTACCCCATCCATAGCAGATTCCTCCTCCTCCTGCCAATCCACCAGGGGTGAGAGAAACCATGGGCCTCTTCTTTCCTTTGAAGAGTTTGCCCATTTCTGGAATTTACATTTTCAAGGTTTATTTATGTCCTTAGCATATTTTATGATTTTTTAAACTATGATTTTTATTACTTACCCAGGTTATTTTGACTGTAGGAGTGAGAGCAATGGTCCCTGGTCATAGTCTACCTCCTAAGTGGTAAAGGAAATCTCAGAAATAGGAGTTTTTGCTTCTTCTTGTATCGGTAATTTTTCAAGTAGGTGCTAAACATTTTAAATCTCGGTAGAAACTGATGCTGAGATAAATACTACTTAGCTTCAGAAAAAGGTATGCCTCTTCTGCGTCATACACTGTAGTAGGGTGCTGAGTCATTCTGCTCCCTGCTTGAGCTAGGTTTGGATATTGTTATGACCCATGGCCAAGAGAAGACACACAGATACAGAGGTAGTCAAGATGCTGGTGTTATCAGACAGACTAAAAAGTATGCTAAAGGATACAGTGGCAAATGTATGGCAACATAAAGAAGATGTGGGAATTTTTAGCAGAGAGATTGTATTATAAAAACAAAAAAGAAAAATCTAGCCTGAAGAATATATTAGAATGAAATGGGCTTACTAACAATGAAATGGGCTTACTAACTGGCAGAGTAAAGCAAAATAAATGATCAGTACAGTTAAGTCAAAATAATAGAAATTATCCCAAATGAATTGCCAAGAAAAAAAAGCAAAAACAAAACAAAAATATAAAGAACGCCTAAGATCTGTGGGACAATATTAAACTTCCTAATATAGATATAAATGGGGTCCCAGGAGAGAAAAGAAAGTGGTTTAAAGATGTATTTAAGTAGATAATGTCCAAGGACATCCCCAAATTTGATGAAAATCATTAATCCACATACCCTAGAGGCTCAGCAAATCCTAGGCAGGATAAATTCAAGGAAAACCACACTTGGGCGCATCAGAGGCAAATCTCTTTTTCAGGCAGGAAATAGATAAAGGTATGTGAGGTAATGGAAAGGGAGTATCTATAAAATAAAATTTAAAAATCTCAAAACACATTAACCTGAAAAATGTTAAAACAGGCAACAGAGTTATCAAGATACTGAAACCAGTTTCTAAAAGTTATCACCAGCCTCTGAGCACTGGCCAGCAAAACCTGTGCCAGGTTTCTCTTCTCAAGTACTACTGGGAAACAGACTCCTTCCAGAATCCACAGAAGCAGGACAAAACTTGATAAAACTTGCCTGGTTAAATGCTTAATTTTGTTTAAAGAGTTGCTGGTTATGTTTTGACTTGTTTTTCTTTTTGCCTGACGGGTAAGGGGACTTGGGGGCAAATGAAACACAGAAGTCCCTAAAGGTAAAGGGATAATTTCAGTAGTTCTTCATAAATAGAAGCCAAATTGAGTAACTTGTACTTAACCTTGTCTGTGATCTTTTCACCTTTAAATTTAAAATATTTCCTACACCCTTTCTCCAAACAAATCACTAATCCTATCTTGGCAAATTTCCTGTTACACAAGTCTTTGGCAAGCACAACTCTGATGACTGGGAAAAGTCAACAAATTATAATTCACCGATTTTTTAAAGTCTTTAAAAATAAAAATTCCCATAAGGATAGGAGAGGTGGGGCTGTCACAATTCACCTATGCATACTCAACTTTTGCCAGCTGCAAAATAGGAGAAAAATAACTGCATTCTTGTGTTAGGAAAGAGAAATGGACTGAATATAATTTTCCTCTCAGATGTTTTTGGTCACAATATTCAAGTGGACTTAACATAGAAATTCCAGCAGCTGAAATCTTAATAGCCATAATGAGTATGATCTTTACACGTATTCTTTATCTTATGCATGTTCTGAAACTCAATCCCATCCTTTCCTTAAAAACCCAGAAAAACCAAAACAGCTGTCATTTTGCTGGATAATAAATTATAATGTTGGGAAGCAGTATCATGAAAAATATAAGACTTTGAAAACAAAAACAAAACTTCAAAACAATAGAAAATTCAAAATAGAATTATAAAATTTGCTACAAAGATAGCACAATGGGATCTTCTGGGTGCTGGTGATGCTGTTTTGTTTTCAGTCTTGGTGCTGATTACATGAGTAGAGTCAATCTGTGAAAGTTCATTAATATTTGCACTTTTCTGGATATGTGTTACTCTTACAACAGAAATAAAACAGTGTTCAAGATCTATGGGAGGGAGTGATTCTTCAAAAGGCAGCTGGCTATACTCACCTTCCAGTCTAAGTACTCAATCTCCAGCACTTAGCACAGTGCCTGGCCACAAAGTGAATGTCAGTATATATTACATTAGTGGAACTGAGTTTCAAAGATATTTTTTACCTTTGGTATTTTTGAGTGCTTTAATACTGTGTTTCTATCATACCTTATACAAAGCATCACGGAAAATAAGTGGAATCCACTCTCCTTAGAATTACTTGTATGGGTCTGAGTAGAGAGATGTTAGGCTGAAAACAAATGAGATAAGCTCTGTAGTCTTCTACTTCTCCTTCTCGTCCTTTTGTTGCAATAAACTTTAGAGGATGGTGAATGTCCTCAAACGTCCATTGTTAAGGGGAAGCTAGACAATTCAGGAGGAATCCAGTAGAAGTTAGAAGTGAGCACAGAGGTTTAGCAGCTGGCTCAGAATGAAAGGAAGAAACTCTGGGTCAAGAGCTCTGGATTTCTTTATGTTTAAAAAAACCCACTTTTTTTGGAATGGTTAATATATTACCACAGTCTATAAAGTATAGAGAAGCATTTAGTTTTTAAAAAACTCCTTTCCATCCTAGTCCCCAATTCACCCAGTTCCCACATTTCTCTCCCAGAGAGAACCACTGTTCTAAGTTTTGAATGAACTTGTCCAGAATTTATGAGCAAAATATGAGCAAATATGTAATATCTGACTACATAAGCCAATGAGTACATACTCTTATTCCCCTCCTACTTTTACAGCAAATGAAACATATTAAGCCTACTATTTGGCCCTTTGACTTTTCCCTCTGATCAGGAGATTCTTTTATATCAGTGCAAAGCCCTCAGTCTTTTACATAGCTGTATGGTATTCCATAGCACGAATGAAACATAATTTGTTTATCCACTTAACTACTAAAAGATGTTTGGGTTGTTTCCAATCTTTTGCTATTAAAAAGGATGCTATAATAAATAATCTTTTCCAGGACTCATTCAGCATGTACACTGGTCTATCTGATGGCTTTACTCCCCAAAGAAGAACTGGTGGGTCAAAAGGTACATGTATTTTGATTAACATTGACAATTTGCCATCTGCAGAAGTTGTTCTAACCTACACTCCCACCAGAATTATAAGTAAGAAAGCTATTTCCCAGACCAGTGTCTCATGCCTGTAATCCCAGAACTTTGGGAGGCCAAGGCTGGTGAATTGATTCAACCCAGGAGTTTGAGACCAGCCTGGGCGTCATCGCGAAATCCCATCTCTACAAAAAATACAAAAATTATCTGGGCGTGGTGATGTGTGCCTGTTGTCCTAGCTACTCAGAAGGCTGACTTGGGAGGATCACCTGAGCCTGGGGAGGTCAAGGCTACAGTGAGCCGTGAGTGATGGCACCATTGCACTCTAGGCTTGGTGAGAGAGTGAGACTTTGTCTCAAAAAACAAAACAAAACAAAGAAAGCAAGCTATTTTCCCAGAAAGCATAGCTGCAAAATACTTTTAGTTTTAGATTTCCAGTTTTAGAAACCAGAAATACTCCCAGGTTTAGATTTTTGCCAACCCAATAGGTAATTTGTGTATGTATATATATATATATATATGTGTGTGTGTGTGTGTATATATTTTAAACACATAAAATATATATATATATATCAGTACAATTTTTAATTTGTACTTTTTTTTTGAGACGGAGTCTTGCTCTGTCACCCAGGCTGGAGTGCAGTAGCGCAATCTCGGCTCACTGCAAGCTCCGCCTCCCGGGTCCACGCCATTCTCCTGCCTCAGCCTCCCGAGTAGCTGGAACTACAGGCACCCGCCACCACGCCCAGCTAATTTTTTGTATTTTTAGTAGAGACAGGGTTTCACCATGTTGGCCAGGATGGTCGCCATCTCCTGACCTCGTGATCTGCCAGCCTTGGCCTCCCAAAGTGCTGGGATTACAGGCGTGAGCCACCACGCCCGGCCCATTGTACTTTTCTTATAAGGGTAGTTGAGAATCATTTCCTATGCGTATGAGCCATTTATTCATATTTGCTTTTCTGTGAACTGTTCATTTGTTTCCTTTGCCCATTTTTCAATAGAATTGTTAGGGGTCTGCAGTTCTTCTTAAAGCCAACGGAGACAAAAAATCCTTGTAAACTGGGCTAGGAACCATAAGGAGAATGAACACTCTTCCATCAGCTTTGCAGCTTTACCTAGGTCCATAGGAGCCAGGGGCCAGAAGAGTGGTATCTAGGCCAAAAGAGTTCTCTGACATTTAGGTAAAAAGAACATCACGATTACTTGAGGCTAAAAGAGAAAAAAAGAAGGTATAGTGGTTGCCTTCCTCTTGAACCCTGAGAAATCTTGCATTGCCCAGCACAGTCCATGCCCCAGGAAAGAGGCCAAGCCCTTCCTAGATGTTGGTGGCAAGGACTAGGCTATGATGGCAAAGTACAGAGATTAACTGGTCTGAATCCTGGCTTCACCTTTTACTAGCTCTGGGATCTTGTGTGAGTTATTTAACCTCACTGCCCAAAGGTGCTGAATTGTTGTGTACAAATTTGCCAGGTAGGTAGAAGATGTGTTAAGAGTAGCCCCAAAACACAACATGATACTTTTTCTGGACACAGAATTGGCCATTTGAAATATGGGAAAACATTATCCTTTTAGTGTGATACACGCTGTCATAGCTTTGTCCTGCAAACTGGCAAACGTGGCCCACAGGAATTGACATTGAACATCTAAGACAGTTGTCCCACAGAGTTAAACAATGACCAGGAGAGAAGAAAATTCATTTATCTGGCCACTGCAAGGTCTTCCTTATGATCCAATCATGATAGGTATTTATCTATTTATTTATGTCTAACTAATGCTTGCAGCTCAAACTGCTTTATCCTTTGATAACAGGAGGCTGCCTTTAAATTCATTGAGAGATTTTTCCACTTTCCTTCATGAGTCATCCATGCCTCCCGGCCAGTCATAACAGAAGCAACTGACTGTAGTAAAAAAATCAATGAAAAGGTAGAGGGCTTTTTCTATGCCTTAGGAACGCCTGATACCTCTAGCAATTTCAGAAAGTTTTACATTTCTATTGTTTTTGCTTTTAAAGGCTTATGTTTTTCATGACGTTGTTTTCCAGCATCATAATTTAGTACCTAGTACAAATGACAGAGGTTTTTGTTTTCCTTAGTTTTTCAGGGCTGTCCATCTTGTTCTGTGTTGCTTGATCTTGTTCGGTTTGTGGAAATTCATCAAGCTGTACACTAAGGAGTCCATATTATATTTCAATAAGAAGTTTTATATACATGTGCACACACTGAAAGAAAATGGTCAGCCTCCACAAAGAGGAAGCAGTTGCGAATGCCAGGCCCGTGCCGGTGGTACCATCTGTGGAAGGCATTTCTACCTCTCGTCTCCACTTTAGGTACGTCCATCAGGAGTCAGCAAGGCTTAGTGGTTAAGAACAGGGGCTTAAAGCCAGAGTAATCGGGCTTGAATCCTGGCTTCACTTTTACCAGCTGTGCGACCCTGTGCAAGTTACTGAACTTCACCCTGCTTCAGTTTCCTCATCTGCAACATGGTGCTAACAGTACCCAAAATCCTCAGGTTGCTGTACAGATGAAAGTGGTTCACATGTGTGTAAAGCAACTAGAAGCAGGCTGGACCCATGGGAATACTGTGTCAGTATTAGCTATCCCATTGCTCCCCATAGCAGTACTTACCTTACAGGTGGCTGCATCCACTTCTCACTCAAGCATTTAAGCCTCCCTTATATCATATTTCTTTGCTTACCAATTTATTCTTGTGGAGATCCAAGTGTAGAGGAGAGAGTAGGCTGACTCCTCCTCCTCAATCACCCATCCATTTACTTACCTGCATGGCTACTTTCCAGTCCTAGGCCCTCCCCTCCTGCCTCCAAGCAATCTTTCTCTATATCTGATGGATATTCGGCTATTTGCACATGCTCCTATGAAATGTACATTATGTGGTGTGTACTTTTAATTGATTGACATTAAAAGTATGATACTGCAGAATTGATTTTTTAAGCTTGGTTCCACACAGTGATATGTTTTAAGCTCTATCCACATTGCTGTGTGTTCCTTCGGGCTGTTGCTTCCAATGGCTAAATGGTACTCTATGACATTCCCCCATTTACCCAACCACCCACAACTGTCAATGCCCACAAAACCTCTGACTTTCTGTCATGACAATGCTCCAAAAGGCACCTGGGTACACGCCTCATACAAACATGCCCTCTTTAGGATTGAGGCCGCTGGGTCATAGGGCAGACTATGTCTCATTTAACTAAGTACTGGCTGTACTTACACCAAAACAGCCTGATCACTCTACGGAGTGGCTTCAACAGATCGTCTAATTATAACATTCCTAATGAGGTACATGGTGTGACTTCCCCCATTGTACTGATACAAGATTTTCCCTTGGCTTCATAGCTGGTACACACAATTTGAAAATAGGGCACATGACCTCGGAGCTGCAGTGTCTCCCACCACAGAGGGCCATGACAAGAGCATACCTTCCACCTCTTCTTGGCCTGTGTCACATCCCCTATCTCCTGGCCCAACCGATGACTACTGCATGCATTCACATAATGGACAGGCCTAAGCTCATATTGTTTAAAAAGTCCCACCTCACCTTCTAGGCCCACATGGAAAACCACCACTTCAAGGACACCTTCTCTGGCTGCCACTCAGATCTCCCTCCACTCAAAAATCAACATTGCATTGATAGTGTTTACCAGGCAATTCATTTATTGTCTCTGCTTCATTTACTTATTTTTGCCAGTTAAACGACACTCTGGGGGTAAGAATTAAACACTGCAATTTATATTCCTCCATGGCTAACACACTGCTGAGTGTACGATAAGCATTTTTTTAAAAAGTATAGTAGAACTGGGGCCAGGCACAGTGGCTCACACCTGTAATCCCAGCACTTTGGGTGGCCAAGGCAGGAGGATTGCTTGACCCCAGAGTTTGAGAGCATTTCTGGGCAACATAGCAAGACCCTGTCTTTACCAAAATAAAAATAAAAACGTGAGCTGGGTGTGACAGTATGCACCTGTAGTCCTAGCTACCTGGGAGTCTGAGGCATGAGGATCACCTGAACCCAAGACTTAAGAGACCACACTGAGCTAAGACTGTGCTACCGCACTCCAGCCTGAGTGACAAAGTGAGACTCTGTCTCTAAAATTATTTTTTAATAAAAAAAATACATAGAACTGTATAGACTTTTAATAATGCAGACATTTTACCTCAACAATCATGTGGTACTAACTGCTTATTTACAAATGAGGGGAAAAAATAATGATTACCAAATAACTATGGTAACAGTAATCATAACTTAAAAGATTGTTATAATTTGGTACTCATTAAGTGCCTGACCATGTGGTAAAAATTTTTTATGCATTATCTCATTTAATCTTCAAAATAACCTGATGAGATTGAGATGCTTTTGTTCCCTATTTTTCAGATGAGGAAGCTGTGGTTTTCTCAGGGTGATTAAGTAATTGACTCAAAGTCATAGTTAATAAGTTTCAGAAATGAGATTCATGCTCATTTTAGTTAGGACCAAAGATAATTTATGGATGACTGATGTAAAAACACAAAAAAACTATAAGCTGCCTCAGAATTTTCTATTAGAAATTTATCATCCCTGAAGGCTTTTATAAAGTTTACATAGTACAACATTTTATGTGACTAAAATACTCCCAGAATAATTATGGCAACCAGTCTTCCAATCCCTTCCTCATCTTTCTATGTCCTTAAATATAGTAACTAGTATTGCACCCTCTGAAAAAGAAGAAATTATTCTTTAACACTTGAAATTCCTAAGACTAGGAAGGTGTTAATTACCATCCAGAAACTCAGTGCATAATAAGGCTCAAAAATGTAGACATTTTAAAGCCTATCCCCTTAGTGCTTAAAAATCAACCTATTTTTTTGATGCTACAGACAGAAACACAATTCCTTGATTTTCCATTACCTTTATATTATATCATCTATGCAACTATGAACTCTGGCCAAGGCAGCTTCTTGTCCCCTGTGAACAGTGGGTTTCTAAGGTGTCAAAGACACTTATTCTTCAGATAGGTAAAAATGAAAAAAAGGATCAATCCTAAAAGGTTTATAGTAGTGAGAAAAGAAGACCATCTGCTCTGAGATAGCTCTGGGCTGATTTTCCCAGCAGGAAAGCCCAGGTTTTAGAAACCTTGTTATCATTAGAGAAAGGTAAAGAAATTGCTGAGAATTAGGATAAAAGATTTTCAAGCCCTACAGCAGACCGAAACCATGTATTTTAGAATTATATGCAGGTTTATATAAAGTTGGATTATCTGTGAATTTGGGTAGTTTGGTTTGTTTTTTAAAGAAGGGTAGACTGTTACAACACTTTCGGGTTTTGAAATTGATCAGATGCTATGCCTACCACTATTTGCTCTCACATACTCAAAATCTCATACCATCTTTATGAACCTGTTTATTCTGGATCAGCAAAGCTTCCAATGTAAAATGACAGCTCATCTAGAATAAATCATCATTATTCTTTTGTGCTGAAATGCCAGATTTGAAAACTAATCCTCTGTACACTCTCGTGTTCCCTTCTGTCCACCAGATCATGTCCCTGATGCTCCCATATCAAATAGATTTTTATTTAACAGAGGCCTTTACCAGCTCTACAAATAACTGCTCCATGGTCTTTGAACTACTATTCCTATTGCCCGTTTTGCTTCATTCTTTGTTCATTTGCTGTATTACGGAGCTCATACTGAGGGACAGTACAGGTGAGCATATTCTCAAAGTGAAAGGCACTTTAGAAATTCCCAGCAGACAAGCTTAGCCAATCAGAGGCACAATACTTATCTTTGTTTTCCCCCTAACCCTTTACTCTTAGTCTAATAAAACAGATTTAAAAGCTTGTTTTTCTATACTCAAAGTACAAAAGGCTTTCTAAGACAAAGAAAAAAATCAGGCTAAAAAAAAGCCAACTCCTTGAGCTGAAAATGAGCCCCTTATTTCTGGCCCATATTTTCCCTATAGCTTTAAAGTAATTTCTCTTTTAAAAATTAACTTCCTCTGAAGATACTGAGAGAAGACTGCCTAATAATAATACTTTGCAAGGAATAAGGAATGACATGTGTAGAGAGATTTTTAGGATTGAGAAATAGCAGTCGAAAATCTCAGACTACATGGTGATATATCTAGTTCTAAGGAGCCTTAGTGGAAAAATGCAACAATTCCATAATTTGATTAACAGAACATTTCTTATACTCTCCTCATAGATGAGAAAATCTAGAGCAATGGGGCTCAGTGTTAAATGATCACCCAAGTCCACAGAGCTGGTTAATGACAAAGCCTAACATACAATCCAGTCCAGTCTATTATTTGCACCATATCATATTGCCATTGTAAAGCTAAACATTTCTATCGGAACACACTTCTTCAACGTAGACTCACAATAAAATCAGTGTTCTCAAAAGATTTGGCAGCTGGTTTACCGTAATTTGTTACTGACCCCCAGAATATAGGAACCTGTAATTTGTAAGAATTCTTCACTACGACTCAGGTTATTGAGTTGAAAATGACATAGTGCAGAATCTAAGCAAAGTGTGCTTATAAAGAAAGGTCACTAGCTACATACATGCACATTTCCATTTGCCATTTACTGTCCAAGTAATGTATCCACACAGCAAACCGTGGCTTCTCCTATGGCTTCCTAAGGTTAGAAAACATTTTTAGGCCCTCCTCAAATTTCTACTACCGCAGTGTTTTGAGGAGGAAAGAATGTGACCTTTTAAACCTATTTGGTAATGTCGCTGAACCAATTCACACGGCACATTAAGGCAACAGACATCTTCTCTGTGGCAGTTTAATGAGTTCCTCTTAAAGTCTGTCTAGGAAAAGAAGCCATGATTCTTGCTCAAAACAAAATGGAACAGCAAAAAGACTCTCACCACCAGTAGAAGAAAGTTAGCTAATTTATAGTGTACTATAGAACACACTGCATGGTGAGGCACAGTATTTCTGCAAATGCCAAGACAGAATGAAATGAATACAGGACAAAAGAAAGAGGGGGAACAAAAGCACATGCTGAGCTGAGTCCTTAAAACACCACTGATCATGAGGTGCATGCTGTGTATAACAGTGGATGTACTTAATGCACCCAGTATTTTAGTGCCTCATTAGTGAAAACTCCTAGGTAGGGTCCAAGAAGGCCCCGCCGTACTCTGAGTTGTGCTCTACATTAGCAAAATTCACATGTTACATGATGAAACCATATGACTTATTCGAAGCTAGTCTATTTTTTCCTTCATGTACCAACAGAACTCCCGGGACTTCACCTCGATGCTACTGAGCTAAAGTGAGTTGTCTGCGGCTCGGCGGGAAGGGATGCCCTAGACACTTAATGAATGTGACAAAGAGCTATGACATCTGTAGTCTAGTTTCAAACACTTCAGCATAGAAAATGTAATATATTTATGGATTAAAATTATATCCTGGCCAGGTGTGGTGGCTCCCGCCTGTAATCCCAGTACTTTGGGAGGCCGAGGCAGGTGGATCACCTGAGGTCAGGAGTTTGAGACCAGCCTGGCCAACATGGTGAAACCCCATCTCTACTAAAAATACAAAAATTAGCCAGGCATGGTGGCAGGCACCTGTAGTCCCAGCTACTTGGGAGGCTGAGACAGGAGAATCACTTGAACCCAGGAGGTGGAGGTTGCAGTGAGCCGAGATCACGCCACTGCACTCCAGCCTGGGTGACAGAGTGAGACTTTGACTCAAAACAAACAAACAAACAAACAAACAAACAAACAAAAAATTTATATCCTATACACAGTCAGTGGTTCTAATCAGAATTTACTTCCCAAGGGTGGTAAACTAGCATTATATCAGAGGTATCTGTGTCTTAGTCAACACCAGAGATTTTGCTAATTGGCATACTCAAATGGATTTTCATTGGTGAAATCAGTATCAGTGGCTTGCTGCTCACATGGCAGATGTTTAAAAACAGGCTTTCGTCAATGAAACTAGTGGTATTTAAGATAAGTGAATTGGCAAAATTTTCCACCCTTATATGAACAGAGCATGAGAATCTAGGGATGTCTACAACTTTTACCCTCAGGACATCTGATGATCAGTTGCTAAATGGCCTTATGTCCAGCAACTGGGTCAGAGGATTCCCATTCCCTGGTGTCCACTCAAAAGGTGAGAGAATCCTGCCTCTCGAAAGTTGACACGTTGACCTGGAGTGGAACTGTCGTCTGGAAAAATTTGACTGGAGCACTTAAAAACGCCAGAAAGCTGGAACTTCATTGAGTTTACAGGACAGGCTTCATGAATGCTTCGTGCCTGTCTGCTAATAACTGTTCAATTAAAGTCTGTTACACAGAACTGGCCTGAGACTTAGTTGAGCTGTGTGGGATGAGCAAATCCTCACACAAAACTTCAACCACTTTTCTGTGGCTACTGCTATCTATTAAAAAGAGTTGGGCATGACCAATTGGCTTAAGACTATTCTCAACACGTACATAACATGTATAACTGCTGCCCTGAAGCCAACCCATCCCAGCTTGGTAAATTTTCAGTTTTCCAAGCCAGTTGTTAAAAATAGCCATTACTGTGAATTAAAAATATCTAAATTTAAAGTAAATATATTACATTGAAAACAAGGGTAACACATACTTAAAACTGATACACTTCCTATGTAGTTTGCTACATTTTAAGAGGGTTTACATCAATTGTATTTATACGGTGGAAAAACTACATAATACAACTATATAACAGTGTTCCACTGGGCCTCTCTTCCCAGCTCTGAGTTCGGGGATGTCACACTGGTACCGGAAACTGGCCAGGGTGGGAGTATCTACACCAGGGAAACCAGCAAATGCTACCATCAGGGATTTGTTTCATTTTTCAGGACTGGTTGTTAAACACTTACCAGAACACCACTGACGTGTATGGTCTTGATTTAATAGAGAAGACTTTGACTCCTCTCAATATCCATATTCTAAAGCCCTGGAATATACCAGCATAAATAAAACCCCACACCCTGTTTACCGCAGCGGGACCACGCCGCCATGCACACCCGTTGCCCAGGGCAACAGGACACACTCACTTTTGAAGCAGCTGGGTCCACTAGTCTCTGGCGATGTCGGGCTGAGTTGAAATGGCTCTTCGGAGGCTGCCCTTCCTGACAGTGAATGGAAGATGGGGAGTGAACGAGAGGTGGGAAGGGAGAAGGTGGGGTGTGGGATGATGGAGAAATGGTCAGAAAAGGGAGAGGGACAGTGTTTAACGGCACTGTATTTTGTTTTAGCTAAACATCAATAACAAAAACACAAGACACGTTCTCCCCCACAAAAGCACATGTGATGTGCAAGTTATTTTATTATAAACAAACTTGTATGTGCAAGTGTGTAATAAAGTCACAAACACAACCCAGTATTAAGATATTTCCCATCAAATCTACATTTTCCTATTATTTGATAATTGTCTGTATTTCAAAAATACTAAGGGAAACTGGAACATGATTTCTCTGAATATGAAGTCCATCTTCCTGAAATAACAGAAAGCACTGCGGAGTCTTCTTAGGGTTAGACATCCCACCCATTTAGATATGAACAAAATGATGTGGAAATCACAATCTTCCTCCAAACCATGACAAGTCGCCTGCCTCAGAAGCTCCTGTGTCCATCATCCTGGCAGAATTCGTAGTGTCTGACAGCCACCAAAAACTATGCCCCTAAATGCACATTGTATTTTATTGGCTGAAACAGAGATTTAGCATTAAGTCTGTAATTTAAACCTATGTAAAAGAGTGGTCTCTCCTAAGACCGATCCTGTTAATGCCCTCATATACATATTGGACATATGGGTCACACGGAAAGGCATAACACCTTCCTATTATTCATTCCATGCCAAACACACAAACACACCACCCAAGGTACTATATTTTAAAAGGGAAGTTTGGAATGGGGCCTCATTAATGGTATAGAGTTTTACTTCTCCACCTCTCAGAGCTGGACAACAGTGAACAAACTTAAGAAGCAAGTACTACCCACTGTGAGCATTAACTCCAGGGAAAGGTTGATGAAAGCAACCGAGAGATGGTCTCACAAAATCCCTGGCTTTAAAGGCCCCATGCAAGTGAGAGTCAACACCAGCAGCGAAATGACCCTCAGATGAGGGCTAGCATTTGCTCAGATCTCTTAACAGAGGAGGGTGAAAAGACCTCCTTAGATAAAAATGCAATTTCTA
The DNA here is from genome assembly GCF_000001405.40 of Homo sapiens. Taxonomy (NCBI): domain Eukaryota; kingdom Metazoa; phylum Chordata; class Mammalia; order Primates; family Hominidae; genus Homo; species Homo sapiens. The sequence continues at coordinate 66,869,710 of NC_000005.10, read as the reverse complement.
TATTACAATACTTAAGTATTCTTTTTCTTCTTCGTCTAGGAATAACAGCTCTATACTTTTAAGACATGTATCAATCACACCCACTTGAGTTGCCCATAATCACTGCTTCGGCGTTCACAGTATAATGCTTACCTTTCAAAAAGGAAATGTTATAAGTAGCAGATTGCCAGTCAGGATTATGTTTTTCCTAGTAACCGCCCTGCCAACATGCATTCTTTCTCTACCTTCTCTGGGAAAAAAATGCAAGGAAATAGTCTTGAAACTCGGCTGACCTAGAAAATGTACCAAAGCTTTAAGAACAGAGAATCTATCCGTTGACCCACTGACCATTGAGCAAAACAAAACCAAGCAAAAACCTGAGCATGTCTTCCCATTTCCATAGAATCAAGAGTTTTCACATGAGAAATACAGTGTTTGAAAAACAGCATCATGGATTATTTATTTAGTTTGATGTGAAAGTGCTCCTTTCAACTTAATGGTTTATCAGAAGGTGATTTTAAACCTTTTTTCCCCCTAAAAGAAGTTATCAAATGTAAATAAATAATTATCCTCATTAATCTATGTGAAGAACCGCCCTTACTAACCTTCCCTATGGAATGATTACAACTGATTTAAGAGTTCTAAAGCACAGTGCCAGGCTCCTACTCATCGGGAAAAAAATTAATCTCAGCATTAAATACACAGTTACAGTCAATGTGCAAATTAACTAAATCCTGGGCCTGTGGTTTATTGCTCTTCTTCTGACTCCAAGGTGAAAATGTTATTTTATTTTTTAATTAGCTAATTGTACCATGAACTCGGCAGGGGGCAGATGTTGATATTAAACCCAGGATCTGAATCTTAAACTCCCAGTAGGTGGGAGACTAATTTAAAGAGGGCAAGCACATCCTTTAAGGGTTAGGTTTTTGAAACCTGGTGTCCATTTTATGTAATTTATTTTCAAGTACAATAAATCTGTAACAATAGTCTGCTTGTAATGAACAAATAGGGCTATGAAATAATCAATGTATTTACACAGAAATTCCAGTAATACATCTTCATAGAAACAAGGAAGAGCCTGGAGGATTAAAGTCATTTAATAAATTGCATATGGAGTGAAAATAAAGGAACTGTAAACAGCTCACCACAAGTTTTTCTCCATGTGACTGATACCTTAAACTAACCTTAATTTTCAATGAACTAGTCACTTGGTATCCTATTGCTAAAAAAAAAAAAAAAAGTTTGTGATGGTTATTTGCGTATATATATACATATACGTATATACACATATATATGTATATACATATATATACACATATACACACATATATATATGTTAGTTTGGTGACACTGAGACTTTGTGGAAAGGTGCACATAGCTAGAACCAAGAGGGGAACCTTTGAGAAGAATTTAATTCCTCAGAAGCTGAACATGCCTGCTTCTTCACTATAGGGAGATCCTACCTGAAAATATTTTTCTTTCCCTATTCCCAGTCTTGCTACCTACCAGATCCTATGACACATCCAAGAAAGGTACAAACTCTAAACCTTTGAGCTTAGTCACTTAAGTACAGCTATTATCAGTTCAATCATGTAATACTTTATGCATTTTTGAAAAAGCAACCAGGGCTCTCATAAGTGGTATCACAGGGAACTGATGATCCTATATAACAGGTTTGTTCACATAGCTTTCTGTGTTCAGGAAAACATTAAATTATGTCACTCAACACTAAAGGCAAAATTTGTGACTTCATTTTCCCAAATTCTAAGTTCTAAGAATGCGTTTCTCTTTTTCTAAATGACAGCCTTCAGACTCTGGCACTGTCATTCCAGACTGAGATATCAGTCTCCTGGTATCACTCACCTCCTGGTTAATGCCATCAACATCAGCAAAATAACAAATTAGATCTGGGCAAGCCCCACAGGGCTCTAAACTGAATGGCTTATTTACATATGCAAATAGGGCTCTTCACTGCAAGGGGAGCTGGCTGAGGAAGAGGTGGATTCCTCACCATTAGTTTTGTGAAAAAGGAAGCACATTCTATTGCTCATGTGAACCCAACCAAAATCATTTTGCTGGGATAACTATCATTAATAAAAGAAGCAACTCTCAGTTATGTAAATAAACTCTTAGAGACTAACAAAAGAAGAGTTGACATGTGCATAATGAAGAAACTTAATGAGACATATTTCATCTCTATGCTAAATGCTTTCACCAAGCCTTCTCTTATTAAGTCATTTTAGAAATTATAAATATCCCTTAACACTACAGATCATACTTTTTAAATAAATTATTGTTCCCCTAACATTACAGATCTGATAGCTTAGTACTTTAGCTTAATTTGCATCATGTAAACATATTTACAAGAATGCTCTATGGAAAACAATGTATCAGGCGTGAAATAATGGGTGCCCAGTGAATTTAGTTGCTAACATCAGACGATTTATAAAAGCCTAATTCTTTAAATCAGGTATAAGTTATTGTATATCAAAAGGAGAGGCACAAGGAAAATTTAAAACTAAGTATATCTATAATTTTAGCATTAGTTCCATTAAAAAAAATCTGTCATTAGGCATTTCTAGCCTAGAAAACCAGAAAATCATATATCGGAGCATATATTTGAGGGCCTCCCAGCCTGCTTCTTAAAAGTCCATTCAAAAGAGTTTTAATTAGCTGGGCATAGTGGCTCACGCTTGTAACCCTAGCACTTTGGAAGGCTGAAGTTGGGGGATCCCTTCAACTCAGGAGTTTGAGACCAGCCTGGGCAATATGAGGAGACCTACTTAAAAAACAAACAAACAAACAAACAAACAAAAAAGCCTGCCGTGGTAGCCCACGCCTATGGTCCTGGCTACTCGAGAGGCTGAGGCAGGAGGATCACTTGGGCCCAGGAGTTCAAGGCTGCAGTGAGCCGTGATCACGCACCGCACTCCAGCCTGGATGATGGGGCGAGACCCGGGCTCAAAAGAAAAAACAAAAGCAACAACATAAAAAAGAGTTTTAATTCTGAAAAGAATCACATGCATTTTCAGAGAAGAATAAACTTATCTACTCACCTCTGAGATAGTTTATATCTCACCCCCAACCAAACCTCTTACTAAACACTACATTTAAATGTAACAAAGCCATTACAAATAGGCACTATTAAAGAGATCCCTGAACGTAAGTAAAGCCATACAGGATTATACAAAGTCAAAAATATTCCATGAAAATAAGTCAATTGATAGAATCTGTAAGACAGGGAGATTTAACCATTATCAAGCCTATCAAAATAGGGATCAGAAACCCAAATGAACATCAAAGAAATGTGCCGTTTAGAAGTAGAGCACATTTTCAATTATGACATCATAGGCTTCTAAAAACCCACAGAACTAATCACAATTTATGAAACTTCTATTATTAATAACCTTGTAAGGAGAAGAGATCATTTTCTCTCATCTCCAGAAAAGTCCAGTTAAACGCAGACTTTTCAAATTAGCTTGAGAAGTGAGTCACCAAAATGGGATCTCCCCATCGCTGAAATGCAGACCCTACGACGGCAGCTAACTTTTTTCACCCTAATGTTCATATTTTACATCATGAAATAATACTTGCCAATACTTTTCGCAGCAACTACCAGCAACGTACTCTATTTCCTGATTTTTTTTTTTTTTTTTTGAGATGGAGATTCACTCTGTCACCCAGGCTGGAGTGTGGTGGTGCGATCTAGGCTCACTGCAACCTCCACCCCCAGGGTTCAAGCGATTCTCCTGCCTCAGTCTCCCAAGTAGCTGGGATTACAGGCATGCACCACCACGCCCAGTTAATTTTCGTATTTTTGGTAAAGATGGGATTTCACCATGTTGGCCAGGCTGGTCTTGAACTCCTGACCTCAACTGATCCGCCCACCTCAGCCTCCCAAAGTGCTGGGATTACAGGCGTGAGCCACCGCACCTGGCCTATTTCCAGATTTTTCAAACAAATGCTGATCTTTACTTACTGAATTGATGATGTGACTTGTAATTAAAAACAGCCCTAAGAAAGTGGTTTTTAGACTGTGATGAGACAGGGCTAGGGAGCTCATTATAAATGCTTTAGGTTGTGTCCTAAACTTTCAGTCATTTATTAATTTTTTCCATATCCATGTAGCACAAGTACTATTACATATACTACATGTGATATTTTCTTAATAGTTTTATTTAAATAGATGACTTTTTAAAAAAACTTAAATACTTCCATTTTAATGATGGCCTATGTAATAACATCTTGAAAACATGTCTTTGTAATATGCATTTTTCCTTATACATATTTAAAAATATTAAATGCTAAATTAAAACTATTTGTGTACTGACTAGTGTAATCCTGCATGCAACCAGTGGTGCCCACCCTACCTCTGAAAAACCAATTCTAAAGCATGGCTCTCAGTGGAAATGAGTGGTCCAAGCTTTATAGTTTCAGAGGCAGCAGTGGTAGAGTGTGATGGTCACCATAGCTGGCATGTATGACTCTGTCACATCTCCTTGACATTTCCAACTATCTGAGATGTCAAACAGGGACTGCAAATTTCACACGTCCCTTGACAATTCTTGACTTTTGCCCACCAAATCCACCTTCCCCAGTGTTTGTCATCTCCAGCAAAGAACACCACCATCTACCCAGTGGCTCTAATGACTCAGGAGTCAACATTACTGTCTCACCCTTGATCTCAGTTTTTCTCTCCTGTTCTCTCTTTCATGGGCCAAACAACTAGCACTGCCCCATGTCTAATGCCTCGGCAAATCCTACCGGTTTTAACTTCATAATATATTACAAATTCAACCCTTTCTTACTTCCAGTGTCCTCAACCTCATCTAAGCCATCTGTGTCAGTTTGCTAAGGCTGCTGTAACACAGTATCATAAACTGGGTAGCTTCAACAACAGAAACTGTCTCACAGCTCTGGAGGCCAGAAGTCTAACATGAAGATGTTGGCAGGGTTGGTTCTTCTGCTGGCTGAGGGAAGGAACTGTTCCAAGCCTAATTTTGGCCTCTAGATGGCGGTCTTCTCCTTGTGTCTTCATCCCATCCGCAGTATTGGGGGTTAGGACTTCCATGTATTTTCGGGGGGGGACATAATTCAACCCATAACACCATCTGAGTCATCCAGACTTCAGCAATAGCCTCATATCTCTCTTCCGTTACTTTTGCTCTCTGTATTCTACCAAGGGAAGATGCCGTAATATGCAAAGATGCCCTCATAAGACAAACCATGTCACTTTCCTCCCATACCTCCCCTGCCCTTCCCTCTACTCTCTGGGTCCAGCCTGGCGGCCTGTCTGGATTCCTATGGCTCGCCCGCTCCCGGCTCTTACTTCACTGCAGCCACACTGGTCTTTGCGCTGTTCCCAAACCTCTCCCAGAATGTTCTCAACACAGGATCTCTGGGATTCCCTTCACTGGAAAACATTCCCTTAAGTATTTTGCAAAGAATGCCCATGCTTCATTCAGGAATGTTCAAATGTCCCCTCCTCTAAAAGAGGGATGCTCCCATCACTCCTTTTCCCCATCTTTACATTATAACATTTATTATTACTGGACATAATACTGTATATGTATGTTTGTCTTTCTGTAAGCTCCATAAAGCCAGGAACTTTGTCTCATTTGTTTTCTACCTGGCACTTAGTAGGTGTTCAATAAATATTTATTAAACCAATCAATGAAGTAAGTGTATATGTGTGTGTGGGATGCATAGTTACCCATCATCAGCTCAACCACACACAGTGTTTCAGTCAGGATTCCTGCAAAACACACATTGAACTCTCACACTGGGTGGCTTGAGAAGAATTTGATTAAGGGATTACTTACAAAGGAGTAGGGCTCTTTTTCCACCCCTAGGCCAGAAGAGGAAAGGGAGGAAGCTGCTTCCAGAACCTAAAAGAGAAGAGGTCACCTGACAGGTGCCCTTCTTTTTTCAGTAAAGCATTCAGCCATCCAGTGCTAAAGCCACCAGCAGGGAGCCAGGGAGCAATGATTTCGATCACATTCTCTATTCTCCCTCCTTCTTGTCTCCTGTCTCCTGCCAGGATCTCCCCATGGGGCTGAACCCAACCAGACACCAGAGGCCTGACGTGTGGCAGCTGAGGAGGTGGGAGAAGGAAAAAGGAAGAAGAAGAAAGGGTGCAGAGGGAAGAAAAGAAAGCATGAGAAATGGGGAGAGGAAAAGAAAAAGGGAAAGAGGTAGGGGTGGGAGGAGAGAGAGGGAAACAAGGAGGAGGGAGACATGGGGAAAGGTGCAAAGGGATCTGGAGGTCAGACCGAAGCCGGAAGGCACCTGCACAATCACTGGGCCAAAGGCAGCTGCAACCACAGTGACTCCTTTCCTTATTCCTTCTCTGCCCAGTCCCAGTTTTTTAAAGAGCAAGTGGTTTTCACCTTCAAAATTTTTCTGTTTTAGAAACAAACACTGTGGACGTGCCTATGTGTCTGATGGGACAAGAGGCAAACAATTTGAGCGGGGAAGCTGTACAGTAGTTTTTCTCCTCTGGCTCTCACTTCCCAGAAATGCTGAAGGGGTGAACTAGATATTATCTGTGAAGCCCACATATCTAATCACTGGGATTTTTCTTTTGTCAAGGTTTCACATTACTGTAATTTTTGTAGGTCTGCAGTCTCAACTCAAAAGAAAAACCTGGGATTGGATTCCTGATGCAATTCTTACTTTGAATTCAAATTTACTTCCCAACCCTGTTATACTTCAATTTACCTTTTAAAGTTATTCAACATTAGGAAAGTAGAAAAGCCATTCTGTACAGAATCCACTCAGATTCCATGGAGAAGGGAGTTCTCTGAGGGATAGCAGGAAGAGAAACTGACACAATTCTCCTCCTGGCCACAAACTGGTGGTACATACAGGGCCAGGTCACTCAGCCTTCCTGGACATCAGCTTCCGAATCTGTAATTAGGCATGGAGATTTGAAGTCTGAAATTCCAAGACCCTGCCTGAAAGCTAGTTCAATTTGACAAAGATCAAAAATATCCAAGACACTCTGTTTTATAGACGAGTAAATTCAATTATTGGGCTCATGTCATAGTTCAAATTTCTGGTAGCCTTCATAATATGTGTGTTTTGGAAATCATGGCATTGACAAACTATTTAGAAAACATTTACCTTGACTGCTGTTCATAGAGAAATGTGTGGGTCTTAGACTATATTATATCCATCGGTCAATGATCGTTTGTTAGAGCATTTTAAAACATTACATATCGATTCAAATTAATGAATTTTATGTCAAATACCAGTTAACATATTTTACCATAGACAATAAGTTTATGGCTGTAATTACTGACTGAAGCTCCAAAAACACAGCACAATTATACTGCAGCACATATGTCAGCCCACTTATGTCCCTTCAGTTTAGAAAAAAATCTAATGATATCACATGGCACACATTTTTTAATGAGTGAAATTACAAGATACCTAAATTAAGAGAACCAATTTTCCACTGGGAAATTTGGCGGGGAAATCTAAAGGTAAACCAATTTTCTGAAGGCAGAATAAAATTTTCAACATAGCTCTAAGTTGTACCCAAAGCAAATTATTGCCAACTAGTAATATGGCTCTGATAATTAGACTTGATTGGTGTTTAAATTAAGCAGGGGATGTGCTACACTCCTCAAACCTGTTTTGACTTGTTTCATTTGTGCTAGCAGGCATGAACAGAATGGCCAGGGTCGCAGGAAAGGAGAAGCAGCCTGGCTTTGCGGATTGGGGTAGGATAGCATTTATCTGAACTCTCTCTCATCTGGCAGTTTCTTACCACACAGGTTCCTATGTGAAACAGATGAAGAGCCCACATACACACCAATCATCATTACAACACTGAACACCTAATAGAACAGTGTTAATCTATAACACAACAATAATCACATCTTCTACCGGGGTGTAATCACTATAAATTCTAGGGTGGGGTATATGGATAAAAGGTCATCTTATCCCTCCCTCTTATTAATAAAAGCCCTGAGGCTCAGAAGACATGAACTCTGCATATTTCAAACAAATGCAAACGAAATCATCCTCATTCATGTTTAGGTCACACTGCCATAATGTCATTCTGTACTCTTTAACACCTACTTTTACCAGGAGAATGTAAAACACAGCATTTTGGCTCCCCACAGTGGTTCCACTGCTAGGCTTTGCCCTGTGGGGCTCACATAGCATGTGTGGAAGGCACTCTCTATCATAGTGAAAAAGGTCTAAATGACCCACAGATGTTTGTATTCTGGCTCTACATGCCTAGCAGAGCCTCAGCTTCCCCATCTGTAAAATGGGGATAATAACAGCTACCTCCATAGGGCTGTCAGATATGCCTATGCCATATTCAGCACATCCGTGGCATGAGTAAACACTTCATAAATGTTGGTTATTAGTGGCACAAAGAAGGCTCTCAGCACCTGCTGATTTGTATCACCTTTAACACTGACCCAATTCACTTCCAGTTACAAACTCCTCATAATTGATTTCACAGGGATTTTAAGCATTTTTTACATTTTTGAATGAAAGCACTAGAGCCCAGATAGGGGCTTCAGGTCCCCATGAGCTCCAGACTTTGTGGGACCACTGATACCTCGGATCCCCCATCTTCACCGAAATAAATCACATGTAGCAGAAGGATGTAATAGGTGCCTCCAGTTACTGTGACCCAATTATAAGGCAAATCCTGAGCAAACCTCTTTGAAAATAACTGAGCAGTAACTCCAGACTAGGAGCAGATGGCCCCATAGCTGGCCTTCCGAGCACCAGACTCAGGTGCTGCATTTTGTTGCCCACCAGCCAGGGATCCCAACTCCATCATGAAAGTGCTTCCGCCATGCACAGCGCCTTTCCCATGCTGTCAGCATACTTCCACTCTGATTGTCCCAGGCGCCTAGTGGCATGCAAAGTAGGAAGGAAGCATGCTAAACAATCAATGAACAAACTTGGTTTGTTTGTTTTTTTTTTTTTTTTGGTTTTGTTTTTTTAAGTTCGCGGCTGGGAAGAGGTGGGAGGGAAGTGCTGAGGCATGGGGAATAGAATAAGGGCAGATGACAGAAAGATAGAAGCACAGGAAGTGTTTGGAAGGAAAAACAAGAAAGGCTGCTGACGAAAAATACTCCAGAAAAAAAAAACGAAAAAGGTGATCTTTGCCAAGAAAAATGTGCTAATCTTATGCAGCTGAAAGATAGTTAAAGAAACATTGTAAGATTTCTGTCTTCAACTCCTTAATTCTTAATCCTGAAGCATTCCCAAAGGAATAAGGAGTATTCCATGACCTATAGCTATAAGCACCACTTCTCATAATTGTGAACCTCTGTTATGGGCAAAAATAAAATGCCAGGATAGCATTTTTTATTGCCTCAATAAAATTGCAAGGCAATAATTTGCTCTCTAAAAGAGCAGATACCCTTGTGGATCTGTGATTTTTTAAATAGTTAGCAGTTACATATAGCAGTTCCTATGTGTTACACTCTGTTGTGTATTACATGTATCAACTACTGTAATGTTTATAACAGCCCCAGGAAATGCTATTTTTATGCCCATTTTACAGATGAGAAAATAAAGGTATAAAAGGTTTAAAAATGTGTCTGAGGTCACAGAGCTGATAAGTGGAGCTGGAATTCAAATCTAATTTGGCCAGGGTCTGTGCTCCTCACTACCACCCCAAAGAGCCTCTCCTTAGTCATAACTGATTAATAAAATATATCAAATCATTTATTTAAGGTGGCACTGAGTTATCAGTTTGACTTTTTAAGTTCAGTGACCTCAAGTATGCTGAGATGTTTTGGGGACTTCCAAGTAACTACTTAAACCAAAGTCTATTGCTCTATTAAAAGTTCAATTCTAAAAGAGCCATAAACAATATGACCTACAGTCTCAGGCATGCCTGCCTAACTTTTAGGATGATGGGCCCTTAGGCAGCACGGCACTCTCTTCTGCCATCACTGCTATCACACACTCTGAGGATGTGAGATGCTCATGGACCGTGCTGTCTTCATTAAGTTATTCTTCCTCTTGTATTTAAATCACTCATCTCATGTGATATTGCACTCAATGACAAGCCTTCACCCAGCTTCCTCAAAACCAGAACATTTAATTCATTCCTCAGTATCACTGCTTTCTAATTACCTTTGAATTTGATAAAAAATAGGTGGTAAAATACAGATGCCCCTTAATCTGTTACACAGTCTAAAGATGTCAATGAATTGACAGTCCTGGGGGTTTATGGGAAAGGTAACAGGTTTAAGGTAATGGGGAGGCAAGAAAGGACAGGGGTGGTAGGATTGGAGAGAGAACCAAGGGTCAATGAAGACACTGACCTGTGTCTTAAATTAAAATACCAACACCAACAAAAACTCCAGTATTTTAATACTTACATGTAGTATAGTATTAAGGAATGTCTAAATACCAAAAAGGTAGAATGGTAATTACCAACAGAGAGGACAGAATAAGAAATCTTAATGTATGTCTAACAGATCACAGAAAGGAAGATTAGAGACAAGAAAAAGAGGCAGTATTTAATTCTCATGCTGCACAACAAAATAAGAAGCGTTATATTGCTGTGATTTATCAAGATACTAAAAGTCCTCACTAATGCAATAGAAGAAAAATTAAGAAGCAAATAACTAGAAAGCTATTCTATTTGCAGTTGATAGAATGTCTCTACTAAAACATCATGAGATTCTATTAATATACATATTATTTTTGATTAAAAGAGCTCAGAGATTTTAGATACAAGATCAATATACAAAAATAAATAGTATTTATATATACTAGTAATAACCAACTAGAAAACACTGAAGGAAAAATGATATAATTCACAATAGCAATAAAAATCATAAGGTATCTAGAGATACATCTATCAAAGGATGAACAACATCTATATAGTGAAAAGTGTAAAACAGCTTAATAGGCACAAATGAATACAGAATTAACAGAAACATATACCATATACATAGAAGGAAAGGCTCAAATACTCCCCAAATTAATTTCAAGAGCCACTGTAATTCTAACCAAAATTATAAGTAGATATGTTTTGGTGAAATTAAACAATTTTAAAAATTTACTTAAAAGCATAAATAGCCAAAAATATCTAAATCAATTCTAAATAAAAGAAGAACAAAAATAAGAGACGTGCCCTACAAAAGTCAAGATTGATTACAAAACTGCAGTTGTTAAATCATGTGGGATTCACTCATGAATAAATAGACTGGGGCAAGTAGAGAACTGAAAAACAGACCCTAACACCAATGTGAATGTAGTATAAACTGGAGGTGGTGAAACAAACAAGAAAAAAAGACACACTAAGTAAATGATACACCACAGATTCACTCTCTGCCTGGAAAAATAAATTTGATCCATACCTCACACCATACTCAAAAATCAGATGAATTAAAAGCAATGTCAAAACACAACTTTAAAATTTTAGAAAAAAAAAGCTGGGTGTGGTAGCTCACACCTGTAATCCCAGCACTCTGGGAGGCTGAGGCGGGAGGATCACTTGAGCCCAGGAGTTTGAGACCAGCCTGGCCAACCATCTTTAGTAGAGATGGTAAAATCTGTCTCTACTAAGAGTACAAAATACAAAAGTATTTACAATATGTAAAAAATATAAAAATTAGCCAGGCGTGGTGGCATGCACCTGCAGTCCCAGCTACTTAGGAGGCTGAAGTAGAAGAATCAGTTGAACCCAGGAGGAGGAGGTTGCAGTGAGCTGAGACTGCACCACTGCACTCCAGCCTGGGTGAGACAGTGAGACTCCATCTCAAAAAAATAAAAAAATGAAAAAATAAATTTAGAAAAAAAGATATTTTATGACCTATAAATAGGAAAATATTTCTTAAATAGGTAGAGAAAGTAAAATTCATAAAAAAGGACTGAAAAATTGAACTGCATTAAAATTCGGTCCTCTACTTGACAAACGACACCATAAGTAAATTTTAAAGAAAACAGCAGACTGAAATAAGATATTTCTAATATCTAAAACAGATACATTAATAGCAAAAGGGAAATAATAAAATTAGTGGACAAAATATATGACCCAACAACTTAGAATAGATGAAACCCAAAATGACCACTAAACATATAAAAAGATACACAACCTCTTTGGTGTAATTTAGTAAAAACTAAAGTAAAACAACAAAGTCATCACTTCACACCCATCAGAATAGTGCAAATCAAAAAGTCTCAAAATGTTGGTATAAAAGAAAACAGATCTGCTGGTAGAAGTGTACAATGATTCAGAACTCTGACAAGTTTACTGCAATATCCATTAAGGTTAAAAATGTGTATACTATAGAACCCAGCAATTCTGCTTCTTGGCATAGATCCTACAATCATACTCACCTACAGACAGCAAGCAATCCACACATGGATGTCCACTGAAGTATCGTTTGTAACAGTGAAAACAAAAACCCAAACTAGACACACCTAACATGTTTATTGTTAGGGGAAAGGATAAACTGTGGTATATTCATGAGATGAAATAGTAACCAGCACTTAAAATGAATGAACTAAACCTGTATGAATCAATGTAGATATCTAAAAATCTATTCTGAGTGGGGAAAAAAAGTTCCAAAACGTACATGACAGAATAAAAACACAAACTAGAAATGTGCATATCAAATCTATGACAGTGTTTGCTTCTGGGAGGGAGGGCAGAGAAGGGAACAAAAGACTGAGGAGGGGTTTTCGGTCCTGTTACATTTCCTTTATGTTTTAAGTTTTCTTCTTTTTATAATATCCAATTGCTTTTATAAAGAGTACTCTCTGAAGAAAAATGACAAAATGTAAACTTTAATTTTAGATGTCAGATAGAGAGGTGTTTGTTATATCATTCTCTATGTTATTCAGCATTTCACAACCTTTTCAAATTATTTTAAAGACTGCATTTAACAGCTGGACATATAGCCATATCACCATAATTCTTGTCCAGGTCAATATTTAAAACAAGAGGACAGTCTAATTTAATAAAAAGCACAATCCAAAGATCTTCCTACAGTAATATGGGCATAAGGGCTGTCTTTGTGCAAATGCACAGTATTTGACTCAAAATCAGATATAAGCAAAATCAGATTTAAAATCAGGAAGGCAATCAGTCAGTATGTGTCTTCCTGATAAAGGCAACACACAGGAACTTCTAATCTTTTCCTCCAGACAGCACTGACATTGACTGGCACATGTGAGGGCAATTAATAACTCTTCAAAACTGAGACCAATATCTCACTTTTCTTTCTGTTCAAGTGGAAACAGTAAATAAATCAACTTAAAACTTCCAGTAACTACTATACAAAAGGATTTCTCCATTTAAGTTCCAGGTGAAAGCTAACCATGTCTCTGATCTCCCACATTTTCCCATCCAAACCATCAAGGTCCTACCTGGGATCAGGCCTTAGTGCTCTGTCTGCAAGTGCAGCTGACACCTACACCACACAATCGGGAGTCAGGGAGGCCTGCATCGCACCCTGCAGGTTCTCCCTGCACCCTTTGACATCAGCCTTAGCCACAGTGGGGACTCAGTGCAAGCTCAGACTAACCTCATGCAAAGAGTGTCCTATCTCTCTCTCTTTTGTTTTGGTTTTTGAAACAGGGCCTTGCTCTGTCACCCAGGCTGGAGTGCAGTGGTGCAATCATGGCTCACTGCAGCCTCAGACTCCTGAGCTCAAGCAGTCCTCCCACCTGAGCCTCCTAAGTGGGACCACAGGCGCACACCACCACACCTGGCTAATTTTTAATATTTTTTTCTAGAGATAGGGTCTTGCTATGTTGCCCAGACTGGTCTCAAACTCCTGGGATCAAGTGATCCTCCCAACTCAGCCTCCCAAAGTGCTGGGATTACAGGCATGAGCCACCAGGCCTGGCCAAGTATCCCATCTCAAACAGACACACTTTTCTTCTTCTGCCCCAGGCATTCTCCAAAACCATGTAAGCCTACTAAGGCCCAGAAGTGAAACAAAGTCCATTCCCCTGGGAGAACAACCATCAACCAATGAGCACAGGAGCTGGTGGTGCATACATGTTCTGGTTTCCAATAAGAGTCCTTCAGGTAGCCAATTCCAGAGTGTTTCTTTCAGTGTGTCTCAGGAGGTGTCAGTCAAATGACATTCCCGTTGCCCATCACAGCACCCTTACACTGGCATTGCTTCCTTATCTCTCCTCCCTCATTCCTGCTTCTTGACAACATCCCGAAGCTACTTGCCTTCAAATTCTCATCTCCAGCTCTGTTCTCAAGAGAACACAAATGAAGCGAGCAAACACCACCTAGTCCAGCTCTAAATGTATTTTTCTTAATCGTGGATTCTACTTGCATTGGGCCATTCTTCCATTGCTATAAAGAAGTATCTAAGACTGGGTAATTTATAAAGAAAAGAGGTTGGTGCTGGCATCTGCTCAGCTTCTGGGGAAGCCTCAGGGAGCTTTTAATCATAGCGGAAGGTGAAGGAGGAGCAGGAGTCTCACATGGCAATAGCGGGAGCAAGAGAGAGGCAGGTGGGGAAGATGCCACACACTTTTAACCATCAGATCCCACAAAAGCTCACTCATCACCAAGGGGATGGCTCTAGGCCATTCATGAGGGATCCCACCCCACAATCCAACATCTCCCACCAGGGCCCACCTCCAACGCTGGGGATTACATTTCAACGTGAGATTTGGTAGGGCCACAGATCCAAACCATAGTACTACTACTTTCTAAATACTTGAGTGTCAAACAGCATGTGAACACAGACACAAAAATAAACAGGATGAAGTCTCTGTTGTCAAGGAACTCACAAATCTAGCAAGGCAGAATTCGCACACACTTGTCATAAAATGTGACAATGGGTAATGTCAAGGCGGGTACAAAATATACCAGAGCACTGAGGAAAGGGTGACTGCTTCTGCTTGTGGAGATGCTCCCAGCTCACATCTTTTTCCTCTTCTAACTGATAGGGCAGCATTTACAATGGTTTCCAATCATCCTTGGCTCCTGGCCTTCATACCTTTTTTTAGTCTGTCCTTGAGTATGGGATTTAGTGGTTCACTTCTAAGGACTAGAATACAACGGAAGTGAGGAGGTGTCACTTCCCAGATTAGGTTACAAGACTGTAACTTCTCCTTCCAAGAAGAAGGAGGGACTGCCCTCTCTTGCCCTCTCCCATGCTCCGTCTGATGGAAGTGAGTTGTCATGCTATGAGCCGTCCTATGAGCAGAAGAACATGACAAGGATCTAAGTGGGCTTGGAAAGCAGGTGGTGCCCCAGTCCAGCCTTGAAGTAGCTGCAGCCCCAGCCGATACCTTGATATTAGCCTTGTAACAGACCTGGTGCCAGATCACCCAGCTAAGCTGCATCTGGATTCCTGATTCACAAAAACTATGACATGGTAAATATTTGTTGTTTGAAGCAGATATGTTTTGGAGTCATTGGTCACAACTCCATAGATAACCAGTATACACACTAATCATGATATTAAATCACCAAAATATGGATAAATAGTCTAGGCAAAGAGTGTCTGATACCTGATTCTTGTTCTTTCACATACTCATTCAATAAGCATCTACTGTGTGCTAGGCAGTATAGGCACAAAGCTTAACTTTTAAAAATGACACCAGCCGGGGGCAGTGGTTTACACCTGCAATCCTGCTACTGGGGAGGTTAAGACCAGCCTGGGCAATATGAGGAGACACCATCTTTTATAAAAATAATAAATAAATAAATAAAAATGTCAGTCCCTGCCTTTGTGGAAAAAGCAAATTTGCAAAATTTGTAGCAAATCTATTTATGCAACTTCCCTAACTTATTTTAAACTATGATTTGTTATAAATGTTTAATTTCTACTGACCCTTTAAGTAATTTATTAAATATATAATTAAAATAGCTTTGCTAAATTAAATGCACTTTATGTTTGATGCAAGATACTTAAAGGTTTATTCAATCTGTTTAAAACATAAGTTATATATTTAGAAAAGAATTCTGATTTCCTTTTCCACAAAAAATCCTTGCAGGAATTAGGTCTTTTCCTTCCATTCATTCAAAAAACTATTCCCACAGGCAGAAAACCCATGAAGCAGTGAATTGAAAAACTTTATGTCCAAACATTCTGTAATATTTTCCAAATCAACTATTTTGAAGTCTACATTCTCCTCTTTCTGATGAGACTTAGTAACTTCTGCACAAACTCAGAATAAACATGTAAGCATTACTGAACAAGATTACTTAGGTGAGACTTCCATCTTCTGTGATATAACTTTTCCCTCTCACCATATACTAACAAGAAGGGACAAACCCATAAAAACAGGAGGGTTCTTTCTCACTTATTCATGAAACACTTCTTTAATACTATTTATTTTTAAAAATACCATCAGCTTTTCCACAGAATCCTAAGCATCCTACATAAAGAAATATGATCATTTAGAATAAATAGAAAACAAAGATATGGGGAAATGATTTTTCAGTGACCTACACACAGACACACACACGGGACCTATTAAACCTATGACTAGACCAGTTACACTTACTCCGGGTAGATTAAATTATCACACTGGTTATGCAGGCTTTTCGAACATGCCTCTATTTTCTTCCCATTAATAGAATCCACTTTAACTAACATGACTTGAACAAAAGTTCACTTTCATTAGAAGCAATAACTTGACTCTACCAGTCATGGCACAAGGCCATGAACTAAGGAATAGAAACCAGAATATATGGGAGGAAAATCACAAAGGGACTTGATTTATTAACCACCCTCCTCTTAAGACTCACTCTGGGCTTTGACCAGGGTGTACCATCCACTATGACACTGTTGAGAAGAGTATGTCATTTCTGTTTTCCACTTTCAAACAGGATCCTACAGTCTTCCTCCTCAGCTCATCATATTTTCTGCATCCCTCTTTCTTCACGCACCAAAGGGAATATAATGAGAATTCTATTTAGGGAGGGAAGATAGTTTACATTTCATTAGGATATCCTTTGAAGATTACTGACAACTATCTCTGTAACTTACTTAAACCCACTGACACAATGGAGCTCCGAGAACTTGCATTGCAATGGTATTTTCTATACAAAAGATTTATCTGTGTTTCTAATTTGGGGGAAAAATGTAGCCAAAAGTACAGTCTAAATGAATTTCAGTTGTGCAAAAATCCAGCCCAACTTCTCCCTCAAAATCATTTTGCGGTAAGAAAGGGCCAGACCATGGTACAAATTGTGAAGCCAAGGAGATACAGATTTGTATCCACACAGACAAGCGTTACGGTGTCCAGGGAATTTGTCAAACATCTCTGAGCCTCGGTTTCCTCTTCTATAAAATGGAGTTAATAGGCCAGGCACGGTGGCTCATACCTGTAATATCAGCCTTTTTGGAGGTCGAGGAAAGCAGATCCGCTTGAGCCCAGGAGTTTGAGACCACCCTGGGCAACATGGCAAAACCCCGTCTCAACAAAAAGTACAAAAATTAGCCCATGGTAGTGCATGCGTGTAGTCCCAGCTACTCAGCAGGCTGTGGTGGGAGGACCACCTGAGCCTGGGAGGTTGAGGCTGCAGTAAGTCATGATTGCACCACGGCACTCCAGCCTGGGTGACAGAGTGAGACCTCATCTCAAAAAGAAAAAGGAGTTAATAATGCCTAGCTATTTTGAGGATTACAGCTTATATATCTATATATATACAGTGTCTATCACATTTACTATTTAGTAAACTTCCATTATAACATGGTAGATTATTATATATTTTCAAAATAGTCCACCACATTGAACCCAGTACTAAAACTGTTCATGGAAATTACTATTCATTAAATATACTGGGAGTTTAGCTAATGTCAGATAACCTCGCCAGATTATACAATAAGGGGATCAAACTAAAGGAACCTCCAAAACCTATCTAGCTCTAAAATAAATAACACAATGAAATTAGGCACACTTAGCAAGTCTGAAAACAGTCAAAAAGAAGGGTATAGACAAAAATGTTCCCAAAAAGAATTATTCCACAATTAGCTACTGCTCATTTTCAGGAGGAAGTCTGCACCAAGGAAACGCTGATACAAATAGGGGCTCCACTAAGAGAAGTGCATGCACTATAGTAATCCACTGATATGTGGTGTTAATAAAAATAAAAAGGGATTTAGATACATAGCACAGGTTTTTAAAACATTAAGAAAACGGTGACTCTGAAGAGTCATTTCCTAAGGAATAAAAGGGACAGCAAGCTGCAACAGTATCTCACATGAATTAAACTGTCCTTTAAGAGCAATGACCAACACAAAAAGAATGCATCTGAGGCTACTCAAGGCATCCTTATGGTTCTTGCCATAGGTGTTAAATTTTGTGTAACAAAAATTTGTTACTAAGAGGTTGCCTCAAATTGGCTAGCAGCCTAATAAATTAGACGGCTGCTCCTGCCCACCCTCCTATTAAACCCTGGTTAAGGAGATGCTCTACCCAACTCTTTTTCTCTTCTCTGAGCCTTTTTGCTGAGGCTTTGAATAGATAGATACAAAGACAGACAGACAGAAAATAGAGAGTGTAGACTTCAAAGTAGTTGATTTGGGAAATATTACAGAATGTTTGGACATAATAGACAGATAAGATTAGATTATGGCTCTTACAATAAACAGGGCCAAGATGGAATATTGTGCTAAAATCCCATTTGATTTGAAAATGTTTTGAAACCATTCGAAATTGTAAAAGACATTATCATCCATGGGGAAATGTTGCTGGGCATGCACCGAGTGTAAATACTGCCTAAGCAGCCTCTACTTGCAGGAGAAACCCTCTCTCCATTATAAGAGAACACATTTCTCAAATGTATGCATTTTTTTCTTCAAAAAAAAAAAAAAAAGGCTTAAAATGGTGGCAACATCTTGGGTCAGGGTTGTGCAATTTAAGTTGAATCAGAAGACACACTGAAGGATATTAATGAACACTCTGAAATGGAGTAATTTCTGTTAGGCAAGAACCAGTTCCTTTTTTTAAAAAAAGTATACAGGTTAAGTAATCCTTCTCCAAAATGCTTAGAACCAGAAGTATTTCAAATTTCAGGAGATTTGGGAATATTTGCATATAATGAGACACCTTGGGGAAAAGACCCAAGTCTAAACATGAGATTCATCTGTGCTTCTTACACACCTTATACACATATCCTGAAGGTAATTTTAATAATTTTGTACATGAAACCAGGCTGACTGTGGTTTGACTGTGACCAATCCACACACGAGATCAGGTATGGAATTTTCCACTTGTAGCATCATGTTGGCATTCAAAAAGTTTCCAGTTTCACAGCATTTCAAATTTCAGATTTTCAGATAAGAGATGCTCTACCTGTAGTTCAATGTGGCCACACAGAAGAACTCAAGCATCGGCTACGTGTAGACAGACAGAGCGAACAAACAAAGGAATGTTTGACAACTATGAACAAAAACACCTTGATTTTGACATTCACTATTTTGATAACTTCAGTTCATTTTATTTCTCTGAAATTCAGTGTTCTTAACCGAAAGATGAAGTAATGAAGCTAGATTAAATCGAAGGTTTCTCTCCTAGACTTAAAATTCTACAATTCTCTAATTCTAAAGCACCTCGGGCTTCAGCTGTTGAGGCAAAAGAATGCTTTATTTTTTATTTTTTAACAGAAAAGCTCTAAACTTGAACTCTGGAGGAGTTACAGAGGCAATAAAAGGCAAATCAGGCAAATTCTTTACCTGGAATTCTGCAGTGAGTCAGAGGATGTGCAGGGACAAGAATCCAGAATTCATCATCTTTATTCTGGCTGATGTAACCACTATAAATAATTGCCTCATGCCTGTGAGGTAATATGCTTTTGCCAAGGACCCCATTAACATCTAAGCAGACCTTGAGAGAGTCTCCTCTATTGTGCACACAGCTTTTATCAAATTATATTTCTTTTTAAACTTTCTGCCCTGATTATAAAAATAATACATAACATAGATTCCTAATGGAACAGCTCAAAAACACAAAGAGAATTAAAATCAACTGCTAACTCCAGCCCTTGAAAATAACAAATATTTATTGACCATGTATTGGGGATGTAACGGGGGCAAGACAATTTTCTTGATCTTAAGAAGTTTACAGACCCACAGGGTGGAAAGAGACAGGCAAGAGGCAGTTCCACAGATTCTCACCAGAGCTCGGCTAGGTGATGGTGGTCTGCAGAAGGAACGCCTTGCCCTGAAGAAGGAACGCCTTACCCTGGCTTACTTCTCTGGGCAAAGAAATGCTCAAGTGAACTCCAGGAAAGGAGGAGATGGAGTAAATGAAAAAGGACAGGAGAAGAGAAAAGGGGGGAGGAAAGCAGAAGAGGAGTAGGGTAAAGAGAGAGGGGAAAGGGGAGGTGGAGGGGAGAATAGACAGGAGGAGGGAACTGGATGCAGAAGGAAGGAGAACCAGCCAACAAACGGAGAGACTCCTCAGGAGGAGGGCACAGATGTTTCCTTAGCGAAGACTTGATAGACTCTAGTTTCTGCCTGCTTCCTCAGCTTCGAATTGGGGTATGAACCAGAATAGAACAAACTGGACAAAACTAGACAGAACCCCCCAAAATTTCCATCAGCTCTGCAACAATGCCACAGGGTCAGCCTCTAGACATGGAACCCCAGTTTGGCTTATGACCCCCTCATCACAATACAAAGATGCATAAAGGAGTCAAGGAAACCTAGAGCAAGGACACCCCTAATCATCCATAATGGGGATATTGAGAGTCATTATTTCACTGAGTCCAACAGGTTTCCTGTTTTGCAGAGGCTCTGACCCTGGACAAAATTCCATCGCTTTAACTCATGATGCAGGAAGAGCATAACGCTGGGGAACGCAGCATAAAAGGCAATCCTCTCCACATGTTTGACAGAGTTTTCTGATATGAGCACACCAGACATCCCAGCTGCTCGTGCCATGTGTATAAATGCTGCAGCTACAGACATACATGTGGTCTGGCAAGAGGGTCTATGGAATTGGATCTTAAATCATGAGTACAACTTTCATAAGTAAACACACTGGAGAGAAGAGGAAGAAAACTAGGAAGAAAAGAAGGAAAAGAAATAGAGAATTTTAAAAAATCACTAGGCGGGATTTTCTGTTCCATACATCCTAATCCTCACAAAACTGCATCTAAGAGTCGACAGATGAGAACAATTATTTAGAGCACAAGTGATAAAAGGCAATAACAATATAAAGCTTTTTGCAGACTTGCCACATCAGCTATTTATCACTGTCAAATCATTTAGGTTAAAAAATTATAATAACGGAGGCTAACTGATCATTGGTGAAGTCATGCCTAGTAATTCTTAGTAAACAAACAAACAAAAAAAACAACCTGCCTGCTTTTAAGAGGTTAGCAGAGTAAAAGCACAAATATACTAATCCTTCAAAGAAGAAAAAACTTAGTATTTTATGACAAATGTTACTGAAATAAATTTGCATTCCTTATCGCCTTTTTTCTGCCTCTTCTAACATCATAAACAAATTATTTACATATAAAGCATGTTTTAATTGTAAAATAACAAAGAATAAGAAAACTTTGTAGAAGAAAAAAAGCAAGACATTTTAGAAAGGGGATACACTAAATTTACTTTGACACCAAAATAAAAATTTCTGAATATTCAAAAGAAAAAAATCTTAAGCAAATAGTAAGCAAATTAAAACCCCAAAAGAGTAGGATACTTTTTGTTCCAAGTAACAAAATACCCAAATCACAGTGACTTAAACAATATAAAGGATTTATCCACTGGGGCAACACAAAAGTCCAGCAAGAGGTTTTGCTTAGGACAACATTTGATCCAGTGGCCTTACAGTGGCTGTAAGAACTTGATTTCTTTCCAAGTCTTGGCCTCACCTTTCACGGCACTGCCATTTTCCTAAAACAATCTTTCTTCATACACCCAGTGTAGCTTTGAGCTACTGTTAAGGTTTTTCTTTTTTTTTTTTTTTTTTTTTTTGAGAAGGAGTCTTGTTCCAGCACCCAGGCTGGAGAGTAGTGGCACAATCTCAGCTCACTGC
This sequence comes from Homo sapiens, assembly GCF_000001405.40. Classification (NCBI taxonomy): domain Eukaryota; kingdom Metazoa; phylum Chordata; class Mammalia; order Primates; family Hominidae; genus Homo; species Homo sapiens. Next base: position 66,847,759 of record NC_000005.10, on the reverse strand, counting down.
AACTTCCGCCTCCCTAGTTCAAGTGATTCTAGTGCCTCAGCCTCCCAAGTAGCTGGGATTACAGGCTCCCACCACCACCTCCAGCTAATATTTGTGTTTTTGTTGTTGTTGTTGTTTTATTTTTTGAGATGGAGTCTCGCTCTGTCACCCAGGCTGGAATGCAGTGGCATGATTTCAGCTCACTGCAACCTCTGCCTCCTGGGTTCAAGCAATTCTCCCTGCCTCAACTTCCCAAGTATCTGGAATTACAGGCGTCCACTACCACGCCTGGCTAATTTTTGTATTACTTAGTAGAGATGGGGTTTTGCCATGTTGGCAAGGCTTGTCTTGAACTCCTGATCTCAGGTGACCTGCCTGCCTCAGTCTCCCAAAATGCTGGGATTACAGACGTGAGCCACCATGCCTGGCCCTGTTAAGGTTTTGTATCTCCCAATTAATGTCCAACAAGAAAAAGCATCTTTGCCTCAGCAGTCCCAGTAATGGGACAGAAATTCACTCTGCTAGACTTAGTGTACGTCACATGCCATCCTTGTGGTCCCTGGGACAGAATTAAGACAGATCTACATCAAATGCTCCCCTCGATTTGAATCCGTGTCAACTTTTCCAAAACCATCTTTTGGCCCTACTTTTCATGGCACTACCATCTTCCTAAACAAGCTTTCTTTAAACACTCAATATAGCTCTCAGTTATTGTTGAGGCTACGTATTTCCTAATTAATGTCCACTAAGAAAGAAAATCTTTCCCAAATGGAAAAAAGGGGGCTGATAAAGAAGGCACTGGAGAAATGAGTGCCAGGGAGGTAGACACCACCAGGAAACCACACGTTCTAATGCAGGAAGATCTGAATTTAGTTAAGTCATACAAAGTTATAGGCAAATTATATACAACTCAAAATTATTTTCCATAATAAAATTAATAAATGTTCCAGACACCATTTTACCTCCATGAGCCCCTTAGATGTCTTTCATCCTATCTTACAAGAACTAAAATTAACTTAAACAGCAACTAAAATTTTAAATCTCCTTTTTCTGGCCTTATTCATTTTTCTGTTTACCAGCCTGACTCTCCATATACCAACTAATTTATGGAATTCAGCCTTCAAGAGAATGTTCCAGAAATTTTATACCATAACATACCTCTTCTGATAGAATTACATACTTTATAATTTACAGTCATGGATTAACTCTATTTTCTCCAGGACTCAAGTCATTAATCTATAGCAACAAACTAGCTGTACCTCCATAGACCAGGAAAGCCTGCCTCTTAGTATAATGGACATTATCTCATCCTGCCTCTCATGGATAAAATATCAAGAACTAATATCCCTCTCTAAGCCTACAATTGAAAAAAATACATCATAGCTTTAGCTCCTCAAGGCTATTGGAGAAGTATGGATATGTGGAACTCATCACAATTTTTCTACCAAACTAACCACCTTCGCATAGATACCCTAACCACACCCATCTCTGAGCTTCCGTGTTATCCCAGATACAACTTCTACTGAACTTGTCACAGTGGATGATAACTGTAAGTTGGGCCATCAGTCTGGCCTGCTTCAGAGAGGCAAAAAAGGGTAAGACCATTAAGAATGCGGCCAAACTCTCTGGATTTCAATCCAGGTATCTAAGTTTGAAGCTAGACTCTGTCACTTATTAATTCTATGAATTCACTAAAGGTCAGGTAACTCTCCAGTTTTCTTCTCTAAAAACTGAGGACAGCAGCACCTCCTCCAAGGGTATGTGATAGAAATGAAATGAACTGATACATGTAAAGCACTCAGAATGGCACCTGGCACTTAGAAGTTCAATAAATGTTATGTTTATAATTCTTTCATAGGATACTATTTTCAAAAGCATCCTTGAAGTCCCAGCACAGAAGAGGGCCAAATATATACTGCCCAATAAATAAATGTCTATTTATTTATTCATTTGGTCCACTAATCTTAAAGTGTTCCTAAAGATTAGTGACCTTATCAGGAAACAACAGGTGCTGGAGAGGATGTGGAGAAATAGGAACGCTTTTACACGGTTGGTAGCAATGTAAACTAGTTCAACCATTGTGAAAGACAGTGTGGCGATCCCTCAAGGATCGAGAACTAGAAATACAATTTGACCCAGCCATCCATTACTGGGTATATACCCAAAGGATTATAAATCATGCTACTATAAAGACACATGCACACGTATGTTTATTGTGGCACTATTCACAATAGCAAAGACTTGGAACCAACCCAAATGTCCATCAATGATAGACTGGATTAAGAAAATGTGACACATATACACCATGGAATACTATGCAGCCATAAAAAAGGATGAGTTCATGTCCTTTGTAGCGACATGAAGCTGGAAACCATCATTCTGAGCAAACTATCGCAAGGACAAAAAACCAAACACTGCATGTTCTTACTCATAGGTGGGAATTGAACAATGAGAACACTTGGACACAGGGCGGGGAACATCACACACCGGGGCCTGTTGTGGGGTGGAGGGATGGGTGAGGGATAGCATTAGGAGAAATGCCTAATGTAAATGACGAGTTAATGGGTGCAGCAAACCAACACGGCACATGTATACATATGTAACAAACCTGCACGTTGTGCACATGTAACCTAGAACTTCAAGTGTGTGTGTGTATATATATATATATATATATATATATATATATATATATATAAAGATTAGTGACCTTAATGGGTCAGTGTTATTTTCCAGGTCCTCCTTTCTTCTTGTGCCTCAGGCTTTCCCTGGCTAATCTCCTCCACTCCCATGGCTTCATTTAGCACCCATAAGATAATGACACCTAGATTGTTATCTCTAGGCCATTTGCATCCTTCTCTCTCCAAGCTCATATGTATCCTTCTTATCTATTGGATCTTTCCCTTTGAATTTCTCAATAGGACCCAAAATGTAAGGTGAATGGAACAATAATCACCGCCAAACTCAACCACTGATGCCAGGCTTCTGATAACTCCATAGCTGGATGAGCATCCTCTTAAGTACTCTTACAGCACTCTTTATACTCATCTACTTATCCCTTTCTTGAGCATCTACTATGTGTCATGTCAGGCTAACCATCATAGTACTCACTCTGCATTGTCTAGTTACCAGTCTGCCATCTCCACTTCTGGCCATAAGCTCCCGGAAGACAACCAGAATTGGGTCTTATTTGTCCTTGTTTAACCAGCCTGGCACAAAGCAAAAATGCACAACAAATATCCGTTGGGTGAGTGAATGAATGTTCCCATAAGACTGGTCCAATGATGACCCCATAGAGCTAAAACACTTCCCGTAGATCACAAGTTAATACCAAGAGACAACAGTAGTAGGAAGAATGTAGCTGATTACTGTTTTCAGCATACAGATAAAATCCAAAGATGCTCCAAGAAATCAACATTCTTATACTATGTCCAAAGTGGTTCCATTAATACTGATGAAAAGAACATAAATGTGTGCCTGCATTTCAAAGCTGAAAAGGTCATAGGAGTCCATAACTGAGAAAACCCAGGAGGTAAGGGGAATTGTGGATAGCAGAAACCAACAACCCATAATCCCCCCGCCCCAACACACACACACACACACACACACACACACACACACACACACACACACACACACACACAGGCTGACTGGGACCAGCTGTTAAAGATGAATGCCAGACTTTACACCAGCTTTCAGTTTAGAACAACCTAAGGAAAGTGTCTGACAATGACGGGAAGGGCTATTATAATGAAAGACACCCTCCTTGCATGAGGAGGCAGGAAATGATGCAGCCACTGGGCACCACCACCACTATCCCCGCCAGCACATCCATCTGAGCAAATCTGAAAGCCTGGGGGTGAGGGGAGCTAAAACCTGAGATAATTCATGAAACTACGAAAGAGGGTCCAATTCCATTACTTTGTGCAACCGCTTTGTGCTCCAAGTATGAGCCGCTAATATACCCTGGCTGTGTATCAAAATTCCCATGAATATTTGTTATTTTTCCCAGAAAATTGACCCTACCTAGAAATTACAGAACTTCAAAGGCAGCAAAGAGAACTGGTAAAGTCTTTTTTGATATGGCTCCCAGAAAGTGACAGAAAGTGACTCAATTCAAACCATCATCAACACTCTATGGGGACATAAGGCTTAACAAAGAACTTCACTTAAGTCTATGTTCCTTCTTCCAAACTTAATGCCGGATACTCAGCCTCATCACATATTGAAGACTGTATCAGAAAATGTTAGTGCTAGCACCAATAGGCATTAGGCAGTAGACTCAGTTGGGGGAGTCTTGGATCTGGCTAAGAAAATCATTCTCCTCTCTGTTAAGCGACCATAGCTCAGAGAAAAAAAGGATTCTGAAGGCACTAACTGTTCAGGAAGGCTAACTTGTAGATCAAATGACAGAGGAACTATCTTGCTGACACACAATATTCTTTTTCAAGTGCTTGACAAATGAAAAGTGGTGGATGACTTAAAAATACAAATGAATGGACAGCACGGAAAAGAGTATTCTGTTTCAGGACCACTAACGTGACAACTATCAAACAAAGAAAATGTGCTTTGACATTAATGTGCTATCTCATAGAAGCCTTTTAAGCAGCACATTCCAAAGATTCCATTTTTTTCTGAGGCACAACAATATAAAAGAGGTTTTGAATCGTTCCCCATTTTACATGGAGTAGATTTAAAAGACAGTGGTAGATAAGGCATTGGCAAAGGTGTATATGTAAATGTATATATACAGACACACGGAGGAGTTCATTTAAGGGCTGCATTTCAAATTATTTTGATTGGTCTAGGCTAGTGTTAGTATTAAAGATGCAAAGTTTCATTCATGAAATTTTAAATAATGGTGATAAGATTTATCTAGACATACAAGCGGAACCTAAATATAAGGCACATGAATAATAGAATGTGCATGAAATTTGAATGCTTATTTTTCAGAAAAAAACAAAGAACTGAATGTGTGAATTCTTAGAATCTCTAAGCTAGTCTGTATTTGCATTTCAATAGCTTGCAAGGTAAGCTCTGTGAAATAGGTCAAATGTATAGACTCTCATCTCGCCTCCACCACAAATCAGTCAATTAGCTTCTAGAGAGAGTGGCACCCAGAAGTTAATATCCAGGATCTCAAAACCTATTCCTGCTGATACAGATCAAAATAATTTCAAAGCAAGTATGTTGAAGACACAGGTTTTCTATGGAACAAATTCTGGATAGGAAGCATACAATACCAGGAGCTACCAGCTAATGTGGTCAGTGAACCCACACGTGGAAATGAAACAGACAAGGCAGTGTACAACAACATTTGGCGGGGCGGGAGGGGGTAGGGGAAGGAGCCACACACAAAAATCAGGAGGTGGAAAGCCAACACATCAAAACATTTTTCCAGGCAGAAAGGTAAAAAGGTGTTTGGCAAATTTTGTCCATTTAAAACAAAAGCATTTTAGATGCCTTCTCTGCTACATTGATTAATAGAGACATGCTATACATGAGGTCCCCTGTGATTCCACACCCTACCCTATTCACCATGCCCTCTAATGCTGAATCTCTACTAATTTGCATTTTGTAATTCTGCAATCAAAAGCCTTTACTGGTTCCACATTAGCAACTCCTTGCCATTTATAAATCCCCTTATTCCAAAGAGTTACTGTTTTAAAGCCCACAGAAGCAAAAGGATTGTACAATAAACACACAAGTACTATTTGAATGACCTTATTAATATATCATGCCTTCCTAATTGCAGCACTTTTGTTCCTTCAATTCCTGCCTTCCACAGTCTTTCTTATTTCATTGTAATGTAAACAGGGATTGCTAGAAACCAAGAATTAAGTCAAAAGTACAAGGCCTTACGTATGGCTCATAATACAAACTCAAAAACTAGGCATGGAAAACTCAGCTTAAAGAAATGAGTAAATAAGAGAATGCAGGAATATATGAATTGTGAACATAATAAAGCTATTTTTATTAAGTACCCATTTGCCTCGCCAGAGCTAGCCCTGTGGTATGAATGTGTGTATCCCCCTCCCCAAAGTTCATATGTTGATGCCCTAATCCACAAAGTGATGGTATTAACATTTAGAGATGGGGCCTTTGGGAGGTAATTAGGATTAAATTCGGTTATGAAGGTGGGGCCCTCATGATGGGATTAATGCCCTTATTAAAAACAGAAAAGACATGAGATTTCTTCTCACCATATAGCAAGAAGGCAACTGTCTGCAAACCAGGAAGAGAGCCCTCCCCAGAAACCAAATCTGCTGGCACCTTGATTTTAGACTTCTGAGTCTCCAGAACTGTGGGCAACAAATGTCTGCTGTTCACACCACACAGTCTATGCCATTTTGTTAGAGCAGCCAGAACTGACTAAGACAGTTAGATATTTGCCTACCATTGGTAGAGTCATTGTAATAATCCTGTCAGGTAATTTTTAGTATCTTCATATTACAGAAAATGAATCTAAGCCTCAGAAAAGTTTTAACCTGCTCCAGAGTCACAAATGTAGAATTTGGGAAAGCCATATGATGCAAGGGAAGGAGAAGAGGAGGCTCAGCTGTCTACAAATACAACAGTAACAGCAGCCACAACTTATTAGGAACTTGTGGTGTTTTTACTTTCTGCTTCACACTGCTTTAAGTAATTTACATGCACACATCTTATTTAGTTTTACCACATTCCTGGGAGGTAAGTAATATATCTTATTGATGGCAAAATAAAGCTTAGAAGAAAACAGCATGCCCAAGAAAATAAAGCCAATAAGTGGTGGGCCAACATTCAAACAGAAATTTAATAGACTTCAGTGCTTCCAGTAGTGTGCTTCAGTGCTCTTAACCACAACATATGCTTGTCCCCCATATTAGTCATCTTTGTCATCATAAAGCTGGGTAACAACTCATTACGAAACTTAGTGGCTTATTCTCACATTTGTAGGTCTAGAGGGAGAATGTGGGTCTGTTGGTCTTGACTCCAGGCTACAGGTTCACGTAGGTCAGCTCCACAGAGGTTTGTTCTGGGACCCAGAGTAAACAGGCAGTAGCTACCCTGGGTATATTCTTCTCAAGATAGATGACCAAAGCACAAGACTTTGAACCTGCAGAAGCATATTTTAAGCCTCTGCTCATGATACATCCACTAATAGCTCATTGGCCAATGAACAGTCACATGGCTGAGCCCAGAGTCAAGAGGTGGAGGGCAGGCTCTGCCTATCATGAGGCCAAGCAAGGAATGAATGTACATGTCTATTACAGGAAGTAAAAAATTTAAGGATTGAATCTATCACACTACCCAAGTTTGATTCATAGTAACCATATTGTCTCTTAGCTTGATTGCTAAACAGAAATGGAAAATGAATCTGTGAGCTTAACAATCTATATTTGGAATATAGTTTTAAAGAAAAAATAGAGTCAAATCAATCTTGAATCAATATAATTCAATCTTTACCTTCATTCACAACGATGCTAAAATTGAGAAAACAGGTAATTAAAAAAGATAAAACAATCACTATCTCATCATGAAAAATGTTAAGATAAAAATATAAAATGAAATATTTCTAGACCTAGCTTCTAAATTTTAGCACAAAGCTAAAAAATTTTCATTTTAAAATTTCCAATTAGAAAATATTTAATGTTTTCTCTCATCATTTTGAGCTAGTTGTTACAGATTCTACGTCTGACTTCCTACCACTTTCCTGAGGAGTGCATATTCTCAACATACTAAACTACTAGGCCAAAGCTCAAAAAAAAAGTGAAGCTAGTAAAATTAAGCTTGTATTCTCATTTGTTGCCCAAGAACGCGTCAGTTTAAAAAAAAAAATTGTCAATATGATGCAATGGCTTTGTGAACACACACACACACACATGCACAAAGAAACTGGAAACAGAGTGCAAGAAAACTGATAAAAATGTACATGTCATGTGTTTTTCTTAGTTGAACACCCATCTTCAATTACAGATACTCCATTCAAATGGAACAAAAATCTTGGCTGAATTTGATGTAATCTCACTCTTTTAAATTCACTCACTGTTCAAGTAATACAGTACACCAACCTCATCATCTTCATTTAAAAATAAATTGCTTTTTCCATTACAGCCTCTAGTTTGAGATGTTTCATTCTGCCTTTCAAAAACTGTATTGGAATGAGACTTGTAGGCAAGTTGTCAAAGTTGGAAGCAATTTGGGGAAAAAAAAAACCTACACATCTTCAAAGCTGGACATATTATTTTCAAGGCCTGATACTAAACCACAGAACTACTTTGTGCACCATGTAATTTTAACCATTCCTGCAAAATAAGTGTTAAAATACACATTATGGTACAATTCTGGAAAACCATTCTAACAGAAATCTATGAGTCTGGGAGAAATTGCATTTTCTCTTTATTCACAGTCTAGTTCAATTAATTATTATAGTTGGTAACTTTACAGTCTCTCTCCAGGCTTGAGCTCTCTTTAGAAGTTTAAAACTACATATCCAACTGCTTACTGAACATCTGCACCTAGATGGCTTCCACAGGTACTTCAAACTCAAGATTCACAGAACGAACTAATTCTCTTCTCAGCATCCAAGTCACATTTATCTCTTGCTCTTGTTTCTAATCCCTAACTCCTGAAACCATAAGGTCACCTCAAGCTTCTTCCATCTCTCTTTTGCCAACCATCAACAGGTCACCATGTCCTGTTAATTCTACCTTCAGTTGCCTTTCTCCATTTCACTGTCACCACCTCGGTCCAGCAGCATCATCTACCACCTCCTCATTTCTAAATTCCTAGCTGTTTATCTTACTTCTTTTCTTGGCCTCTTCCTAAGCATTCTTCATTAATAGTTGACAGAATAGTTCACAGTTGATAAAATATTTCTATGCCCTGATTACAGTCTTTCAATGGCTTCCTATTGCTAGACTATGAGGCCCAAATCCCTGAACACAGACAGCATCATTCTTGAGACTCTGCTAAACACTTCCTGCTTCCCACATGCACTATTTGCAATTCCTTGAAAAAGATGCACCCTGTTCAGCCACCACACCTTGCACACACTGTTGCTTCCTCCGCCTAGAATCCTCATCTTGCCTAATCAGTACCTGTTCATCCTTCACCATCCGGCAGAAATATCTCCACCTCCATGAAGGCTTCCCGGCTTCCTTCCGCAGAGCAGGGCACCATGCTCAAGGCCCCTGTATCTTGACTGATGATAGTTGTAGCATTTGCTATTTCAGAAACTGTTGTCTGTCTCACCTACCATAACAGAAACCCTTCACAGGTCAGTGTCATATTCCACTCATTTTTGTACTGCTAGAGTCTAAGATAAAAGTACAATAGGGTAAGTTTAAGACACAGCACACAGTTCTCTGACACAAACAGTTCAATATATGCTATTATTATCATTAAACATTTATTGAAAGAAAAGCAAAGAATGGGGTTCTGTCCTTGACTGCCTCATCAAAAAAGCACATACATTCACAATCTAAATAAAATAGCCAATGTTTTGAGAGCTCAAACATGTACATTATTGAAGAGTATCTAAGATAAAGGTTTCCAAATCACAGGCATTATTGTCTCTAGCATTAGGAAAACATTTTAAGGGACAAAGCAACTGTCTCATCATGCCCTGGAGGTGGTTTTCTAATGGAAACCATGGAGCATGTCCAGCAATTTTAAAAACATAAAACTGCACCTGGACACTACCAGTGCCATGGGTCCCTTAGAGGTAATGGTCTAGAGCTGCCTCCAGCTACCCCACTATGATAATTGCCCCCCAAGGCAGATTGGTTAATGGTTTGAGCTCTCATGTTACTATCATTGTTGTTATTTGGAAGCTCAACAAACAAATATGGTGAGTATATCCACCTTCCAAACACCTCCACATTAAAAAAAAAAAAAAAAAAAAAAATATATATATATATATATATATATATATATAAAATCAAGTCTCACTTGAGACTTGATAGAAAGGAGACCAAAGCACTGACATACATTTTAAAGGCTGTCAAACCTTACATTTGGATATTGAGAAGTTGTAGGTTTGATGATCTGGGAGTTACCTGGACCCCTAGTCCCCTAAGAGCAGTGGGTTTCAACTCTGGCTGCACACCACTGAGAGATGCTAATTGAATTGCTGTGATTGTATCTAGACTATAGGCTTTAGGAAGCTTTCCAGGTGGTTCAATAGGGCAGCCAGCTACAGGTGAACCACGTCCTAAGGGTTAGAGACATGCACCAAATTAAAGTTGATTTATCTTGCTTAATTCCAAAAGACAGCACAAAATAGAAAAGAGCCTTGAAGGACCTTTCATTGATGGTGCTAAATACTACATAAAGGCTTTTCTTAGACAATGAAGGAAAGCAAAGTTAAAAACAGGCACCCAAAACCCACTTATTTAACTAATTATAAAGTAAAACATGCTTACTGTTGGATGGTTCAAAGAAAAATTTATATCCCACTAAGATATAATGAATATTAACATTTTAGTACATTTTCATGTTATTTTAGATGATAATGATGAAGAAAAAGAAAATACGTTCTCAACGTTAACTACAATACATATTTTTAAGCTTTCCATACCTCATTTGAATTCATACTCAGCAACTCTGCTAAAATTAAGTGCTAGTGTTTTATTGGTGAGGAATTAAATAGCCTAGCCAACATCAGGCAGTAAGAGGTAGAGACAATGTTAACATTCAAAAGCTCATGAATGCTCTTTCCTTCTATCCCACTAGGCTACAGTATACATACACACACACACACACACACACACACACATGATCCTGCATGGTCTTTTACCCAGACACATGTATGTATGTCTATGTATCTGTGTATGATGCACATTTTATTTGCTTTTTTAACTTTTATTTTAGGTTCTGGGGTACATGTGGTTTCTTTTACAGGTAAATTGTGTGTTATGAGAGTTTAGTGTACAGATTCTTCCATAACCCAGGTAATAAGCATAGCACCCCCTATGTCATTTTTTTGTCCTCACCCTCCTCCCAACCTCAAGTAGGTTCTGGTGTCTTAAGTTCCCTTCTTTTTGTCCACGGGTACTCAGTGTTTAGCTCCCATTTCAAAGTGAGAACATGCAGTATTTGGTTTTCTGTTCCTTTGTTAGTATGCTTAGGATAACAGCCTCCAGGTCCATCCATGTTGCTGCAAAGGACATGATCTCATTCATTTTTACAGCTGTGCAGTATTCCATATTGTATATGTACCACATTTTCTTTATCCAGTCTACCATTGATGGGCATTTAGGTTGATTCCATGTCATTGCTATCATAAATAGCACTACAATGAACACATGCGTGCATGTGTTTCATAATAGAACAATTTATACTCCTTTGGATACATCCCAAATAATGGAATTGCTGGGTCAAATGGTAGTTCTATTTTAAATTCTTAGAGAAACTGCCAAACTGCTTTCCACAGTGGCCGAACTAATTTATGTTCCCACCCACAGTGTATAAGCATTGCCTTTTCTCTGCACCTCACCAACATATAATGCATATTTTAAATGATCTGTACATACATTACATAGACAGCCTGCTCTTTTTTTCACTTGACACTATTTTCAGCTTTTCCCCATATCATTAAATACTTGTCAAAAGCATGATTTTTTTTTTTTCCAGACAGGGTCTCACTTTGTCACCAAGGCTGGAGTGCAGTGGCACGAACACAGCTCACTGCAGCTTCAACCTCCCAGGCTCAAGCAATCCTCTGGCGTCAGTCTCCCAGGTACTTGGGACTACAGGTGCACACCACCACATCTGGCTAATTTTTGTATTTTTTTATAGAGACAAGTTTTCACTATGTTGCTCAGGCTGATCTCGAACTTCTGGGCTCAAGCAATCCGCCCACCTCGGCCTCCCAAAATGTTGGGATTACAGGTGTGAGCCACTGCACCCATCCCAAAAGCATGATTTTAATGGCAATGAAGGCAATTTTGTGTTAAGTTTCTTGACGACTCTGAATCTCCATGTCCACATCTGTAAAATGGCTTTGATTGCTTCCAAAAACTAAAAAGTAATTTCTAAGACACTTTAAAAAGCTCTATGGTTACATATAATTTATTTGAAATATAAGTTTCAAGTAAATTCAAACATCTTATTTAGTTACGCTCTAGTGCTAACAACAAAATGATTGGTGGTTGCATGCATATTGATCTTAAGTTCATGTAATTCTCAATTTTTATAGTTTATCTAGTTTATTGATTAGCTGGGCTTTCAGTCTCCTTTGTCTTTTGTCATTCTTTCAAATAATTTTATTGTTTTAAATGCAATATCAAAAATTTTGGGTCATCGTGAGAAATCTTTTGAGGCAACTTTTTTTTTATATAATAAATAAAACCACACTACTCGTAAAAAGGGACCATAAGATTAACAATGAAGTGGTGGCTAATTTTATCTAGAAAGCTATTGCAACTGAGCATGAAACTCAGGTCTGGACAGCTAAGGCAAGAATGGAAAGACACAGGATAGGTCACAGCTCTCATTATGTGATTAAAAGAAGTAAACTGGTTCACCTAGAGAGGGAGAAATTTTTTAGTGCTGAATTCTAAGCTAATTTATTATGTGGGCCTAATATAAGAGACAGGGCACAACATAATGGATGAGACTTCAAAGGGAGATTTACAAAAAGCACAAAGATGTTTTCTCACAGTCATTCCTTTTAGCAACACTCAATAAAAGCCAAGGACATAATGTGAAGTTGTAATTCTGTAAGGGGTTTCAAGGGGAGCAGAGATGGGTGGTGTAGGTGCATTGCATTCCGGTGATAGCACCTGCTGTAGGGCAGACCCCTGGGAATCCAGGAGATAAATGGTAAGAGGTCTCCTGGGCTATTCCTCTCACACATCACTCCTCTGAGCCAAGCTATCACAGGATCTGTAGAGCAGAGCAATTTAAAATTGAGACTACTTGCACGACCTGCAGCACAGGTATCCTGCATTATTGATTCAAAGGAGCGCCATGTGCTTCAGATACTAAAATGGAAGGCGATGAACTAACATTTTCCCATGAGGATTAAGAGTCTGATTGGAGAGTCAGTCTATGTTATCTCACACAACAGTGGGCAATGGCTGGGGGCCATGGCTTTTCATGAAAAGCAGCTTAGAATCTGTTCAAATTCCTGAACTGTTCAGGCCCCAGTGATGTAGGCCATGAACACCTGAACACTGACTTTGGCTTGCAAAATGCTAAGAGTAAGGGGCAGCCTGGCATGTGTTCCTTATAAACCATGTTAGGTGTACTTCATTTGCCCATCTGGAACTACTCTCCACCCCATGCTGGGCCCCGGAGTCTGGCCTGCATGGACAACATCCATGGGCTCCCTTTCCCTCTGGTGTCTAAGCTGGCTTCTGCTAATGGGGAGCACAACAAGAGTTCAGAAAATAAGGTTGAGATACCTCCTGGTACCTCCCTGCAGATATGACTGGCTGTGTCCTTTTACCTAAGGTCACAGGTCCTGTCTCACGTCTTCGCGTCTCCGGGTTCTATAACTGTTCCCTCTCTCACCCCTTTAGGCCTAGAGGTGGTAATGGCTCCCTGTCACTTCTAGCTCCTGGTACTGCAACATCCCTTAAATTTTCCCAATTCCTGCTCATCCTTTTTACAACAAACCCTCTATTAAGTTCTTCTCAAATTATCTAAGACATGTACGCCATCTTTTCATTGCCTGGACCCTGCCTGATACCCGTATTTAATTACTTAAAATTGCTGTGCAAGTCTTAGTGGTGACAGAGGGAAGACAGCTAAGATTAACTAAGTACAATGTGCCAGGCACTGTGCTAAAAGATTTGTAATCTCCTTCAATCTTTAAATGCCTCATTTAGTTATCTCCATTTTACAGACGTGGACATGGGAGATTCAGAGTGGTCAAGAAACTTAACACAAGTTACAGAGCTATTCAATGTCACTGAACACATATCTGACTCCAAAACCAGTAATCCTCAATGGTTTTATAGTTTCAGTGTAACATACTCCTACATGAAATAATTTTAAATTATTTAAAATAATGCATGTTATAGGATTAGATTGCAAACAAATAAAATCATGACTATTAGCAAGTTCAGAACAGAATGCAGTGAATATAGAAAATTTCATGAAAATTAAAATTCACATTAATCTCTAATAAGCAGAAGAATGTGTGCAAAATAAAGAAAGGATATTGTAGGTAAACGGGATACATGCAGTTTGGAGGTTCCAAACACTGGGAGAACAGGTTATGAAACAGGAATCTGGAAGGCAAAGATTTAGAGATGAGACCTGAAAGCAAGACTGTGGCTAAACTCACAGTATGCATTTTTAGCCTACCCTGGAGTAGATCAGGAAAAGTCATAGGAGGATCTTACACCAGGGCAGTGATATGGACTCTGGGCTAAAAAGCAGGATGAATAGGAGATGGGTCTGGGTTCAGTGGGGTACCAGACATTTCCAAAATCCAGGTGTGCAAGAAGTTAGGCCTAGCCTCTAGACATACTTTGATGGTAGAATTGACAGGGTTTGGTGACAGGAGTCAAGAGATGGAGAAATCAAAGGTGGGAACTAGAATGACTTGGAGAATTGCTGTTTCACTGACCAAAATACAGAGATGACAACGTTGTGGTTTATTAACAATTACACCAGAGAGCCAAAAGGTGCAAAAGAGGAGCTAGTAAACAAATTTGTTTATTTTACAGTTAAAATCCACTCTTAGAGTATAAAATAGAATTTTTTCTGAACACAAGATTTTGAGGACATGCCATTTTTATCCCCTAAGGATCAGGAAATAGAAACTACAGTACTATATCTATTTCAGAGGCAGAAATTGAACTCCTCCAATGGGTAAGAAACACCACTCGGATATGGCATTGATTTGTCTAATAAACTAAGGACCCACAACTGCAAAAAGTTCATTTGCCATCTGGATACTTCCTGTCCCAAAGAAGTCTCAATGTCTTTCTGGAATTGCTGAAGAACAAAAGTGCTTTATCCCAAAGATGAATTAATATTATCATAAATGTTTCTATTATAATCTTCCAACTAGACTTCTTCCCTATAGCCAGTCAGAGTCTTCAAATGAATATAGACAGAGTAATACTCCCATGTAATGATCCTACTATTGAATTTCAGGTAAAGTGTAAACATACCCATAATTATATTAAGGTTGAGACAGAAGAAACATTGAGACATTGTGACTTGAATATACATTCATGCACCATGAGACAGAGGCAGATTGATGCTCAGTTAGAACATAAGAATCTATCTGCTATTTTGCTTCCTAAAATTGAATTCTAGACCAAGGCCAGCGGAAAATCAGAGCCTAGGCCAGCGTAAGAATGTTATCTTTTTGTTGTTGTTTTAAATAAGGTGGGAAGGGCAGGGGACAGGGGTGGGGGGTGTGCAGTCGGGTTTAGAAGAAAGAGAAGCAAACCAAACAAAAAAAAACCTAAACACACTCACAGATCTAGAAGTCTAAACAATAAACATTTCATTGCTTTTCGTTGATGTTTAACTGCATCATAGAGGAAATTTGGGGAAAACATTTTTTCACATTCTAGCTGCACGTGAGAGTCTGGAAGTGGATGGAAATGGTAATATTTAATTGGGGGGCGTGTGTGGGGAGGTGATCATGAGAAGATGATGCCAGGCAGAGCAAAGCACCAGAGGATGGCAGGAAAGGCATCGTCAGCCGCTCTGGGATGCCCCTCTCTTTTAGTAAGTCATGCCTGCCTTACGATGCCTATTGTTCATTGTTCTCCAGCCTTAGGATCTATCACATTAGGGATAGGGATACTTTCATTAAAACAAATAAAGAGAAACATATAACAGAAATCACTGAAACAATTAATTTCCCTGACAGTTAAAAAATATGATCCACGTATGAGGAATATTAGGCCCAAAAGGAACCAGTTATCCCTTGATGAATTAGACCTGTCTAGAAATTCAAATTGCCCAAAGTACAAGGTCGGCCCAAGCCCATCCATCCATCAGAATTTCCTATGTTTTGAGATGCAATCTGAAAAGTTTTCTAGATTCTAACACTAGAAACCACTGGGGCTGCTTTCTCTCATTCTCATTTCAAAGGCAGTGATTGAAGTGCTATCAGTAGTACTGGAAATATGAATACAGTCCATAGAAAAGATGGAAAAGTGCAGTCACTTAAGATGAACAACTCAGTTGTGCTGCCATTTTATGAGCTTGTCATGATTTGAGAAATTATATGTTCTGACTGAAAATAATTTTTCAAAGTCCAAATTTTAAAAACACCACTAATAGTCTCGTGTTTTAAAAACTAGAGGTACTGAACTTTTTAAAATTGGTCCTAAATACATACTGCATCATTTTATACTAAACACATAATACATTATTGTAAAATTAGATTTGAGAATTAGAATAGTGTATACTCCAGATTTTTGACACTGGGCTTTAAGTTAAAGAGCTGGTTTGTCTCACATACTATGTATCTATTCAATGCACAGATGCTTTTAAAAATAATGTAAACTCCCCTATATTAGCCTGTCATAATGATCCCTGTAAATAAATGTTTACTAGGTTTACTGATAACTGTTCTAACTTAAGGACAAATTCAGACAACAAACATGGTGTATAAATACAACAAGTTCATTTCATAAGCAATGATATGGAATGTTATAGAGAATAGAAATCATCCCTTGGTTTTCAACAATATTTATTGGGTTCCTCCTAGATGCTAGTACATTTATTATATGACCCTTAACTTTAAAGAACTCAACTCTACCCATCTACTTATTTAGTACACTCAAAAGTCATATATTACAGTATGCATTTTACAGAATAATACACAGACACCAAGAGGGTGTGTCAGGATTACCTCACAACACAGGATTGGAGCCAGGAATAGAGATATGCAGGTTTCAGCCTAGCTTTACTAACACAGGTATACCTCATTGGCAGGTTCAAATGTTCCACATAGCTATCTATATTTGTAAATTAATTTTATTCTTAAATTCACTAGGTGGCGTTACTCTTATGAACTCTACAGTGACATGTGTGGTAATACAAATACATAAAGTGTGTATTCTGTAAATAGTTTCCCTACAGTGGAATTTCTAAAAACAGCTACTCTATGTAATGTCTTTCTTTAAATGTTAGATGCAATGGGAGTAAAAGCAAAATAGGTTTTGTATTAAGCCACAGTAAAGTTGTAACCATGAAGTGGCAGAACTTTCAAGCACTTTTATGTTGTTATTTTTCACAGCATGAAGACTTATCTCATCCAGAAGAGAAAATATTCCTTATCCATTATACAGAGGACGGCAGGTGTAGAAAAAGTATATTAAGTACAATAAAAACCTAGCACTCTAATAATATATTAGCAAGTATTCCTTTGTTTTGTAGCAAATATTTTAAATAGAAAATAGCTCCATTATTTTAATTAATGAAAAATAATGATTCCTTTATTTCTAAAATTAAAGGCCCATGAAAACCATGCCCCTCACAAGCACTATATGCTTCAACTATCTCCTCTGAAGTTGTGATAACAGACATATTACAGAAATAACAAAAACTTAAAAAAGGAATTTCTTCTGAAAAACATTTTCAGATCATTTAAAATGAATTAAAGGAAAGAGAAAACTCACAGAAGAATTACTATCCAGTCACTAATAATCTGAACTATTCAGAGTTTAACAGAGTTAATCATCTTTTTAACAAAGAGCCTTTCCATATTTAACAACTGACCCCAAAGAGGACGTGGACACAAACAGCTGTGCATTACCAGAACTTTATAGAGGTGATGAAAACAAAGAAAAGGAAATCCACAGCAGTGACTAACCACACTGTGCATTCAAAAACAATGACCACACTGAAATTCATTAAGGAGGTAGTCTGTTTACTTAGGTTTGAACAATAGATGGTATGTAACCCCAACTTCTCTAATCCCTCTTTTGTTTAGCTGCAAATAATCCTTTCGTTGCCTATATTAATATTATAGTAATATGAATATTAGTATTAATAATTGATACTTAGAACAAAAAGCAGACAGCTAGACCAGCTGAAATTCAAAGACTTAATATTAAGGAAACATTTCTAAATGTGCTGTATATTCTGTATTCCAAGCATTTTTTTTAATATCAAAATAATATATAAGAGTTTAACAATGGCTAATGATTAGATTCTTTCACAAAGAAAAATATCACTTATATACAGGACAAAGAGTTATGCAGGAGTTAACCATACTAATGTTGAACATACTTATGTTCTGGCTTCCTTAAACTTATAAACTGCCAAGCAGATGTTTTGTTGTTGTTGTTTTTTCCAAGTTTTCTGATTTGCCAAGTTTTAACTCAGAATGTATTTGTACAATAAAGTCAGAGTAATTTCATCAGAGAAACTTGGGTACAAAAAAGCAAGGCAGTGAGTTACATATCTTTTCTCATCTCAACATAAACAAATTACAGCAAACTTTGAGCTGCCAGCAAAAACTTTCATTTCACTGACGGGGAAAATTCCCAGCAGCTGCACACAACTGCAAGGCGATCAGACAGATGCCGCCGAGCGGAGGTTGATCCCGACACAAAACTGAGTCCTGCGTTCCCAGAATTGAAAGGAGTTGCTACCCCTCGACAGACTTCCCAGACACTTGACGGCATGCCAGATCAGTGCATCAGCTGTCACTGCCAGCCACAATTTAACTATTCTTGAATAACCAGTAGAAAAACAAACCACCAAAGTGTCAAACTAAAAGTCATATCTATTGTCTCTGACAAAAGCAGCTTCCTCACTGAACCCTGTGATGTGTCATACCTGTAACCAGAAACTCCGTATAGCGTTGCCATGTAGATACTAAGAATTATGCACATATTCGTGCCCAGTAAAGGAATGACAAGGGAACTTTGAAATCCTCAATGGCTGGCCACTGACAATGCTACATGTCAAGAATGGAGCAGTCTCCTACCTGGAGCCCTCTTCGTCTTAGAATGCTGGACTCATCCATCTCACCCTCTGCTTTCTCTGAGCCTCTCACAACAGTCTAGCCATGCTGTACTACCTCTACTTCAGCACGCTAATTCAGAGCCCGGCAGCTGCTAAACACTTACATCACGCTCTAGCTGATTGGAGCCCGGAGTCAGCTGGTCCAGCTTAGTTATTCACTCCAGCAACTTCGGAGATCACGGATGCTTGCAGTTCGGTGGGAGAGAGCAGCAAGTGGGCTCAGACACCTAATGCATTTATCCAGGTGGAGGAGGCTCTTGCTATTAGACAGGAAATCGTGAGATCCTTGTTTTCTCTTCTTCAGAATGCTGGCTGTGGCATTTCAGGAGACCACTAAATGGCTTTCGGCAGTAGCTTTGGGTCAAGCCCCATCTGAAGCAACTATAAGGTCACAGTGGCTAAGTAAATCAGCGGTGACAGACACCTCTGTAAAAGGCAGCCGCTGACTGGGATGGTGAAAAACTAGGGCACAGCTGGTCAGCCAAGCAGCACCACTATGCCTGGCGCTCATCTCTTCCAAAGGCATCAAAGAAAACAAAAATGTAGCAGAACACACATGCTGCCTGCAAACCTGAAAACGGAGGGCTCAGGGCAGCTGCTCTCCAGCCACCAAACCCTTTACACCTCCCAGCATGAAAGCCCATTCATTTACATAAATACCTGCCCTTCAGTTCCTACTAGCTCAAAGACAGAAACAGTTTAATTTCCCTCATGATAATAACTTAGTTCTGCTGATACCTGACCAAAATGTAAAAAGGTTGGGTGGAGGGGATTCTAAGAGCCATCATTAGTTGGAATATTTAACCTATGTATAGTGTATAAGCAGCTAAAGAAAAAATTCCCATCGTGCAATTTCACAGTCTGTCTCAGCTTGTTTACTCCGTTCATCCTCATCTTATCTCAATTGAAAGCAACCAAGAGATGAATATTAAGTTTTCATTACTGGCATGGCACAGGAGTAACAACATACGACACTACCAATTCATAATAAATTATTCCTCCTTGGTGTCTATTCTAAAGATATTTAAATTGAGAGAATAGTTTGATCCTGAGAGAGATACAAGGACCAACTGTACTTTGTCTAAGAACGACCTCTTTCACTCTATCCATTAGAATAATTATTTTTCTTGAAAGTTAGGAAGACAGGTATAAACATTTTTTTAAATCACTAACTCCTGGATTTTACTTAACCCAGTTATCTAGTGATGTTTAAATGTGGGAGAGGGGAAGGAAGTGTCTAGTGGTTCCCTACCCATTCACCTGCTATTCCACTGGTTTTCCATCTCTTTCTGTCTGTCAACACACTAATACGCTTGCTCTCAATTGATTAGATTATGTCATTAAAAATAGCTCAGGGATTTATGAATCTAACCACTGAGGAAAATTGATTGCATTTTATGTTCCCAAACGGTCTTTGCATATATCTCCAGACATACAAAGAGGAGCCTGTCAAGAAATGCCACCCCAGCAGAGAAGGGTGTCAGGGTGTTTTTCCACTTAGGCATGTTGATTTGATACCACTTAAGGAAGAAAACCCCAGAGAGTTTTTAGCTCTCGCTTATATGTGGAGGAGTAATATCATCTCTAAAGCAAAATACAGCACAAAAACTGGTCATTCTTCAAGTCAAAGTGTATCAACGAATTCTAGCACAAATGAATTTTTAAAAAAGATTTTTAAAACTACGTTTTTTGTTTAAATCAAAGGACAAAAATAAAAGAAACAAAAGCCACTTAAGAGAGGAGAAAGGGCCAGCCTTGTTCTATCTTTTGGCAATCTGTAATGCTGGTGGAGAACAGACCCCCAACCTTCACAGGCTCACCTGCACTTTAATCTGTTCCTGCAAAGAGAAAATCTGGCTCTTCAGTGAAAACGAAGGGAACGACAATTGTTGCCTGCTTTCTATCTCAAGTCACCCTCCTGAGAGAGGAGCACAGAAAGTTCCCTGAATGTCAAGAGTTGTTTTAGACAAAGCCTTGGCAGCAGCTCCGAATATATTTACCAGCTTACAGTGTCATTGCTATCTGCCCACAGAGGCAAAAGGAAGTCCTGACAGATTTTGGAAAAAATCTTGACCCAAGAAGCTCAATTTTTAAAAGCAAAAGCCAAGCATGGTGTACTCATATACACTTCTACTCTGAGGACTACAATCTTCATTGTGCTGGTCCTTCTAGAAAAACTAGGGTCTAGAGGAGGGCAACAAATTCCCACTACAGAGAAAGAGACGGGGGATTGGGGGGGGTGGTGGGAGGACAAACCAGTTTTCCCCTTGAAACACAAATCGGGTCATCAGGAGAACAAAACAAAACAGGTAGAGAGCCCAGAAGTATCTTTTCTGTGACCAATCGTGTAAGCTAGTTGGAAGTACTATCAGAAGACATTTCGAGGACACACTGTCAAAATGTCAGCTGACGTGCATGCATCTTAGGCACTCTGCAGCTCGAGGTGTTTGGGAGGTGGTGGGAGTGATAAATAGGAATCTGGCTAAGGACGAAAAGTATGTTTCTTAACAAAGGAATATTTTGAGATAAAATCTAAGTGAGTGTTCCACCATTAACTAAGTCTAAAATGAGGATTATGACCATCATACCATCAAATCTAGTATGAAAAAATATCGATTACCTGTCAAAATGTATCATTTTGAGAAGTGATACACATACATTTTAAAGAAATAAAACCAGCCAGAGGCAAAAACATTTGGGACAAAAATGAAAGGCTGCTGAAAAATAACATCAAGCAATAATGGCTTAGCGGAGGGAATAGTAAAAGGAAAATTGCTACGTTTACCCTTTGCTATATATTTTCTCATCAAGATAAGCCATGTGTTAAAATGCAATAAAAACTTCAAATGATGACACTATTCACAGGTAATAATCAGGATCTAGCCTAATTTCCATTAATAAACTCATTTTTCCTGTGATTTTATACCTCCATGGAATATATTCACAATATTGTGAGTCAATTCACAAAGTACCAGCCTCAATATGTATTGCTTTTACATGTGTATTCAAATCATAAAATCTGGTAGGCTTTGTCATTAATTGTAATCTAAAGCCAGGGGCTTTGCAGTATTTCATTAAAAAAAATTACCTGTATGGATACGCCACATGCCCACTCTATTATAGGCATAATTTACTTCCTGGAATACTCAAAATCCATGGTCACTGTAATAAAGGTCAAATTTAAATTTTAAGAATTATTGCAATTAAATGGTTTACAGAAACAAAAACAATTCCAAATACCAACTGAGAAAAACAAGGGGGAAAGAAAACGTTTGGTTGAACACATTTCAAAAAAGCGTATATTGAGATTTTGTAATATTGTCCATGGTGATGTTTGGTACAAGGATATGGGTTCCCCTCTGATTTACACGGCCAGATATTTTTCACATGCAGTCATGTGCTACATACTGACATTTCAGCCAATGATGGGACACATATATGATGGTGGTCCCATAAGATCGTAATAGCGCTGAAGACATCCTTTTGCCTAATGACACCTTGATGATCCTGACTCTGTGTAGGACTAGGCCTGTGTGTGTGTGTGTGTGTGTGTGTGTGTGTGTGTGTGTGTGTGTGTGTGTGTCTTAGTTTTTAACAAAAAAGGTTAAAAAGTTAAAAAATACATTTCTAAATAGAAAAAAGCTTAAAGAAAACAATATTTTGCTACAGCCACATAATGCATGTTTTAAGCTAAGTGATATTGCGAAAGAATTTAAAAGTTTTTAAAATTAAAAAGTCTATAAAGTAAAAAGGTTACAGTAAGCTAAGGTTAATTTATCACTGAATAAAGAAAAATATTGTTTATAAATTCAGTGTAGCCTAAGTGTACATTATTTGTAAAGTCTACAGTAGTGCACTGTAATGTAGGAGGCCTTCACATTCACTCACCACTCACTCATTGACTCACCCACAGCAACTTCCAATCCTGCAAGCTCCATTCATATGTGCCCTATACAGATATAAAATATCTTTTATATTGTATTTTTCAGGTATGTTTTCTATGTTTAGATACACAAATACTTGCCATTGTGTTGCAAATGACTACGTATTCAGTACAATAACATGCTGTACAGGTTTGTAGACTAGGAGCAATAGGCTATACCATCTAGGTTTGTGTAAGTACACTCAATGATGTTCACACAACAATGAAATCACCTAGCAACACATTTCTCAGAACATGTCCTTGTTAAGTGACGCATGACTGTACTTAGAAATAAGTTACCTCTCTTCACTAGTTCTGTGTTGGTTACCCCAAAGTAAGCAAATCTTCCGATGTTACCCATTCTTCAGTAACTGAAATGTTCATCGAGGAACTGCTGTGAGGAACATTTGAGGAGTTCCCACTCCATTCCACTGGCCTAATCCAGCCCCATCCAGCAGCTCTCGCTGAACTGCCTATCCAAAAGCGATGGGAGCTGAAGTCGGAGGGCAGTGGAGAGGATTGTCCTCTGGTAAAGTTGTTTCTCCCGCCACACTAGCCAGAAGGAAGAGTGACAGAGGAGTGTGACAGAGAGGAGTACCACTGTGTTGCCCTGCCCCTCGTCCCACCAGTCAGAGTTCTTGGTGTGCTAGGAATGTGATTTCCAATACCATCAGTACAATCTGGGGTGGGATCTCTCCTAAACATCTTCTTGCGTTAAGTGTGACCGTGATCACTACTTCTCAACAAGGTAGACAGCCATAAAGTAAATATTCCGTTGGTTACTTGTAGACAACAGACCAAGGGTTCATATGTCTCTCTAAATGTTCATTCAGAGGTAAGTCAATATGGCCAAGTGGATGAATATCTCCATTCATTCACTGATTACTTCTTTCCATTCATAGATAGCTGCCAGTGGCCAATGAATATGTTGTATTAGCTCATAAAAGATTACAAAGGAGAAACAGATGATTCATGAAAATACATACATCCATTATTGTGATTATAATCATATCTTGAATGCCAAAGAGCAACACAGCTGTGAGATTAGTGTCTACATTTAAATTCCTTCTTAATTTTTGTACTTTATTTTCCCACATGTTTCACTTCTAAATATTAATAACAATGGCCGGCCGGGCACCATGGTTCACACCTGTAATCCCAACACTTTCAGAGGCTGAGGCAGGTGGATCACCTGAGGTCAGGAGTTCGAGACCAGCCGAACATGTTGGTTGGAGACCAACATGGTGAAACCCCATCTCTACTAAACATATAAAAATTAGTGGGATGTGGCAGCACACACACCTGTAATCCCAGCTACTCAGGAGGCTGAGGCATGAGAATCTCTTGAACCCAGGAGGTGGAGGTTGCAGTGAGCCGAGATCGCGCCACTGCACTCCTGCCCGAGCAACACAGCAAGACTCAGTCTCAAAACAAAACAAAGGCCAACATTTGTTGATCACATTACGTGCCGGTCATTGCTGTAAGTACTTTATATGTATCATCTCATCAAATCCTCACCACATAAGTGAAGAACCATTATAATCCCCATTTCACAGATGAGGAATCAACACTCAGAGAAGTTAAATAACTCCCTTAGATTCCACAGCCAAGCCAAGGTAGAAGTAGTGTATTAGTCCATTTTCATAATACCTAAAAGAACTGCCTGAGACTGGAAAATTTATAAAGGAAACAGGTTTAATTGACTCACAGTTCAGCATGGCTGGGGAGGCCTCAGGAAACTTACAATCACGGCAGAAGGTAAAGGGGAAGCAAGCCACCTTCTTCACGACATGGCAGGAAGGAGAAGTGTCAAGTGAGAAGGGAAGAGCCCCTTATAAAACCACCAGATCTCATGAGAACTCACTCACTACCATGAGAACAGCATGGGGGAAACTGCCCCCATGATCCAGTTACCTCTATCTGATCTCTCCCTTGACACATGGGGATTATGAAGATTATAATTCAAGATGAGATTTGGCTGGGGACACCAAGCCAAACCATATCAGCTGGGATAAGATACCAACCTTGGTCAGGTTGACTCCAGAGTTTGGGCTCCTAACACCATGCTCTACTGCCTCTTGGAGTTTAAACAAAGAAGGAAACAGTGCTTTCAAAGTGAATTCATAATGTGAAAGGTGTCAGATCCTTTAGCTCCTAAGGAAAAATGAGCATATCATAAGTTGTCAATGGTCAGAACACCAGAAAGAACATTCTGAATCCCCAATTCTCTGAGCCATGTGCCTATAAGAGAGAAACGCAGCAGGGCCCCAGCTACTTTAGAGGGGAAACTAGAGATACCCCCCTGGGCAGGAGGGGTGGAGGAAGAGGGCTGGTCAGAAACAGGCTTCTTTCTACTTTCCTCTTAAATGTCTCTGGGCCTCCACTCTGAGTTTGAACAACTCTTCATCCTTCTGACTTCAAAATTATACAGTCCTAAATATAACACATTTATTTACAATCAAGTGGATTCCACAAAACCAAGAGCACCCTTTCCATTGCCATGCCAGGCATAATACACATCCCTGCTAACTTGCGGGGGTTCTGGCAGCTCTTCATTTTCTAGTCTGATGCTTTTTCTGGAACTTACCATTGAAGGCAACTCCTTAATTCTCTTTCCTTTTAGGTGAAATGACTCAGGGCAAGGCTGCTCACTCTGTTCTGAGCAGTTCTGGGAAGAAAGGAGGAAAAACCCCAACTCTGACATCTGCCTTGATTTCCTGGAAGCCATGCCTCCCCAGTGTACTTAGAAGTACCAGGTGCTGAGAGCCAGTCCCCATGCAGGCTTTGCCAAAGAGAAACTCGGCAGGCCGGGCAAGTCCCTGAACTTCCTTGAGCTCTGGTTTCTCATTTGTAAAATGAAAATATTATGGGCTTATCATCAGGAAGCTGGGGAAGTGAAGAAGAGGCAACCTTCTGGGAAATTGAGAAACTGGTCTCACTGCCCTCAAGGTAAGGGCAGCCCATGCCCCTCACTGGGGACACCTGGTCCCTCCCTACTGAACCCACAGTCCTGTCTCCCAACCCTCCCCATCTTCCTCCAGGCCATTACCATCTCACCAAGCATCTGCTTCACACAGCTGCTCAGCTACCTTCCTGGCTTCAAGGATCCTGCCCTGAACATGCTCAAGGCTGAGGAGGGCACCGAGGTTTCCCAGCAGCCCCTCCTCAACACCCAAGTCAGACAGCAAAGCTCAGAAACCAGTGATGAGCTGAGCCTCACATGCCTAAAACACACACTACAGCATTAATGTTCACTCTGAGAACAGGTTAAATCCTTAACTGAGGTTGACATGAATCTTTATTACCATATAAAATTAATGCCATAATATTACAATACTACCGCCTGCTGTTATTAATGGCTACTCTTTAGGAATATTTACTATTCATTAAAGTAACATACAAATGAACCAGATATTAATTACCAGTGTCATCAAAACTCAAAAGTAAAATGACACCTGGAAACAGGTTCCACAATATTTAAAGTACCAGGAGATATTACACTCAGGAACAAATACCAAAACCACAGATTTTCTTTCCCTATATTTTAAAATAGTCATTTGAAATTTTAAAATAAAGTTCTAACCTCTAAAGTTAACAAAGGTAAAGAAACAGCAGACATGTACTGTATATGTCTTTTTCTCACCAAATAAAACAGACTTTAAACCTGTCAGAAAGACTAAAACAAGCGGCAGTCTGCCTTCCAGGGAAAGTAGGAATTTTTCCCACTCCAAATAAAAGAGAGGGTCTAACACCTTCCCACTGATAATACACCAAAGTCTGAATTTATCCAGAGTAGCATTTTCTAAAACACATTTCATTTAGCAAAAATTGCAGGTGGGATCAGTAGCAAGCATATGCCTATGAAATATGCCGCATCCCATGTTTCCTGTGTTCAGTTTTCCTTCCCACTTGCAATCCTGAAGACTTCTTAAATGTATGCGATTGGTGATTTCTACAACGTAACATGCATGATTTTGCTTAAGGCTTTTCACAAGAAAGCTATATTGCCTTGACGTTTGCATCATCTTTTTTTTTCTCTTATTATTTCTGGCATATTAGCCATCAAATCACTACTGACAATATGACAGGAATCATGGTATTGAAAAAATTACATCCTAGGAGGAAATAATAAAATATAAATCACATACATAATTTTCTTTTGAACATTTTAACAATGACACCCTTATATACATATGAAATATAGCAGACTATCCTCATAAATGCCCTAACATCAATCACAGCAGGAAAATATTCTCTACTTTGCAAACACACGAATCCAACAAAATATAGCATTTCTAATAAAACTGGGTAATAGAACTTCATTTTTTTCATATGAGAGTGTTTATGAAGATCTGACAATTGGAAATAGCTCCAATATATATTTTTTCAATTATGTCCCTTCATGTCTAAATGATGCACAGCTAACGCTGGGACCATGAACTAATATTTAGCAAAGTCCCATATGTCATATTAATACATAGATTAAGAAGAGAATAGATGAGTGAAGTGATGTTGGCAGTATTGTCATTGTATGATACCTATCAATTGAAAAGCTTTAGAAACTCATATGTTAACATGTATATTTACTGAAGATAATACTACTGGCATCATCTAAGTATTTTATGAGCTTCTGAAACACAGATTCCTACAATTATCCCTAAAGTGAAAAGATATACCTAGAGATAAAAGATCAAGGAAAATTATTATTTTTTTAATTTTGTACTCTATATTCCAAGTATAGCTACTACATCAGAGATTAGAAAAGCACATTCAGGCTATACATGTATTTAAAAATCCCATAGTGGCTGAGTGCAGTGATGCACACCTATAATCCCAGCACTTTGAGGGGCTGAGGCAGGTGGATTGCTTTAGCCCAGGAGTTCGAGACAGGCCTGGGCAACATAGTTTGTAATGTTTAAGAAGTTTGAAACCCCATCTCTACAAAAAAAAAAAAAAAATTAAAAGAAAAAACCCCACAAAAATTAGCTGGGTATGGTGCTGTGTGCCTGTAGTCCCAGCTACTTGGGAGGCTGAGGTGGGAGGATCAATTGAGCCTGGGAGATCTAAGCAGCAGTGAGCTGAGATTGCACCAGTGCACTCCAGCCTTGGGGACAGAGTGAGACCCTGTTGGAAAAAAAAAAAAAAAATCCCACAGTGAGGAGAAGCTAAGTTCTAGGTTAAATGCACTGTTGCCTAGCCAAACTTCCCCCCCAAAAAAACAAAAAATGTAAACACAAAATGGAAAAAACTCTGGAAAATTTTCTAAGGAGAAAAACCAAGCTGGTCACCCTGGAATTTAAAATATGATTGACCAAAGACATACATGTTAACTAAAATTAGTATGGAATCCCTCATGTGAATTAATCAAGCATTCTTTCTTACACCTGTGTCTTTATATTGACAGGCATTACAACACAGATCTGAAGCGCCTGTGCAAGCTGACTATTTTAAACCCTAAGTTTAAGATCATGTCTTCAGCCTTAGTCTACCTAGAGGCATTACGTTAAATGAATTCTGAGATTTTGACCACAAGCTTCACTCTGATCTTGTTTGCATTACACACACATAGCCAAGCACTTCTGGTGACTTTCACCAATATTGAGCAGCCAAATAGGTTTGAGAGGTATATATAAATTATTTTTTTTAAATAGCTAAGTTTCTTTCAGGTAGCAATGCAGAAGGCTAGATGTTCCCCCATGAATCTTGCTCGTCATTCCACCAGTCCCTGCATTTGGTTTGACTTCCTATCATCCTGCACTAACATGTCATCCACTTCAGACACAAATAGAAATGAGGCTGCCACCTGCCAACTAGTTAACAGTTAACAGTTGAAAGAGAAGTGCTCCCTGAGACTCTATCACATCACACGGTAAGCAATGTGTGTTCCCCTTCTCTATGACATTAACTCCGTCTTCTAGCATCCCTTAACTCTTTTTAACACAAAACGGGCTCCAGATTCTATCTCATTAATCCTCATCAGTTTCTTGAGAAGTAGAAAGAAAAGAGACCGGTCCAATTTACCAATGAGGAAAGTGAGACAATGAGGTTCCAAGAAGAGCCCAAGGTCATGAAAATAGTAAAAAAGGCAGAGCTAACAAGAGAATTCAGGCTTTGTATGCCAGAACGAAGGGCCCAGGTGGCCGCCATGTTCCTGAACACCTCCCCTTTTTCCTGCACTTTCCTCATCCTTCTCATCACCACTGCAGCAGCAATCCAAGGGCAAGCGCTGCCCTGCAGAACTTTCAGATAGACACACAAACAAATAAAAAACCAAATGTGCACGTACCCACACATACATATGCATATAGTGGGAGAAACAGAAGCATTAAGTGAAGATCAGACCAAGGAGATATACATAGGAAGAAGTCACATTAAGTATCACCTGAGGACACAGTATTTGTATTTATCTAGTTGAGCAAGAGGATGTGGAAATTACAATGTTTAAACTACAAGGGCACAGACCATAGTGAAATCTGTTCTGTTTTTTTTTTTATTTTTAGTGGCAAAATTTCTCTTTATACTACAAAACCACAGAGTCAAGCATCAATACTCAAAATACCATGTGATTCTTGGGGTCAAGGTATACATTGAGTCCATGGCTCTTCCCTAAGACTCTGATGAGCAGCTGCTCTCTCTTTTGCCTTTCTCCGTCTCTTAGTTCAAGAAAAGCAAACGTATGCCTAGTTTTCTTAATAACATTTTAAAATTATAAAAGTAATAGATGTCTATGGTAGAACATCTGGAAGATACAAGAACACCCTAAAGTCATATCTAATTTAAATGAGCAATGATTTATAACCAAAATGTACATGCACTCTTATGTATACAGGACCTGGAAACTACTATTAAATGTTGTCTTTAAAATAGCTCTTAAAGTAAAATTTAAGGATGGCTTTCTTTTACCAAAATCCATTTACAGCACTCTTCCAAAAAATGACAGTAGACGTTTAAGAAGTTTGATCCTTCTGGAAGTTGATTTAACTTCTTGGATTTATTTTCTCTCTAGCTTATATAAGAATTTAATAGGGGCTCTAGCACATTATCCTTAAAAATCAAGACAATCTATCTCAAGTTTTATACACTGATATAAAGTCCCTCTGTTCTGTTTGAAATCCCCAGCTCATTCATTTATATTCATTAATCTTAATGATATCATTAATGCACAATGTGTTTCACAGAAACTAATTGTATTTTGCCAGAATCAAACATTCACAATTATGCCTCCCATTATCACCTAATAAAATAAAATAAAATTTAAAAATTCTCAGGCACGACAATGAATATTTTGGTATATTAACTGATTTGCATTTTTAATGCTATAATAAATTGACCAGATTATCATCAATTAGATAAATTAATATTCTTTAAGTAAGGCAATGGGGAATTATTTTGTTAGAAATTGACAGCACTTTACTCTCACTTCCTTGAGCTTTATTGAACATAGGCTTAGCCCTCTTTGTCCCCTTATCTAAAGCTGGCTTTTGTGACTCAAGCTAATACCACACAACAGAACATATTCTTCTTTAATTTTATATACTTATCATTGCTTTAAGCAATGACAGGAGATTAGGGAGTCAATGGTTTTTCAAGTAAAGGAGAACTATCTACCTGGGCAATAAAAATGCCCTGAGTCAGAAGTACATGAATCGATTTGTTTAAATCATTGTATTACTATTTTGTTTTATCCCCTTGATTCAAAAGCCAATCACTAAATATCTACTATGAATCAGGCATTATGATGGATGTTAAGAATAGACAGAGGAAAAAGGCTCAGTCCCACCAGAATGCAGTCATGGGGTCGCAAGACACATGGATAAACAAATAAAATACAAGGAGATAAGTGGAGACCCAGGACAAGATACTCCAGGTGCTGGTGGGGCAGAAGCACCGAGGAAGGGAATAACTCAGAAGGGTGGGTAGAGGGTAAGGGTAGGTTTGAGAGACGAGGTGAACAGAGTCCAAAACAGTAGTTCTCAAATTTATCTGCACATTAGAATCACTGGAGGGTCTTTTATAAATTTCAAAAAAACTAAGGCCACAAACAGGCCAATTAAATCACAATCTCTGGAAGTAAGTAGTTTCTGAAGTCACCCCAGGTGATCCCAAAGTGCAGACAAGTTTAGAAATCCCAAGTCTAATGGAAGCAGAAATTCTAAGTGGGGTAGAGGATGGATGGGGAGCTGGGGGAAGAATGCCAAGCCCAGAGAGCCGCATGTGCAAAGGCAAACATGGGTAATGGAGCTGAAAATGCAGTGTGATGGCAGCCGGGGTACAGTGGGCCTGGCTCCTAAAGGCAGCCATTCTCTCCAACCTCAAACCATCCTGGACTTTGATACCTGTACAGATCTACAAAACCAGACCCCACAAATTCTGTCCCTTTCTCTTTCCAGGTTCGCAGAGTATAATTTCCTTCTGCTTACTACACTCTTACATAAAACAGCTCAAATACCTAAAAGACTTTCCTACTATGTTCCTGTAATATTTATCATAAATGATTATAAAACTTGAGGAAAGGTGAGGGGATGAGAGAGGTGATTGATTAGAAACAGAGGGAAAGGAAGCACTGATTCCTGTGGCCGTGAACAGGGGTGCCCAGTCTTTTGGCTTCCCTAAGCCACATCGGAAGAAGAATTGTC
Source organism: Homo sapiens (assembly GCF_000001405.40). NCBI lineage: Eukaryota > Metazoa > Chordata > Mammalia > Primates > Hominidae > Homo > Homo sapiens. The sequence continues at coordinate 66,816,286 of NC_000005.10, read as the reverse complement.
TTGGACCACACAAAAAATACATGAACACTAACAATAGCTGATGAGCTTAAAAAAAAAAGAATCACAAAAAAAAATCTCATAATGTTTCAAGAAAGTTTACAAATTTGTGTTAGGCTGCATTCAAAGCTGTCCTGGGCTGCGGGTTAGACAAGCATGCCATAAGATAATATTTTTAATCTCTTTTCACCAAAGACTAGCATTTGCATGGAATGGCAGGGCACTTTTCCTCAATCTTCCTCTAAAATTGAAGTTCAGTGAACTGGATAAGTCCTGTCTATCCTGGCTTTACTGAAGACATTACATGACTCAATTATTAAAAGCTAACAGGTTCCTCCTCCTTTTCCTCCTTGAGGTTTCTCTAATGCCACCTGAACCCTGGTGATGATTCCATACTTTACCTGACAACCCTGAAAACCTGTCACCACTCTCCTCTGGGACAGCAGGTAAGGACGTTTGTGAGGAGCCTGTTAATTGTACACTTCAACTGTCCTCTAAAGAAAACTGGATTCAAAAGGATGTATGTATCCTGTTTTACCTACAGACAAACCTAATAAATTAAATCTGATTCTTATTTGTAAAGCAATACCCTAAGCCATCATAAATAATACCAGTTTCTTTAGGGGGAAAAATAAAATAAAATCTGAATGCTTTACCAGAAAGAAGAATTTTTTAAAAACGTTATTTGTCTTCTGAAATACAAGGAAAGCAGTCTCCCCTTACACTCCAGGGATAAGTTCCAGGATGCCTGGTGAATGCCCGAAACCACAGATAGTACCAAGCCCCATATATACTGTTTTTTTTCTATTAAAATATATACATACGTATGATAAAGTTTATAAATTAGGTACAGTAAGAGATTAACAAGAATAAAATAGCACAATTATAACTATGCTGTAATAAAAGTCATGTGAATGTAATCTGTCAAAATACTGTACTGTATTCACCCATTTAAACCACAGAAAGTCAAGCCTCAGATAAGGGGGGAATATGTTACTAATTTTACTGCTCAGTTTTCAGAAGGGATACTTGGATTAAGAAATAGAAATGTCGCTTCCTTTATATGCTTCTAAAGAAGTATTTTTAAACATTTTGGTATAAAAATCATAACTAATATGTGCTCAGCATGGAGTTATTCATTTAGCTATGTTTAGTTGTGCATGCAATAAGAATTACTGATAATGCATTCTAGCAACATGAAGTCTATTCCTTCAAATGTAAGTTATACCTAACATGTTCCACTAATTTTTTAAAAAGTTACTGGTAGGAATCCCTCTAGCTCAAGTATGCACCATTTTCAGAACATAATTCAAATATATAAACCTAGGATGTCTAAACATCTTCCATACGTTATTTTATATACTCAGAATGCTAGCAAGATTAACAGCATTCTCTTACTTGCAGCAGTGATCTGCAGCCCAACTTTTGTGGGGAAAAAAAAAATCTCTAGGATGCATCATAAAGCTTTTTAATTTCAACAAGTCTATTAGCATTTAAAAAGTTCTTCCTGGCAATTTTGTTACAATGAGAGAATTAGAATGTTTTCTTCCCCCAGTTGACTTAGCAAATCACCTTGCACGTAGGGCATACCTTTATCTCACATGCTTGACAGATACATCTTTTTAAAAATCCCCAGTATTTTTACCTCCATCCCTTGCAAAGGAGATTTGCTGATGTGCCACCTAGTGGACAAACTACCACCTTCATCAGTGCATTTCACCTTGTCTCTGGAGATGAAGATCAGAAGAAATATATTTCAGAGGATCATCTAATGAGAAATGCGGAGCCTGTCCCATCAAAGGTGCTCTAGAAGGTGATGCTCTGAATGAGCCAGAAGGGACTGCTGGCCTCTTTTACATATCTGTGGCTGCTCCTCATACTTGATTAGGCGCAAGGGAGGTAGCCAAAGGTAAAAAAAGCCCCACAACAGGAAAATGCTTGCCCGAGGCCATAATGAAAGTGATCACCTCCCTCCCACGTTGATGACCCAGCATCCAAGAGCTCCCTAGCACTGAGGAGGCACAGTGAGCAATTCTTTATTTTTCCAAATGTTTGAAGTACATGTTGATCATAAACAGGTTATTCTGATTTCATAATTTGTTACTAGGCCAGGTAACATCACAAAACTGAAAAATATCTCCTTCCCTAAGGTCCCAGGGGAGAGAGAAGGAACAGAACAGCACTGTCTGCTCCTGAGAAGTGGCCCCTGGAGGCCCATCCTCCTCTTAACCCACACAGGTCCCCCGGATCAGGTCCCCCGGATCAGGTGAAGCAGAAAGTGTTCAACTCCTCTCTCCTGACTTTCCAGAGATGACAGACAAGTAGGATAATTAAAGACCTTATCACACTATCTCATGTTCCCAGTAACCTTCCAACAAAACAATTCTGAAAGCAATGTAAGAGTGCAGCATGCAATTCTTATTTTGTCTCCCCATCAAACTACTAGATTTGCATCTAACATTCCTTCTTTCACAACTAACTACTACTTCCCATGGACTCATTTTTCTGTTTCAAGCTGTCAGAAATAAAAATTCCAGGTTCAGAGTTAAACCACCTATTTCTTCTCATTAGGTGAAATATCTACTCAATGCCATGTAATTAGCAGTTTTATAAAACTGACACTTAAGTACCAATCTTCTGCTTTTCCCATTTGGATAATTTATAAGTAAAAATACATGGCAATGTTGCAAGACTCAGAGATATTCTGTTCAGAAGCTGCACCTGGAGGAAATTCTCCTGCATCTGCCTTTCCTAAGGGAGCAGAGATGGCCGAAAAGTACAAGAAAGGCAACTGAACAGCTGGAATCTCTTTCTGGTTCTTCCACTACACTCTTGTATGACTGTGGAAAACTCAGTTAATAAACTGTTTCCTTTCATTTGTCTTAGTTTCCTTGAAGGAGGGAAAAATACACTTGTCTGGTTTTACTCTCCAATATTTTAGTTTAAAATTTTTCAAACCTCCAGTAAAGTTGGAAGAATAAACATGCTTATACCCAGAATCAGCAAATGTGAACATTCCTCTATAATTGCGATACATATTTTGTGAAAATGCATCCCAAACACAATTTTTTCAATTTAATAGAAAAGTCTTGAGATGAAAAGCTCCCCACAAAGTGATAAAAAGTTAATAACTATATATTGAGCAAGATTTCCTAAGAATATTTTTTGTCAGGAATTAGATTTCCTCAAAGCTCTTGGAATGCAACAGCATTCTCATTAACACTTTCCAGGAAATGCTTCCATAAGAATGGTCAGTCTTAGCTGAATCCTAGAAACATTCCACTTCGGAGCTGGAAACCATGTGTTTCAAATGCTCCATTTTAATGATGCGCAAACTGAGCCCCAGTGATGCTGCTTCTTATCAGCACTAACTTTTTATTTCCCATAAATAATACACTTCTAAACTGCAAGAGAGGTGGTGACTTCAGAAGGAAAAGGAGAGAATAGGGAAGATGTGAACGGAAGGGAGCAGGAGCAGGTAACAACACATTGTCAAGAGCACCAGCTCCCAAAACCCACTGACAGCGCCCCGCAGCACACAGCATTACTACGTACCAAGGGCAATGCAGAAGAGCTGTCCATCTAAGCAAACCACAGCCTTTTACTACCAAATGTGCAAAATCCACACATTCACCCTCAGCCCTACAACTCCCTAATTCAACCGTCTGACCCACTTCACACGATGCAAGCATTTCTATTTTTCCGCTTTGTAGATTACGCTATTAATGTTTCTTCTGATTATTTCCTCAACACAGGTTCTATCGGAGCCAAGATTTGACCATGGCAATGAAGCTGTACCCGTGTGGCTCTGCAAGATAACCCACCTCTCTAAGTGAACATAGGCAGGGGCTCTCCTGAGGACAGACGATAAGTGTTCTGTTTCCTGGGCCATGTTTCAAGGTTTTGTGTTAGCGATGGGATTTCCTCTGTTATTTTGGTCTTCTACTCAAGAAATACAAAGGCTTTTTGTTCATAAAACTATCTAAGGCCATTTTCACAATCCCTAAATCGATAAAAATAATTCAGCAGCAGAATATTAATTTTCAGTAATATATCTTCTATTGATTGTTTCCTTGGCATACTTCCTGGTCTGGTGTGGCTCAGCGGTCAGCTCTGTACCCAATGGCTGTGTGGTAATGAGACTTATCGATAGCCTTCTAATGCATAAGATTTCACCATTATCCAACTAGCCCGCGCCAGCCTTGCATCATGTTGTTTGCGGTTCTCTCCCTCCCGACCCAAACACAGCCCTAGACCATGGCTAAGAAGCAGTTTACAGCCATCAACTGCTTCATTTGTAAAATTAGGGCACTCACGTACTCCCCTGTAAAATACTTGGAGATGTTTTGATAAATTACAGCCTAGGTACACAATTCCAGTATTGATTCCTAAAGTCACCAGGTTCTCTACCCACCCCTACTGCATTTGCAACTATCTTTTAAATATCTTTTCTCTTTTCTGAGGAAAGCATCCAAAAACCTGACAGGTACCATTATTTAGAGTGTGCAATGCCTTCATCGTTTGAGAGTAACAGGTCAAACTCATTTTCATTGCCCATTTGCTCCCTTTACATGTGAGTGCACTAGGACCCAACAGATGGCTAAATCAAGATGTTCACCAGATTAGACTTTCTTGACATGACTGACTACTAAAAAGCTTAAGATAACAGATGTTAACCTACCCAGAATGTATTATATGTTCTATCAAGACATCAGAAATACTCCGAGGCTTTCCCCAGCTCGGAAATGCATCCAATTTATTTGAATAAAAACAAAGAAAAGTGGCAAAGAAGGGGGCTGGGTAGAGAGACCAAGAACCTATTTCCCAACCTTTCCTGGATCATTTTCTCAGTTAAAGTTCTAACGTGTTTAGATGAGTCTGTCCTTTAGGTATTTTTTTCATGAATATAGGCTGCTTTTTATTTTTCCCTCCTACCCAAAAATGGTGTCATTAAAAACAAAAAGCAGAGTGCTGTTGCAGAGTAATATATTACCTTCACTAATTTGCAAACAATCAAGCTACATGTGGCCATAAGCCGTTTATTCCTGGCCACAGCCAGCCTAGGATTCCTCAGCAGCAGAGCTGAGAGGCAGCAGAGCGTTACTGACATCTCTCTCTGCAGTGCTCAGAGGCCAACTGTGAGGGAGCCCAGGTGGCCGCACAGGAGAGGCCAACATGAGCCACTTCTGCCTGGCAGATCCTCCAAGTCTCTGCCCGGTTCCTGTGCGTGCCTGGCCCTGCTCTATTCCCGAAAGCCATTGCCTGAAAAGCCCCTAGTGATGTTTTTCCTGCAAACAGTCCCCACTTAGAAGAATAGAGGGAAAGGATGTGGTCATTCTGCAAAGTGATAGCAGCATTATCATAACTTCTGCTTTCACAGGGAAGTCCTCTGGAGACTCAGCAGACACTTTCCCATCTCACTTTGCTACCTCCCCTCTCTGCTCAAGTTCAGCCACAAGTATGGATCAAAATCTCTACATATGGCCAATACCCTATGACAGTCAGTAAAGCCTATGATGGTGCAGGGAAGGCAGAAAGAATTGCAGAGAGGAGTGGGTAGCAGCCCTTCCAGAACTGTTGTCAGTAGGCCCAATGCTGGCTACACTGGAGAAGAAGGCAGGCAGCCCAGACACACCACTTCTCAGGGCAACAGATGCTTTGGTGGCACTCCTATTCATGCTTTTGGCCATATTAACTGGCTACTTACTTGTTCATCTGAGGACACAGCTAGAATAAATTTCCCAGCCTTCCTTGCAGTAGGTGTGGTCACCAGACTGAGTTCCAGACAATGGAATATGGGTAGATGTGTGCCACTCTTCAAGATCTGGCCCATGAACACTTCCCATGCACTCCTTCTCCCATATCCCAATCAGGGTGTCAACACCCAGGGGGACCTTGGAAGTGACATAAAGATAGCAGAACGTCTATCAGCCTGAGTGACCGCGTGGGACGGAGCATGGGCCTGCAAAAATGGCCCGTAGGTAAGGAAGAAACTAACTCTTTATGTTAAGCCAGTGAGAACTTCAAGGGTATTTGTTACACCATCCATCATTTAATACAACACAACACACTCTAAGGCATCCTGACTAAACACCAGGAGAAGACTTACCTCACCAACTACGAATCCCCTTACACCTAAAAGTAATGGTGTGCCAAGCATTCTCACACCGGACGTCACAGAACTCACAGGCTTTAAAACTGTTGAGAGTCCACCCCCCAGGGACTGGTCAGACAATTTATACAATGGTGTATCTGTGCAATGACATACTCTGCCACTATTAAAAAGGACACAGGAAAGTTGTAAGTACTACCATAAGAGATCTTCAGAATAAGTTCAAAAGCAAGTCTCAAACTGTGTATACCCCATCTCTACTAAAAATACAAAAATTACCTGGGTGTGGTGGTGCGTGCCTGTAATCCCAGCTACTCGGGAAGCTGAGGCAGGACAATCACTTGAACCAGGGAGTTGGAGGTTGCAGTGAGTCGATATTGCACCACTGCACTCCAGCCTGGCGACAGAGCAAGACTCTGTCTCAGAAAACAAACAAAAAGTCATATATTTTAATTGTACGTAGTTTTTTTCTGGAACAAGAAACAAATAGCAATAATTATTCACAGGGAGAAGAGAGAGATAAAGGAATCATTTTTTTATTTTATACCTTTCTGTATTCTTGGGATTTTCTAATATTGTATACATATCACTTCTTATAAAAATGTCAATGGAATAACAACCCTGTGGGCTACCTTTTCCTTTCTCATATATCCCTGTATTTAAAAAGCTACTGTGAAAATGCAAATCAGCAGCGATGAAGGAAGGAACACGACAACAGGATGACTGAACCTCTTCCTCCCAGGAAGATTATCCCCCAAATGAGGACACTACAAGTTGTTGTTGATCAACTGCCAATCACAACTATACAGTTCTGAATTTGTAATGGTGACATGGGTGACCATTAAGGCTCCTCTAGTTGATTAGAAAAGTGACATGTGGCAAGAACATTTCTAATTAGTGATCACTGTAGAAATGCCTTAAGGAACAGCTCCACTTAAGTTTTCTCCCAGATGAATTCATACGCCTTTCCCTCTGAGTCCAAAGCCAACTGTCTGAACACCACATTTTGGTGGCTGAGGGGAAGTTCTGTTTCAAACTATGTAGAGAAAGGCATCAAGAAAGAAAAATGTAGAATGCAGGAGATGTATACCTGCTGACAGGCAGCCACAGTGTAATCAACAGTTAGGAATGATCCCTCTGATCCAAGGAGAAATTCTAGGTCTCATTTTTTAAGTACCCTCAGAAAAGAAATACCTCTTCAGCTCCCAGTGAAGTGCTATACAAAAATGCTTCTTACAATTCAGAGTCTGGCTCATCTCTATTGCGTGGGTTTAATTTCCACGAAGGCAGGGAAAAGGCTGGTCTGGGACACATGCACCGCCTCCAGTAGAACACAGGTGCCTCCTGAGCTGCTCCAGATTTTGTTTAAATCACCTGAACACGATTCCACCAGAACACAGAAGGTAAGGCAGAGAAAATGTGTGTTTAAATATTCTGAGATAAATGTCTGGGCTACGGGATCAGGCACTACCAAATGCAGGGCAAAAGGATGCTGTGAACGCAAGTGATGTTTCTGAAGCACTCTCTTGTGCCCTGGCCCTGATCTGGCAATGGGAGAGGACACAGAGACACGACACTGGCTGGGCTTCAAGGAGTCCAAAGTTTCATGGGAGAACAGGTAGGTTAACAAAAAGTATAATTAGCCTAAAATTCGCACACAATACTACTTTTAAAAACAGAACATTCTTCTTGCTTGATTTGACCTCTGCATTATCTTTAAATATAAAGTATTCTGAACCAAAAAAAAACCTAATTTAGTTAATAGGGGCTATTTGACATGAATGTTAAACTGAGTTGTTTAGAAAACCAGAACAGAGCTTCGCAAGCCAGAGGGGCTGCCCAGCCTGCACAGGGCATGCCTACAAGAATGGGACCTGCCATTTAACACTTCACCTCCTTCATGAGACAGCAGCACTATCCACGAGTCCCCCTGAGCAGTCCTGTAAAAAACTACCTAACAACCTCAGGCTGCGGTGTAAAGCAATGCTCTTCCCACAAAATTCCGCTGGACTGAACACGACAGAATGATTAGATTCATGTCTCCCACTTGGCGAGCTGAAGACTGTGACACGGAAGCTGGGAAAAGAGTGCATTGGACATTCCACCTCAAGACTGTCTGCAGAGTTTCAAACACATGTAGTAATAGAAGAAAGGGCAAGGAAAAACATGTGCAGTGAAGACCAGGGTGGCACAGTAAACATTATCCTTGGAGTGAGTCAACTGTTCTTTTCCATCATAGCCTCAAGGCAGAGGGAGGTGGATGCTGCCATCTAGAGATATCCAGGAATATCGGCTTTGATATCAATGCAGCCAACACAAAAGCACTGATGGGAGTGGAAGTGGAAGACGGCACAGTCTTAGGGAAGCAGCTGCCTGAGGGACCCATTCTTTCTGGAACCAGGTCCTCATCCAGTTTAGGGAGAGGGCGAGGAGGAAATGCCCAACAGACAGGATGCCTTTAGCCCTACGGTTCCCATGAGTATGAGAATGCAAATTCCTCTATGCAGGGAAAGTGGGGCACAGAGAATTAGAGGAATGAGTGGGAAGAGATCAAATGTGGGAACAGTTAATGGATACACATAAAAATAGAAAGAATGAATAAGACCTACTATATGAAAGCACAACAGGGTGACTACAGTCCGTAATAATTTAATTGTACATTTTTTTTTTTTTTTGAGACGGAGTCTCGCTCTGTCGCCCAGGCCGGACTGCGGACTGCAGTGGCGCAATCTCAGCTCACTGCAAGCTCCGCTTCCCGGGTTCACGCCATTCTCCTGCCTCAGCCTCCCGAGTAGCTGGGACTAAAGGCGCCCGCCACCGCGCCCGGCTAATTTTTTGTATTTTTAGTAGAGACGGGGTTTCACCTTGTTAGCCAGGATGGTCTCGATCTCCTGACCTCATGATCCACCCGCCTCGGCCTCCCAAAGTGCTGGGATTACAGGCGTGAGCCACCGCACCCGGCCAATTGTACATTTTTAAGTAACTAAAAGAGTGTAATTGGATTTTTAACATGAAGGATAAATGCTTGAGGGGATGGATACTCTTTCTCCATGATGTGATTATTACACATTGCATGTCTGTATCAAAACATCTCATGTACCCATGACTATATGCACCTATTATGTACCCACAAAAATTAAAAGCTTTTTAAAAATTTAATGTAGATAAGAGTGATGTGAGACATGGTACCCAGGACAAAGGGTTAGTACCTGCTACCACATTGAAGCCCTCAGAGTTCCACTGCCAGATTATGAACCACAGGAAAGGAAAATGGGGTTAGAGAGAAAGCCAAAGGAAGAAATTAGAATCACACAGGCAAGAAAACCAAGGAGATATGAAATTGAGCCCAAGACTGGCATCTTGGGGAAAACAGGAGATGTAATAAAAAAGTACACATTTTCTATCACATGTTACTAGGATGCACAAAAAGAAAATGTATGCTTAAAGATGTTAAGAATGGTTGTATATTATGCATGATTTTTCTCCAGTTTAAGAACATTTTTAAAAATTGTCTAGGAATTTTTCAACTTATGATAGAAAATATTCAATAAAGAATGCAGAAGTTATCTAATCCTACATTTCCCAACTGATCAAGTGGGTCTATGATCCTGAGAGAGGAAGCTAAATTAAGTTCTACCTGATCAACAACATGATTTTATTTGCCCTGGTGTAGGATTCCCAGTCTTTCCCTCTTAATGAAGAGCTTTCAGCACAGACGGGGCACAGATGATGCCCATAATTTAGATGCAAGTGTGTGACATTCCACAGCCTGTGGGACAGGTTAGAAGCTTCCGACTTTAGTGAAAACTGTTGCCATCAGCAACTTCAGCTGCATCTAGTTAACTTCATATCAGATGCAGATTTGTTTAAAATGCCAGACAAGTGAGGACCATTCAATCCTGCCCAAGCCTCTCCCTGCTCTGACAGGGTAAGGAATCCAAGGGTTGTCAGGCTTGATGGATGAGGGGAATTATTCCTGATGTGCTGTCAGCACCCATCTCCCTTTGAGCACATCCTTCTCATCAGCACAAGAGGCAGAGGATGTTCTGAATAACTCAGGGTAGAGATAGTTCAGGGAAAAAGCTCATGCCCAGCAAAGTGGTGCAGTCATTAATGTTTCGCTTCTCCTTTAGTTGGCTCCTGTGACACTGCCAGCAAGAAAAAGTTTCCATAGCAGAGAACACCTCTACCGCTAGCATGGCAGTTGGAGGCATTTATAATTTCACAACTGCAAATTAAAAGGAAGCTTGGTCTCTCCCTTCATAAAATCAAAGCAGTAGCCCCTGAGATTGGCAATGGAAGCAAACTTCCACGTCGAAAGAAGATCTGGACCTCACAATCTCAACGCCTGTCTCTGAAAACATCCCCAGCCTTTGGAGACCTGCCACCACCCAGGTCCAGCTTCGCAGGCTGATGGCTTCAGTCATCATTGAGTTCTGCTCCAGGAAACAACAAGGTCCAGGGTTATGTGTCATAAAACTCCAAGAGAACTAGTCACATCAGCCTCGGGGATGGCCTTTCAACACTGCAGTGCCCAGGCTAGGAGCTGAACAAGGAAAACTGACAAAACTACAGATTCCCCAATGACAACCCAAAAGGACTATGACTATATAAAAGTAGCTGCAGTTCAATATTTTCACAAGGGATGATTTTTTTCTCACTGGTTTTCAAAGAAAATGATAAAGATACTGCCAGAGATATAAAAATGCTAAAATGGGGAGAAGTCTTTTAAATGTAAGTGAAAATAAATTTAACTGCAAGCATGATAAGGCTCCTCTACCAGTCCTACTTAGATGTTAAACATACCATGAAATGAGAAGAATTTTATGATGTGACACAAATACAGGAAGACAAATCAAAGGACTAGAACAGAGTCAAGAAACAGATCTGTAATGTACTTAGGAATGTAGTATATGCGAAAAGTAGTATTAAAGATTAGTAAAGTTGCCCAGTAATACTGCTGGAATAACTGGCTATCTCTGGAAAAAGAGGAAGAAGATGAACCGCTCCTTTACTCCTTTGAAAAATGAGTTCCAAACAGGTTAAACACTAAATATTAACCCCTAAAGATATGAGAAGAAAATATGAGACAGTATTGGTAGAATTGAAGATGGCAAAATACCTTTCTAAGCATGACATGAAATTCAGAAGCCACTTCAAATTAATGAAGTAGACAAACCTCTGGAAAAACTAACAAAGTGAGAGAGAGAAGACAAAACTAAACAATATTAAGAACGAAGAAAGACTTAAAACTGAAGATGCCACATAGAATGCAAAAACAGATAATTTTCAAACTTAAATAATCAAATTTCCATGAAGTCATAAAATACCAAATTGATTAAGAAAAAATTTAAAAATCAGAATAGTCCTATAACCATTAAAAATTTGGATCAATTAAAAGTCCCCCAACAAAGGAAATATCAAGTCCAGATGCCTTTATAGGCAACATACAGAAGAGTCCACTCTTAAACCCTTCCAGAGATGAGAAAAAAAATGGTAGATCAAATTATTGTTTAGCAAATACACCCTTCCCACTCTCTACTTTCATTGGAAGGATAGGCTTCCCCATTCCACTGATGCCAGACTTAATCATGTGGCTTACTTTGGCCAGTGGGCAGAAGTGACACTGTGGCAGTTCCAAGTCTAGTCCTTGTTTCTGCTCACCACTCTAGGAGGTTCCAACCTTCAGCATGTGAAGAACTTACCACAGATAAGTGCTGCCCTTCCACCTGGGTCCCACGGGAAGACATGTAGACCAGACAGACATCGGACCTGCAGTCTGGATGGAAGCCACGCCAACCACAGATCCATGGCCAAAGCAGGACTGACCCAACCAACACACAGACCCACAGCAAGAAATCCTTATTAATGCATGCCACTGGGGAATTGTGATTTATTATGCAGCCCTATTATACTAATAGTTGCTGATATACATTCCTACTTCGTTCAGCTACCATAACCTTGATATTAAAACTAGACAAAGATAATCCAAAAAATGAAAACTACAGGTTAATGCCACTTGTAAACACAGAAAAATCCTAAGCAAATTATTAATAAACCAAATGCATGAAAATATTATATAAACATATTTGTCACGATAATGTTGTATTTTTTTCTGAAAATGTAAGATTAATGGCCATCAATAAATGTAGAAAAAGCACTTAATAGCAAAAGAAAAATTTAAGAAACAAGAAAAGGGGTATTCTTCACCTGATACAGAGCTTTTTAAAAAAAAAAAGCCCATAGCATTTATCATACTCAGTAGGCAATGTGGAAAGCATTCTCTTTATGATTAAGACAAGGATGTGTAGTATCACCACGTCTATTCAACTTAATCCTGGAAGTCCTAATTAGTGAAAATAAGAAAAAAGAAAGAATAGCTACAAAGATTGGAAAAGGAAAAAGCAAAGCTGTTATTACTTGCAAATTATTATTTGCAAAATTACCCCCTCCTCCAAATCTACAGATAAGAATCATTATAAATTAGTAATCTTAATTTAATAAAGCCAACTGAATTCCCATACATTAGCAAGCAGCTAGAAATGTTTATTTTTAAAGGATATTAAGGTTATTAAAAATAATCTAACAAAGGATGTACAAATTCTTTCTGTAAAAAATAAAACCTTATTGAAAAACATTAAAGTCCTAAATAAACAGAGCAATATACCATGGTCTAGAATAGCAAAACTCAGCATAATAAAAATGTCAATTTCCCCCAATTGATCTACACATTTAATGTAATTTTAATCAAAATCTCAATCAGCTTACAGGATTTCATGAGCAAATTTAAACAGAAGATAAACCTGCCAAAAACAGCCAATGCTCTTGAAGAACAACCATGGCATGAGGGAACTTTCTTGACTAGTTATTTAGGCTTGTTAAAAGTTACAGTAATTAATGAAGTGTGACATTGGCACAGGGACAGATGGATTGACCGACTACAAAATGGAGCCCAGAAACAGACTCATGTATATAGAGAAATACACCCAATACTTAGAAATCTGCTCTGATATGAATTATGTCCTTCAATTATTACAACAATGTTGCCAGGATTAACCATTCCTATTTTACTAATGGACACCCCCAGGCCTCACGAGGTTAAGGGACAGATGTCCAAAATTACAGAGCCAAGAAACGTCAGTACTAGAATTCAGTCCTAAGTTTCTCACCCTCAAACATACCAGTCTTTTTCATCATCTGCTGAGTTTTGAAGAACAGTTAATAAAGCAAAGCAAAGAGCCTATATGCTAAGGATGATAGCAGCCTCCAAACCACTGAATAAAAATCTTAGCAGAAAAGTAGGCAAGCAGAATTACACAGTGGTCATTCTAAGAGGGGTCAGGAAGAAGTGCTCTTCCATTCTGAGAATATCACTCTTGAGCCAGACCATGAGTCCACTTAATTGGGAAAGGTATATTGCATGTCCTAGAGAATTAAGGTCATGACGCTGAAAGTGTTGGGGTGATTTATGAGGATCACAACTGGAAAAATAAAACAATCCTCCACACTCCCAAATTAGAAGAGAGACACTCACACTAAGACTCTCAATAGAAAAAAATAGACTCTAAACTCTAAAGACCTACAGAGACCAAAACTCAGTCTTCAAACAGATATGGCCCCCAAGTCATTAAGCAGAGACACATTTAACCCTTTACATATGCAAGAAGTGACAAAGATTTAAAGTCAACGATAGAAATGCTATAGTTTTTTTAAGAACTGTAATAGAGGGTAGACTAAGAACACTAAGTCCCATAAAGTTTGTTTTCAAAGAGCCATAATTCTCTGGTTGGGCTCTCAAATACTTAGTTTAGTTATATGAAATTCCTATTAAAATGTTTTATGTTCTCAGCTCACTTAATAGCTTGATTTTTCTAGCAGTTTGTTTATGCCCAGCTTCCATGAATACAGAGAGAATCATGCTTTAAATAAAAATGAAATACAAGAAAAATGATATTTGAAAGAATAGAAATCAAATTAAAATCTAAATTGCAAATCATCTAACATGTATAAGAAAGCTAAATTAGAACCCCAAGAAATGCTGAAAGGGAATATATTTTTAAGGATCATAAACCAAACAATAATATTAATTGCGATAAGAGGGCTTATTTAAATGAAAAGCCCAAAACTAAGGATTTCATAAGCAATGTTCTTAATTTATATTCTTAACATGCTAACATTTGTTTCTGTCTTTTACATAGCTAACCAATTACAGTATATTTCTAAGGAACCAATTTTATTTGCTGACAATTATTTGTTATCTTAGTTATAAATTCTGCAGCTTTTCAAGCAACAAATGAATGTCTTACATCTGGAAAAGAAAACACAAAAAGTGATGGTATGATGTTTGAATACATGCAATTACTGGTATGTTACATTCTAATTAACATAATTAGCTTTGAAATAGTTCTCACAATAGCTGTCAACACTTGTGTCAATTTAGTGGCAGTTAATGACATGTGTAACAAAGATCTGCTATTTTTTCCACTTAAAAATAAAATAAACCTTTCCAAAAAGAAAAGACAGGCAGCCTCACTGAATATTTAAAACTCTTTTTAACCAGTAAAGCTCTATTCCAGATGATTTAAAAAGCAGATCTTGTAGTTTATTCCACGGGTCTAAAAATCGGGGTATGAGCACCCCAGTGGTGCACAATATAATCAACTGGGGTTTAGAAAACAAATGTTAGAACATCAGTTTTCATTTTTTAACATCTCTTCTTACTGGTTTTAGAACATTTCATATGTTGATATTGAAGCTGATAGCTGGTATGTACCAGTACTGATGGCTAACACACTTCCTTACAGGTTGGCTGATAGTCACAGCCGCAAACACTCCAAGTACACCCTAACCTCCCTATCACCTACCCCAGGATTCTCCAATCCTCTCGGTGATGGTGGCAACCGAATTTGCCTCCAGGTCCCTTCTGAAATTCTACAGTAAATGTCCTCTCTAACGGTTTCCTAGTGGAGATACACAGGCCTGTTAAAATTCTTTCAGAACCTCCTCTAAGCACATAACAATCACTTTAAAATACATTTACATATTAGGGATGCTTACTAAAAAATGTTTTTACTGATGGGCTGAGCCAGGAAAAATGTTAGAGGCCCAAAAGGCATCTTCTAACTTTGTTACACCTGGGCAAATGATAGCCAAATTTGACAAAGGCAAAAAAAGATGGGAATATTAATAATACTTTCAGTAAAAACCTGTTAATCTTCTAAAGATCCAAATATACAGGTAGTGTGGTAGTAGTATACAAAATGTTAATTCAAAAGAAAGCAAGACATCTGTTCAAGTCACATTTTTGTTGTATATGGTGACACCTACAACTCATATTTTTTATACAAAAAGAAGATTCATGAAGAGCAGGATCCTTATCTTTTGTGTAATCTTCTGTGTAATCCAATGAGAAGAATGAAAAGAAATGAGTTGGGTTTCTTTTTTCTAGTGGTCTTTTTATTTATTTATGTAGTGTTTTTTAACTTTTAAGTTCAGGGGTACAAATGCAGGTTTGTTACATAGGTAAACCTGTGTCATGGGGGTTTGTTGTACAGATTATTTCATCACCCAGGTATTAATCCCAGTACCCATTAGTTATTTTTCCTGATCCTCTCCCTCCTCCCACCCTCCACCCTCAAGCAGGCCCCAGTGTCTGGTGTTCCCAACTTTGTGCCCACGTGTTCTCATCATTTAGCTCCCACTTATAAGTTAGAACATACAGTATTTGGTTTTCTGTTCCTGTGATAATTTGCTGAGGATAATGGCCTCCAGCTCCATCCATGTTTCTGCAAAGGACATGATCTTGTTCATTGCTATGGCTGCATAATATTCCATGATGTATCTGCACCCACATTTTCTTTATCCCATCTACCAAAATGTAACTAAAAGAATGCCTTTTTATTTTTTAAAGGCATCATCTCTTAAACTCTACTCATGTCAAAGATGTTATATTATCCTTCCCCCATAACTTCTAATTTCAAACAAGCCTTATGTCTGACAAGTTATCCTGCAGAAAACATGGCAAATCTGCAGTTATCTGAAAAGAATCATAGAAAAGCTTATCGTCACAAGGCCAGCTTAATCAGTTCTATAAATCATAAACTTGGGATGTACATTTAATGAAACTTAAATTCCATAATCTAATAATACATCAGCTCCTCTTGTCCAAGATGACAATAATAGTTAATATTTATTGTGTTCTTATGTGTTCCAAGTGGATATCCTCAGTTGTATGACCTCACTTGACTCCAGCAACAATGACATGAGATAGGTACTATTAATATTCCCATTTTCCAGATGCACAGGAAGGTTATGTTCCTTGGTCAAGGTCACATATCTAGTAAGTGGTAAGGTCAAGACTCCAACCCAGGCAGCCAGGCACTGGAGCCCATGCTCTTAAACATTACTCTAAACTGCCTATAACAATTAAATTCTAAATCAAGTACTTACACAACTGATCACAATTCAGGTTAGGGCCACAGCAGAGCATGATCCCTCTGGACAATGGGAAAGGGGTGAGCCAAGGTCTATCTGTTCCATCCAAGAAATTCTCCAATAACAGGGTTCATATTCAAAAGCAGAGCTCTCAAAGTTCAGTTAAAATGTAGAGGTGCTATAGGCACAACCAAATATAAGTCCATGATATTTCATCTGGTGTCATTTAAAAGAACCCACCCAAGGAAATATCCTAGGTTCACATCTTCAACAGCTACAGCTCATTTTCCTGAGCTCTTTAGGCATTCAGGCCATTTTGGGGATGAGGAGAGAAGGGGGAGAAGGCAGGAAGAGATGCTTCCAGTCCTACTTAATTATATAATAAATGCTTTGGTTCCGATATGCACTATTCCAAGGAGGGTCATGTAACCTGGATTGGGGTGAGGGTGGGTAAAGAGGGCAAGGAAGAGGCAGTGTGTACACTAAAGTACAGACAGGTATTGTCCAGGCAGAGAAGAGAGTTACATAGAGAAGAGTTTTCTTTCCAGAATAAGGAAGAGCCTGGGAAGAGGAGTCCGAGGTCGGAGGAACGAATGGCAGGTGGTTTACTACCACCCATTATTCTGACAAACTCCAGAAGCACATAAAGATGAGAAACCTCAACCCTCCATCATGTGAATCTGTCAAGGAGATGAATGTGTCCAGAAAACAGGAACAAAACTCGGAGGTTTTTAAAAGTTTAACTGATGACTTTAAAATCAGAGCTTTATAAAAAGGGGGTACAAAGTATCACTTGTTCAACATTATTTATAAAGCTAAACTTCATCACTGTATTTAGGAACCAAAGGGGGAAAAATGTCAACTTACACTTATACAAACAAGGAAAGAAATACCCGTACAAACCTAACTAAGCACCCATATAAACAAGGCAGGATGCATCTCTAATCAAAGGAAAACAAGTTGGTTACAGGCAATGAAGAGATATTTCATACTTAAGAGTACTAGAACAGGCATTAATTCTTATGAAAAGAATGATAAATGTATACGCCTGTTTTCTTAGGGTTACAGATTCATCCGTGACATACTAGAACCCAATTATTACTCACTAAATACAGAATTCTACTGTGAAAACAGTAATGTACCTTCAATTCTTAGACTGTCTAGAACATACGCCATCCAGAGAAGAATTCAAGTTTTGTTGGTGAATCATCTTGGAAACAAAGATTCAGAGACAAATAAGTAAATGACAGACAGGAGGAACAGAAGTCTGGGATCTGAGGAAACAAACCTGTAGAAGCACTAGGGCTTGGAATGACAGCCAGTCCTAGTATGGGATCAGAATTATCAAAACTTGAGCAAGGGCTTTATGCCTCTACATATTATTTGTAAAAATGCCTGCCACTACTTAGCACTCATTATTGAAGACTTTTTTTAATGGAAGCTGATGTACCCTGAACAATAAAAGATTTAGTAGATCCCAAGTAACTAAATTGGACATTACCACACTACTCCACATTTCACTTAAAAACAAATTACCAGTGTCAGATCACAAAGATCTCACAGTCCAGTAGGTCATGATGAATATGTAGCCACTGAATCTAACAAATGCACAGACTTACTTCCTTTTGGCTAAAGTACCGGAAAATACCATGCTTTCCACCTTGGAGATTTCCTAAATTAAAAAGACTAGCTTAACTTAGGAAAATGAAGTGAAGGCTCACCATCCACCTTATATGGCATCACCATGAGTGGTGGTGGTGGTATTCTAGGGTGCAGATTAAGTCAGAACTCATTTCATCATCACTGATACACATGAGCCTCTGAGTTTTCAGGTGGTTCCTCTGCCTTCTCAACTATCCTAGAAATATCACATTAAGAAGAAACATTATTGTCCACTGCACTGTCCACCTTTATCTACCACTCCCCACCCATCACACTGTATGCAATTTCCACTTGGCCTTGAAGCTTGCCTAACCAAAACCTACTCAACGTTTAACATTCAGTTCAAGTTGCAAAGTTTTCCCAGACACCTGCAGGTCAAGTCTTTCTTCTGCTTCTATGAATTCTCATGGCTGCAAACTCTCCAGCATGTTGTTAGCTTCCACCTTGATCTTGGATTTCCCAAAAGTCTTCTTGCAACTAGTTTATAGGCTCCTTAAAAGCAAGACCACGTTTCGCACAGATTTTCATACTAGTCAAATAAGAGGGAATCCATTAATAGCCAATTAACTGATCAATAAGCATCCTGGGGAACACACTGATTCAGAATCCCAGAGTAGACTGAAGCTTCAGGTGCCAATGAACCCGGAATAAGTATAATTACCACTACTACTCATTATACTAACCACAAAACTATATCTAGAAAAAGCAAGATAGGAAACATAATGAGGCATGTTTTCCCAGAGCCACAATAACCAGGGATTTCCTAAGAAGTCTCTGAAGTAAAAGGATAATTTTTCATTTTTCCCAAGACAGGAAATGCTACATCCCAAAATCTTTCCCCCAACAAACCGCTATCTAATTATTATGGGTTTCTTGGTTTCTTTTGAGAATAAGATAGCAAACACGTCAATGCTGGTATTTTAACAAAGGAGGAAATAGGATGCCAGAAGGACAAGCTGTGCCACCCCAGCAGTCCACCAGAGGGGAACCTGTCCACACCAGTGGGCATTTCCATAACAGTGGCCGTCACTACTTTGCCACATTATTTTAATCATTTCCTCAGACACGGAAACCAGTAAAATCCTGAACAGCCTAACCATTTAGCTAGTCTGGGCACCAGGAGCCTCTGAAAATGACAGAAACAGAATTAAGATCTCCTCAGTGTTCCTTTCATAAACAACTATTTTCTAAGTACTAACCACAGACCAGGCACTGTCCTTGGTGCTACAGATACAGTAAGGAATAGGACAGCTAGGTGCAGGCATTTACCACCCTATGGATCATCTCTTCATACTTGGTGGACAAGCTGTCGACCTCCTAAATGGTTGGCACACCAGTTGGGTAAACAGGTAATAAATAAGCTCTAACATGCAGAGATCTACGTACATATATGTGTAGTATTGCTGTTCCAAATTTGTTTTGCTCCCCTCTGTGATGGTAAACAATTAAAAGAGGGCATGTGTTTCTATTATTTAAATCCCACATAATGTATATGGACACCATTCGCCTCACTGTCAAATGGACCTTTGATAACAGGAAGTCACACTTGACTGGTCTTTCCAGGCACACCCACGCAGAGACCCATGCAGAGAGCTGCTCCAGCTGGTGCCCAATCCTTTCCAGGAAGGACAACACCTAAAGAAGGTAATGAACATTTTTTAACCTCTGCAAAATGAAAAGAAGAAAAAAACTAAGACATGGGGACATTTTAAGTGACTGCGCTGAGTGGAATTTCATTTTAGGAAAAATAAACTTCTCCCTCAAATATGTAGTTCTTCACTCGTTCTTAGACCGAATCGCAATACCCTTCACATGCCTACTAATTACCCATTGGGCAGCCAGCCATGTTTACAATCAGAATACACATTTAGAATATCTTTTCACAGAGATAGCAGTTGGATTACAGAGAGGATTTTACACTTCATTTTAAGCTGATCTTTGATTTACAGACTCATGTTAAACCAGCTACTCTGTGGATGGGCTCAGGTGAGCCTATAATGAGATTTATCTTCATGGATTAGGCCTGACCTATAATAATCTGCTCAGGGCTCCCTACTGCTATTTCAGCACTGAGTTATGAAAATTCATCCCTTCACTATAAACAGAACCTAGCTCAGAGGGTAATAACTATGAGATGTATTACTCCTCGAATACAAGCACTCCAGAGACTCTGATTATAATGTCCACAGCTGAAGGCACTATTTCACAATTGAGATTACTACTTTCCAGATGAAAAAAAATTCTGAGCTGTGGAATAATGCCTTCAGCTACACACACTGTAATCACACTCAGCAGTTCCTGTATCCCAAGAGCAATACAGGTTACCAACAGTTGGTTTGGTAAGCTGATTTAGGGAATAAAGGAAAGATGTTATAGGAGGCAGCACAGATAATCCTAATTTCACATTCGCTTTATCTACTGACTTTAGCATGAGAGTTCAACAGGTCCAATAACCATATTGATTTCACTAAAGCATAAATTTAAAAGAATAATTTTATAACCAAACCAACTAAGTTTTAAAGATAACACTATTGACTGCTGACCAGGGTATAGTGAGATGCACTTTACCAATCTAAAAGTATAAATTTGTACGGCATTCCTAGAAACAGCTTAGCAAGAGCTATGGAGAATGTCAACAATGCTTATATTCTTTGCCCCAGTAATCCCACTCCAAGAATCTACCTGAAGAAATCATTAGAGGTGAATAAGGACTTATTTAAAATCCACTCACCACCATTATTTGCAGTAGGAAAAACCTGGAAATAACATAAAGGGAACAGTTTAGTAAATTATGATAAATCCACATACTGGAATATTATGCAGCCTTTAAATTGAGTCATAATGGCAATAGAGAAATGTTAATTCATAGATGAATTCTACAACTTTGGTTAAGCAATTTATTCAAGGGCATTCAAATTGTTCCTACATCAATATTTAACAGATACTCTCTCAGAGTTAACTAATTAGACTTCGGATCAGGTTTTTGGTTTTGAGCTATAAGGCTAATGAAGTATTGATATAATACTAAATGACTGCAAATAAAGTCTGTACCCTAAATAAATGCTGACATTATGTCTCTACATTCTGAATGAATTAAAAAGGAAAAATACACTTTTGCATACATTTAGTAAATTTTCCCTGACTTCTTATAATGCATTTCTTTTTTGCAAATGGAAAAGATGAATATTCATCAAGGCTCTTTGAATATATTACAGTTTAAATAGTTTGGTTTTAATATTTATAGAACATCATGAAATGTAATTTCTCCATTGAAAGAAACGTATACGATGTCAAAAGACAGCCACTAAAGAAACATAAAATTAAGCCACTTAACCTAATATTTAAAAGTTAAAATATAGCATTTGAAAGCACCTTGTCCCTTCAAAAAAGTTAAGAATTCTAGAAAGATATTTTTCAGTTTGGTTGGCACATTTTGAGTAAAGATAAGAAAGAAAGAAACAAGCTACTCCCACATCATGCAAGTAAGGACAAAAAGGTTAAATTCCTACCTCAATTCAAATGATCTAAGGGAAAAGTGCTTGTTTTCTTCCATTCTGGATAATACCATCCCACCTAAAGCTACCTCACAATCTCCAAGAAACACTTTTTCTACCAACCCCAAGAACATTGATGACAGCATTTCTTGAGTGACAGGCACTATGCAAAGTACTGTACAAGAGTTCATTCATTTAATCCTCACAATAACCTTCTGAGGTTATTACAACCATTAGCCCCACTACACAAAGGAAGAAGCTGAAGTCTACACAGTCAGCCCTAACTGAGGCTAATAAATGGCAGAAGCTGGAGTTGAGCTCAGGCACCCCATGCTCTCAACCACTCTGCTTTTCCCTTTCATTCTCATTTTCTAACTGAATGATTACAGCTTAATTCCTGAATAAGGTTTCCATAACTAATTTCTCTCTGGCTTGAAGAATAGCTTCTTAGTAAGGCTACATAATGTAAGCAAAAAATTTATCACAGATTAAAAACAAAACCATAAATATACAAGAGTCTGTTCTAGAGCACTGAAAATGTACAGAAAGGAGACATATGTTTATGCATTCAACAAGTTCACTGAGCACCCTACTATGTGCCAGGCACTATTCTAGGCACTGAGGAGACAGCTTGGAAAACAGAATTATCTCTGCCTTCATGAAATTTACATTAGAGTAGTAAGAGATATATAATAAAATAAGCAAACGATATGGTATACTGGACAGTGATAAGCTATGGCGAAAAATGAATGAAGGAAATGAAATATGTGGCAAGCAATATAGGGAACAGTTTGAAACAGGATGGTCAAGGAAAACCTCAATGGGAAGAATGTGAATGAAACCTTCACACAAAAAAGATGAGGCACAGGATTCCAACCAACCAGAAAATTGGAGAAAAATACCAGAAACTAATGTTCATGGTGCTTCTGCCATCTATCTATTACTCCCAAGTACAAATGGAGTGAATATTTCTGATGATGGCCACGTAGCCATTTTAAACTTCCATCATCAAGGCTTACACCCTTATTTTCCTACAAAGAAATAAGTTGCCACTGGTCCTGCTTTTGCCTCCTGAAATTTCCATCTTTCTTGCCAGAAAGCAGCATCTGTATAAATCCCCTGGCTTTTGACGACTATGACTTCTGTGATAAACTACCCATGTGTGTGGGGAGGGACAGAAAGATGGAAGAAGCAAATGGGAAAATGAGTTTTCCCCTCTTCAGATTAATGTATATGAAGTATACATCTGACACTTCATCAGCACTCCCGGCTGGTGTCCCAGCAGGCGGACACTGGCTGAGCATGTATTCTGCCAGCTACCAGGCTACTTAGGATGAACTGGCAACATGCCATTTATCTGAAATGCCCAATGTGTCTGGGAAAGGGAACACAACTATATTTAGCATAGCCAAGGAAAACTAGATACTTCAGGCTAGGAATTAATCTCCTCCTTGAGAAGGTAGTTAGCAATACCTTCAAGCTTGCCTATGGCATTTAAATCACTAAAGGTCATGCATTTACTAAAATTCATACCTACCAAACCTCAGGGCCTTCATTTATATCTTACTAACATATTAATACCTCTCACGTTGAGGGCCTATACTTTTCTGAAATGTATTTTGTTGCAATTGGGCACGGAACTGTTATATTGAGTATAATGCTATCATCTGGACATAAACCAATTTGGTTCCTTGTTTTTCCAATCCCCCCCATACTTGAACACACACATCACTTCAACTTAGTCAATGAATCAAAATATATAAACAAATGTGACTATATGATTGCTTAAAAGCAGACTAATGAAATTTCCTTGAATGTAGACACTAATAATCTCTTCACAAATTTTGTCACCATATTTTTTGAGTGGCTGATGTGAAACTCAATGGGATTTAGCCTGTATCATAGACTTTAAGGCCAATCACAACTGTAAGATGCACACTGGACAGCAAAGCCATAGAGATTTTAGATGGATGGTCTTATTAGGTCACCCATTACAGCATGAAGAATCACACCATCGTGCTCAACCTGCAACTAAAAAAAAAAGTCACTTTTCCATAAATAATTATTTATTCCTTCAACATTATTTACTGAATGCTTTCTATGTGCAAGGCATTGTCCTGAGAGCAGTGAAAAGTAGAAAGTAAAAATCAGACAAGAATTCTGCCCTCAAGGGGCTTGCAGTCTAGCAGGGAGGTATTCGACATAAACACAAAGAACAAAAACGAAGGTGTGCCATGATACATGTCAGGCGGAGTCGGGGGAAGGATGGCTTACAGCTCTACGACAGGGGCAAGGGGTAGACAGAGAGGCCAGGAGGAGAGGATCATCAGCATGAGGAATGTTCTACTGCACAACGCACCTCCGCAAATGTCAATTTGTTTGAAGACAAGGAAAAGAGAAAGCTGAAGAGAAGAAGGAAAAAGAAAAAATTATACAAGGTGTACATTCCCACTTCTTCAGCACAATTCTCTCTCAGGTCTATTAGTTGTAATCGGCAGAGATAATTTTGATATAATCCAATCTAAATGAGGCAGAAACACGAAACAGATCAACTTTAATGCCCCTTTAGCTGTGTGGTTCGACAAGTGGTACCAAAAGCAGGAAAGGTCACTAACATGTACTTGAGTGACACGTCAAAATAAGTGATATGGCATCCAAATCTGGGCACATGGCAGCAGATTAATAAAGAAATCAAGATGGTCGTCTGTCTGGCAGCTCTCCTCTGGCTGCTGCTCTTAATACAACAGAAGGTGAGGGGCAAATAGTTTTCTGTAGACTATAATTAGGAACTAATGAACTCTCTGAAGGGAAAGGGAAAGATAAGGGTTAAATTTTAAACCTTCACTATCTAGTAGTAAATGACTAATCACATTCTGGCTTCTGTGCCCAAGCTTACCTACAATACAATAACAACAACAGAAATAATAATATTGCTAACATTTGTGACTTGTTATATGCCAGGTACTATTATAAGTTTTTTCTACATGGTATTTCAGCATTTTCCCCAGAGTTATATTAAGCAAACACTATAAACATAAAAACCTGCAGGTAAACAAGCTAATAATTTAAGTGATTCCTTGATAACAATGTCATCTGATAGATTTTGGGAGGTACTCTTCTCATGTTTTCTATTAATAGTTCTTACTGCAACCTCTTCCCAAATATCTTAGGTCAGGTGACATGCATTTCATCAATGAATAAGTCAGTTTCTGTTTCTTGGTATGTGACTGTTAGTACTAGTAAGAAGATAGATTACTTAAGAATGGCTGGACATGGTGGCTAATGCCTGTAATCCCAGCACTTTGGGAGGCCAAAGCAGGCGTATCACCTGAGGTCAGGAGTCCGTGACGAGCCCGGCCAACGTGGCAAAACGCCGTCTCTACCAAAAATGCAAAAATTAGTCAGGCGTGGTGGTGTACTCCTGTAATCCCAGCTACTCGGGAGGCTGAGGCAGGAGAATCGCCTGAACCCAGAAGACAGAGGTTGCAGTGAGCCAAGACTGTGCTACTGCACTCCAGCCTGGGCAACAGGAGCGAAACTCCATCTCAAAAAACAAACAAAAAGAAGATATATTACTTAAGAAAACATATTATTCTGTGACAGTGTTGTTTGAATTACAATGATTGACTTGGCGATAAACATACAGGATTACTATTTAGGTGTAAAGAATAATGTTGCAGCAGCTAAAAAACACTTCTGTCAAAAAAAAATCATGAATTGTGAAGTATTTTCCTCTTTCCTTAAAAAGTAAATAATCAGAGTAAAATAAGCTCTTAATAAAATTCCCTAAGGAGAAAAAGTCACTTTGGACTTGGGGATGGGATGGAGGAAAATGCTCTCTACCATCAGGTTAATTGTATCTTTTAAAAATAAGCCCAAGCCAGGCACAGTAGTATGTGCCTGTAGTCCCAGCTACTCAAGAGGCTGAGGCAGGAGGATCTCTTGAGCCCAGGAGTTTGAGGTGGCAGTGAGCTATGATGGTGCCACTGTATTCCAGCCTGGGCAAAAAAGCAAGACTTTGTCCCTAAAAATGAAAATAAAAATGAACTAAAAGTCCCAATATTTTCATGAGAGAAAAAATATGAATTTTGGTTTAAATAGTCAATTTTGAAGTCATAAACTATCCTGAAAGAAATTTCTTTAAAGATAATTATTTCACACATTCAAAATTATTCTGAAAGAAGAATCAGGAAATTCCAGAGAAGAAAGGGACTTTATAGACTGTTTAATGCCTCTTTTCATCTTACAAGTACAAATGAGATGAGAGAATTTGAGAAACGGACTTGTCCAAGTTTATACAGCTATCTAATGGCAAAAGCAGGACTAGAGGCTAGACCTGAACAAAATCTGCATCCATTACTGCATTATTTCCAAATATCCAACATAATTTATTACCAATGCATAAAATTATAAGACACAATACATTGATTTATATATCATTTGCATCTTCATCAATAAAAGGTGTTTAAAATCTATTTCCATATCATACAACCCTACCACCCATGCAAAAGTAACTTGTACAGACTTCTAAGCTGAGCCAAAGGCCAAAACAAAGAAGGGCCCACCAGCAAAAAAAAAAAAAAAAAAAAAAAAAAAAAATTCTAATAAGCATGTTAAACATAAAGGTCTACACCGGGGTAAAAATAGAAATGTGGGAATCCATGCTGCTAACAAATACACACATATTTATGGAGAGTGCTGAAGTTGGAAAAATCACCATTTTCAAACATAGAAAAGAGTGATCCAGGCAAGAATCATCAATGGATTCTTGGGGAAAATTTTGATGAAAAGCGTATTTGCATTGCTTAAAAGTACCTCCCAGGTTGCTCATAGATTGTGGGAGAGAAAGTGGTAACTACAGTGGAGAAATCAGGCAACACTTTGACTGGATGATCACAATTAACATCACAGAGAGGGGCAGATGGATGTGATGGGCCTCCAGACCTCATTCCTTAAGAGGACTTGACATCACCAGTGTCGTATTCTTGCCTGGAATGCAAAAACCTGAATCTCGCCATGAGGAGAGAGCAAACAAATATGAGAAATATTCCCTTAAAAATAAGCCATTAAAAAATTATTCAAAAATGTCAAATGTCATAAAAGACAAAGACTGTGGAAACATCCCAGATTAAAGGGGACTAAAGAGAGGGACAATTTAATGCAACACATGACCCTAGACTGGATCCTACACTGGAGAGGGAAAATTCTATAAAGGACATTAATGAGTCAATCGATAAAACTGAAATACAGATGGCAGAGTAGATAACTGGACTGTATCAGTCATAAATTTACTCCAGTTGATAACTGTGATAACAAAGGTCTATAATATATAGATGATGCACTCTCAAATACCTCAAAAAATCATGTGTGTATGTACACATACACACATACATACACACATAGACAAAGAGAAAGGAAATTATGAAGCTAATTGGGCAAGGTGTTAGTCAGATCTAGATAAAGGATAAACTGGTATTCTAAGAATTTTTCTTATTCTTGCAACTTTTCCATGAGTTTTATATTATTTCAAAATAAAAAGCTACAAAAAGGCCTAGAAATACTTTCATTTCTTTTGGGAGAAGGGTAGAGATGAGGCCAAAATTGAGAGAAATCCTCCAAACTGGGTACAGGTGCAGAAATTAGCACATTGAAAGCAAGGAATTCCACATTGCCAAATATGTGCTTAACGTCACATGTGGGTAAGTTTAAATATAGTTAAACTCAATTAACTTAAATTGTCCCTAGAGAGGTGGTGAGCTGGAGCAGCCTCCACCGGCGCCCGCGGACACTCACCAGGCTGGCGGTGAGCGAGGGCGCCGACTGGCCCAGGGCCTGGCTGCGCATGCGCACGAGGTTGGACGTCTCTGCAGAGGCCGGCCAGGCCTGTCCCGCCACCGGGTTTGGAAGAAGGTACCTCCCTGTTGGAGTTAAAGAGAAGAAAATGTAAGTGACAGGCAGCCGGTAGTAGTCTTATTGCAATGGGGGTGGGGGTGGGGTGTCTCTTCCTGGCCAACCTTGTTCTGTATTACTTCTGCCATACCCAGTAATAACATTAATAGCAACCTGGGAAAACTTGTTCTAATTAAGTCAGGAGATCCAGTGGCAGGGTCTGGCCCTGACCTCCAACATCATCTCCTGCATGAGTGTAGCCTCATCAAGGTAGGATGAGGTGTTTTTTTCCCGTCTGCCTATACCAAGGGAATGTGTTGAGAATATATATAAGTACACAAAGCATTCTCAGCATCACAGAAGTAAGCGCGTGCATTTGTAAGTGTTCTTTGAAAAAATCTAATATGGAAAGTGATCTAGGACTCAATTATAAAATAATCTACAAAGTGGAGATCATGACCAACAAAAGGAAACAGAATTCTTTCAAGATGAAATGGGGCTGGTGCCTCTCCCCCAGCTCCTTTTTTCTCTGAAGTGCAGGTGGCCATCCAACTGTGTCTGTGGGATACATAATCATATCCATTTGCATAAATCAGGACATCAATGTCAGTCTAGGTTCACTGAGTAATTTCCATCAACCTTGAACTCTAATATATACATATATGTTTTTAAAAGTCAAACAGCTGAACCAATTCACACTACATTACTTCCTTGGTACATGGACTTGACTAATATTAACACACAAGAAATGATAGTTTTTGACTTCAGGAAAATTAGGATGGACATGAATATTCATATAGCAATAAAGGTCAGTAAAAGTAGAGACTGTGTTTAATTTTCATCTGCTTTGCCCCAATAATAGCAGAATTACTGGCCATAATAGCTGCTCAATAAATATTTACTAAATGATGAAAGGACATGTACACATTTCCTTCCAAAAAAACAGACAATGAAAAGATAGCAGACCACACAAAGAATCTCATCTTAGGGCCATGTGTTGGGGACCCCAGCCTCATTCCTCTCCAGAATCATGAGGGATTGCAGCATGCGTAGCTGGTGGCCCTGCAGCACAGGTAACATCTGTTCCTCGCTTTTCCCTCAGGCATGCATCTCACAAGCACATTGTACTGGTTAATAACGATTGCAGTGTATTAACTAGTTTACCATTACTGCACACGCTAACTACCAGCACTGTCAAAGCACAGGAGCTAGGGGCATCTCCCATCAATTGTCCATGTGAAGAAGTCCACTGCTTTATTTAAGTCAAGTGCTTTCAAAAATTTGTATTTTAGTTGCAGAGGAAAAAATGGCTTCTTTTGCCAGAATTGCTTTTTCACTCTTTTATTATAGAGTGAAAGCACAGACTCTGGAGAAAAATTAGATCTTCTTTTGAAATCCTGCTCTGTAGCTGAATGACACTGGGAAAGTTAGTCAATCTCTCCTGGACTTGATTTTTCCATCTCTAAAATGGGGGTGATAGACTTGACTATGTAAAGTTATTGAGGGGATCAGAGAATTTTGTAAGTACAGTACTCAGTAAATGTTAACTATTTAGCCATAACAGCAGTAAAAATGAAAAGTATCTTCTTTATTTGGGATGGGCTTTTCATTCACAAGAAGAAAATGCAAATATATACAAAGGAACAAAAATTACCTATCATCACACCAGATAAAACCACTATCAACACCTTAGTGATTTTCCTCTAGACTTTCTTTTTACAACCTATATTTTATTGCAAAAAAAATGTGATACTGATTTTTGTCACCTGCTTCCTGCCAACCCTACATAATAGATTGATTTTTTCCAAGCAAATAAATGTAGCAAATGTCAATTAATTTAACACTATCATTGAAAATTCAATGACAGTGAACTTCTGTGGTTCTGATCACCATCTCAAAAACATTCAGACATATTTTTGGGCAAGGTATGTTGCATTTGAAGCCTAGAATTTTAATTTTTTCCTTTCCTTATTTTGAAATGTGCACTAAAAGCTGAACTAAGAACGGCTTTGAGAAATCGGTCCCCTGTAGGCCCAAAGGCAGGTAATTAATGAGGAAGAGCAGGAAAACTATAGAGTGCATTTAGGAATGCTGCATTAATATTACAGGAATAAATGGTTTCCTTAATACAGAAATCACTCAGTATTTGAAGGACTCACTTGTTAAAAATATAAAAACCTCTAATAATCTGAATCCACTTTTTCCTCCCTCCTATGTCATTTTCTATATTTTATTTGTATTTATTTATTTGTATTTTATTTGCATTTTCTTTGTTCATGTTTTGGAAAAGGGCATGATTGAGAGGTACAGAAGCTACATGATGCCACAGTTTATATGATGGAGAGAACCCACTATAGCCTCACTGTTGTTCTGCCTCCATATGCTTCATTTTAAAGAAAACTGAACGTAGATTAAAAAAAAAAAAACTTGGGAGAATTTAATGTAAAATAGAAAAAATTAAAGGCAAAGTATTTTTACTCAGTGAAGAATTTGAAAAATCTTTTTTTCCTTTAGTAGAAAATAATTATTAGGCTGGGTACAGTGGCTCACGCCTGTAATACCAACACTTTGGGAGGCCGAGGTGAGCGGATCCCTCGAGCCTAAGTGTTCAAGACCAGCCTGGGCAACATAGTGAGGTCCCGTCTCTACAAAAAGTTAAAAAGTTAGCCAGGTGTGGTAGCACACATCTGTGGTCCCAGCTACTCAGGAGGCTGAGAAGGGAGGACCTCGTGAGCCTAGGAGGTGGAGGTTGCAGTGAGCCAAGATTGTACCACTGCACTCCAGCCTGGGTGACAGAGTGAGACACTATCTCAAGAAATAAAATAATAATAATAATACAAAACAAAATAATTATTAGACTGTCTCTGTATAATTCTCCTGATGTGAGGAAATAAGTTTATTCTTTTCTGTATCCCCAGTACCTGTTATAGGGCCTGGCACTTAGTAAATGCTCAATAAATGTTTGTTGACTGAAATGCAGGGAAACCATACTATTAGAACAATACTGATCAAGTCTCAAAAGGAAGAAAACCACTGAACAGATAATTTTCTTAAACTTCCTTTTTAAGTATAAAGTAATAGCTAAAATACATTGAGGCCTTATTATATACCAGGTACTGCAACATCCTAACAATCGTATGGGATAGGTATGATTATCTCCAGTCTAAACCCAGAGAGGTACATAACTAGGCAAGAGGATACAGCTACACAAATGGGCAAAAATCAAGATTCTGACTCGAAAGCCCCATCTACCCCAGGAAAATATTCATCACATATGTTTAGGTGAAGAACAAGTTATAAATTAAGACAGAATGATTCTATATTTATACAAAAATCACAAAATAACATATATTATTTATAAAGAGAAAAGCACCTGGAAAGATGGGAGCAGAGTGATTCAAACCACAGGCTTGGCATCAGGCACAAATGGGTCTGCAACCTAGCGTTTTTTGTTTTGTTTTGTTTTTTGAGACAGGGTCTCACTCTGTCACTCAGGCTGGAGTACAATGGCGCAATCTCAGCTCACTGCAACCTCTGCCTCCCAGGTTCAAGCGATTCTCCTGCCTCAGCCTCCCAAGTAGCTGGGATTACAGGCACGCACCACCACGCCCAGCTAATTTTTGTTTTTAGTAGAGACGGGGTTTTACCATGTTGTACAATGGCACAATCTCGGCTCACTGCAACCTCTGCCTCCTGGCCTCAAGTGATCCACCCGCCTAAGCCTCCCAAAGTGTTGGGATTACAGGCATGAGCCGCTATGCTCAATCTGCAACCCAGTTTTTACAGTCACATGCAGTTGAGCAACTTATTTAGTTCCAAGCCCCCAATATTCCCATCTCTAAAAGGGGGATAATACCTTACAAAGTGGCAGATAAGATGAAAGGAGATAATACACTTAGTCACTCCACCTAGGACATGGAAAAGCAGTCAATGTACTGTCACACTTCATATTATCGTAAGACCTGCATCCTCCACCACCACCACAGCAACAGAATAAAACACGGTAACTGGGTTCTTAGGCCGGGTCACACACACACAAAAGAATAATATTGAAAGATATTGAAACAATTAATATTTCTTCTTGTAAGTGATAAACAGCAAATTCAGAATTGTAGTCATCTCTGGCAGAAAAAATGAGGGGTGGGTGCAGGGAGGAGTATGGTAGATCTGTCATATTTTATTATTTTAAAAATTACCAGCAGGGAATAACAGGGTTTGCTACTTCAACTTAGAAGTGTAAATGAAGAATTAAGTTTTTGACTTGTGGCTTTAACAAATTTAATAAGAAATTTTTTAATGTATCCGGAGAATGTAGCAAATATTAAGCTTTGATAAAGCTGGCTGATAGGTATATGGGGTTGTATAGAATTATTCTCTATTAATTTCTGTACATATTTTATAATATTACTTTTAATAATTCCTAGCAAAAAATGTGTTTTGTATTCTTGCATGGCAAACTGGCCAGGAGCACATTCCCTCAACTCCTCAAGATGGTAGTTCCTATGGCCCAGGTCAGGGACCCCAGAGGTCTGGGTGATCGTGGAGGACTCCTACGTCCTAGGTTGAAAAGCAAGGAGCCAGGGGAGAGATTTGATGGGGAATGGGAGCAAAGAGGTACCACAAGGAATCTCAACATCAAAGTCAAGGCAACAGGGACTGGGAAAGGCTCCCTGCCAGTGGGAGGGCAGAACAAAGCAGGCATAACTCCCAGGTAAGGCCTCAGTACAGGAAATTCATAAGCTAGGACCCTGGCTCAATGAGACCAAGCATGGTTCAATAAGAAGTTGGACTCTGAACAGAATCCAGAACCAGCACCCATTGCTGGGGAACACAAAGAAAGGAACACCTGAGCCATGCCCTTTCTCTCCCCACACTCTGAGCCACGCTTTCAATACTGCAGTTTTGTTACGTCTCACAGGATATTGTAAAGCAAGCAGAGACCACTGAGAACAAGCATGCATGCCATCTCATCCTTCTCTGAAATCACTCAATTTAACATGATTATGTACATTTTATTTGTGGCCATCTCGTGAAAGTCCAATCTTGGTAACAAGACCAAAGGTGTGCCCTCAATTCCTTTGTTACCTCAACAGCCTAACGCAAAAGACAAGGCTTTGACATCCAGTAACTGATCTGTCCTTAGCCCATATTCTTATATAACACCTTCTTTAAGCCCAACAGGATAGAGAGATCCTTGCCAGTAATGGTAAAAATTAATTGCTCTAGTTGTGGTTGACTTTAATGTCAGACTGCTGAGTTCCTATTCTAAATTCCCAAACTGATTCCATCACTTATAACATGAACTTCTCCAAACCTCAAGTTCCTGAGTAGAACAGGGCCAAACTTGTAGGGCTGTTGTAAAATCTAAAAATAGAAAATATAGAATGAACACTCAATAAATATAAGCTTAAAAAATAAGAAACACCAAGAGCTACCCAACACACATTAAATTATAAAGTGAGCAGAAATAAAATTTTGTTAAACCACTGGAAAAAATTAGGAAGCACTTACATACATATACAATGAAATGCCTATAATGCAATGATGGGTTAGATTTTAGATGTCGTTATTTGCGTAGGTCTTGTCCTGAGGAATCATATGAATGTTATAAATTGGAGGGTCTGTTAATACAACACATGGGATATTTTATTCCTGCCTAGACCCCCATTAGTGTTAATAGAGAAAAGAGGACAACAGATGGATTTAAGACAGTCATTAGAAGGCACTAACATGATACACAGTTGATAGTGATTACATCAAACTTTATATAAATTCACTTTTTGATGACTATCAAGAGCCTCTAAAAAGTGTGTTGCTGTCGTATTCATGCATCATTTGCTGCCTACAATTTAAGAAAATTAGCATCTGTCAATGGCATTATTCAGCTACACAGGGTGGAAATTAATGGATAATACCATTTCTAATTTGTTGTATGAGAGGTGAGCTTGCCTAGCAATCTGGCTGCTCTATTTTAATACCAAATTGAGCTTGTTGTTACAATTGAAACTGGATTAGCTCTGTGTTCTTTGGAAAAATGTTTCCAAAATTCTACTATGCTTATTGAAACATGTATCAAATGTTTTCTACTGGCATGACTAGAAATTTAGAGGCAATAAATAAAGGTCTGTATTAAAGCTGGAATCAGTTGGACGGATTGATACAAGAGCGTGTCAGGTCTCAACCATAGAGGTGTGGGTTGTTTGAATGGACTTCTTGTACTGGTTATTTTTGCTGTTTTAGCCAAAGGGCCTCTAGTTAACAGAGTTAGAGTGGAAAGTTCTGTAGCCTTGTATGGTTATATGTACATTAAAATAAATACATTATTGAATCTAGACCCAGATCATGCCTTGGTTCTATCAAGGCTATATATGACCTCTCCTAGAATGTGTTTTCTTTTTTTTTTTTTTTTGAGACGAAGTCTCGCTCTTGTCCCCCAGGCTGGAGTGCAGTGGCATTATCTCGGCTCCCTGCAACCTCCACCTTCTCGGTTCAAGCGATTTTCCTGCCTCAGCCTCCCGAGTAGCTGGGATTACAGGCGCCCACCACCATGCCTGCCTAATTTTTGTATTTTTAATAGAGACAGGGTTTCACCATGTCGGCCAGGCTGGCCTCAAACTCCTGACCTCAAGTGATCCACCCACCTCAGCCTCCCAAAGTGCTGGGAGTGTTACAGGTGTGAGCCACTGTGCCCAGCCACGATACATGCTTTCAAAGCACCCCGAAGCTGGAAGTATCCCTCTGAAGTAGAAAAATACCAAGTCTGCAATAATTTTAGCAGAATGGCCATATAAAGAATTAAATAATAGCCTCTGGAGATCTACTTTATCACTGGGGAATAATGGTACCCGATTAGATTTGAAAGCTTCCATTAAAAAAGTTCCGTATCACCTGAAGTGCAATATATATTTAGTAGCCAATCCATAGTCTTAAATTTTGGGTGATTTTTCTTGGACTATAAGCAGGATATCAAAGAGAAAATAAGACCTAGTAACTATACAACAAAGCTCTCTCTTGACGTGACTTCTGGTTCTCAGTCATAGAGGAGAACTCTGAAAAAATGTGTACAACCCTCTAAGGTACCAACCAGGAAAAGGGGAAGCTGAAGTGGCCCAGATATCGCTCTCAAGGGTTTTGGGGAGATTTTAAGGACAGCCATAAAAGGAAGGCAGGAAGAACAGGGGTAGCACTGCAGAAGTTAAGGGACTAGAAACAAAAAGAACAATGGCAAGCTGGCACTGAATTGGTGCCATGAGCAGGCAGACAGGGCACAGGCTCTGTTGCCAAACCTTGTTCTCTTGTCCTATATCTTTACAGGTATATAGGTTAATAGGTTTTGGCTAATAGCCTCTCTTTGCCTAGACATCTCTACTGAAGCTCTCAGAGCAGCTCCCAGAAAGTTTACACCCACCACTAACCTGGGAGCAGGGACATTCTCACCATTTTACCTTCCCTGTGTCTAGTAAAATCTCCCTTGCTTAATCTCACTTCTGGGTAAATCCACAAAGGAAGTAAAAGTAGGGGCTCAAATAGATATTTGTACTCCCATGTTCATGGCAGCATTAGTCACAATAGCCAAAAGGAGGAAACAACTCAAGTATTCATTGAGGGATGAATGGAGCGCAATGGAATATTACTCAGCCTCAAAAAGGAAGGTACCTCTGACTTGTGTTACAACATGGAGGAACCTTGGAGACATGCTGAAAGAAATAAACCAGTCACAAAAGGTGAGATATTGTATTGAGAGGTGAAGCCAGCTGGACCTTCCTGGGCTGAGTGGGGACTTGGAGAACTTTTCTGTCTAGCTAGAGGATTGTAAACGCACCAATCAGCGCTCTGTGTCTAGCTAAAGGATTGTAAATGCGCCAATCCGCACTCTGTAAAAATGCATCAATCAGCACTCTGGGTCTAGCTAAAGGACTGTAAACGCACCAATCAGCACTCTGTAAAAATGAACCAATCAGCACTCTGTAAAATGGACAAATCAGCACTCTGTAAAATGGACCAATCAGCAGGACATCGGCAGGGCCAAATAAGGGAATAAAAGCTGGCCACCTGAGCCAGCAGCAGCAACCTGCTTGGGTCCCTTTTCACACTGTGGAAGCTTTGTTCTTTCACTCTTCACAATAAATCTTGCTGCTGCTCACTCTTTGGGTCCGCACGACCTTTAAGAGCTGTAACACTCGCCACGAAGGTCCGCAGCTTCATTCTTGAAGTCAGCGAGACCACGAGCCCACTGGAAGGAAGAAACTCTGGACATATCTGAAGGAATAAACTCCGGACACACCATCTTTAAAAACTGTAACACTCACTGCGAAGGTCTGCAGCTTCATTCTTGAAGTCAGTGAGACCAAGAACCCACCAGAAGGAACCAATTCTGGACACAGTATGATTCCATTTATGTGAAGTACCCAGAATAGTCAAATGCATTCTTTCATAGAAAGTGTAACAGTGGTTTACAGGGGCTGGGGGGAGTGGGGAATGGGGAGTTCCTGTTTAATGGGTACAAAGTTTCAGTTTGGGATGATGAAAATGTTCTGGAGATGGATAGTGCTGATGGTTGTACTTAATGCCGTTAAATTATACATGTAAAAATAGTTAAATGGTAAATTTTGGTATGTATATTTTTTACCACAATGTTTAACCTGCCTGCCCCCCAATCCCTTGCTTGGCCAATACCACTGTACCTTATAGAAGAAAAAAATAAGAGGATCCTTTTTGTTGTCCAAAAGGAGGTATCCACATTAACTATAACACCACTTGCTTTTGCAAATTATACTTCATAACATAAGCCCTCCCAATCATTTATAAGTTAGGGGAAATGAGTTTTTAAAGAACCTGTCAAACTTAAGAAATGAAGAAGGGGCAAAGACCGCAAAGAGTCACTGTCTAAATCTGGGCACAATTCATGACTCAGCAGCCATCACCCTAATTCCGTCACCATCAAGTGATTCTTCTTCTCTGCCCCATTGCTCACTCCTAAACATTTCTTCCCTCATAGTCCTGACTCTCATCCTCATGGGCAATTACAGCTTCCCTTATTCATCTTCAGCTGTGCTCCCGCAAGAGAGACATGGTTTCTTTCATCTTCCACTCACATGGGTGACTGACTTCCAATTTCTTGTCCTCACTGCAAAAGAATGACCGTACCCAGACAGCATCAACAATGCTGCTAAATCACTCTTCTTAATGGCATAAATGGATACAATTTGAGAAACCAACAGACCTGTGACCAGAAAGTGCAGAAGTTCACTGACTCCTATATTGAACTGCTATTCTAGCCTTAAAAAAAAAAAAAAAAAAAAAAAGTGCTATGTGTTTACTCACACAAGGGAAGTCCAAAGCAGAGTCGTGACTCTAAGTGCTCAAAGACATCACTGACTACTGACCAATGATCTCCAACTGACAAGGAAACTGAAAGCTGGACCAAGAGCAGCTGTAAGTCTTTTGGAAGGCTGGTATTGGGAGTAGGGTGATGCCAAGAGGGCATCAAGGTCTTAAGACTGTAAGACTGAAATTTATTTGCTAAACTATGTTTCCACAAGACTTAAATCCACCAGAGATGCCCAATTTCACTTTTTAGAATATTATCACCAGCATTCCATACTTAACATAGAATGCCAACACAACATTGCTAACTATAAAATTTGCCTGGTGAGCAAGTCAGAGCACTGCTGTGAAAGGAAGCTCCTAGCAAGGGGGACAGGTATCAGAAGTTTTTCTTTCACGTGGGCCCAGACAGACTAAGTACCTGACAGATGTTTTAAGGAGTCACTAAAAAGCCCAGTTCCATGCTATGAGAGAACTAGGGATGGGTGAAAAACAACAGAACATACATGTCTACAATACAGAAATCAAGGTCTTTGAACAAACCATGAGGCTATGGAGCAGAAACTCAAGCTGCCACTGCCACTGTGAACCAGAGCTGCAGTGTTAAGAATAATTTTTGGTATGGGTAATATGGCAAGGTGATTCAAAGATAAAGTCATCTTTTCACCCTCAATCATAGATAGCCACCCTGTTACTCTTGCCATATGACAAAAGGGCAAAAATGCTAACACATAGTTTATTTTTAAATGGAAACACATTAAAGTCAGACTTAAAGAGAAATATATTTGACCTTTCTTTTACTTTCCCTTAACTTGTTCATAAAAAAACTATTTCTTCTTATGTACCAAGATTATCACTCTCAGTCAAATTCTAATAAGGGCAGATATTAGGACCAAATTAATGCATGCAATAAAGCTTGGTAAGCTGTAATGTTTCTATTATTACAAGCACATCACTACCTTTGGGTTTACCAACACCCAGCAAATTCTCCCATTCTGCAATGAGGCCCAGCCCTGGCCACCAACTCCCTGTTTTACCTAGACCACCAAGGCAGTTGTCCGTCAGGTGGCATTTTTCTGGATTTAAAATTCTTATCAAAAAATAAATAATGGTTTGGCCCCAAACTCCAGTTGCAGAGACCAAAGACTAATGTGACAACTTAAAATTGATTTTTAAAGAAGTATTAAATAGAGTCTACACTAATGAGAACATGGTAACAAGATTCTGACATCAAGCAGTGTTGCTGAGAATGAATGAATGCCTGCGTGACGGCACCCAGAGAAGTGGGTGGTGGTGGTGTCTGAGCAATGCTAGGCAGAGGTCAGTGTTAACATCTGCAAACTGGCCTCCCTCAATTCGCATACTGAAATATAATTCAGTAGAATGAATTGCTAGACATGTCTAACCCCCCTGGGAAATGACAGATATTGATGAATGCTGCTGGCAAGATATATGGAAGGAAACAGCAAATAAATAGAACCATTTTTTCTCAGAGTCATTTTGTGGGTATGTGGAACAGCTGTTAAACTACTTGTCAGCTCCCTCTCTGTCTTCCTCCTCATCCTCCCTCTCCCCAGCTGCCTTATCTACACCTTTCTAAAACCTCCCTAAGGACCAGTAGCTGGCCCTCTTTAAAATAATAATCAAATGATTAAGAGTCATCTCTTCCTCTTCCCCATCACAGTCTGACTTCTCAATCCAGTCAGTGCAACCCTTTCTAAGATTTCACTCCATCTAAATGTGTTCACTGCCCCCTCCAGATCCTTGAAAGACCCTTAATTTCTAAACTCATAAAATCAAACTGTTGATTTCAAGTCCATCACCAAAGATCCCAGACACGAGGTTTAAATCCTAAAATCAAACCCTGACTACTATCATGTATCCACCGTGTGACCTTGGACAGGCTTAACCTTCTAAGCCTCAGTTACCATAAACATGCTGTACAATGGCGATGATACCAATCTTACGAGGTGATGAGAATTTAGAATGTAAACAAAGAACCTATCATCTGACAAAAGGCCCAAAATAAATTATTACTTTTTATCCACTCTACTTTTCACTGTTAAACAGCTCCTCCTGGCAACAGTCCTCCTCCTTGGTGTCATCTTCGGATTAGATCAAATTCTTTCCAGCACTGGGAACTTGGAGCATACCTGGTTCTTGTTCCATCCAACAGGTGGACTCAGGAGTACAGAATGGAAAAGCAGTCAGACATCAGTTTGCATCCTCCTTTCACCATTTATTAGCTAGAGAGTCCCGGATAAATACCTTGACCTCTCTGAGCTTCGATTTCCTCACCTCTAGTGATGATGATAGTAGGTAACACATGTTAAAGTGCCCAGCACAAAACTGAACACAGAATTTGTGCTCAGTGATAGTTCAGGTCCCCCTCCAGGATGCTTTTACCGATTCTGGCACCATTGGCATTGAATCCACAAGCAGGATTCAGTGCCAGTGGTGCCAACCAGGAAGGCTATTACCCTTACCT
The DNA here is from genome assembly GCF_000001405.40 of Homo sapiens. Taxonomy (NCBI): domain Eukaryota; kingdom Metazoa; phylum Chordata; class Mammalia; order Primates; family Hominidae; genus Homo; species Homo sapiens. Next base: position 66,776,883 of record NC_000005.10, on the reverse strand, counting down.
TCCCCCATCATACCACCCACTGCTGTGTGTGGGTGCACATGTACAGAGTGCCATTTATTTCTGTATGCAGTATGTTCTACTACACTGTAACTTCTGCATCTCATCTGTTTTTGTAGCCCCACGTCACACCTAGCACAATATCCTGCATGTGAAACACACTAGTCTTTACAGAACCAGATTTAAGTCTGTGTGTATTGACTTTCCATCTGTCTCTCATTTATATTTCTCCCAAGGATCATATTTTTCATTATTATTTAGTCACACACTGCCTAGAAGAATATTTAAGTTTGGCTCAAGTGTTTGTTTTATAATGATAACAGTAATGAAGAAAACTCAGAGGCCTTAAACTTGATATGGAGAAGACTGTGTCACTTCTTATAGCTTTGATTTTCTCTTCTAAAAACCATCTCAAAAAGAGTCTACCATCTTCACAATATAATGTCTATTTTCAAGGTAAGCTAATTAACCTCAATACCCCAGAGGACAACTTATATTTGATATCTTACTTCTTGGAGAAATTATGAATCCTACTCAATGACGCTCTTTTGCTCACCAAGATGCTCTGATGGATGCACTCAAATGTCACTGGCAACCCTGAGACACAAAACATTTCTGACAACCATCCAACATCTAAACAGTTATGACAGAGGCTAAGGAGTTGGGGACCAGTAGTTTTACAAGAGAAACAAAAAGAACAAAAGCTGCCATAGAGGTGACAAAATAAACTCCATATCACAACCTATGCAGAAACTTCCAGACAAGTCTAAATTTCCTAACACGTTCTCTATTTTTACAAGGAAACTCTTACATACAGTCTAATTCACATAATCGTGTATTTCATAATCATGTAATCACATCTATTTCTTTGGAACACTTTCTAGTTCCTGCTAGGTCTATTCCAGTAGATTTCAAATTCTTTCTCAACAATATCTATGTATGCTACCTGAAGAATGTAATATTTTTGTCTTAAGGAATGCTTGTCAATATTGATCAATGAATAAGCAAGAAACCTAGAGCACAATCATAAAATATTTCCTCAAAAATACTACAGAGTACATCTCCCCCAGCGCCTCCAAATGGCCATTTGTTAAAGGTCCCTACTTCTGAAGTGACAGATCTCAATTAGGAACTGTGTAACCTGCTCTCCCTCCTCCCTTATGAGGAAAGTTAATGCCCATTCTGCCTGGTTTCAAAGCAAAAGAACCATTGTTCTTTTGAAGAACCATTTTTAAGAACCATTGTTATCCAACCCTGCACACTGAATTAAATCCTAACAAACCGCCAATTGCTTCACAAAACAATGCCCTTGTTTTTAAGATGAGAAAAGTTGAAGCCAAGATTAGCATCATGACTGCCTCAGCAATGCTTGAAAATTAATGGTAGGTGTAGGGCTGGAATTCATCCTTTCCATTTCTGGTCTATCATTTAGCCACTGACAACTTCTGAAAGCTCAGTTGACATTAAGTAGCCCTGAACTCCAGGGTCAATGCCTCATGTTTTATAGTAACAGTTTTGCCAGCTACTTAGCATTCCCTTTTAGCAAATTCAGCCATGCTTATGGGGAAATCAGTGGGCTGAGTTGGGGGAAGGTAGTCTTTTGGTTGCTCCAATCACCCTCCAAATGGCCATCTCTCAAGCTTGAAAGCCAGGTCATTTTCTTCTAGCCATTTCATTAAATGCATTAAATCTCCCATTATTTGATCCACAAAGAGCACTGTGACTATTGAAGGCACTGTAACAGGGCATATGCACACAGACTTTTAGACATCAAAGAGTACAGTATATCATATATCAGAGCTGTCTGACTCCCATGTGACTAAGCAGCTACAGGGGGAAAACACACACATACACACACACACACACACACACACACACACACACACACACAGGAAAAGGATATTGAACGAATGTCTATGTGTAATGCCTCTAAACACTTGCCATTCATACCATGCCTGTACCTATGAGACTATATGTCTGATAACGCCTAGGCACATAACCATTCCAGTATTTATTGATAAGATGGCCAGATTTAGCAAATAAAAATACAGGATGCATACCTACATTTAAATTCAAGTAAACTTGAATATGTATGCTAATATAGCACTGGATACTAAAAATATTATTAGTTGCTTATCTGAATTAAAATTTAATTGGATACCCCATATTTTATCTGGCAATCATATTAGAATGAGAAATGCACAAGGCTTTGCTTTGAGGATACAAGGAAAAAGTCCTCAAGAAATTTATAAACTAGCAAATGGAATGATAGGTACACAAATAATAAAAATTAAAAGTAATCTCTCTTTTAAGAAAAGAACAACATTAAGGTGGTATCAAAGGAGAGAGAGGTGGAAGAGTCAGCAAAAGTAACATGAAGGTGTTTGGAATGGAATCTGAATGTAGAAAAAGGCCTTAAAGATTACATGCTTCATGATCAGTTTATACACCTAAGAGGGCAGGGGCATCACAGCACTCATAACCACAGGTATGTGCATGATGTATTATTCCCCCCTTTGTTTACTGTTATTTACGTATACGCCACTGCAGCCAAAAGCTAGCAAAATGGAGCAAAACCAAAATAAAATACTTTGAGATTCCTGGCAACCAAGACCAAGACAGAAACAGTGGGTTTACCCAGCTCTCATTATTTAACAAAAGAATAATTCAAATTTATCAGACCAATCTAAACCCTTTTTCCTTGATCTGAGCACAGATAAACTTGTTTCAGAAGTTTTAATAAAAGGTCAATGACATACATAATTGTTAACTGTCCTTCAGAGTAATTAAGGGCAAAAATACAGGCCATCCTACATTACTGGAACTAAATAAAAACCAAGGGTGCAATGCAGTGTGTGCATGCATACATGTAAACACATAAATGTCCATGTATGTCACTTAATACATGCCTCTTCTTAACACAGACTGGGAAGCTGGGAGCTGCACAACCTTATGCAAAATCCTTCTTAAAGCTGAATTGGGTGCAGCATTAATAATTTACAGCAGTCACAGTTTATCTTAGTTTGTGCCGCTACAACATAATAATGGAGACTGGGTAATTTATAAAGAACAGAAATTTATTTCTCACAGCTGTGGAGGCTGGAAGTTCAAGATCAAGGTACTGGCATGTGAGTCTGGTGAGGGCCTTCTTGTTGCATCCTTGCATGGCAGAAGGAGAATGAATGGCAAGCTCACCAAAAGCTGCTGTGTAAAAGAAACCTCTTTTAAGAGGGTCTTAGTCCCATTCATGAGGGAGCAGCCCTAGGATAGCCTAATCATCTCTTAAAGGCCCTACTTCTAAATACTATCAAACTGGCAACACCCGAATTTTAGAGAGGACACAAACCATGACATGATTCCCCCTCTATTCTTACTCAAAGAAGGAAACAGACATTTCAATAATATCATTCTCTCTTTCACAAGTCAGCAATGAGTTAAATGCAAGGAGGGGACTTACCCTCTGCTCTCCCTTCAGGCTTAGGTCTGATTCAGGTGCCTGAGACAATACTGTCAAAGAATAGAGAAATTATCTTGCTAGGCAGACACAAGAAAATAAATTTAGCCCTGACAATGTGTGGTGATTAAGTACTTGAATGACAATGGAACATGACAATGACAAATGCAGGCTACTGCCACCAAAGTCATTAATATATCAGAAACACTAATTTTTATAAATCTTTCAACTTCCCGGTTGGTTGCATTTCTTGACCTACTCTTTTTCCTGTGGAACTGACTTAGAGTCAGCATCATTTTCAGTTTCCAACTGGGAAGTTAAAAAAACTTCTACATTCCCAGTGGCTTTGATTGGCCACCAAAAATGAGCTGTAAGCAAGAGATGAATGGCCTGGGTATGCTCGAGTGACAGGACACCTACCAGCAGCTCTGATAGAGGCAAAGGTGGGCTTCCTTGCAGAGCAACAAATAAAGCATGTGTGTGTGCACAGGGGTTCAAGGGAGGGTGCAGTGACTAGAAAATGAAGAAAACCCATTTTCTACAAAGACTTTCCCTCCCTCACCATGGTAGCTAAAATTATTTACTACTCAACTCAAAGGGACCTTGAGAGTATAGGATCCAATGCACTCACTTTACAGATGAAGAATCTAAGGCCCAGCAATGAAGGCTACTTAGAAGTTGACTTGGGACTAGAATCTGGGCCTCAGATCTCCAGTTCACGTCCTTCCATTTACACCCTAAAACAGCAGTAAAAGATGGCAAGATGCTGTCTCCACCCAGGCAAGTCACTTGCTTTCTTTAAATTCTGTTCCATTTAATTCAGTGATCCCATTCTCTCTCTGATCTACATCTCCCCACTCCCTACTGTATTGTACCCTGTTACTCTCTGCCTCTGTTGTCCAGGGGATTCATGTATAGTGCAATTTACCAATTCCAGTACACGAGCAGTTAGCACCTCATTAGCACTGCAGTTTGACTGTATGAAATAAGATGTCACTGGCCTTTTATACTTTGGAACCCAGTAGCGTATGTCAAGCCACATAGCCTTTCCCCATGTTTCCTATAAGAGGGTAAAATCTTAAAAAAACATAAATTGAAACATGAAGAAAGGGAAAAAGAAAAGTATAAAATAGAAACTGAAACATCATCAGAAGAGCCAGTTACCTATGTCCAACTCTGTAAATGGGTTCCAGTGTTGTGTGAAATGGTACCACCCACCATCTTCTTACCTTTCCCTACCTTATCTCCTCCTCCCCAGTACCTCAAGGACATGAAGTGTGAGATTTCCTAGTTCATACTAATTTTCTAGCATTTCAATAAATCTTTCACGCTGTTAATTGTAGTATAATCAAGTCATTGTTTGTGGCTTCCTCATCTCTACTAAAGACTCACAGAGGAGCTAAAGCCACTTCATCTCTGAGGGGCTACACATATAAGGAACTGAGAAGATGAGCATGGATCAGTGTGCTTTTCAGAACCTAAAAGAGCACAATGCATGAAGGATAGGAAAGCCATACCTACTTGTGCCTGGGCCACAGTCTATCCTGTCAGAGGAAAAGAGAGTTTCAGGGAAGTACTAAAAAGACAAAACTAAAAAGCAGTAGAAAGAAAAAGGAATATGATTACGCCTCATCCAAAAAGCTCAACACCTTGATAACAGGTTAAAAAAAAAAAAAGCCCGAAACCAGTTTCTTATTCTAAAGGGAATTTTAAGAACAAAGCAACTTAGATTTTTAATATATGGATTCAATAATTAATCTTGTTTCCTCGGGAAGGACCAAAGCCCATTATTTGTAGAATCACGCTAGAACCTAAGAAATGAGCAGGGGAGTGGGGGGAGGAAGCCTTCTGTTCACGGATCCTGTTACTCTATACATTTTTGGTTTAAGTTTCTTCATTAGCCTAATTGGCATACAGAGCCTCCCGATAGAAATATATTTACACACAGGCCAGGCACAGTGGCTTATGCCTGTAATCCCAGCACTTTGGGAGGCTGAGGCGGGAGGATCACGAGGTCAGGAGATCAAGACCATCCTGGCTAACACAGTGAAACCCTGTGTCTACCAAAAATACAAAAAAAATTAGCCGGGTGTGGCGGCGGGTGCCTGCAGTCCCAGCTACGCAGGAGGCTGAGGCAGGAGAATGGTGTGAACCTGGGAGGTGGAGCGTGCAGTGAGCCAAGATTGCACCACTGCACTCCAGCCTGGGCGACAGAGTGAGACTCCGTCTCAAATAAAAAAAAAAAAGAAAGAAAAGAAAGAAATATATTTACACACATACAACTTTTAAAATCATGCCAGAAAAAACTTTAAATGACTACCAGACATCCTCCTCTCTGGTGCATGTTGAAGAATTCCAGTTACTGAGTTTGGTTTGCCACATTTAACACACCGAGCCAAAGGTCCAGATAGCCAACATATTTTGCAGCTGATAATGGTTTAGCTGTATCTGAGTATTTTCCTGCCCCAGTAATCTTGAAATTCTATGTCAACAGTGATTGAAGGCCTATGTTACCTTTTGCTCTGCAAAGGGGGCTTCAAGCATCTTAAGAGAAACTGGGCCTCCTGTGGAAAACATTAACTAACACTCAGGTCCAAGTGTTAAGTTTTTCAAACTATCAGGTACAGAACTGTAAAACTGATTTCTGAAGTGCCAATTTGCTAATGAAGCCTGGCTCCCAACACTATCCAGGGCTCAGGTACACATCAAAGCAAAGAGCCCAGTCTCTCACCTGCCCCGGGTATAAGAGAAATGACTCTGATTCTTAAAGTCCTCATTCAGCCTCTTTCCTTAATTTTCCCCTCATGCCTGTCTTGTCACTGGTGCAAAAGGCCTGAAGGAGAGATTTGGGCTTCCAAGAGGCTGCAGCGTGGCTCTGAACAAGGTGGTGGCCACTTGGCAGTTTCTAAGTGGCAGGTGACCTGGGTCTGGGAACCACCATATGAGCCTGTTAGAGGGGCAATGACTCATCGGTAGACCACCTGCATGGGAGATGAGCTCCGGCAGAAGGCTCCCTGACAGAGAGCCACTGGGAGGCAGCATCTGCCAAAGGAACTCACTGACAGCTGCGCCTCCCATTAAGTCTAGGTCTCATGAGACCTTACTACTCCTGACAAGGAGGAATTGCAACACTTACAAAAATACATCAAAGTAGTCACACCTTCTATTTAGAACACCTAGATAGCAAACAAAATATCCAGGCTATAAACTGTCATAGGAGCAGTAAAGACAATAAATGGTTTTAACGCTTCTTAAAACCATGCATTGTCACCGGGAAGAAGATGCTAACAGAATTGCCTGTTTATTGCCTGGTGACTCAGAAAAATATGTAGAGACATTCTTCAGCTTCATAAGCTATTACTGATGAACTACACAATTTTTTAAGTTCTAAAACCACACTAGACCGACTCAAGAGAATTCTTGTCATTAGTTATGTGCCTTCAGCATAGCAATTTTATACCTATTAAGAACTAGTAAAACAAATACCAGCAGGATGTTTTTAAGTCAGTAAAACCTTAAGTGTAAATTCTATGTGGATCTGGGCTTTTTCTTCTGGTTGGCGAAGAGCCAAGAACCCAAATTGGGAGTATCACAAGAGAGCACCATCAGGAGAACTGTAAAGATCTTTGCCCTTTAAAAATTTCAAATGGTGCCAAATTTCAAAACATAGTCATGTACCGCATAATAATGTCTTGGTCAACAATGGACTACACATAGGAGGGCGGTCCTGTAACAGGATAATATTGTATTTTTACTGGACCTTTTCTACGTTAGGTATGTCAGATACATAAATACTTATGTTACATTTTGTTATACATTGTGTTACAGTTGCCTGCAGTATGCAGTACAGTAACATGCTGTAAAGATGCGTGACCCAGGAGCAACAGGTTACAGTAGGCTAAACCAGGTAGGTTTGTGTAAGTATACTCTATGATGTTTGCATTAGGAAATCACATTCTCTAAACGTATCCCCGTCATTAAGCGATGCATGACTATATTAACATTTCAGTCATTCTTCAGGGGCTGGTTAAGTCAAACTCAGTCCACCTGCTGCTCACTCCCCAGCCCCACCATGCACCCAAGTCCCAGCTTCTAGTCCTCTTTCCAAATTCCCACTGGCTTTGGCTCGAGCCCCAGAAATATCACACCATGGGCACTAAAACTGCCTCTCATTCCTGTACAGCTCAGGTCCACCCTCCTCACCACTCTTATGAATGACCCTTGACCAGGCCTCTCTCTGTTTTCTGGAACCAGTATACCCAGTACATGAATTTCCCTAGTGCTTTAACCTTTTGCACAAACACGTAGACCGGCTTCACTTTCAATTCATGATCTCAGACTTTAAATGGGCTGTCAATGCTTTCAAGAAATCCTACTACATTTATAGCTTCCCTTCTTACTCTTCAAGACTATGTCATATCTCCTTCTCTTCTCAATTCCCATATAACCCTCCCAACTGAACCCCTTCCCCCATGGTCTCTCACAATGCACTGAGAAAAATGAAGCCATTAAATCCAATAACTCTCTGCTTTTTTTTAAAGCAAATGTATTAATATTACTGATATAATTTTTAAAATTATCTCATTTTGATATAATTATAGATATACATGCAGTTACAAGAAATAATACAGAACTCTTTACCCAGTTTCCCCAATGGTAACATCTTGAAAAACCTTAGTACAATATCACAACCCAAGAATGGACATTGAGACTATCAAGATAAAGAACATTTCCATCATCGCAAGGATCCCTCATGTTGCCCTTTTATAGCCATACCTACTTCCCTCCTACCTCATCCCCTCCTTAATCCCTGGCAACCATGAATCAGTCCTCCAGTTCTATAATTTTATCATTGTAAGAATGTTATATATTAGTGGAATTATACAGTATAACCTCTTTGGACTGACTTTTTCACTTAACATAATTTTCTGGACATTCATCCAGATTGCTGCATGTATCAACAGTTGTTCCTTTTTACTGCCAAGTAGTATTCCATGGTATAGGTGCACTTGAACTACCTGCTTTGGCATCTGTTTTCTCCTCCTTCCTCCTGTGACAATGTGGGAAGTGCCCCTCCTCCTATAAAAGGTCAACCCTTTCACATTTGCTTTGGATACCCAGCCCTGTTCCTCCAAACACCTTCTTCAGCTGTTGTCTCTCTCACCCAAACCATCTTCAGTGCTTTACAAACAAGTTCTCCTGACTCCCGCATTAAGATGGATCTCACTGACCCTTCATACCCTTCCAGCTCATACTTTATATTTCTAGTCCCTTTCATTGCACATTTTCTTCTCAAAAGAGTTATCTGTACTTCTATTTATCCAGATATAAGCCATCTCTGATTCCTTAATGACTATTTTGTCTTATCCCATCCCACTCTCACTTCTGTCTGCACTTCCCTACTTGTGATGATTAATACTGAGTGTCAACTTGACTGGATTGAAGGATGTAAAGTGTGGATGCTGGATGTGTCTGTGAGGGTGTTGTCAAAGGAGATTAACATTTGAGTCAGTGGGCTGGGAAAGGCAGACCCACCCTTAATCTGGGTGGATACTATCTAATTACCTGCTAGCATGGCTAGAATATAAGCAGGCAGAAAAACATTAAAAGACAAGACTGGCCTAGCTTCCCAGCCTACATCTTTCTCTCGTGCTGGATGCTTCCTGCCCTGGAGCCCTCAAACATCAGACTCTAAGTTCTCCACTTTTGGGACTCGGACTGGCTCTCCTTACTCCTCAGCTTGCAAATGGCCTATTGTGGGACCTGGTGATCATGTGAGTTAATACTTAATAAACTCCCCTTTATATATATGTGTGTGTGTGTGTATATATATCCTATTAGTTCTGTCCCTCTAGAAAACCGTAATAACTCTCTCCAGGTCCAAGACTACTCAGTGACTACATTGTCCCATCCAATGAGACTTTCCTGTCCTCATCTTACTCTCTCACATGCAGCCAATATATGGTTTGCCATCATTTCCTCCTCTGAAGATGCTTCTCTCCTTCTGTGATTCCACAGTCCTACTTGACATGCCTATTTATCATGTCTTATCGGGCATTTCAAACATACTCAAAACAGAATTCATCACATCCTATGTCTTTGTTAAAATCTGTTTCTCTCCTGGTCTTTCCTGACTTAGTAAGTGCCCTGCTCCCCCATCTCTTATCTAGCTGAATGCTGAGGCAAGGCCAGCAGGGACCATATTTCCCTAGCACCACACACACACACACACACACACACACACACACACACACACACACACGTGCACTTTACATTCATCTGTGACCATGTGATTAGATCTTTCTAAAAGAATAGGAACGGAAATTAGCATGTCTCTTCCAGGCTGGGACTTTTAAGAAGTCAGAAGGGTTTCTCCTCTCTCTTTCCACTTCTGCCAACTGGAAACGGTACCTCAAGGCTATTAAGAAGAGCAAAACCAGAAGATGGAATGTGGGTCCCTGAGTCACCACGGGAGGAAAGTTGCCTATGAACCCAAACATTTACTTTGAATTACTACATGAGCAAGAAATAAACTACTATTGTGTTAAGCCATTGATATTTTCTGGTTTGCTTGTCATAGCATGTAGCATTATCTTAACACACACCATTTTTATACAGGCATTCTTTTGATGGTGCTACAAAACTGAAGAAATCTGGAGTGTATAGGAAAGTTTAAGTTGTATTTAAGTGTGATATTTAGTAAATACCAAAGCTACCCATAAAACAGCCATACTTTATATAAATTATCTTTAATCTGAATTATTTCAGGCTTGCCCACTAAGCTAAGGAGGTCTTTAGGATGAGAAACCCATTGGGTACTACAGAGTAATTAAAAGCAATAGCTTCCAGGTTAATTTTAAATGAAAGAATGTTTTCTGGGATTGTGTTGTTCCTTTCTCTAAGTAAAAAAAAAACACTAAAAAATGCCGTTTTAAAAATTTTCAGACGTTATTCCAAATTGATTTCTATAGTCCAAAAAAGAAAACCCTCTCAACTTTCTTCCCAAGATAGAACGTCATGATTCTAACAGCTTTAAAATTCTAGTTTATATTGTCTGCAAAGCTGATTTCTTATTATTATGTGCATGTTATACACATATATATAGATTTTTGTCTTTCTTTTACATTCCAACCAACCCAAACATTTGGGGGGAAAAAAAACACAACTCTCTTCGTGGAGAAAAGCAGCACTCATTCTCTGGCTGTTACGGCTGTAACATACATCACAGCTGTAGAATGCAGGACAAGGATTTGGGGCATGCATTTGCATATCAAGAAGCCAGGATTCAAGATCCCAAGATTCTGTCCTTCATTCTGCAGCTTCCTCACTGTGAGCTGTGAGGCATATTACCAACAATACCCAGACTTAAGGGTCTCTATAATGATTAGAATAATGCTGCACTTCCTCATCAGGGGGCTCCAAAGCTCAGTCAATGTTTACATGAGGCTTCTAGGTGCTTATTTAGCAAGCTGTGGACCTTCAAGACAGGAAACACATCAGCCTCTAAAATAAAAATCCAGGCAGTAATGTGCATAGTGAGCTCCAGGTCTATTGTTTAAATGCCAGCCCTGCAAAAAGGGCACTGGTTATTTTCTCGTCTTTAATCTAATGCCCTTAGTGATTCAAAAGTTTAGCTAGGGAGGAAAATGCAAACATTTCAATCATGAGTGTCTATGCATAGTGAAATTATGGGGTTTTGGGCTTTTTCATTATACTGTTCTGTATTTTCTAAATTGTCTACATTGAATACATATTACTTTGAAACTTAAAAATAGTTAAATAAAATATTTTATTGTAAAAGATTTTTTTTAAGAAGCTAACTAGGATAGACTGAATTATCAGTTCCAATTCTTTACTCCCCTGAAGTAACATTACAGTCAGCTGTCACATCCAGATTCAACGAACTGTGGATCAAAAATATTCGGAAAAAACATAAATATTGATACGATAAAAGTGATACAAATGTTAAAATACAGTACAGCAATTATTTATAGAATATTAATATTTACATTGTATTAGGTGATATAAATCACCCAGAGATGATTTAAAGCTTACAGGAGGATATGCATAGGTTACATGCAAATACTACACCATTTTATATCAGTGACTTGAGCAACTATGAACTTCGGTATCCTGGAACCTGGAATCTGTGGCTACTGAGGGACAACTGTATATACAGTCATGCATTGCTTAGCAAAAAGTATACATTCTGAGAAATGCTTCCTTAGGCAATTCTGTCATTGTGCAAACATCATAGGGTGTACTTATGCAAACTTAGATGGTGTAGCCTACTGTGCAACCAAACTACAGGGTATATAGCCTATTACTCCTAGGCTACAAACGTGTATAGCATGCAACTGCACCTAATACTGTAGGCAACTGCAACACAATGATCAGTATGTGCATATCTAAACATAGAAAAGCTACCTTAAAATATAAAAGATAAAAAGTGGTACACCTGTATAGGATACTTGCCATGAATAGAGTCTGCAGGAATAGAAGTTGCTACCAGGGAGTCAGTGAGTAGTGAGTGAATGTGAAGACCTAGGACATCACCGTAGACTTTAGAAACAATGTACACTTAGGCTACACTGATTTAAAAGATATTTTTCTTTCTTTAATAAGTTAACCTTATCCTACTGTAACTTTTACTTTATAAACTTCTTAATTTTAAACTTTCTGACTTTTGTAATAACACTTAGCTTAAAATACAAACACATTGCAGAGCTGTACAAAAACATTTTCTTCTTTATATCCTTATTCTATAAGCTTTTTTTTCTATTTTTTTCTTTTACTTTTTAAACTTTTTTGTTTAAAAACTAAGACACAAACACATTAGCCTAGGCCTATGCAGAGTCAGGATCATCTAGACATTACCATATAATAGGAGCTTTTCAGTTCCATTATAATCTTATGGGACCACTGTCATATATATGGCCCATCACTGACCAAAATGACTTTATGTGGCACATGACTGTACCTGCATCCTGGACAAGGTATCAAGTGAAGTGTGCTTCTACCCCTTGTCTCTGGGCTTCACCATGCCGTTTGCATTAGCCAATATAAAATTAGCAGATATGACACCAGCAGAACCTTGAAATGTGCCTGTACAGGAGAACTTGCCCTCTCATGCTCCTGTCTTTCATAAGGAGATGATGCCTTTGGTAGCTGCTGGTCTAAAGAAGAAGGTAGACACATAGAACAAATCTGGACCCAAACTGCAACCTGGAACCAAGCCCAGTAGGGCCCAGAGTGACCTACAGCCAAACCCCAACTAACCTATAGCCATCTGAACAAGAAAAAAATACTTCTTGTTGTCTACCATTGAGATGTTTGCAGTTATGCAACATTACTGTTGCTGACTGATACACCACCAAATGCCACAGAAAAACTCGGGTTCAAAAACTATCTCGTGGATTAAGCTGCAGTGTACAAAAAAGGCCATAGCATCCTTCACTTGCCCATTTTTAAAGGAAGCCTACTCAACCATCACTCCAATTTGAGAAAATTCCTTAGCAGAAAGTAATTGTTTTCCTCCTCCTCAGTAAAGACAGATGCTCCTCATCTTACAGTGGGGTTACATCCAGATAAACCCATCAGAAGTAAAAAATATCTTAAGTCAATAATGCATTTCATACCCCACTAAACTCATCATAAAGTTGAAAAGTCAAAAGCCAAACCATAGTAAGTGGGGGACCGTCTGTATACAATTATTTAATTACAAATACAGTAAGTCTTAGGTAGTATGAGACACTATGAGACCATTTAACAATGGGATTTCACATTAATATATTGTGAGTCTCTTTCAATATTAAAACATATTTTTTATAATATGACCTTTAATGTTTACAATTGTTTTCCATTTTATGTGCGTACCATAATATGTTTAAGCAGTATTCATTTGCCAGCTATTTAGATAATATGAAATTTTAATTATTATAAATGGTACTGCTTTATATATAACTAAGGTTAATTCTCTTGACATATGACTGTTTCCTTGTGATGAATTCTGAGAAGTCAAATTTCTGGGTCGACCAATGTGTGAATTTTAAGGTTTTAAATATGTACTAATTGCCTAGTTTTACTTTATTTTTACAATTAAACGACTGGGAGCCCTACAGATTGAGCCAACCACAAATTTTAACTGAGTGAACAATTTTCCCACCTAAGATTCACTCCAGTTAATACTGCTGGAATTAAGAGTTTATTTAAAACCTACTAGGTACTGACTATGCTAGGAACAGTGTAGCAGTTGTGAGCATGAACTCTGGAGCCATGATGCCTGGGTTCAAATCCTCGCCTTCTGTTGTGAGGACTGTGACCTCAAGGAAGTTACTCAACCTGCTTGTGCCTCAGTGTTCTCATGTGTAAAATGAGCTAACAGTGTCTCCCTCATAGACACACACAGATGTTATAAGGATTAAATAAGCCAGTAAATATAATTCCCTAAACACAATGCCTGCTACACAGTAAGCTTTTAATATTAGCTATCATTATAAGGGATAAATATATAAATTGATCACAGATCTTCCTTTCAAAAAGCTAAAAGTTTAGTGAACCTTATCAAGGATAATTGGTTGGCAAAACTGTCCAACCATAAACTAAAAATCTTTGTTTTAAGGAAAGCAGAATGCTGCCAAAGAAAAGATCCTTGGATTAAAACAAAGTAAAACAATGAGAAGGTGGTCAGTTGTTAAGTAACAGATTAGATCAGGCATGGGCCTCTGATGGAAAAACCAGTAAGACTTATTTTAAGTTTAGCAACAGGGTATGTCCCAAGATGAGATCACATGTGATTATTTGGTTACCTAAAACTAGTGGAAAACACATTTTTTAAAGATCAGGGAAGATGCTGTCTTCTCTGTGCTCCAACATCTGACACTAGCCTGACATGAACACAGTGCCTAACACCAAGTAGCAAGCCAGTCGATAAGGGTACCAAACTCATTTCCATGAGCCCATGCCACCCATCAACTCCAAATCCCCCCAAATTCAATTAGTTATGCACATAATACTAACAGCTGCCTGGGCTAGCTGCTTTGTGTATATTATTTCATTAAATCTTCAGCTAAACCATACAGAGGAACAATTAAAAATGTTTTTTTCATATTCTAATATAATTTTCAAGGAACTGTCTTCAAAAACAGGCTGACGTTCGATGGATTTTTTTTTTAGCTCTTCTAAGGACTATTAAACATTTAAAAAAATTATCTGACCAAAGACTTAGTTACCAAAAGTAATTGTGTAGCGAACTAATTGTCTAAGGATTGACTTGCTAGAGCTGTTAAAATTATGACAAGAGAATCAAGTCCGGCTATTTATTTTCAAAGCTAAAGGCCAAATTTCATGTTTGAGATCATATATCTGATCAACAGCCATACCCTTGCATTATTTTAAAGCTTTATGTAAACTGCTTTAGCAAAAATGGATAGAATAATTACTGCCCCTCCTATCTATCAAAAATAGTTGAATCAAGGTAAGTAAATTTCCTAAGTGAAATTAATAAATAAAAGGATGAGTCTTTTAACCTTTAAGATTTAATTTTCTTACCTACAAGAGAATAATCTTTGGGATCTCCTACTTTAAAAAGCAAATAGTCTGCATTTATGAAATGAAAGCAAAGAAAAATATCCTAACAAGCATTAGAAGAGCATCAGTAAACTCAAGGGAAAAGATTTGCCTTAAACTGCAGCAGTTTTTTTGATGAATTTCTCCCCCTTGGCCTGAGGTAGTTTGGCCTTTTGTTCCAGCAGAGTGGCACACAGGGTCAGATGTCCCAGACTCCACTAATCATGTGGCAGTAGCACTTCTGTTCCCAGAAATTTCATCTTCAAAACGTCAAAATCCATAGTTCTCCAAAAAAAAAAAAAATGAGTAATTCAACTTACTTTCCAGGCCATTTTTAAACTGGTAGACAAGACCATCATGTAGAAAGAAAACTCTGTTTGGGGATTTTAAGAAACAAAGTTCCGTGAAAATATTTATATCTAGAGGAAAAAGTACTCTGATGAAATAACAGAAATCCAGCTTTCAGTGGTATATAGTTAATAACATACAATTTTAAGTGGTGAGTTACCTTTTAAAAGCTAGGCTTTAACTTATCTTAATTTGGGTATTTTGCAGTCAAAAATAATTTGTGAGTTTTCTGGATTTGAAAATTTCTCAATTTTAACAATGAAATTTAAAAAGGGGTGAAAGAATTGAACCAATACTTCACGAGACACAAATAATTGTCCAATAAGCACTTGAAAAGGTGTTCTAGATTATCTAGTCACCAAGGAAACATAAATGAAACCCACAATGTGATACATCTATGTAACACTGAAAATGGCTAAAATTTTTAAAACTGGCAATACCACAGGTTAGCAAGAACGCACAGCAATTGGATCGTTCATCCATACCTGTCAGGAATGTAAAATGGCACAATTTTAGAAAACCGTTTAGCAGTTTCTTTTCTAATTTTATTTTTATTAACAAAGAATAATTTATACATATTCATGAGGTACTAGTGATGTTCCAATCATATAATGTATAGCGATCAGATCAGGGTAGTTAGCATATTCATCATATCTCAAACATTTATCATTTCTTTGTGTTGGGAACATTCAATATCATTCCTCTAGCTATTTGAAATTATATATATTTGTTAATTACAGTTATCCTACAGTAGTATAGAACACTAGAACCTAATTTTATAAAGTTAAACATACGCTACTAACACACGCAACAACATGGGTGAATCTTAAAAACATCACACTGAGCAAAAGAATCCAGACCAAAGGAGTAGATACTCTGCTTCCATTAATGTAAACCCCTTGATAAGGTCTATCTAATCTATAATAACAGAGCAGATCTATGGCTGCCTAGGGCCAAGGATTTGGAGTTGAGGGTGGAAGTAGAGGGTGGGTTTGACTAGGAAGAGCATGGGAAACATTTTATATCCTGATCACGGCAGTAGTTAAACTGAGGTATAAATTTGCAAAAATCCATCCAAACATAAACTTAAAATTGGGGATATTGGCCGGGTGCGGTGGCTCACACCTGTAATCCCAGCACTTTGGGAGGCCACGGCAGGCAGATCACGAGGTCAAGAGATCACGACCATCTTGGCCAACACGGTGAAACCCCGTCTCCAATAAAAATACAAAAATTAGCTGGGCGTGGTGGTGTGTGCCTGTAATCCCAGCTACTCAGGAGGCTGAGGCAGGAGAATCGCTTGAACCTGGGAGGCGGAGGTTGCAGTGAGCCGAGATCATGCCACACCACTGCACTCCAGCCTAGCAACGGAGCGAGACTCTGTCTCAAAAAATAAATAAATAAATAAATAAATAAATAAATAAATAAATAAATAAATAGGGGATATTGTCACTGCATGTAAATTATATTTCAGCAAAGTTTATTAATAAAATTTTCAATTTAACTGCTTTCTGGATTAGATAAGATTTTTATGAAATGGTCTGCAGAGGCAGGCCCATTCTTAAGAAAGCTGATTACATGTGGAACTCTGGGGCCATGCAGGACCTTGTAAAGAAATGCAATTCCTTCTCTCATCCAAGCCGCTGCGACTCACCAGTCAGGGCTCCTCCCAGGCTCCCTCGCCTTAGCTGTCTTCCATCCTCACTCAGCTGTCTTTTATACTTCAGTGATTTTCCAGGGCCAGAAGCCACATCTGGGTTGCTGCATTTCCGAAACGGCATGGGTGGAGGGGATAATATGTGGTCAAGCTGCAGAAAGAGGAAGAATGGCATCACTGGCTAGGGCATCAACACAGCCTAGAATGAAAGACCAATCATTCACACTTTTTCTTCCTTTCTTTTCCTTCTCAAACTCCATTCTCCCAACACTGTGTTCAATTTTGCTACGTTAGAGAATTTAGAATTTCACTGTCACATCTTCCTTCCGAAAGAGAGTCTGGCTTGCTGCAAAATCTCGACAGCAGTGATTTTCAAACTGTGGGTCACAGCACATTAGTGGGTCATGAAATCAAGTTTGGTAGATTGTGACTGGTGTTTTTTAATGCAATAGAACAGAAATTATCACAGTCCAATGAAGAAAGGGAAAGGATTGTTTCATGAAATGTTTTATTCAGTTATACGTGTATGTGTGTGTATCCTAGGTCACTATATAAAACATGTCTTTCTGTACATGGTCTCCCCCAAAATTGAAGATTGTCGCTCTGTAGAGAAGCAATAGATCACTCTCTTTAGTGGGTTACAAAAGAAAATTCACATATTGCTCACAAATATATGTTGTACAGGAGAGAAATTTCTAAGTACCCTAGCCCTTAATGGAAATCAATACATCCCTACGTCACTTTATAGCTTTTTAAAAGAAAACCTGTCACAAGAATCAGAGAAACCAAAGTCACTTCAAGAGACAGCATTCTACAAAAGAATCCCTTGTGTCACAACACTTATTTCAAGATCTGCCTGTTTTTGTAAGAAAGCCTCTCATACTTAATAGAGCCATACCATCTAAAATGTTCACCTTCAAGTAAGTACATATGAATATGTGTCTAAGACAGCTGCAAAGGACAAAAATTTTCATATACACCTACATACTTCCAGTTAGTTATTAAAGATCCCTCAAAAAAGTACATAAAAAGGTTAACTCTGTAGAAATTTAAAAACAGAAGAGTCAAGTAACATTATTCAAAGCCGGGCATTTTAAGAGCCGCTTCACTGAGATTTGTTTTGTTTTCATGGGGAAAAGAGGTGATCACCTGGTTATACTTGTCAAATTTTTTCAGGTGAAGATTATCATGGATGTATTTATAAGAAATAGAAATCTGGAGACTAGGTCATCCATTTTGTCTGTCCATGCACTGCATCATATTCAAAGTCATTGCACAGGCGGAGCGCAGTGGCTCACATCAGTAATCCTAGCATTTTGGGAAGCCAAGGCAGGAGACTCTCTTGAGTCCAGGAGGTCAAGTCTACAGTGAGCCATGACTGCAGCACTGCACTCCAGCATGAGCAACAGAGCAAGACCCCATCTCAAAAAATAAATAAAAAATAATTAAATAAATAGAAATATTTATTTCTATTTATTTAATAATAATAGTTCTATAAAACTATTACACAAAAGGAAATTTGATCCTGTTTATGAGCAACCCTTCCCAAGTTAGTTGAGATAGAACAGACCTCATCGGCTTAGCTGCTAAAAGATTCCCCTAAGCATAACTGTATTCATTAGTAAGACCTAACACCTGGATTTCAAGCACTTCTCTGTAAGTACCATCTCACACTCATTGCCGGTCAGTATTTTAGTGAGAGGCCCTTGAAGAACTAGCAGCCCATCCACTCCAAGATCAAAGCCAGATCAGTAGGAAAAAGGGACTCCAGAGTGCACTTGGGAAAAAGGAAAAAAAAAAAACACACCCTTTCAAATGCAGAGCTGAACTTATCACAAGGTATTTGTCGAGGGCTGCTGTTTATTACATCAGTGTCCTATTTAGGAGGGCCTCCAAGGAGAAGTTTCCATATAGCCTCTAGAAAATGCAGAACCAAATCACTGAGTTCATCTAGAGTCAGATCATTAAAGAATGTAGAGGTTATTTTTGCCTCCTTTTTGGCTCCATTTTGTGCTCATACCCCAATTATTTTTTCTGCCAATTTTTAAATTAGAAACTTTTCAGAAAAACATTTGCAACTACAGAAAAGTTACAGGAACGGTAAACACCCATATTCTCAGTGGCGAGTTAACCTTTTGTCACACCGTTTTTGCTCTCTCTCCTCTTCACACATGCACGGGGACTGTTGGTTGCAGGCAGTATGATTCTTCACCCCCCTCCAAATACTTCAATACTTCAACATGCCTGTTCTAAGAACAAGAATATTCTCTCAAGTTCTCTTATCCTATATTCTATGTAGTCTTATAAGGTGTCTCAAATCTTTTGTGAGCAAGGTAACGTATAAATACCAGGAAAAATGTAACATAAGATTATATCAGGTAGACTTAACATTAAAAAATTTACTTTTACATCACAAGACAAATCTGCAGCCACAAGGTGGCAATGTGCCATAGACATTGAACAAAATGTTCCATAACAGCTACTATTTAATAGTCCTAGTAAATGCACTAAGAATGGATGCCTACCCTGTGAAGCAATCAAACAAGTTAGGGTCCATTCTACTTACTTATTTTCTCTTAATTATGAGTGACAGCTGCATAAAATACAAATATTTCTCATTTAAGGTTCATCAGCATCTGCTACTTATTTTTCACCTGATGTTAAATTTTTTCAGCTTGTAGAATTACAATTAATTACTCTGGGGAAGACTGCTGTATCACAAATTAACAGCGGGTAGAAAAACAAGCAGAGGAAAGAAGATAATTCCTAAATAGGAAAGCCATAAAAGACATGAAACAAATGTGGAAGAAAGAGAAGGAAATCAAGGAGAAAACAGAAAAAAAACCTAATTCATCACATATCGCACATATATAGACATGAGCTGTTAGTCCACAAGCCAAGGTTTTTAATCAAAATCACAAGAAGGGAGTATTATTTTAAATCTGGGAAAACTGAGGCAGTGAACTGTGAGGGCTGCCAATGTTTCAGGCACAGTATGAGCAGAAAACCTATAAGCATAGTGCAGTGCTCCAAGATCCCATTTCCTCTTCACATCCGATCACACTCCCAACAGGCTCTCTCTAAATAGATCATTTTTCCAAATTTGCTCTGTTGTCAGTGGCTTTACTATTCTTTCTACAATTAGTCAAAGCTTCTCAAAACGGTCCACTGCAGCCCTGCAATTTATTTTTCATTTTTTGTCCTGAGTCAAATACTCATGATCCCTTTTAAGACACTTCATCACACCCTAGAGCTTATGGTAGACATCAAACATGTCACTTTGGACTTCGTCCTTTAAATGATTCCATTTTAATGTTTTCCAACTTTTCCAGACTCCCAAAGTCTTCATACTACAAGGAGTTGAACTAAAGACAGAGGCTGTCTTGAAACTTTCACTGATGTTCAAGGGCATCTAAGCCTGGGCATGATACCCCTGCTTCAAATACTTGTGGTTCCTCTCCCTAAGCAGGCTGTGTACTCCTAGAGGGCCAGGTCCTACTCCGTGGTCACCTACATGCTGCTGGCCACAAAGTATCTTGCATTGAAACAGCAATATGTCCTTACCTCATGCACCAATAGTAAATACTGATTTGTGTGACTGGATTTGCTTAAAATTTCCTACGTTAGTTCTTACCACCTCCAACAAGAGCCATAGAAAATTTGGAAGGATTCCTTTAATATTATTGAATGCAGAAGTCAGACAGGGGCACAGGACACCACCTACAAGTGAGGGATGTACACCCGCTCTTGCTAGCAGTTTATCACAGGAAACATGTTAGCATCTTAAGGGATAAAAGGTATATAACCAAGGGAAGTGTGAGGCAGAATTGAAAGAAAGTTTCCAAAACTGTCAGTTCTATAGAAATGCCAATCACCAGAATTCTATACCTAGATTTTCTGTATTTACTGCCCCCACCCATTATATGCTGTTTTACAAATTATCAGGCTGAGAAAAAAACAGATCCTCCACGATGACATTGTGGCTTGGCCATATCAATGAAGATGAATTAAAAGCACATAGTTAACATTTAATAGCAATGTACTGTATTCTTGAAAATCACAGAGTAGATTTAAGTGTTCTCACTCCCCAAAAATAAGCATGTGAGGTAATACATATGTTAATTAGCTTGATTTAGCCATTCCACAACACATACATATTTTAAGACATTATGATGCATATACATATGTAGAATTTTTATTTTTCAATTAAAAGAATAAATTTTAAAAAGTAAAAATGAAGGCACATCATTTACAAGCCTCGATCTAATTTTTGTTAATGTCTCCGCCATCACCATCACGACCATCTGCAAATAAGCACCACAGATTTCTTTATCTACGGCTATATGCCCTAGTAATACCACCCATCTGTCTATAAAAAGGCATATTAGAACTGTCCACAAACAGAACTTTCAGCCTCTTAACTGACAATTTTCTCCGACCTCATTTTCAGACACTTCTATTCCCAAGCACATGGGTTCTGTAATTCATAGTTTTTAAATATTAACAGTGGTCATATAAGCAGAAAGAGAAAGCTTTTTCCAATTTCAGTAAATGGCAATTCTGTTTTCTCTAGCTACTCAGGTCACAAAATCTTTCAGTTGTTCTTAACTTCTCTTTCACACTCCATATCCAACTAGTAAATCCTCCAGGCTCAACTTCCAAAATACACCCAAGATCACTTCACCATTTCTATGCCTACCACCCTTGTCCCTGCCATCCCCTTTCTCTCTTGCAATAGCATCTCAAGAGGTCTCTGTGCTTCCATCCTCTCAGAACCACAGCAGTGACCCTTCTAAAATGAAGCCAGATGCTCCAATTCCACAGCTGGAGTCCTTCTCTCTAGTCCCAGCTCCTGCCACTCCACTCGATCCACCTTGGTCTCTTGCCAGACCTTGGATGCCCCAGGCTCTTCCCACCCAGGACCTTACATTTATCATTTCCTCTACCTGCGACACATTCCAGATATTAGCTATTGTGCCCCCTCTGTCCTCTGGGTCTCTATTCAAATGTCACTCTTCCTGGGATGCCCTCTGTAAATGCCTATGTAAAACAGCACGCTCAACCTTTATTCCTTGTTCTTATTTTTCTTCAGAGCATCTATCACCACATGACATATGAGATCTTTGGTACTTGTTTCTTGCTCTTCTCCCCCTGCTAAAATTAAAGTTACATGAAATTATGCACTATATTGTTTTGTCCACTGCTGTATCCCTAGAACACTGCAAACTACATAAAAAGCACCTGTAAATATTGGTGGAAAGAGCAAATCAATTGCAAATCTCTGATATGTACTTTAAAATATAACAGGAAAAAAATAGAAAACACATGCCATAAAGGGCTTTAATTATTGAAAAAATAGAATAAAATTATATTAATTGTTATTCAAGGTGACATACTGGAAACTAAAGTGAGTCTCTAGTATTTTGAAAAACTGAACACTTCATGTGTGGAAAAGACCCTTAGGTTATGGCAAACCACATCATTTGAAAGAATCTGTTCCATATACCAAACTAATATGCTAATTTTTGAACACAGCTAACTCCAAAGGTAATTCCTAAATAACCATTGAACTTTTTAACTGTATCCCTGCTAGCATATATATTTGTCCAAATCAATCCAATCTTTTCCTACTCCACTCCTCTTCCAGTTTTTGCCCATTCAGTATGATATTGGCTGTGGGTTTGTCATAGATAGCTCTTATTATTTTGAGATACGTCCCATCAGTACCTAATTTATTGAGCGTTTTTAGCATGAGGGGTTGTTGAATTTTGTCAAAGGCCTTTTCTGCATCTATTGATATAATCATGTGGTTTTTGTCTTTGGTTCTGTTTATGTGATGGATTACATTTATTGATTTGCATATATTGAACCAGCCTTGCATCCCAGGGATGAAGCCCACTTGATCATGGTGGATAAGCTTTTTGATGTGCTGCTGGATTCGGTTTGCCAGTATTTTATTCAGGATTTTTGCGTCAGTGTTCATCAGGGATATTGGTCTAAAATTCTCTTTTTTGGTTGTGTCTCTGCCTGGCTTTGGTATCAGGATGATGCTGGCCTCATCAAATGAGTTAGGGAGGATTCCCTCTTTTTCTATTGATTGGAATAGTTTCAGAAGGAATGGTACCAGTTCCTCCTTGTACCTCTGGTAGAATTCGGCTGTGAATCCATCTGGTCCTGGACTCTGTTTGGTTGGTAAGCTATTGATTATTGCCACAATTTCAGAGCCTGTTATTGGTCTATTCAGAGATTCAACTTCTTCCTGGTTTAGTCTTAGGAGGGTGTATGCATTGAGGAATTTATCCATTTCTTCTAGATTTTCTAGTTTATTTGCGTCGAGGTGTTTGTAGTATTCTCTGATGGTAGTTTGTATTTCTGTGGGATCGGTGGTGATATCCCCTTTATCATTTTTTATTGCGTCTATTTGATTCTTCTCTCTTTTTTTCTTTATTAGTCTTGCTAGCGGTCTATCAATTTTGTTGATCCTTTCAAAAAACCAGCTCCTGGATTCATTAATTTTTTGAAGGGTTTTTTGTGTCTCTATTTCCTTCAGTTCTGCTCGATTTTAGTTATTTCTTGCCTTCTGCTAGCTTTTGAATGTGTTTGCTCTTGCTTTTCTAGTTCTCTTAATTGTGATATTAGGGTGTCAATTTTGGATCTTTCCTGCTTTCTCTTTTGGGCATTTAGTGCTATAAGTTTCCCTCTACACACTGCTTTGAATGCGTCCCAGAGATTCTGGTATGTTGTGTCTTTGTTCTCGTTGGTTTCAAAGAACATCTTTATTTCTGCCTTCATTTCGTTATGTACCCAGTAGTCATTCAGGAGCAGGTTGTTCAGTTTCCATGTAGTTGAGCAGTTTTGAGTGAGATTCTTAATCCTGAGTTCTAGTTTGATTGCACTGTGGTCTGAGAGATAGTTTGTTATAATTTCTGTTCTTTTACATTTGCTGAGGAGAGCTTTACTTCCAACTATGTGGTCAATTTTGGAATAGGTGTGGGTGTGGTGTGGTGCTGAAAAAAATGTATATTCTGTTGATTTGGGGTGGAGAGTTCTGTAGATGTCTATTAGGTCCGCTTGGTGCAGAGCTGAGTTCAATTCCTGGGTATCCTTGTTGACTTTCTGT
Organism: Homo sapiens; assembly: GCF_000001405.40. Classification (NCBI taxonomy): domain Eukaryota; kingdom Metazoa; phylum Chordata; class Mammalia; order Primates; family Hominidae; genus Homo; species Homo sapiens. The sequence goes on along the minus strand of NC_000005.10, from coordinate 66,752,739 downwards.
CTTGTTGATCTGTCTAATGTTGACAGTGGGGTGTTAAAGTCTCCCATTATTAATGTGTGGGAGTCTAAGTCTCTTTGTAGGTCACTCAGGACTTGCTTTATGAATCTGGATGCTCCTGTATTGGGTGCATATATATTTAGGATAGTTAGCTCTTCTTGTTGAATTGATCCCTTTACCATTATGTAATGGCCTTCTTTGTCTCTTTTGATCTTTGTTGGTTTAAAGTCTGTTTTATCAGAGACTAGGATTGCAACCCCTGCCTTTTTTTGTTTTCCATTTGCTTGGTAGATCTTCCTCCATCCTTTTATTTTGAGCCTATGTGTGTCTCTGCACATGAGATGGGTTTCCTGAATACAGCCCACTGATGGGTCTGGACTCTTTATCCAATTTGCCAGTCTGTGTCTTTTAATTGGAGCATTTAGTCCATTGACATTTAAAGTTAATATTGTTATGTGTGAATTTGATCCTGTCATTATGATGTTAGCTGGTTATTTTGCTCATTAGTTGATGCAGTTTCTTTCTAGTCTTGACGGTCTTTACATTTTGCCATGATTTTGCAGCAGCTGGTACCGGTTGTTCCTTTCCATGTTTAGTGTTTCCTTCAGGAGCTCTTTTAGGGCAGGCCTAGTGGTGACAAAATTTCTCAGCATTTGCTTGTCTGTAAAGGATTTTATTTCTCCTTCACTTACGAAGCTTAGTTTGGCTGGATATGAAATTCTGGGTTGAAAATTCTTTTCTTTAAGAATGTTGAATATTGGCCCCCACTCTCTTCTGGCTTGTAGGGTTTCTGCCCAGAGATCCGCTGTTAGTCTGATGGGCTTCCCTTTGAGGGTAACCCGACCTTTCTCTCTGGCTGCCCTTAACATTTTTTCCTTCATTTCAACTTTGGTGAATCTGACAATTATGTGTCTTGGAGTTGCTCTTCTCGAGGAGTATCTTTGTGGCGTTCTCTGTATTTCCTGAATCTGAACGTTGGCCTGCCTTGCTAGACTGGGGAAGTTCTCCTGGATAATATCCTGCAGAGTGTTTTCCAACTTGGTTCCATTCTCCGCATCACTTTCAGGTACACCAATCAGACATAGATTTGGTCTTTTCACATAGTCCCATATTTCTTGGAGGCTTTGCTCATTTCTTTTTATTCTTTTTTCTCTAAACTTCCCTTCTCGCTTCATTTCATTCATTTCATCTTCCATCGCTGACACCCTTTCTTCCAGTTGATCACATCGGCTCCTGAGGCTTCTGAATTCTTCACATAGTTCTCGAGCCTTGGTTTTCAGCTCCATCAGCTCCTTTAAGCACTTCTCTGTATTGGTTATTCTAGTTATACATTCTTCTAAATTTTTTTCAGTTTTCAACTTCTTTGCCTTTGGTTTGAATGTCCTCCTGTAGCTCAGAGTAATTTGATTGTCTGAAGCCTTCTTCTCTCAGCTCGTCAAAGTCATTCTCCATCCAGCTTTGTTCCGTTGCTGGTGAGGAACTGCATTCCTTTGGAGGAGGAGAGGCGCTCTGCTTTTTAGAGTTTCCAGTTTTTCTGTTCTGTTTTTTCCCCATCTTTGTGGTTTTATCTACTTTTGGTCTTTGATGATGGTGATGTACAGATGGGTTTTGGGTGTGGATGTCCTTTCTGTTTGTTAGTTTTCCTTCCAACAGACAGGACCCTCAGCTGCAGGTCTGTTCGAATACCCTGCCGTGTGAGATGTCAGTGTGCCCCTGCTGGGGGGTGCCTCCCAGTTAGGCTGCTTGGGGGTCAGGGGTCAGGGACCCACTTGAGAAGGCAGTCTGCCTGTTCTCAGATCTCCAGCTGCATGCTGGGAGAACCACTGCTCTCTTCAAAGCTGTCAGACAGAGACATTTAAGTCTGCAGAGGTTACTGCTGTCTTTTTGTTTGTCTGTGCCCTGCCCCCAGAGGTGGAGCCTACAGAGGCAGGCAGGCCTCCTTGAGCTGTGGTGGGCTCCACCCAGTTCGAGCTTCCCCTCTGCTTTGTTTACCTAAGCAAGCCTGGGCAATGGCGGGTGCCCCTCCCCCAGCCTCGCTACCGCCTTGCAGTTTGATCTCAGACTGCTGTGCTAGCAATCAGGGAGACTCCGTGGGCGTAGGACCCTCAGAGCCAGGTGCGGGATATAATCTCCTGGTGCGCCGTTTTTTAAGCCGGTCGGAAAAGCGCAGTATTCGGGTGGGAGTGACCCGATTTTCAAGGTGCGTCCGTCACCCCTTTCTTTGACTCAGAAAGGGAACTCCCTGACCCCTTGCGCTTCCCAAGTGAGGCAGTGCCTCGCCCTGCTTCGGCTCGCACACGGTGCACGCACCCACTGACCTGCGCCCACTGTCTGGCACTCCCTAGTGAGATGAACCCGGTACCTCAGATGGAAATGCAGAAATCACCGTTTCCTGCGTCGCTCACGCTGGGAGCTGTAGACCTGAGCTGTTCCTATTCGGCCATCTTGGCTCCTCCCTCAGCACATGCATTTTAAAGACTCATCCAGTATGCACATGCCCTAAGGCCAAAGTTCATTAGTTCAAAGGGATCACCAATGTCATCTGCATACATAATGAGAGGCTCACCAGTAAAGTCCTTTTTATGCTTAAAAAAAGAGAAGAGACTGATTCATAACATAGATTATGAAGACATTGTTCAGTTATTCTGTTTCTTGATATTAAATATCTTAAGAAACCAAAGATATGAAAATAGATTATAAAACTGCAGAGACTATGCTTGTAATCCTAATTAACTGCTCTCTCTCTCTCATCCCTGCCACCCAATAAAGAATCAAATTGGCAACCTGAAATGACTTTATTTCAAAATTGGATTTTATCTACTTTTAAACCGAAGCCTATAATCAATATTTTAAAATTTGATAGAACAGGCTTCTACAGTTAAAACACTCATTATTCGTTTCATACTAATTCCACAGTGGTTACAAGCCCAGATGAGAGCTGACACTTACTATCCTAATTAAGATATTTAACTATTTCTGCACCTGTTTCCTCAACCATGAGATGTTAGTAACAATAAATATCTATCTACTGGGGTGGCAGTAAGGATGAAGACAGTACATATATGTAAAGCACCTAAGACAGTGCTTGGCACAAAGGAAGTGCACCATGAATGACAGCTATGACTATTAATATCATTGTCCTGTAGTAAGTCACTTCGTTGTCTAGGCAAACATCTCTGTGAGTGTACATCATCATCAATGGTTCACAAGGAAATTAAACTCTTTACAATCATACCAAGGTTTTGGTTTGTGTTTTGTTTTTATGGCTCAAGTGAGAATTTGATTTAAACTGATTTTACATTATTTCAGGCTGTAATGCTCATACCTGTATTCCAGAGCACAGAATTCTAGGGTGTGATCGCCTATGCTACGGGCATCTGTAGCTATGTTTTTGGCATGAACGGAGCAGTACAGTGGTGAGGGACCTAGCCCCAGTGGGAATTGCCAGGAACAGAATCCCAATGTCATGTCCTGGGCAAGCTACCTCTCTCTCAGACTGGACCTCAGAGATGCAGTTAGGATGCAGAGAGATGATGCATGAAAAGAGCTGGCACACAGACACACTCAGTAACAAGTGATACTGATAAATGTCACTATCGCCCTAGGCTCAGCTCAAGTCTCCCTCCCCTTACCTTGGCCTGATGTCTGCTACAACCTGCAGCAGCTCTATTTAACTGGCCCTCCTGAGTGACACCTCTCAGGCACTCTTATCTCTGTTCTATACCACTCAAAGAATAGAAAAACATTTATTATTCTCTGCAGTGCCTGAAGAATATGCAAGGCCCCTTCCCTAGCATCTTAAAATCTAACTATAGATTGAGTCAGACCACCAAGACCTCTACAGTCCTAGACCACACCATCCTGGGACCTATTAATTGATTTTGCTGACAGTCATGTTGGATTATACCACCCAGAATGCATTCTTCCATTTAATGATACTGTAAGAAATGGTCCCAGCCAGGCATGGTGGCTTACACCTGTAATCCCAGCACTTTGGGAGGCCGAGGCAGGTGGATCATGAGGTCAAGAGATCGAGACCATCTTGGCCAACATGGTGAAACCCTGTCTCTACTAAAAATACAAAAATTAGCTGGGTGTGGTTGCGCACGCCTGTAGTCCTCAACTACTTGGGAGGCTGAGGCAGGAGAACTGCTTGAACCCGAGAGGCAGTGGTTGCAGTGAGCCGAGATCGCACCACTGCACTCCAGCCTGGCGACAGAGTGAGACTCCATCTAAGAAGAAGAAAAGGAAGAAAAGGAAGAGAAGGAAGAGAAGGAAGGAAGGAGGGAGTGAGGGAGAGAGGGAGGGAGGGAGGGAGGAAGGAAGGGAGGAAGGAAAGAAGGAAGGAAAGAAGGAAGGAAGGGGTCCTATAAATCCTGCTGCTCTGTTCTTATAAACAAGTAAAGAAGGGCCTATATTGCATAGCATCCTTCCTTATGAAGACTCATCTCTTTTTATAGACATTTATTAAGCGGCTGTGTGCCAGGTATTGCTCTGGACACAGCAGTTGGCAAAAGGGCAAGGAACGAAACTGACAGAAATCCCTGCCCACTGGGAACTTCATTGGAGTTGAGGAGAGGAACATCTAGAGAAAATCCTTTCAGTTCCTTGCATTAAGACTATTTTTATCCTGGGAACACCATAACCCACATACCTAGTCATGTTTCTCTACTTCAGTCCCTAGAAATCCCCTGGCAAAGCCCACACCCTATCACCAACAAGCATAGCATGTCCTATGTCCAACTGAGACTTCACGGGTCCATCTGCTGTGCTAACCTTGGTCCAGATTTCACCTTACCCTCTAAACCAGCAGTTCTGAACTCATAGTGATTTTCCCTCCACCCCCTCACCCTTCAGAAGACATGGGGCAGTATCTGAACCCATTTTTGGTTGTCACAACTTGGGTTGGCTACAGGCCAGGGAGGCTAACTGAATTTCCTGCAATGCACGGGACAGCTTCCCACAACAAAGTATTATCCAGCTCAAAGCATCAGCAATGCCATTATTGAGAACCCCCGCCCTACACTCACTTTCCTTTTTGTCTCTCTTCACCTATTTTTGAGTGCGTCACCTTGCTGAGATGACCTAGGTTGTAGGTCATCCTAAAAGCTTTTGAGAACAGGAAGCGGGACAGAGGAAGAGCACAGATAGAATCTCAGCAAAAATTGTTCATGCCACCAAAGGTTTGGTAAGCAAATAATTTGCTGAGCAACATCAATTTACCCAAACTATTTAACTGTTCACTGCAATTCACTTTCTCAATGAATGTCCATATTTTTTAAGAAAGAATGCATCAATAGAATGTGTTTAAACTAGAAGATGTACTAGATACCAATATCATTTTCCATCTTTGGTTTTATAATTAATTCTCTGAATCACAAACTTCAATAGAAATATAAGAAGTGTTTCAGAAACATCCCAAAATACAGTATTAGATCAAACTACAGTGGCATTCACATAAACAGAGCTGTAGCACTAGTTTCATTTCTTAAGAGAATTGATTTTCTCTGTTCCCTTCCAAGAGAAATATGTATATTAGCACTTTGATACTGCTATCTCGTGACTGTCAACTTCAAGAAAGTCAATTCCTTTTCTCTACACACACATACATACACACACACACACACACACACACACACACACACCATGCGCATGCACACATCCACCACCAGCAATACAATTTCATCACAGCCCCAAGGACAGAGCACGACACTGTAGGCATTTAATTGCAACTGACTGTGATTAAGCAATAAAGTCAACAGTCTAAAGATGTTAAAAAAAAAAATAAAGCTAGTATCATTTTATAGTTTTTTAAAACATGGCACACTTTGTGCATAGTTTTCAAATTATGAATCATTTCTCAAAGTTTACTTTAGGAACAATGACACTGGGAGAACACGGAAAATACTAATTTGATTTTGCATATACATCACCTGTTTTCCTGTCACTTTAATATTCTAGATGTTTCCTTGACCTTTATTTAGGTGTTTGATCTATGCCTGAAGTTGTTTACCTATCTGAAGTCATTAAATTGCCCTGATACCATCAAGTCCCCATCAGCAACATAACTAAAGAGTCTGACCATGCTTAACAAGCAGGAAGAGAATATACTGCTCACCCATCATCTTCCTTCCATTTAAAGTCAGAGGGGAACATTCCCACACGATGCCACAAAACCTGACATTATATGCCTGCTTCCAGCTTTGGGAGAGAAAGTAGACTCCCTACTAGGCAGTAGTATTCCCATTTTACCAAAGAGGAAAAGGATTCAGAAAGATAAATCCTTCACAGCTCTCAGCTCATTAGGAGGTACTATGAGAAATCAAGCCCAAGATGCCCAACTACAAAGCCCACATTTCTTCCTCTGTTCGACTGTGTTCCAGAAAGGCTCACTGTGGCAAGGTGCCCAAAGCTTTGGAAAGTCAACCTTAACCTCCTCTTACATCCCCAGTCTGAGAAGACTCCACAAAGACAGGATTCTTAGAACCTGGTGTCAACCAATCCAAATGATCCAGTTCAATCCTAATTGGCTGGCTACCCAAGTAGTTTCTAGGGTTTCTATGGCGGCAATTTTTAAGATAGAATTACAGAATCACAAAACATTAAGCAGTGGAAAGGACCTAAAAATCATCTGTAGTCTAATTTCCTGGTTTTACTGGAAGATGGAGGCCCAGACAAGTCAAATGAACTGCCCAGATTTAGAAAGATGACTGGTGCACGAACGCAGACCAGAACCCAAATTTCTACACCCACAACCTACTGCCTATGTGCTGTGCTTCCTGCAGTCCCGCAGTATTCATCACTGTTACAATCAAGTGTATGATTTCCTCTGGTTTTCTACTCCCACATACTCTATCAACCCAGAATTGCTTTAAAAAAATTTGTTTACCCAAATGTCTACTATGGACTAGACATTGCGCTAAAGGTTAAAGCTAGAAAACAGAAAAGATACAGTCATCTTCCTTGGGACACTTCCATCCAAGTCCACAGACACAAAACCACAACCATTAAGACAACATGGCAAAAGTCGGGACAGAGTCAGGTACAAGCAATTCTACAGCTTTGAGCAGAGCTGTGGTCCAACACCTAATAAATTATTTTCCTTACCTTGTTAGCTGGGCAATGCTGGTATTGCTTAATGCCTTCAATTGCATTTACTCACATAGGTTACAGTCCTCTCAGGTACCCAGAAGCCAGTCCAGGATGGAGCACAGAGCAGTACGGAGCTGTATATTGATCATTAATCGATGATCGATTAATTGATAATTAGCGGTATCTAAACACATGCTATAATTATTTTCCTTCTGATTGGGGGCTTTTCAAATCCATCCACCACGTTCTAAGAGGTAAGAGAGAAAGAGCAGTCTCTCCCACTCCATGGGCACCATACATCATAATGTGGGCCTTTAAGATCCTAAACATCTACCCTTCTTTAGGCAGCAACTGCTTCCTATGGACCAGATGCTGAAGGCATCGTGCAGCTCATCACATTACACCACCCAAAAGGATCAGAAAACAGTGGTGAGGAGGAAGGCAGTGGTTTGAGGCAAGCCCACAGCTGGGACTTCATCCAGCCACTTATCAGCCGTATAAATTTAAGGTGAACAAGTTTTAATTTCATCTATAAAATAAGGATAATTATATCCTACTCACAGGATCTTGGTCAATTAATGATCAATACACAGCTCCTGGGATCATACCTGACACCAAAAAGGCTCTCAACTGCTTATTCTCTTCCCCCTTCCCTATGCTTTCTTAGCCTAGTACATTTTTTCAGAACTATAAAGGAAAACAATCAATTGTTGACCTGTTCAATAACATGCATCGAAGCCAAAAATAAACTTTATACAAGTTTCTGGAAAAAGCTTTAAAATAAACTCTTTGATATTGTTTGAGTCTGTATCCCCACTCAAATCTCATGTTGAAGTGTAATCCCCAATGTTGGAGGAGGAGCCTGGTGGGAGGTGATTGGTCATGGGGGTAGATCCTTCATGAATGGGTTAGTGCCATTCACTAGGTGCTGTTCTGGTGACAGTGAGTGAGTTATCCTGAGATCTGGTTGTTTTAAAAGTATGTAGCATCCCTTTGCTCCTGTTCCTGCCATGTAAGACATGCATTGCTTTCCCTTCACCTTTCATCATGGTCATAAGTTTCCTGAGGCCTCACCAGAAGCAGAAGCTGCCATGTTTCCTGTACAGCCTGCACAACTATGAGCCAATTAAACCTCTTTTCCTTATAAATTACTCACTCAGGTATTGCTTTATAGCAGTGCAAGAACTAATACATACTTCTTATAAAATAACGTTTAAGCTCTTTAACTGGACAAATGCTAAAAATTAATATTCATTTCATGACTTCATATTAAGAGGGAAAACGAGCTGTTTGAGGAACTCTACAGTGGATAGCTCTGACCCAAGAGGCAAAATAAATGTTCTTAAGAAAAGCATTCTTAAGAAACATGAGTCACGAATTATCAGCAGCCCAGGGGCCCCACGTGGTTAAAATGGAAATCATTCAGAAAGACACAGAAAGATAACCGCTGAGCAACTGGCAAATGGTAAGAGGGTGAGATGTCTCTGGGGGATGGAGGGGCACTGGGCCATTTGAGCTATCTTATCAGCTTTATTTCTTCTTAAAGGGAAAAAAATAACCAGAAAACATGAAGGGAATGGTAAAGAAAGAGAAGGAAATGACTGAGGGATAAAGAAGAGAGAGAGGAAGAGGAAAAGAGAAGAAAGTGGCCAAATAAGAGATGTTCAGAAAATGCAATGCCCTGCTTAGCTCCTGAGTTCCCCAGAGCTGTGCCCTCTCCCCCTTCCACTCGAAGCTGTGTCCCACTGTAGAACCAAAGACCAATCATCTCTCTCTTAGCCAAAACAATACATAATATGCAATTGTAATAAATATCTATTAATAAATAATTATAAGTATAATCCACGAGAAAAAAATTTTAAAATTCCAAGACCTTAAACCAGCAGCCCCCTGGCACAGCATAGATCCGTCTTACCCCTGAATTCTATCTGACTGGGTTTCTGCCCTGCTATCCTCCTGTTTCCCTGGGCTGAGTCTCTGCCTCTCCATTACTAGTCTCCCTGCCCTGTGTCCCCAGAACTCCAGGTCTGGGGGCCACCCTGTGCCCAGCGTCCTGCACTGATAACTCCTGCCACTGAAACGCAGCCTGTGGAGGACTGGACTCTGACCCAGTGCCAGGCCTGTGCCACCAACCTGCCCAAAGCACTTCCAAATGCCCGCCCCACCTCTGTGGGAGGCACGCAGGAACTTAGGGCTTGCTTTAAAACTTTGGGTAATAGCACTGACACCCCAGCTTCTCTCTTCCCAGGTCACGCCATCCCAGGGCTGAATCCCAAGGCAAACTTCCCCACCTGGATTCCCAGTCCCCAAGAGACGAGCCAGGTCTAACCTGCCAACCTCTCAAGGGAACATGAACTAGAGAAAAAGGGGAAGGAGAAAATGACAGAAACACATACATGAGGAGGAAGAGGGGACATGGGAAATGCAATGAGAAAAACAAAAGAAAGAAGAAAAGGCTGTGAAGAAGAAGAAAGCAGGAGATGGGACAGAGAACAAGGGCTGCTCTATCATATGAGTGATTAGAGAAGGCTGCTCTGAAGATGTGGCATTCGAACAAAGACCAAAAGGAAGGAAGCTGGTGAGCCGCGCAGGGAGTGGAAGCTTCCAGGCCAGGAAACCGGCAAGCATCAAGGCCCTGAAGTGAGAGTGCATTCAGAGTGCAAGCTACTATTCACAATTAATAGCTTGATAGATTTCCCCAGAAAACAAATCTACTTGAACTTTTCTTCCTATTCTACTATTCACCCGGGGTTATGAGCATGTGAGCAACTTGATGACACTGTACTCTGAATTCTGATTAGCTGACCAACCATTCCTCAAACTTCCTTCATGTATTTGTTCTTGACGACAAGATCTGGCTCCAAACAGGCCTGACACCTCCGCTTGCCAGAAGAAAACTCTCCTGTAGGTTACAAGAGCACAAAGTTACTCAAGATGTTCCCACCTTCACATGCAATCAGGAAAGGAAAAGATTTCGCCTTTGGGTACAGGTTCGCAACTCCACTAAAAGAAGTATTCACCAGAAGCCACAGTGTAGTAAAAACAGAAAATAATTTGTCAAGAGTCCCTTGAGTCTTCCAGGCAGCCCCCAAGGACTGGGTGGGGTTGCCTAAATAAGGCCAAGGCAGCAGCTGGAGGAGCGCTCAGGAGCTTTGAGAGTTGCATCACATTCCTTTTTGTTTTTTTAACCATGTCTATAAACAATTTTATTCTAAAATTATTAATAAAATTACAACTAATCTTAGCCAATAAGAGTAGCAATTCTGTTTCCTTTCCCCCTAAAGGGCAAAAACAAAACACACCAATACACAAGAACCCCAGGGAACAACTTAATGAGCTTGAGTGCCAACCAGTGGCCGCCTCGGGAAGTGTGAACACACTGGCATCTTATGAACTCTGAAAACAGACTCGGGCAGATGAACCGCGAGAGCAACTGTACGGTCAGCATCTGACCCAGCTCCGTCTCTCACGCTCCAAGTGTCTATTTTCCCATTCCTGCCTGCACCTCACTGGTAGACCAGCTCTGCAATGAAGGCGTGTGGATCGAAAGGCTGGAAACAAGAGACAAGCTAAGGGGAAGCTTCTAAGTGAGAGCCTGAAATTGCCTGAGAACACAGCACTCCGCTCTGGGAGTACAGATGCTCATCCTTTCAATAAATCTAGGGCTCTAGTATATAACAACCTGAACTTACAGTAGATCAACTCGATTTCCTCTCCTTATACAGGGATTTTAAGCAATGAATTCCTCTGCCATGTAAGTGTTTAAAAATTAACAAAAATCAGTTCACAAGAAATGAAAGAACAGCTCTGATTTAGGAGACATACCCATCTGACTGGCCTGGCTGGTGAAGCACACCGATCCCCTGACCATGAGTATCATTACAGCTGCCAGAAGCCAGGCCACCTCCTCACCAGGGCTATGGGGTTCTTTTTCCTCCAATTCCACATATTTCTCTAAAGGTTACAGTCACCTTTAGAGTCCACTGTTGAGAGGTCCCGTTCCCACAAAGCTCAAACCACTATATCCACTAAAGGTACATTCCTGACCTTCACTGTTATTGACATTCCAGGGATTGGCAAACACAGCCTGTGTGCCAAATAAAATTTTATTGGACCACAGCCACACTCGTTCTTTATGTTGTGTCTACATGCTGCCTACTATAGCAGAGTTGAGCAGCTGCCACAGAGACCATATAGCCCACAAAGCCTAAAATATTTACTATCTGGCCCTTTATAGAACAGGTTTGTGGGTGCCTGATTTATATAAATTCACTGAGCATCTACTATGTGCCAAGTGTGGTTTGGCCACTGTGCAGACAGCAGTGACCAGAACAAAGTTCCTTTCTTCAGGTGGTAATAAGGTCTGTGAAGAAGAAGAAAGCAGGAGATGCGACAAAGAATGAGGGTTAGTCTATCATATTAGTGACCAGAGAAGACTGCTCTGAAGAGGGGGGCATTTGAACAAAGACCCAAAGGAAGGAAGGGGGTGAGCTGCACAGGGAGTGGAAGCTTCCAGGCCAAGGAAATGGCAAGTATCAAAGGCCCTGAAGTCAGAGTGCATTCAGTATGTTTGAGAAAAAGCAAGCAAGGTGGGTGAGCAATGTCTCCTTTCTCCATGGTCACAACCTAGCAGCCTTCTCCCAAACAGGCCAGGCACCATCTTAAGTGTTTTCAGAACATTATCTCATTTGATCTTTAAAACAACCCTCTGATGTGGTATTATCATCCCCATTTCACAGATAAGGAAACTGAGGTTTTCGAAGCTTATAAGTGACTTGCCCAAGGTATCAGAGACCCACAGTTAGCTGTCAAACACAAGCCATTCCGGAACTGTTTTCCATTCCATATTCCCGCAGGCAGCACCAGCACTGTCACCCAGCCACAGACCAACAGCTTGAGCGACGACTGTACCTGATCCAAGTTGCACAGGTGGAAGAGGCTCCACTGGGCCTGCTTCCTTTTCCACTCTGCTTTTTTGAATCATGTTCTCACTGAATTTCTCTACTTCCTCCACCTCCACATTTATGTAAGCCTCCTAAGATCACCTCCAAAACAAACAGCCAAGCTATGGAAGACTGATGGATGGGAGAGAAGAAAGGAGAAACGGAACAAACATTTGCAGGCCTTCTGTGAGCCAAGCACAGATGTAACAAGCACTCCGTGGACCTTCTTTCTGGGAGATGATGGTTAATGAGAATATTAAGGTAGAAAATACAGCATTTTCCATGTGGACCTGTGCATTCCACAAGGAGGAATTGCTTGAGGAGTCTCCACAGCAAACATAATTTAAATTTAAGAGACAGCACGTTTTCACTGTGTTCCTCAAGATCAATCATCAGCCAATGTTCTGAGCCAAGACATACAGCAACTTCCTAATCTTTCCTGCCTCACAACATGTTCTCTGCTGCCTTCCACCAGCCTCTGCTGTCTCTTTTAAGAGTTTACATCAGCCTCTAATGCTTTCCTCATGTGATGAGATGGCCTTTCGACTTTATTTAGGGTTTCAACTTTATGCAGGGCACAACTGATGAGTCCTCCAGCAGCCACCCACCCACATCCACACTCAGTTCCTCCCACAGGCCTAGCAGCCCTCAGGCAGTTATGCCTCTTGATGACTTCTCACTACCTCCCAACATTCCCAAGACAAAGGATATGGATTAATTCCCCGGTATAGCCCTAAACATAGTACTACTAAGAAACCTAAAAATCATTCACAACAAACTTCAACAGCAGCATGTCTTGGAGAGGAAGTATTCCTCAATAAATGTCACCTACAAAAAGCAGGATGAAAAAAAAAAAAAAAACAAGAGTGATGGAAAATAACATCCTGCTTGGCAGAAAAAAAAACATGTACAAAAATGCTTAGCTGAGTCTTCTGTTTTAGCATTTGCCATGGGAAAACATAATCCCATTCTTCCTTAATAGGTCGCTGCCTGCTCTGAATCCCGGTGTCTTGTGTGCAGCCCCCAACACTGAGCAAAAGGTTTGACATATTTAACATCCGGTATACGTGTCACAGGAATAAACATCTACTTATACTTGACATTATTAGATGACAACTACCCCAGGGCGTTGAGAGATATGCTGTTGAGGGGGAGTGAAGAGAAGACTGAAACAAAGTCGAAATGCCTCTATATATGTGAAAAGAGAGGAGGTCTGGCTATTTCTAAAAACTCCTTGGAGCAAGGTCAAGAAGGGCCCCAGTCATTCTCTACCACCTATTTCTACCCCTTTGTGATTAAGGCAAACCAGTGTTACTCATCTCCTCTTTTTCTCCCAAAAATTCCTGCCCCAGGAAATACAGAGGTCAAGGAAACAAGAATGACTGCTGCCCCCACAACCGAAGAAAGATGCGACTAAACAACTGGGTGTCCTCTAAGGAAGGAAGTGTAACATAATTTTACACTTTATGTTACATAAATGATATTTCACTAAAAATGAGAACTATGTGCCATTTCCCCATTTTCACAATGAATGAGAATATAGGAAAAAGCAGGAAATTCAACTCTAAAAAATTACTTTTGAAATCTTAGGAATGACTGTTACATAAATCACACAAATGCATTTAAGTGATGGCCTTTTTTGCTTGATAATAAAGCACTCTTCATCACGGTAGCTAATTAAGCAAAAAAAAAGATCTATAGGAAAATGGCAATGAAGGTATCAATAATTTAAGACTTCAATAACTGTTCTAAAAGAGGGAAGTAATTGACTAAAAACCTTCTAAGGTTTCTTACAGTTCGGTCTTATGTAGTCACAATATCTCATAACAAAAATTTAAACAACAATGGTACTTAAGTTAGAAATAAAAGTTCAAAGAAGAAGAAAGGGATTTATGAACAGCCTAAAAGTATGGTGTGGTTCACAGTGCAAAAGGCCTGACAGCAGCTGAGTATTCAGCACAATCAAGATCCGAGAAAGCAGACCTGTGTCGGAGCACTTTCAACCGGGAGGAGGGCATCCTAACCACCTACGCTGGCCTGCATTAAACATGTTTGCAACACAGAACCCATTCTTCACCTGCTCCTGCTATATTCTCCTCCGCCGTACCTAGCACCTAACACACTGCACATTTTACTTGCTGGCTTATTGTCTCCCTCCCCCATTAGAACATAAGTTTCATGAAGGCAGGGTCTGTTTTGCTCCCTGATGAATCCCCAGAGGCTAGAAGAGGGGCCTGGCACATAGCAGGTATGAAAGCCAATAGTGCCAAGTAAACTCTTTTGGGCTCTCCACCTTCTAGGCATACAATAATATTGTGCTCTCTAGCTCCTTGCAGTTGGACAGGGCCAGGTGACAAAGTCTGACCAGTGAGTGTGAGAAAAGGCAGGGTGTGTCCTTTCCAGGCTAAAGCACTAAATTGTGGGTGTGAGATCCTCCAGAACACTCTTACCTAGCTCTGCTTCAGTGACTGCTTGCTCCAAATGGGGGCTGCTCTGTCAGCCTATCCCAGAGTGAGGACACTGCCAGGTAGAGCCTCAGTCTACTCACAATGGATATAAAGCACGAGTAAGAAATACACTTTTGTGCTTTATGTCATGGGTTGTCATCACCCTTCCCAACTGATAGGGTAGGCATTCAGTAAAAATCTGTGGTTGAATTTGTCAGCTCTCTTTGCACAGCTCATCCAGCATAATGAGTTCTGAGGGGACCTATTTGCTCACAATGCACCCCGTTCTAATTTGGAACAACTCCCATGTCCTTCCTGGTACTAAGTCAAAAACTATGTTCTTGAAGAATCCAAATGGCAGGTCAGGGTACAAGCAGGACTTTTTGGTTTTTTCTTTCCTCATCAGCCTCACTCTCTTCTTTTCATATCTGCCTCAAGCGGTCCTAAGGAATTCTCTGATTGATCGAAGTCAAGAGAGTGACTTGGAAATTATGCTGTAAGGAGTGATCAATATTAGCAAAAGAAAGGCTTGTCTTGTAGAGGTATCACTCAGAAACCTCTAATGAGCCTAAAGCTCCTTCCATAAAAGCACAGGACCTCAAAGGATGAAGCAGCCTCTTCAGTATGTACCCTAGACACAGAAAGAATCCAGAAGTAGAAGACAGAAGGGATCAAAGTACACGGAGAGATACGAGGCCAAGGAGGGACTCTCAGCTGCCCAGGCGCGGTGATCTTATAATAGGCAGACAAATTCCTTGGTACTCCTCTTTTCAAGAGGTAGTACCCTCCCCTTGAGTGCAGGCTGTACTTAGTGGCTTACTTTTGAAAAACAAAACACAACATAAATACTGGTGTGTGATTTCTGAGGCTCAACTGTAAGAGGCATTGTGGCTTCCTCTTTGCATTTTCTCTCATTGATGAGGACAACACAAGGACACTCAGCAGCCCAATGGACAGGTCCACATGGTGAGGAACTGAGGCTTCCTGACAACAGCCCACACCAATGTGCCAGCAACATAAAGGAACTGTCTTGGAAGTGGATCCTGCAGCCCCAGTCAAACCATCAGAGGACTGCTGTCCTGGCTGCACCTTCCTGAATTACCCAGAGCCACCCAACCAGCTAAGCTACTCCTGAATTCCTAACTCAAAAAAACTGGGATAAAACTTTTTTTAAGCTATTCAATTTGGGGGATAATTTCTTACACAGGAAAAGGTAACTGCTATATCAAGTGTCCTCTGGCCTGAGTATATGCATATGTTATACAAATTATGTGTTCATAGTGACTTTACAGAATGGACTATATACCAACCCATATGACTCGGATATTACAGAGGGGACGCAAACATGTTCAACCAAGTACAGCATTCTCTGGTTCCTAACCCTAGGTTTTCCTATTCATCATATGTAAGTGTACAAGAGTAGTACCCTTCACTGCTACCTTGATCTTTTGAAAACAGCCTTCCATCTATCACCTGTGAAAACCAGTTTCATCTCTGTGTATCACACCATCTCTAGGCTTCACACTTCATGA
Source organism: Homo sapiens (assembly GCF_000001405.40). NCBI lineage: Eukaryota > Metazoa > Chordata > Mammalia > Primates > Hominidae > Homo > Homo sapiens. The sequence goes on along the minus strand of NC_000005.10, from coordinate 66,736,728 downwards.
CTCAAACTCTTGAAGAACTGCAAAAGAGCAAAGAAAAGAATAGACCACTGTTAACTGTACCTGAATGCAGGACTGCAGAAAAACTACGTTAATCCTTATGTCCTCATACTCTACCTTCGTCTTAAAAAAGACTTAAAGAACTTAGTAAAATAGCCATAGTAGGAATCACTTTCCCTGACACTGACCCATTGCCAACTTTAGCAGCTGAATCATTGTTGCTACCTTTCTTCCCTGCCCAAGAACTTGCATTTCATTCTCTGGGTAATTTGCTATTTTTTTAAATAGTAATTCAGCGACTGACCCAGAGCCAACCTACAGCTCCAGTTGTGTGTGTGTGTGTGTGTGTCAGCAGGCTAAGAGGCACATATAAGGCAAGGCACACACATACAAGGACCAAAAAAAAAAAAAAAAAATTCCCTCACTACATGGTTGCCAAAGTATTCTCCATCTCCTGGCATTCTGCATCTTTTGCCTCTTTCTTAGTTGGAGTATAAGTGGTAGCAGGGAGACCACCATTAAGCAGCCCAAGGTTTGGTTTAACTTCTATAACAATGTTTATGAATAAAGATGGAAAGGAAGGATCAATGGTATGCAAGTAAGGTTAAAACAAACAAGATGGTGCTAGGGTCTGCCATGGAGTCAGCTTTGAAACAGGATATCTGAAAACAAGTGATAGAAATGGGAAAAATAACTTCTCCAGATCCCCCAAATCCCACAGCTATTTGCTCTAAGATTAAATGTTCCATATCACCCTATCTTGTAGCAATAATGGAAACCTAACATCAGAAGCATGAAACAATAAAGGTCTTCATAGATTCCTTCTGCTTAAAAAGAAAGGCAGTGTGTTGTCACCTGTGAAAGAAATGGTTTCCAATTCCATTTCAAAAGCATTTCTCGAGTAATTACTCTGTTATGACATTACACCACAAATGGGGGTGAGGGTACAGTGATAAACCTAGCTCCTACAGTCAAGAATCTCTCAACCTAACAAGTGACTTTTAACCTTTAAGAGTCGCAGATCCCGTTGTAAATCCTATACTTCTCTCCAAATATACATATAAAAACATATTCACATAAAAACAAAATTTTGCTAGCAAATTTAGGTTATCCACAAATTGTCAAAGCGCATGGATCCTAGGATAAGTGTATCTTGCTCTACCAGGAGAAAAAAATACAAGATTTATTTAATAAGCAAGTATCATATAATATATAACACTAGATATTAGCCTAGCCTCTCTTCCAAGTAGTTGAAAACACCACCTTCCATCTTATTGTATACCAAATATCACAGAGGACAAAATACATATGTTCATATAAAAGTAACATATAAAATTAACATTTACTATTATTTCTGGTATCACTTTTTACAAGCAATAGTAATTGAACTAAAATGAAACCTGCATGAAACCTAAATTTGTGAGATCTACATTTTTAACCTCATCCTTATACTGAGTATAATTATTTTGTATGATTAATTCTGAATATAAAACAATTTCTGTAGTTCCAAGATAGCAAGCTGAGCACTTCTTATTAGTTTCAATGGTTTAAATAATTTGGGGCTATAATACTGGTAGAAAAGATTCACCTGTATGTTTCCCTTTTTAAAAAAGCTCAGTTTCTCTACATAAACTGCATTTATGCTGTCAGAAAGAAAACAGGAATGACAAGTTATTTAGGCACCAAGGATTTAAAAAATATAAAAATGAAATCTCCTCTCTTAGTTTCTGCAATGTCTTCTAAGACAGGCTCTTGGATACAGGTCAGAAGATATTCTTAAGGGTGGAGCATGGAATGCTAACAGGTGTCCCGTGGAAGAATTAAGGAATAACTAGAACAAAGAGAAAGAACAACACTGCAAGGGGTGGGGAGTCCTGACAGCTAGAAAATAGGAGAAAAACAAATACAAATTGATGTGTTTTCAAGCTTCCAACACTGTGCCGTCCAATACAGTGGCCACCAACCACATGTGGCTATTTAGATTTAATTTAAACTAAAAATTTAGTTCCTCAGTTGCACTAGCCTGTTTTCAGAGCTCAAAAGCCACATGTGGCTAATGGCTACCATACTGGACACTGCAGAATATAGAACATGTCTATCATCTCAGAAAGCGCTATTGGACAGCAATACTCTATAAAGTGAGAGCCCAGAAAACATTAAGAAGTTACTTAGTCTTGAACAGAAAGTATACAGATTCACAGATACATCATTTTCGGCTAAGTTCTTCTATTTATAAAGGAAGGTAAATTGATGCAAATGAGGTAGAAAACAGTTAAGATTAAGAATTTTGAGTGCAATGGATCAATGGCCCACATTACACAATATAGCCTATGATACCCTGGACTCCATCTGATATTCAAGTTCAGGAGCTTCCAAACCAGTGGAAGTTCTATGGATTATTCTTCCTTGCCAGCCAATAACAGTATGTACCAAGTTCCTAATATCTATTATCTGACTTGGTGCCCACAAGTCACTAAAAGCCCCCCAAAAGTCTGCAATCTAATTTGGGAGTTTTAGAAGCCTCACACAGTAACTATGGGAGAATTACAAAATATGCAGATACATACAAGGTCACAGAGTAACAACTTTTCATTTAAAATGCAGAGGTGACATAGTACAGAAGGAGAAAAGCAAAGTTTGAGCCATAAAATTGTTTAAAATTTGGTAAAAAGCAAGGTAACAGAAAAGCTTAGAAAACAGGGATATGTACAGCCTATTATCTTGTCACAAAAGGGTTCATGAAGGAAGTAAGCTTTTAGTTAAATATTGAAGAAATTAATGGTTTTGTATTACTGTATGTCAGTAACTTTCAAAATTATTTAACTGCAAACCATACTAAGACATTTTAGATTATTATCCAGCAGGCATATACCACTAAGTAAACATTTCACAAAGCAATAATTTAGCCATACTACAATGCACATTTTCTGTTATCTTCTATTATAATTTCACTTTAAAAAAAAAACACAAGTTGGCTGGGCGCAGTGGCTCATGCCTGTAATCCCAGCACTTTGGGAGGCCGAGGTGGGTGGCTCACCTGAGGTCAGGAGTTTGAGACCAGCCTGCCCAACATAGTGAAACCCCATCTCTACTAAAAATACAAAAACTTATCTGGGCGTGGTGGCGGGCGCCTGTAATCCCCACTACTTGGAAGGCTGAGGCAGGATAATTGCTTGAACCCGAGGCGGAGGTTGCAATGAGCCGAGATCGCACCACTGCACTCCAGCCTGGGTGACTCACTCGCTTAATGACCCATTAAGCCAATTTTATGACCCATTCATGGGTTCCAACCTACAGAATGAAAGATATCTATAAGATGAATTTCTGTGGTAGGAATTGGTAAATTATCTATCTGAAGAAAGGAAACCATATTTGTAAAAATAGGATTAGAAAACTCTGTGCATGTGTGTGGTGGGGGGAAGAGGGAGGGGAAACGGAGAAAGTTAGAGGGAGCGGGAGAGGAATAGTCAGAGGAAGAGAGAGAAGAGTTGGAGGGAGGAGACAGGGAGACAGAGGCAGGACAACTGAAGGGGTTGTCTAGTGAAAAGTCTTACATGTAATGCCTGTATTTCATAGGCAAAAGGAACCCATTTTTGTTTAAAGCAAAGGTTGGGACAGATTTGCCTGGTAGCTCTGGAGAATGTGGCCTTGGAATGAGACTTGGAGTTGGAAGGCCAGCCATGGAGGTTGAAGCATAAAAAACAAACACAATGAAGGGAAGACCTGGATTATGATGCTGAGAAAAAGGAGGAGTGGGGTGCAGGCAGAAAAAACAGCAGGACTTTCAAATTGGACCAGAAAAAATAATTCTCATATCTTCCAAAACAAGCAGAGCTTTAGAGACCGAATGGCGAAATACTAAGAAGAAAGCTAAAGGAAAGGTGCAGCTGAGCAAGAGATAGAAGCAAGCGGATCAACCCACTCCACAACCACATGGATCTCATCCAATCTACTTATTTTCCTCATGAGGTAGAATAGACCAAGGCTCAAGTGGAAAAAGGGACAATCTCTGTCCCCAATCCCCAACACATCCAGATGCTGAGCATTTGCAGATGGAGTATGCATCTGTTCAGTTTTTCATTCAAAGAACAAATGTTGATTGCCTACATATCGCAGGCACCAGATGTATAAAGTTCACAAAGCATTGTCCTTGCCCTTAAGAAACCAGTCAGAAGCCAGCTTCCTAAGCAAATAACTATAGCACAAAGTGATCAGTGCTAGGAGAGAGGTGTGTCCAAAGTGCTAGAGGAACACACAAGATGCAGCGAGTGGTTCTGCCTGGGTCAGCAAAGGCTTCCAGGAAGAAGAGGCAATGTTAAGAAAAGCTTTTCTATCAGAGGCAACAGTGTAGGCAAACTGGGGAAGCCTGAAAAGTGGGTGGTATGTAGAAGAAATGATGAATGGGGCCAGAAAATGAGGCTTGGGGGAGAGATGGAGAAGGTGGAAGAAAGGGCAGTAGGAAGGAGAGTCTGCCAGAAGAGGAAGTTGGGACTAGTTTGTGAACTAGTCTTCTAACCAGTGCTGACAATGACCAGCAGTAACTGAAAGTCAATAGGAAACCGGACATTGTAAAGCTAAGAAATAGTACAAATTAGGCCCATGCTTCAGAAAGACCACACAAGCAGTAGTCTAGGAAGTGAACTGGATAGAGATGAGTCAGGAAAAGAGGCCAGTGAGGAAGCTGTTGAGACAAAAGGGCCTGCGTGGGACTGGTATCACAGGAAGGGAGAACACTTGGGCAGATACTTGGAAAGTAAAGTGAACAGTCTTCCTGCCTACCTGAAGGGAAGGTGAAGGAGGACAGAGTCACAGATCTCCATGGGGTTCTTACTTGTGGGGAGCAAGGGTGGCTTGGCCTTGAGGAGGAAAGACAGGAAATTTGTTCTTGCACATGTTGAATTCAGGTTGCCTCTGGGACACCTTAATGGATTTATCAAGAAAGCAGGTGAAAATCCAGCTAAGAGGAAGAGGAGAGAAATCAAGCAGAAGCAATCAGTTTGGGGGTTGCAATATAGAAACCACAAGAGAAATGAGAGTGGAGACAAAGGTGAGACAACCACTATTTAAGGAGGGAGGATAGCTAGAAGACTATAAGCCAGAGGAAAAGACTGCCTTTTGTTAACAACAAAAAAAAGTTGGAAGAGAAAAAAGACAAAGTGGTTTTCAAAACCAAGATTAAATGCCATAGAAAAGCTGAATAGAATGATGGGCACCTATTTTTTTCTTTTTCTGTATGTATGTTTTAGAAATAAGCAGATATAACCTAACTAAGCAATAGCATAAGTGAAGGCTGGTGAAGAAAGAAAAATTGATAGGTTGCCATCTCATTGGATGCTCTTGAACCTAGAATCGAGCAAACTCCCAAGAAAGGTGATGTAATTAAACTATCATGACACATTAACTGAAACACCTTGTTCTATATGCAAACGTCTGGCAGATATACCCCAGTGTCTCTGCAGATAACAGATGTTCTGATCTTTGGATATTGCTAAGCTGCACCCAATGCTACTTTATCATAAAGCATGTCATGATTAAACTGAAGTGTTATTATTCAATTGTGTATCCCTATGGGAGCTCCAAAATGCCTCTTAACAACAATTACCTGTGGCCCATCTAAGTTTTTTCATAAACAAAAACTGAAATAATTTTCAGAGGTGGGATAATGCTTATTTTATATAGTATGTATAACTAGGGTAAACTGATAAAGACATACTTGATTAAAGTTCCAATACCTACTTAGGTAGGACTTGATATCTATTTCTATTGCCAATATCTAGACAACTTTAAAAGCCAACTCCCCCATTCTAGTCTCAGTTTCTCATTTTCCAACATTTGTGTAAAGTACTCTTTTCCCTATTTTTTTTGGGGGAGGGGGAGGGGTTGGTATATGTGGATCCATAAAGCAAAATGGCATGTTGTCAATCAACATTTTCTTTCATAATTGAATTCAGAAACACACACACACACACACACACACACAGAGTAGGTAGGCATAAGGGGTATGTATATTCACAGGATGATCCGCTTCAAAAATCTACATTTTCCTTACAGACTTTGAAAGATGTTTGTAATTTAAGCTATCCTGATCTTAACAGATTAATTTGAGGAAAATGTTCTACCTTAACTACTGTTCAGAATCTGTTTAAATTACCACTGATCGGCAATCCGTCATCAGCAAATATGCTTATGTCAAATGCCCTTATAATGAGCTATCACATTTTCAAACATTTTCCTCCATTACCTGACCAGGAGATTTACACAATGCGAACAACCTACCAAGAGTGGAGTAAATGAAATATTGGATCTTGGTTTAAATGAGTAAATCCCATCCTGAACAGTAGAGGGGGTTGGGGGGAATGTATAAATTGAGAAAAGAATTACCTATTCATCTTCATCAGTAGTTGACATCATCATCATTTGGCCTCTAAAAAAAGAGGATGTTTTAATTTGCTGGGAAGAATACATCTCTTCAGGGAGGAGATTTGGGGATTTCACCATGAATAATAATGAAGTGAGCAGAGTTTTCTTCATGTGTAAAATCTAGCTCTAGTCTTTCAATCCAAATGAGATTCTAAGTTGCAGGCAGAGGTCAGGGGATTTGATTTATTTATTCAAGCCCATGTAGGCATCCTTCATCCACATCCACCAGATCTATACTTCCTCTCTCTAAAATTAACATTAAGACAAAAGAAAAAAAATAAAATAATCCCATTCGTATTGGTCAGCTTGTAGCAACAACCCTAGGTTCAAAGAACAACCACTGTTCATGAGGCTGCTCCCTGACAGTCCTCTTGTCATTACCCTACTGCTTTGGTAAATGCAAAACATTCTCTTGGCATCCGTGGCTTGCAATAAATCATTCAGGCTCATGCCAAAGCTTGAAACTCAGCACTTATTAATTTTAAATAAGTTCTGTTACCTATTATCAGTTATGGACAATGACAATATTTCTCTAAGCCCATTATTTCTCCTATGCACCTCAGAAAGCTGAGAGAAAGCAACGATACGTCTAATCTTTTGTGCCTTCCTAATCACGATGGCTTCCCACAGTGGGGGAAAAATTAAGAGGGTCCCAGAACATTATGCAAGTCAGGTAGACAGAATGAGAATCCCAGTAAAGCAGACTTAGAATAAGAGGCCCTCAATATGCAGCATTGATGTGAGGTATAAATCAATAGAGAATGATTAAAACACTGCTCTATGAGGGGCCTGCATAGTTAATATACATTTCATTATGAAAAAAGAATGCTGTAGTCAGACCAAATGTGTGGGCACACTGCTGAACAGAAGCAAAACAAGTACAAAGCTGTTTAAATATATAGAATTTCAAGGCATAAAGCTAATCAACAGCATCATTTATCTAACAAAGCCTGTTCAGATATTTCATTTGTAATGTAAATGTTCATATTAACACATATACCCCCAATACCTGATTTCTAATGTGTTCCATCATTTAACAGATATCCCTTTTCAAAGCCTAGCATTAATAAAAGCTATACTATTCTTACTCAAATCACAGTACAAAATTCATACCTAAATATTCCTAATTGCATAATCATTGCATTCACTGACATAAAACACACACACTTACCCTTCCTTTCAAATGGGTCAGTTAAGTGCTGTTGCACTTCTTTCCCTTTTCTAAAATGCAAATTTAAGAGCTCACTATTACGTGGTTTTGCTTTGACTTCCCTGAGAATACAGTATTTTGTTTACAAAACAGAGAAAAATTATCAAAAAAGCTGATGGTACCCAAGGAACCCAGGAAGCAAACAGCATTCAACAATCTTCTCTCCTTCCTCCCCTCAGGGTAAGCCTCTATCCCCTCCAAGGGACCCAGACAGAAGGGACAGACTTTTGGTGTTATTTCCTTAGAAACTTATACATACCACCTACTGGTATAAAGAAAGCCATCACGACTTCCATTAAGGAGACTTTGCCATGTTTTCCAAAGGAAAATAACATTCCTTCATCTTGTCTTCCACATTTGACTTAAAGGGAACATAAAAACTGGTCCCAATAAAATTCCTCCAGTGAAGGTGTCCTTTGTTTGTTACCTTTCTCCGTAGACTTTTACTAATGATTTGAGCTAAACTCTAACTTGCACTAGTCAGAAGAAATCAATCTCTTAGTCATGACATTTCCATCATTTAAATAAATCTCATGTCTAAAATTTTTTTAGTCATTAGACATGCACTGTAGACCTACGACGCAAAGGACTATAGCAAAAGTAAATTAAAATATTCCATATTATAGATATGTATATGTCATTCACAGGCATAAAGCCAGCACTGTTGAACAGCTTTGTTCACCCTAAGCAAATTCAAAACTGAGGTCCTTAAGAAGCTACCTACGGAACCATCTCAACTTGGATGTATTTTAGTATCCTTCTTCCTGAATTCAAATGCATTTTTATTTTCCATGGAAATTTCTATACTGTTAAAAATTTCAGCACACACCAACAGAAGAACTTTAATTTTAGCTCATTCTATATATGAAAGTGAGAAAGGCTCCATATCTTTCCTAGTGCAAATTAAAATGAGCAAAGTAGGCCAATGTCCATAATATTTTAGTTACAGGAAGAAAATAACAGTAGCCATTTATTTTAAATGTTTCCTGTGCCTCAGACACTATACTTTCTGCATGTTGTCTCATTTAATCCTCATGAAACAATCAAACCCAGTATATGGTATTATCCCCCATTTTAGAGCTTAAAAACCTGAGTTATTTGATCAGAGAAAACCAACAATGGTTTTCAACATGAACCCAACCCAGAGTCCCAGAAGCAAACACCACAGCTGCAGGGGGCTTTCCACTGCAACATTATAAAGAGTGATCCAAGTGAGTCACAAGGAGTTGACAGTGACCCATGACCACAGGCAACACCAAGTAGTCACTAGTTTTGGACCAGGGACCTGTGGACTCCTGACCTCTGAGGCTCTTCCGGCACCCAAAACTCTACCAACTCTGTATTCTAATGAGAACAGGCATTCTGGCAGCAAAGGGAGTAGGAAAAAAAACGATAGCCCTCTCCCCTCCCTCCAAAAAAGCCACATAAATGACATCTGCAACACAAATAACCATCCTTGTGTGCAGCTCTTTAACTGTCTCACCATGTGGCCATCAGTTGGCTCAAGAAGTGCTCAGCACAATTTTGCCTCAAATGTTTCTATAGTGCACTGAACTTGGAAACTATACTTTTTACTGCCCTCCTCCTCTCTCCCCTCCACTGAGTGAAAGGTGTCTGGATACACTGGACCACAAAGAAATCTAATGAGGAAGAAACATCCTGTCCATTGCAGGATAACCTGGAGAAGCCTGTGCAGGTGACTTTCAGACCGTGGGTCTTGACCCATTAGTGGAATCAATGCAGAGTCATTTTGCAGAAACTGAAATAGAATAGCATTTTGCAGAAATTGAAATAGAATGGAAGAGAAAATATCAGAGTATGCTACCATAAGGTAAAATATTGTTTCATGAAAGTTTGTTTCAGCAACATATTTTATGACCAGTTAGTTATGTGTGTGTTGGTAGCATGTGTACCAGGTTGTGATATAAATGTATTTTTCACTATAAGTTTAAAACATACTTGACTCTTCTTCATCTTCATCCCTTACATGCAACCACCAAGTTCTGCTGACTTTTCTTCCTAAATCTATCCTGGCCACTATGTTCCCCTCCCTGTGCACACCACTTCCTAACTAAGGTCACTATCTCTCACCAGAACCATTGGAACAGTCTCCAAACCCTTCTCCACTATATTGTATGGGTCCCCTTAAATCAGCCTCCACCCCTCTGCCAAATGATCTATTTCAACAGTCCCCAACCTTTTTGGCACCAGGGACCAGTTTCATGGAAGACAATTTTTCCACGGACTGGGGGTAGGGGCAGGATTAGATTCTCATAAGGAGCACACAACCTAGATCCCTCGTATGCGCAGTTCATAATAGGGTTCACACTCCTATGATAATCTAATGCCACTGATCTGACAGGAGGCAGAGCTCAGGTGATAATGCTCATTTGCTCGTCGCTTACCTCCTGCTGTATGACCTAGGTCCTAAGAGGCCATGGACCAGTAAGAACCTTAGATCAGGGGTTAGCGACCCCTGATCTATTTGAAATGCAGACCTGACTCTGTCAGTCCCCAACTTAAAGGCCTTCAGTGTCTATAGAATCAAATCAAAGTTCCCTTAGCATGGTGTACCAGGTACTTCACAAACTGACCCCAAGCATCTTCCAAATTCAACTGCAACTCCAGCCTCAATAACTGCTCAGTGGGAACACCCAAGCAGCTATCTTATCATTTCCTTGCCTCTGTGCTCTTCCTCTGCCTTTGAGATTCCACTCAGGAGTCTTTTCTTCTAGAGAGGCTTGCTGGAACCTTGGAATGTGGTTAAGTGAATCTACTTTGGCCTCCAGCATACTCTATTTCTACATCTCTCTGCTCTCCTGCCCCCAAGAAAATTAGATTACCTATACACCTGCCACTTCCACTAGGCAAGAAGGATTTTATCTACCTCCTCCAAGTCTTAAACATCACTTCAGTGAGACCCTCCCTCCCTTCCCTGACCACCTTAGCTAAATTTTCAATCTATCATTGCCTCCCCACCCCTTTCCTAGCTCCCTCCATTGGTTTCTCTTTTTTCCCCTTATTACTATAATCTAACTTATGTGTACATCTTCACACACACACACACACAAAATGTTCATATACGTATAAAGATTTTAACTTATTATCTAGTTTGTGTGTATCTCCACAACCAGGAATGCCAGCTAAATTATTTGTCTGTTTTATTACTGTTACAAAAGAGGCACTCAAAAAATACTTGCTCAATGAATAAATGAGTGAATATCATCAACATCAGAGATTACACCTATTTCAACCGGCACATAACATAGTGAATCCCTGGCACATATCATAGTGCCTCCTGCAGAGTTGGTACACAATAAATATTTGCATTTTAAAAAGTGAAAATGGAAACTCACATATGATGCATTCTTTTTGCCTCATATTATCTCATTCAATAGACACAGAATGGAAAGAAATATAAGGCTAGACAGACCAGCTAGCTGACCAAAAGATATCAGAAATGTTATAATATCACACACCTGCAGTACAGGCAGCCCATCTAAGAAGTTTTAGAAGTCAGAGAAGTGTCTCTTGGAAGTTAATACTATTTTGAAAAGATATTCTCTTTTTCAGCATGAAGGTACAAAGGACAGGGCTTTTAGTATCCACATTTTGAGCATTCATATTTGTTGATAATAGAACCATTAAAGCTCAGACAGCAGCTGAAGCAAGTGAACCATCAGGCATCTTATTCTTTGGGGAAGGAGGCTTTTATTTGACAACAAGTCATAGGCACATCCAATATTTATGATCATTTTAAAAATCAAAAATGTAACGAGAAGGATAAACTATGCATGTGTTCTTTAAGTTTAAATCTCACATGTATTAATTTTTATTAAAACACAAATTTGTAAACAATACTTACAATTAGAAAAAAAGCATAAAGCCATCTTTTAAACTTTCTGAGGAAAAATTAATGTTTTGATTTTTTTAAAAAAGTATACAGTATCACTTTGTCCTTAAGATATCAATTGAACAAAATTGGCAGAAATTTAAAAATTAAAAAAACAGAAAAATCATATGACCAGAAACACCACTATTTCTTTAAAATGAAATAATATTTCATTAAGAACAAGGCAGAATTAGCTGAAAAATAAGGAAATAATAATTTTAAGCATTCTCAAAAAGAAAAGAACATGCAAAAAGAAACAAAGGGATGGCTGTGGCCTATAGAGGGAGCCTAATCTTTGAAGCCATCAACTAGTAAGATTTCTTTAAGTAAAAATTATTGACCATTTAAGATACAGTCAGTGCTGTATAATGTTTCAACCAACCACAGCCCACATATATTATAATTATATATTATAAAAGATTATAATACCATATTTTTGCTGTACCTTTTCTATGTTTGGATACATTTAGATATAAAAATACTTATGATTGTGTTACAACTGCTTACAGTATTCAGTACAGTAACAAGCTATACAGGTTTGTAGCCCAGTAGCAATAGGCTATACCATATAGCCTAGGTATGTAGTAAGCTACACCATCTAAGTTTGTAGAAGTACACTCCATGATGTTTGCGAAATGACAAAATTGCTTAATGACATGCTTCTCAGAACATATCCCCATTCATGAGTGACACATGACCATAATACTATTTGAAAAGGTCTCACATTTCATAATACATAAATACACTCCCCTGTTACCAAGCTAGGGCAAGAATGATCCAAATCAAAATCCGTAACTCATCACAAGTGGCCAGAATCCCACCTGGATAATTTACTGTATTTGAGTTTAGAACTTGTTTTGTGACATGCTAGTTAACCAGGGTTGACAGGTCAATACACAAAATCATGCCCTGTATTCCTCTGTGCTCCACACCTTCTAAGTGTATTTTTAAATCAACAACCTACAACTAAAATATCACGAATCAAATGTTGTTGTAACTGTTGTAAAAGGAAAGAGAATACAGTGAACTGAGCTCTTTCCTCTGCTAGGAAGAAAATTAATACCTTGCTTGGTAAAGTGGGCCAACATGCAATCAGCATGTTTGCTAAGAAATAAAATGAGAATAATTCCACTAAGAGTGCCAATTTTATATTTTATATTCTTGAGTCAAACTTTTAAAATATCCCCCTTGTTTCCCTTCAACTCACCATCCCCAGAAATATCCTGGCCATGTATTTGGCAAAGAGGGGTGGGGGTATAGTGAGGTAGTCCAGCAACTGCTTAGGGGAGAATCTGCCTGACGTAAATTTCACCATCACCAAATGTTCTTCCTACAAATGAGACTGAAACAAACCAGGAAGTCATAACCTGCAATGTTTTAACAAAAATGTAATTTTGTTTAAAGTAATTTGGTCTTTCCTCTTAAATGATCTGGGTGAGAAAAATTTTATACAAGAATCTCTGATTAAAAAGTAAAAAGGAACAATCTACTTAAGATCATTCCTTGAAAAAGCACACAAGTAGCACCTCCAAAGACTCCCAGTTTTATGGATTCATAAAGCCATAATGAAAGCTCAAATTTTTCATAAGGGAACAGGCACTTTCCATTAATAAATCAAATTCTTCTCATCTCGATATGTGATCAAAAATAAAAAATAATTAGCATCTTTCTCATCAATTAGGTTTGATGCCATTGTTTAAAAATTCCAGAAGGAAGCCTTCTGAAAGGGCAAAGTCAGCAGTTCCATAGCTAACCCTTCTTTCAGCAATTATAGTCTACAGCACTGACACTTCTACAGCAGTGGAACAAACTTAGTTCTAGGCTATTTCTCATGACATTTAATAAATAGGGCTTAATATGAGAGAGCAAGATTCCAGAATCTAAAATAGATCCCACTGTGTTTAGGAAGAATCATTTCAATTACTAATAGAAAGAAGAACCCTTTAGGACTGAGAAATGGTCAACTAACATTCTGGACAAGGGCTTCCAAGAACTTATACCTTAACAGATTCCTGATTTAAAATGGTACCTAAGTTCCTGGTGCTACTTCTCCCAATTTCTCACTGAAGTGCCACTGAAGACGTAGGAGTAAATATTCATATCACCTCCAAAAACCAAGGCTGCTGAAAGCACAAATTACTGCCAGAATTTGAAAAGCACCCACTGTGATGAAAAGGCAGAAATATACCCATGCTTCTGCTTATAACACCCTCACTTCACTCCATTAATAGATTTTATTTAAAATGGAGGGAAGTTGCCTCATAATTCCACCACTTCCTTGATTCAGACACATCCCTTTTCAACTACATATCTGGCAGGTGTCCCGTTCTCCGCCTTAGACTCTGACTCGGAAGTAAGGAGGGTATCTCTCCCCAGACACCTCTCCCTCGCTATGCAGCTATGATTGCCTCCCTAACCAGTCATCTCTCTCCACTCAGAAATAGATTACAAATCCCAGAAAACTAGTTAGAAACTAAGTACAATGAGGATGCTGGATATAAAATGTTATGAGCTGCAGCCAATATTTCTCGCAGCAAAATCATAGCCTTAATTCACTCATTTATTTGACAAATATTCATTGAGTTCCCTCAATGTTCCAGGCACTGTTCTTTGTGCTTGGGTCACATTAGTGAAAAACAGAGACACAGATCCCTACCCTGCTGGGATTCACATTCTGATGAGAGAGGTGGACAATAAATAAATAAAAATTATATAATTTGATAGATAATTTAAAATACTATGTAAAAAAAAAAAAACCCAGAACCAGGTAAATGAGTAAGGAGAAGGACTACAGTTTAAACAGGTGGTCACTCTAAGCCGCATGGAGAAGATAACTTTCGGTGAAGACTTAAAGGAGTTAAGGGAATTAGCCCCTACATAGGGTAAAAATTTCTACACAGAGGCTCAAAATAGCCAGGAGGCAAGAGCATGGCACATCTAAAAAACACGGAAAGCATATGGCTGGAGCGGAATGAGGGACAAAAAATAGGAGTTGGTAAGGTCTAAGGAGTAACGGGCCAAGTCAAATGTAAGAATTTTGGTTTTTACTCAAAACTTCAGAGGTTTGAGCAGAAGAGTGGTCTGGCTGACATCTCAAAAGGATCACTCTGGCTGCTCTGTTGAGCATACACCATGGGGGTGGGGCAGGTGGCAGAGGGCAGGGATGGAAGCAAGGAGACAACTTAGGAGACTACAGCAGTACTTGCAATGAGAAATGGTTGCTTTTAGACCAGGGTAGCAGCAGTGCAGAAGGTGAGAAGTGATGAGATTCTGGATGTATTTGAAGGTAAAGCAAAAAGAGTTGCCCAATAGCCTAGATACGGAGTATAAATAGTAAAGAATGATTTCAATATAGCCTCAGCAACTAGCAAGATGAAGCAGGCATTTCCTGGGATGGAGGAGTCCAGCAGAACAGGACTGGTGGGTAGACAAGAAGTTCAGTTCAGAACACAGATTAAGTTGGAGGTACCTACCAGGCATTCGAGATGTTGAGTAAGCAGTCAGATGTGCACATCTGGAGTTCGTGAGAGATCTCAGAGCTAGTGATATAAATTCGGGAGCTATAAGTTTATAGGTGGTGGCCATTATACTAGATCACAAAGACAGGGTAAAAATAGATCACAGAGAAGGACTATGACTACACTCTGGGACTCTAACATTAAGAGGTCAAGGAGAAAAGGAAGAACCAGCAAAGGAGAGTGAGAAGGAGCAACTAGTGAGTTAGGAAGACAACTAAGACTTGGAGGTGTCCCAGAGGCCAAGTGAGGACCACACATTACAAAAGAGTGAGAACTTATTGTGTCATGCCAGATGAGGCCTGAGAATTGACCATTATGTTTCAATGACCAGTGGAGAGCGGTGATTATGACATTGACAAGAGTAGTCTCTACAGAGCAAGGGATGAAAGCCTATAGTCTGGGTTCAAGAGAGAGCAGGGGGAGGTGAATTTGAGACAAGTATAACTCTAGAGGAATCTGACTGCACAGCAGAGCAATAAAATTGCAGCCATCTGATGAGAAAGTGGGGGCAAGAGAAGCTTAATGGAAGATGAAACAATGACAGCATACTTATGTGTGGACACGCACAATGCAGGAGAGAAGGAAAGTCTGATGGTGTAAGAGGTGGGGAGAAACGCCAGGAGGTTTCTTTTGACTAGGTGAGAGGAGACAGGATGGGGAACAGGAAAGGACTGGCTCTAGGCAGAAGTGTGAATAGTTACCTAAGACAACAAGCAGGAAGAGAGAGTGGGAGTGGCGATGCTGAAATGGGATGGGGGAGTCTCTGGACGCTCTCTTCTGTTTCCATTTTCTCACCAATGCAGGCATCAAGGTCATCGGCTAAAAGCAAAGCTGAAAGGACAGATGTTTAAAGTTTGAGGACAGAGAAAATGAGAAAAAGTCACCTTAAAAATTATTAAACAAGAAAATAAAAAATTATTCCACTCAACAAGCTGAAAAAACCCCTGCCAAATAAACTTCAGGGAAACAAAAGAAAGAATCATTAAAAAGATAAAAGCAGAAATTAAAGGATTAGAATATAAACAGTGGAACAGCTGGTTCTTTGAAAAGATCAATAAAATACACAAACCTCTTGCGAGGCTCATCAAGGAAGAGAAAAAATACAATTATACAACATAGGAAATAAGATGGATAGAGCCAAAGAGACAAAGGAAATTTAATACAAGTATACAGAATATATAAAATTTCATGCTGAAAATTAAAATACATTGAATCAAAGAGACAATTCCTAAGAAAATATAAATTATCAAAATTTGATTCACAAAGTAGACTCTGAAAAATTCAATAACTATATGGAAATAGACAATGCTGACAATGATTTACAGGGGACACTATCAAATTTTTTTTAATGGAATTTTTATGCTATTGAAAATGTTACATGGTACAGAAAAATCAAGGAAAGTTTCCCCATTTCATTTTTTACAGAAGTCAGCATAACGTTGGTATCAAAACTTCAAAAAATTGCACAAGAAATATGTGACCATATTGTTAAATACCAACATTCCATTTAAAAAAATTATCATTCCTGATAAAAAAATTTTAATAAACTCATATTAAACAATATGTATCACTAATAAACATCTGAGACCCTATTTCACAATGAACTACCGAAGGCCTTTGCGTTAACCTCAGAAATACGTAAAGTGCTTAATAAGCATTAGCTGCAGTATTAATGGTATTACTATTATTACATTTGAACAAGAATATCTGTTCCTACTGCTGATACATAACTCTCTATAAGGATAACTCTTCCCTCTCCTCAAAGGAGGTAATGGTACAATGACTATGACAACTGCTTGAAAATTCTCGAGCATAAATTCAGGCAAAGTAATTACAAATCTTTCTGAAACAAAAAACAAAACACAAATACTTTAAGGAAAAAAAAGGTCTGGTTTAATTGCATTTTGTTTCAACAATGTAGTAGATCTTAGTGTTTGCCCAAATTTCAATGAATTAAGAAAAGCAGGGGGTGGGGAACAAGGGGAGGGAGAGCATTAGGACAAATACCTAATGCATGTGGGGCTTAAAACCTAGATGACGGGTTGATGGGTGCAGCAAACCATCATGGCACTTGTATACCTATGTAACGAACCTGCACGTTCAGCACATGTATCCCAGAACTTAAAGTAATATAAATTGAAAAAAAGAAAAAGAAAAGCAAATCTGTAAAACACTGAACAATAGGACAAGATTTCATCTCATTTTGTAAACAATTTACAATAATGTATAACCCATTAAACACTTGGTCTTAGTGTTTACTCAGCTGATAGTTTACAAATAGGAAATTCTTCAGCCTAGAGAAGAAAACTTTTAAAACTCTTATTCCTCCTTCCCTGCCCTGTTTCTCTGTGATTTCCCATTGGGAAGAAGATTCGTAAGGGAAAAAAAACTAGTTTATATTTCCTCCAAAAAAGAATAGTTATATCTTTTCTTACAACTCATTAGGTTTGAGAAAGCTTTTAAAATAGCCAAACAAGAGGAGGTACCCAAGGCGGTGCCTTTTGGTGGTGGTTAGACCTACATCAATGCAACCTCACACTGGTCCACTGTAGCTGGATTCTTAGCCCCCAAAAGGAAAATAATTCCCAAACATATGCAGTTCACTTCCCATAACTCACCCCAACCATTCTGCATTTGAAATACCTGCCGCTTCTCCTCTAGACACTTTCGGAAATTGGATGTTGCTTAGGTAATGCTAGTGTATAACTCTGCTTGGTGTTAAAGACCAAAGAAGAGGGAAGTTACAGTCTACATGGTTAAGCATGTGAATTTACAAAGCTATTACTAAGAATGACGCCAGGTCATGCTTTCAAAATGCAGAGCTGCACTCACAAACTATACTCGAAGTCAAGCAAGAAGCACAGAAGAGAAATGGAATAGCTCGAGAGGGAACAAGAGGGAACAAGCCCTCGAATGCATGATACAAAAGAGGAAGAAGATTCAAGGAGGATAACGAAGCTTTACAGGAACTTGGCTTTACCGGAACAGAGCACATCCAGACAAACTTGGGGAGATGAGGCATTAGTAAAAAACTCAGTGATATTTCTCAAAACAGCTCAGTTCTCTTATTTTCAAACAGAAAAAACAACACTGTAATAGATATCTTTCAGGCTGTCCACAAAACCCTCAGGCCCTTTCTCTGAAAAGGCTATATACCACATGACCTTGCCAGAGCCAGGGGCCCTGAGACAGATACCACCACACACGGGGCCAAGCACACTCACTCTCATATCAGCCTCTCCTGGGCACCTGAACTGGCCCAGGCACTCATGGGGTCCTCAGGTTCAGGAGGCACCAAAAGAGACTTCACCATACAAAAATGCCAGCATGTAGAAGAAGCCGTGTGTCTAAGGAGCAAGATGACATCATAACTTAATCATTTATACCGAAAGACAAGCTGTAAAAGGTGCTTTGAAAACAAAAAAACAAAAAAACAAACAAAAAAAACCTTCAAATAGAGTCCCTCTCATTTGCTTATGCTTTTTCTCAGCAAAGCAAAAAAAAAAGAAAAAAAAAAGAAAAAAAAACCCACTGGTTTTAAATATATATAGTCTGTCTCTGTGCATCTCATCCCATAGACTCTGAAAAGAGCCTTTGAAAGAGACATTTTTTTTTTAAAGCACACAGGATGTAAGCCACTGTGCAATGGCCAAGAGCAACAAAATACTGTCACAGCTGAAACGCAGTCCCTCATGTCCCAGTGAGAACTCAGGGATGGAGGAAGGCTAACAGCTGTGGGGAGGTGGTAGGAACCAGGCTTAGACCCAGCGGTCCCACGGCCTCCTTCCTTCCCTCAGGCAGTGAGCAGGGCTATGCCTAACTGGGAATGACTGAGACAATGAATACCTGGGACTAGCCAAATGATACCAGGAAGAGATAATCATCTGGAAACGTTTTATAAATATAAACATAAGGGAGATTAGCTGCAGCCTCCACCACACAAATCTGAGGCCAAGGGGTGGGGGAACAACACCTTAGACTTCAATGCTAGAAAGAATTTATTTTCCTAACATGGAGATCTATTAAATGCCTAGCAACCTCCCCAGGGAAACAGTAGCAAAGCCACTTCAAGTGGAGTGAGAAACTCATTTCTGAAAGCCTTTTTCCAACTTGGGAAATTTAACTCTATGCCTTTGTAACCCCAAGGGACTGCCTGGCTGAGACTGCACTAGGTGTAACCATATGTCAAAATTAATACATTGGATATGGTACTCACCCACAATTTGCTAGAAAACAGTCAAAACTAAAAGTGCCAAAGGAGGCCTTTCTTTATGAATATAGGCATAGCTACTAATTTATAATAGTAAAAATATCCACTTTGACCTTTGCCTACATAAGAAAATTAGAGAAGAAATGTTTTAAAAACCATAGAAATAGGCATCTCCCTGCCTCCTTAACCCCTAATTCAAGAATGATGGCTCTCTTTCTATCTTAATAGCAGCATTTTTGCCAGGAATGAATCCCTCCTCTCCACCTCCAAGCCACAGAGTATAGGGTAGCCTCCTCCCTCACCTGGCTGGATAGTCCTGGGCCCATCCTGGGTCTCCATCCTCCAGGGCTCTGCTTAGCCTGAAGTCCAGGCTCCTCTAGGAAACGCTCCTCTTCAGGGTCCAGTGTGCCATGGAAAGCCTCGCTTCCCTCCCGCTTAATACTCATCGCCTGGGATCAGAAGCGCTGGTCTCCCCCTACAGAATGAGCTCCTTGAGGGAGAACTTTGTCCTCTTCACCTGTGAGACCCATGCATAATGCACTAGGAGACATGTGTTTGTTGAATGGATATTGCTTGGCTTATTGGGAATTCAGTCAAAACAGAAGGGAAAGATATAAATGATAAAGGTGACATCAGTTCTGGTCATGGTACTCTACTACAATGGTTAATGTAGTCAAGGTGATAGCCAAAAAACACAACAAACAAGGGATGTATGCTTCTATCATGAGCCCTACCTGTCCAGGTCAGATGCCCTGGAGAAATGGTCTACAAAGAATTTTAAAATCCATATATCTTCTAACACAATTTAAAGACAAAATCTAGGCTGGGCACAATGGCTCATGCCTATAATCCCAGCACTTTGGGAGGCCAAGGTGGAAGGACTGCTTGAGGCCAGGAGTTCAAGACCAGCCTGGGTAATATAGGGAGACCCTGTCTCTACAGAAAAAAAAAAAAAAATTTTTTTTTTAATTAGCTGGGCACGGTGATGTACACCTGTAGTCCCAGCTACTCGGGAGGCTGACATAGGAGGATTGCTTGAGCTCATGAGTTCAAAGTAAGTGTGATTGCATCATTGCACTCCAGGCTGGGCAACCGAGTAAGACCCCCTCTCTAAATACACACATACATACACACATACACACACATAGAGAGAGAGATCAAATCTAAAATTGTTCATCCTAGGTTTAAATAGTGGCATGGTATATAATTTCTTGCATACTGTAAATAATGAAATTTTAAAATGAAACTGCTTTTATTCAAGCTTTTAAATGTATCCATTGTTATTTAAAATACATGAACAACCTTCCCTTTTACGCTCAAATTTTTATAGTTCCTTTTTTTCCCTTAAATTTATATTTCCATTCCATTTCTCTCACAGAATTTTATCCTAATAAAACACTTTTATGTTTTAGGGTTTTTTATTGATCATACTATCATACTCCTTCTGCAACAAAAATAGTTATGAAAATTAAAATGTATTTTTTATTTCCTGTGACCAAATGGTTCTAAATGTTAAAAATTTAATCTAGATTATCATTAAAACTATTAGTAGAATGCAATTTGAGAGAACAAATGTATAATTTTATAATGATTAAAAGTTAAAGCATTAAAGTAAATTTTTATTGGAAATGCATTCCTCAATGAGATGGATAGGATAATTTGATATCTGTATCCATAAATGAGTATTTTTATTGTCAGAATAAGCAATATTTCAACAGTAATTCCACTCCATTTTTTTTTTTTTTTTTTCCTGTCATGGCCTGAACCAGTCTTTCAGGTTAAATTTTTTTTTTAATTTTTATTTTATTATTATTATACTTTAAGTTTTAGGGTACATGTGCACAATGTGCAGGTTTATTATATATGTATACATGTGCCATGTTGGTGTGCTGCACCCATTAACTCGTCATTTAGCATTAGGTATATCTCCTAATGCTATACCTCCCCCCTCCCCCCACCCCACAACAGTCCCCGGTCCACTCCATTTTTTGG
This sequence comes from Homo sapiens, assembly GCF_000001405.40. Taxonomy (NCBI): domain Eukaryota; kingdom Metazoa; phylum Chordata; class Mammalia; order Primates; family Hominidae; genus Homo; species Homo sapiens. Next base: position 66,715,489 of record NC_000005.10, on the reverse strand, counting down.
TATTAAAGTAAAAGCCTTGTTCATGTAAATAAGTTGATGGGAATGAAAGAAGTGTTGTGATAGCTGTGGCCCTTAATTCTTTAAATTCCTGAGATTTATGCCAAAAAAATCATCAACACATTACATGATAATCATCATTTTTTGACAAACTGTTCAGGGTCATGTTCAGTTTTGTTTAAAAAAATTAGAAGACATTTGATTTGCAAAAGGACTAATTTCTAAGACATTAGATTCATGCCCTCTATACAACAATCTTCTCATTTTCCCTTTTTCTGGCACCCTGAGGAGTGGGGATTACTTCCTGTGACTACATGACATGATGAGATTTGGGAGAGGTAAAGCCAGGCAACCCATTAGTCCAGTTGTGCTCCAGGTGGATCTGTTTTGGGAAAGAGTATATAGGGAAGCTGAACATCTGAAGTAATTTCCTTGTTACTCTCCATGGGCCCAGTGCCTCTTGGAAAGTCATCATGGACCCCAGGGGTAGCATAAACCCATATCTGTTGACATCAAAGACCAGTCTGCCAGAGGTCTGTCCTTAGGTGGGGGAAACAGATTCAAATACCAATGGAAGGAGAGAATGTACGTGAGAGAAGCCAAAGCTTTACTAGGGCAGAGGACCAAACAAGCCCAGCAAAACCACAGGTAGGACCTGTGGGGACCACAAAGTACCACAGACAGACCAGACTGTTTCTCCAGTGACCGGAAGTGAGCAGGGGCTCCCACTCAGTGTGCGGCAAAGCAACAATTCATTATCCAAAAAGTGGTATTGTTTAAAAAAGACAAAAAAGCAGTAACAGCAGAAAAAGCTATGGAAGAAAGTTGTAGGTATTATATTCAGTTATGCATTTAAGAAAATGCAAGGAATTCACTTTCAGTGGAGAAACAAGATTTGCCAGCAGAAGGAAACGCCAAGTATGAGCACAGGACCAAAGTAAAATTCAGATGAAGAAGGGAAAACAATGACTCGAATCACTGTGCTGCAGGATTCATCCAGGCCTGTCCAGACAGTGGCACATCAAGAGAGAGGTGCTCAATGTTATCTTCATAAATAGGAGGTCTGTTCTTCTCAGTTCCTAGATTTTTAAAGTCAGAGAGCCTCATTCTTGTGTTCTCTTAGGAGAAAACACCAAAACCTAATGGACAGTTTCGATGATACAGGCACAGGCACAGAGACTGGTGGCTAGTGAAATCTCCTAGGCCACCAAGAACATATCCATGCGCAACTAACAAAGGGCCTGATTTTCACACCCTCAGGTGACTCATGTCTCCCCCTTGCATATTAGGTGTTTGAAAAAGACCGGAGACTAAACAGCAGCTTGGGTGAGTCATCTGTGTAGCCAGAGAGAGGCAGTTTAGCAGAAAGACTAAGTAGAGGGACTTGGTGTTAGACACCTATGTGTGAATGGTGGCTCCTCCACTTACCATCTGGGTGATCTTAAAGCTCTGTGTCTCAACTTTCCTATCTGTAAAATGGGAATACAAAAGTACTTTCATCATGGAATTATCATCAGGATTAAATGAGTTGAGATATATATAAGGTATTTATGAGAGTATCAGGCACACGGAAATAAATTTCAGCTATTGTGATTGTCATCACTGAGACAGAACTAGACCATCATGAAAAAAATAAGACGCCATCTGGTCCAGGCCTCATTTCTAAGTCTTCAGATCTAAAGCTGAGATCACCAAACTAGATTAGAACCTCAGTTCTAATTCTCCACTTGTCTCACCAGCCATTGCGGAAAGAGATAAATACTGACAACTAATATACTAATAAAAGCATCACAATATACCCCACAAGAGGGCATATTACGAAACGTTTGCAATAAGTAATGTACAAACTAAAACCTTTTTAAAAAGTTATAGTAAAGATGTTGATTCAATTGAAGAAGAAATGCAACGGAAATGGAGGAGGGTAAACAAGCCCAAACTTCATAGTGTAAAATATTATTTGAGTAATGTATTTCCTAATATTTGAGTAATATATTCATGTCTTGCTTGATACTCAACATAAGCCAGGTAGAAGGGTGAAGTAATTATAGAGCTCATGCTCAGGGGTATCCATACACTGGTTATTTTAACCTCAAAACTAAATTTCAGCCACTCTCAGTGCTTCTTCTACTCATATTCTATGGTCCCATCAGTCTCAGCCTGTCCTCCCCAGATCACCATCAGCAGATTACTGTGTGACCCAGGAAAGGTACAGGGCTGTTTGAGGAAGGAGAGCGGGGTACCTTCCAGGTGGGCTGTGTGCCCCAGAGCAAAGATCTTGACCTCTATATGGTACAAGGAGAACCATTACCCATACAAACAAGATTAGTATTTAAATAAACAACAAAAACAAAAAAACAAAGACCAAAAGAAAGAAGAAATAAGAAGCAGATTGTTCTGCTACATGCTGATTTAGAGAAGTAAAAAAAGGTAAGAACAGGGGTAGGCATGGGGGAATATGTGGAGAGATCCAGATGGAAAATAAGTACATCAGGGACAAACATTTTTGGATGAATCCCACTGACACTGTTCTCAGTTACCAGAAACTATTTCTTATATTGGGTTCCTTGATGTGAAATTTAAGATTGCAATACTGCAAATCAACTTTCCCTAACGTATAGGTTTCACTAAAACAAAACCAAATAGGAGCAAATTCAACCCATTTTCTGATAGTTTTTATTTCTCTATAGATAGGTCTTTGTGGAGTGAATACTCAAAGACATACTAGTGGGTTTATTTTTTCCTTCTAAAAGGAAACTTCTCATTACTTTTTCGGCAAAGAACATTCTGAGTTATGATTCATTCCAGAATTTTCAAAGGGTATTTCCTGGAACTCTATTTCTTTGAGATATCAAAAGAGGGAAACTGAGTCAAAGTTCAATCCACTTTGGCAGACATAAAGCAAACAAATATAAAGTTAAACAAGATTAAGACCTTTAATGTGTTCATCAGCAGTGTGAGGCTCCTAGCAAGGTCCAGTAATTCATTTGATAAAATAAGACAAATAAGTCTTTTCTCCGACAGTCTCTGCAGATTCCTATTCATCTAAACACACTTTGGAAAATCCTGGAATACATACAAAGGATCTAAAATGGGGGCTAACAATGGGTGTAATTCTGGAACAAAACTGCCAGGTCCAAACTATGCTCTATTCTTTATAAAAGACATCTGGCACCCTCATATACTACTAGCAGGGGCAGAAGTTGGTACAACCACTTTGGAAAACTGTTTGACATTATGTTCTAAGGTTAAACTTACATTTACCATGTGACTGGTTCCTAAATATATACATACCACATAAGTGTGCATTGTGTATGTACACACTAGCAGGTGTGTATAACAGTCACAGAACAACATGCACAAGAATACTAAGAATACTCATGCAGCATGATTAATAATAGCTCCAAAATGAAAACAACACAAAAAGTCCATCAACAGTAGAACGGATAAATGATAGTATCTTCACACAACAGGTATGGCAATCTGAAAAATGGCCCCCCTAAATATCTACATCCTAATCTCCTGAACTGGTGAACGTTATTCTATGTGCCAAGAGACTTTACAGGTGTGATTAAATTAAGGGTCTTGTGATGGGGAGATTATCCAAGATCATCCAGGCAGGCCCTGAATATAATCCAAAGCATCTTTTTTTGGGGGGTGGGGGGCAGAGTCTCACTCTGTAACCCAGGCTAAAGTGCAATGGCATGATCTCGGCACACTGCAACCTCCGCCTCCTGGGTTCAAGCAATTCTCCTGCATCAGCCTCCTGAGTAGCTGGGATTACAGACGCCCACCACCATGCCCAGCTAATTCTTGTATTTTTAGTGGAGATGGGGTTTCACCATGTTGGCCAGGCTGGTCTCAAACTCCTGACCTCAAGTGATCCACCTGCCTTGGCCTCCCAAATTGCTGGGATTACAAGCATGAGCCACTGCTCTGGGCCTCAAAAGCGTCTTTCTAAGGAGGAGGCAGGAAGAGTTGATGACAGAAGAGGAGAAGGTGATATGAAAAGGCAAGAGATATTGGAATTATATGCTTTGAGGATGGAAGAAGGGGCCACATGCCAAAGAATCTCGGCGGCCATCAGAAGCTGGAAAAGTCGAGGAAATTGATTCTTCTCCCAGACCCTGCAAAAGGAATGAGCCCTGCCAATACCTTGATTTTTGCCCAGTGAAACTGATTTTGGACTTCTGACCTCTAGAAAGACCTTTCAGAAAAGAAGTAGCTTGTACTGCCTTAAGCCACTAAGTTTGTCATAATTTGTCACAATCACAATAGGTAAATAATAATAGAATGGCATAACCATGCAGAAATGAGAAAGAATAAACTATTGCCACACACAACAAGGATGATCCTCATGGACGCAGCATTTGGTAGATGAAGCAAGACACAATGGGACATCCCGTATGATGACATTTATATAGAGTTCAAAGAGTAGCGAAACTAATCCACAGTGTTAGAGGTTAGTGTTCATCTCAGGGAAGAGGCACTCACTTGAAGGAGATGAGGATGCTTCTGGAATAACTGCTTTCTTAATATGGGTGCTGGTTACACGGGCATATTCACTTTGAGAAAATTCATCAAATTTTACACACATAATGTGCATACTGTTCTCTCTACATATGATACATAAAGAACAAATTTTTTTAAAAGCTACATGTTGTTTTAATTATTAGATTCAAATGACTCATAGAATAAATCCCTTTTGGGGAAGCACCTCCTGGGAGCAATGCCAGAGCTTGGCCGTTCTCACACAATAAGGGAAAGTTAAGACCACTGACAACCCAGACGGCGGGTCCACAAGAGAAAGAATTACATTCCTGGCAAACCAACCAACCAATGCTTCTCACAGAAGGAAGATACCTATTTGTGAATAAAAAAGACTCCATAACCTAGATTTTTCCCCCAAAAAATCAGCCTATTATTTTATATAACAAAAGTAGAATAAGAATTTAGTGGCCAAGTCCAGGGAATTCCCTGGGCTACGGAAGATGTAACGTGCGTCTATAGACCCACATCTAAGGAAGAAAGATGAAAAGAGAAGGAAAATGATCAGTGAGAAAAATCCCAGCCATCTAACAAGGTCAAGATGCTACTAAAGTGCCCTTCTCTTTTGTCCACTTATCAAGTAATAGAAGAATAAAAGTCTAAATAGTCTGACCTTGACATGGTATAATATATATTATAAAACAGACACTGCCTATTGCGGGCAGAGTTTTAAAAAACACAATATTTCTCCATCTGGAAAACCAAATATTGCTTGCTTCCTCTGGCAAATCAGATCAGGATGAATCTCAATGCAGTCACATCACTTCTACAACTAAAAATTACTAAATCCAGGAGAGAAATGGAAGCAGCTAAACTTGCAGCACTGTCAGTAGGATCAAAGCAGAAATGGATCACACCAACTCCAAAGATGGCAAGGGCCGACTTCAGCAAAGTAAGGAGAGAGGCAGTGGAGACCAGAACTTCTCTCTCCTTTTACTGTGAAAGTCAAGGGTATCAAGCTATATGATGGGCCACTAGAAAACACTGGCTGGAAAAGGAGACAGCCAGTCCTAACATTAGAATGGCTCACAGCCCACTTGCCTGTATGGCACCAAATTTGGGTGGAATACGTCATTTTCTAAAGCTTAAAATCTCCCTAATATCCACAGGTGCCACAGGAGGCTCAAAGAGGTTAGGAAACACAAAGCTAGTAAGTTATAAAGTGGGGATTCAAACAGTCTGGTGATTATTTTTTATAATATTTGACCAAAATAAGTATTTTATATATAACTTAATTGAATGTTTATAATTGATATGTTTTATAATAATTATAAAAAGAAACAGAGACAAAGAGCCAGAATGCCAATTTGGCCTTTAACATTCATTTTGGGGGCTGCATATGGTGGCTCATGCTTATAACCCCAGCACTTTGGGAGGCCGAGATGGGAGGACTGCTTGAGGCCCAGAGTTCAAGACCACCCTGGACAACATAGCAAGACTCCATCTCTACAAAAAATGAAAAAAATTAGCCAGGGACAGTGGCACATGCCTGTAGTCCCAGCTAGTTGGGAGGCTGAGTCAGGAAGATTGCTTGAGCCCTGAAGTTTGAGGTTACAGTAAGCTATGATTGCACCTCTGCACTCCAGCCTGGGCAACAGAGCAAGATCCTGTCTCAAAAAAAATTCATTTTGATGCTTCAGTATTCCTGAACATAACAAATTCCCTGGTGCCTATAAAGTAGGGCAGTAAATTTTAAGCTTCAGAATTTTTTTTTTAATTTCAAACAAAGCAAAGTATCAGCAATAGCAAAATCTAGGTGGTATCCGCAATATTCTTGGTGCTTTCCTGGAAATGTGTAATATTTCATAATTTCAACAGAAGAAGGAAAAATTAATGTCACTGAATATTTCTATAATACAGCCACCTGCAAAAAAATATTTCAGGTGCCTTTGGAATAAAGAAGTGACAGTCATGGAGGAAAGAGAACACCAAGTTTGAAAACTAGTTGTGCTCCTAGTAAAGAAAGTATATGTATTATGCCTGCACAGGACATAATTATCTCTCAATATAAAATTCTTATTACCGACTGATTTTCTATCCCATTTGCCCATTATTAAGGAATTTTAGCATTTAATGCTTTTTTTCCCCGATCATTTATATTTTTAGAAACACTGCTACCACCCAGGAAATAAATTCACTTATGGTCAAAGGTAATGCATGGAAAACTGAAACTCCACTTTCTGGATAGTACTTTTGTTGTTTTAAATGATTAATGGCTACTAAACGGGTTTGCAACAGCCTGCCCATCTAAAACCTTAATAGCCAAACATGCAGCTCACTATCACCAGGGGAAAATGAATGCTTGGTGCTCATAATAACAGAAAATGAAAGGCTAAGTTTAGACAAAACAGAAACCAACAGCAAACTCAATTCAGACAAGGAGGTCAGAACAGTCTACACTGGCTACCACATGCCAGGTACTACTTTCCTTTTTAAAGAAAAGGTAACTAAAGCTCAGAGTGGCTCACCTAGAGTCTGTTAGGTATGATGGGCTCCACTACCAGATTCTCTGTGTAATTATGGACTGCTCCTTTAACAACAAAATTCAACATGACCTAGAGCTTATGAGAGGTTTGTTCACACTCTCATGTAATGCTTATACTTCCAGTGATAGAGATATTATCACCAATATCATGTGACTAGTCAAGAAACCAAAGTTCAGACAGAGTTAAATTTGCCCCAAGGTAGTCAGACTTCGATGGTTAAGCTAAGGCACGAACCTCATCTTCCAACTCCAAGTCCCGCACTCTTTCCGCAAATAAAAGCAAGCAAGACACAGAGGCCACACAGTGCAGCGAAACTAGGACTAGCTTTGCAGAGCTGTGTTTGAATCTAGGTTGGTGTTGCACACTCAGAAAAGTAATTTAATTATTTTGAATTTCAGTCTTCTCTAAAACGGACCTACCAGCGACATCCTCATCCTTGTGGGGACCAGAGTTGACGTGTAAAGAGTCTGGTACAAACAGGCACTCAAACGGTAGCTGTTACTGTCATCAATGGTAATACAGGCTCTGTCTTCATGGTAAGTCTTTCATAAAGCACTCCTGAGCAAATACTACCAAAAGAAATCAACCTGGGTTCCAGGGTGTAGAACCCACTGTTCATTACCACAGCACACACCCCTGCCCTTGGTTTCCATCAGTCTATGAGCTAACATTTTCCCACTGTTATTAGCTGAATTACATTCTGCTCCCCCCTACCACCATATCCCAAAATCATGTTGACATCCTAACCCCCAGAACTCAGAATTCACTGTATTTGGAGATAGGGTCTTTAGAGAGGTATTTAGGTTAAGTATCTAATCCAATATGACAGGTGTTCTTATAAGAAGAGGAAATTAGGACAGCCAGGCATGGAAGATAAAGAGGGATATGTTAAGATAAAGAGAGAAGAGAGCCAACCACAAACTGAGAAGCAAGGACTCATAATGAAACCAACCCTGCTCGCACCTTGATCTTGAACTTCCAGCCTCCAGAACTATGAGAAAATTCATTTCTGTTTTTAAGGCCCCCTTGTTGGTGGTACTTTGTTACAGCAGACTTAGCAAACTGGTATACCCACCAAGTGACCTCTTCTCTGAACGGCAGCCCAACCCAGGGATGAGGAACACACAGCTGTGGCTCTACTATCACAGCACCTGGTGTCAGAATCCTGGCTGGAAACAATGGCTTGAAACAAATGAGTGGTGAGCCGGAAGCCCGTTTGTGACGTATTTCTAGTCCACAAAAGGGCAACATCTTCTAGCACTTTCAACATCACCAGCCAGTTGACAGGACTCCCCAAGGAGGGACTGGAAGTCAGGAGCCTCTTACTGAAATCTTATTAAGATAATAGGCTCTCTTCACAGGGAGGGCCTCTCTGCAGGAAAGCAGGTTAAGGGACAGAAGACAGAGCCCCACACCCTGAATGTCCAAGACCACCACAAAGCTTCGAAAGTTCCTGTGAGTATAACTCCAAGTAGAAATTACAGTAACTGAAAGGCTAGCACGGCATCCGCAGTTTCTTGACTACAAATCTGACACACATCTTGACTACGAACTCTAACATACATCAGAGTATGAAGAAATTATTATTATTAAACATTCTAATGAGGCCTAAAAGCAAAGTTTCTTATAGTCAAGATATTTAATAAACAATGAGTAATTCTGCAACAGTTATGTATCAACTGAAGTCAAAACCTTTGGATCAACACCAGGGAGCTAAGTCTCTTTTTCATATAATGGCAGCTACTCAAAACAGCCAGGTATGGAGAATAAAATGGACTAACTGAAGATGAAGAATGTTTATGAATCATTAGTTTGAGGGTTTTACCTGATCACTTCAACAAAAAAAAAAAAAATTACTATTTCTTTCATCATTACTCAGAACACACACTTTCTTGGAAAATTCTACGTTTTTGTGGAATATCATTCAGCAAAAGGAACTCATGGACAGTACTCATTGTAAGTACTAAATGTCCCTTAAAAGAACATATAGGATAATGTGTCTTATGAAGCTCAAATACTGCCTCTTCTTCTCATGAATTTAATTTTAAATTTTAAGTTGTCCTCCCGTTTCATATGGCATTATGAATAATGGTGGGTTTGGGGCTTGGCTCTGTCCTCCAACTCATTTTGTGACACTTACTGAATCCTCTCTGCCCCTGGTGTGGATTACAGCCATCATCAAATGCATGGATTCGCTCATCTAAGGTCTCTGCATTTCCCTAATGTCCTTTGTCCTGTTGATGATAAAACATATTTGGGGGATAGTATGGCAATATTTCTTAAAGATATATCCCTGGATCAACTTAACTAGCAACATCTGGGGGGCGGGGCTAGATTTTGTGACTTAAAGTAGAGCCTAGGAATCTTCACAGTACTAAAACTCCATAATTGATTCTTTTTCCAAGTATATTTTAAGATGCAAAGCAGCATAGAGAACCTGCTAGGGCCACTGGCTTAGAATCCAGCACTGTTATTTACATCATGTGTAACCATGGGAAAGTTACTTCGCCTTACTAAGCCTTGATTCCCTACCTAAATATTGGGGATAATAACAATACCTACCTCCAAGAAGTATTAAAGAATGACACAAAATAACATACATACCATCAAACACTGCCTAACATATAGCAAGTATTCAAAAGTGCTAGCTATTCATATGATATGCAAAAGGGTTTTGAATTTATTAATTTTCATTGCATGACTGATTAACCCTTTATTACAGCAAAATGAATATATGGTAAGGGAATCAAGAAAACATATCTTCTGATTAAAAAATCATGAAGCTTTGAGTGCTCAGTTTTTAAATACTAGTTAAGTGCCAGGCATATGGCTACAAAAATACATTCTGAAAATGCAGTTTTGTAGTCAACTAGGTTTTCATTTCACAGCATTTTAAATGGAAGTGTCAAAGTAGACTCAGGGGAACCTGAAACCGTTCCTGTGAAACATGATTTGACTCTGCTGTCCAATATAACACCACAACATTCATCTGTATAATTATATATTTGGCTCAGATTTCCTTTTATCATTTATATCTTTTGTTTTTATCTTTAAAAAAATCCCTATATGCAGCAGCGATTAGAAACACACCTGGGAGTTTTCTAGAACTGAAGCAGCACATGTATTTAATTACAGTGAGGTTTCTGGTGTTATCATTCTAAACATGCTCATGCTATACCCATTAAAAATAGAAAAAAGGAAGCTACAGGAAATGCAGACAGCACCACAGTAAGTTTAGTCTTTAGATAATCTCAAGTGAATTTGTGCAAGCAGAATTCCAAACTACCACATGTAAATAAAAAGCAGGAAACCTGATCCTCCAATTTCCACTCTCTAGAGATGGCTTACGGGACATTTCTGGAATGAATTTCCATCCAAAAACTAGGTCAGCAGAGGAACTATGGATGACTGTGGAGCAACAATTTCTGTGGCTTGGTGGGCACCTAACATTCACAGCTTGATCCCAGGCCAGGAAGAACAAAAACTCTCCTGCTGGGTTGAGTGACCCCACCTCTAGGACTGCTTAGCACTCTAAAACAGCTGAAACTTCTCCCTGACTGCTTTCCGAGAAGCAAGCTCAAGATTCTTACATATGAAAAGAATACACAAAAGACAAGAAAGAGGAAAGTGAAGGAGCAAGAACAACAGTGATTAGCAGCAAGCTTTTAAGAGTGGAAGACACGCCTGTAATCCCAGCACTTTGGGAGGCTGAGGCAGGCGGATCACGAGGTCAGGAGATAGAGACCATCCTGGCTAACACGGTGAAACCCTGTCTCTGCTAAAAATACAAAAAATTAGCCAAGCATGGTGGCAAGCGCCTGTAGTACCAGCTGCTCAGGAGGCTGAGGCGGGAGAATGGCGTGAACCCGGGAGGCAGAGCTTGCAGTGAGCCGAGATCGTGCCACTGCACTCCATCCAGCCTGGGTGACAGAGCGAGACTCCGTCTCAAAAAAAAAAAAAAAAAAAAAAGAACAACAAGCAACAGAGAGGATGCAGAAGAAAGGAGCTTTCAACAGAGATGAAGGATGGAACAGCAGCTCTATGGTCAGGTCAACAAAGTCTAGCCTGTAGCTCAAAACTGAGGCCTGTTACATAGACAGGAGTAACTTATTAACTGATTTATATGCACCCAATGAAGTAGTTCTCAGGATCCCCATTTCACAGATAAGGAAACTGATGTTGAACACTTGGCACTTAGTATGTACTTGATACACTACAGCTATTTTTCTGATGAACAAATGAGTCAACCCAACGGTGTGTACTTCTGCAAGGGTGATTTGAGCACTCCAAATAGACGTGGTATAATAAAATGAGATACAAATGGTTACAGGGAAAAAAAACCTCAGGTACTTAAGAAGTGTGTTTCTTAATCATAAAACTCTGGAACATACTAACCTAGGAACATTATAATGTTAATGAAACCTAGTCTATTTGGCCTTCCTCTACCCTGGCAATCACTAAAAACACACTGACCAACATCATCCACCTAAACACTCTTATACTTTATGTAAAACATGGACAAGGTAATGTTGTTTGTTGTGTTAATGCTTCAGGTTCCTATAAAAGTTTGTGACTCAAAATGTTATGATCTTTGTGTTTCCAAGGCAGCTCACATTTTCTGATTGCCTAAAGAGATCAAACTGGAGCAGAGATAAACATACTTCTTTCCTCCTGATTTGATCTCCTGTATACTAGCTTAATGACTATTTCCGAACCTTGGACATGCCTAAGAATAACAAAACCATTCTTCTGGAGAGAACAGGGAGTGACTGTAAATGAGCATGAGGGCAACAACTCTGTATGTTTACTAAAAAATCATTGAATGGTACACACAAGATGAGCACATTTTATGTGTATAAAGTATATCCCAATAAAGCTGTTAAAAAACAACACTCCACTGCTGCATCCATTGCTGCATCCCTATAGAGTTCACCCTGCAGAAGTTGGGTCACTGGCTCTGGAGAGAAAGTGCTGATCTTGCTACTCCCATTCCCTATCCCTACACCCCCATGCTCCCACCGATTCAACTAATAAACCTAGATATTACTCAAAATGTAAAGTGATTTTATGACAATGATCATCCATGCATACATATAAGATGGTCAATATTACTGCTTTTACATGACTTGGTAAAGGCATCATTTTTCAGGCTGCTCATGCCATAAATGCTGCACAAAGTAAGCTTAAAACTTAAGAACTCTTATCATGTCAGCGTCATCTTCTTCCCGAATCTGTTTGCTGGGAATCAAGCCTTTCTCAAAATGCCAAAGGAATTCTTGAGAAGCTGAGAGCCTCCTACCCCCTACTCCCCTCCCCACATGAGGAACACACTCATGAAGGATGGAGAATGCACTAGCAGTGCTACGCCAGCCACCTCGTCAGGGGAGGGGAGCCACAAGGATGTGCATTTAATCCATAATGAATCCTAACAGGTCCACCCTTCAAATAGGTCCAGGTTCTGGTCCCATCTGGCCACTTCCTTGTAAAGCCACTGACATCCCCCTTCTGAACTCCTACAAGGGCATCTTCACTGATCTCCCCGCTTCCACCAACTTTCCTGTGGTCTATTCTCAACACAGCAGCCAGAGTGATCCTCTCAGAACGTTAAGTTGAATTATATTACTCCTCACACTGAAACCCTCTGGTGGCTTTGCATCCACTCAGTACAAAAGGCCAAGACTTAACAATGGCCTCAAGGTCCTACCTGATTAGGTCTCTGGTAACTTTCTGATTTCCTCTGTCAACCTGCCCTTCCTTTCTTGCCTGTTCTGCTCCAGCCACACTCACCTCTTTATCTTCAAACACAGTCCTGCCTCAGGGTCTTTGCATTTGCTGCTCCTCTGCCTGAAAGCCTCCTGCTGCAGATTCCCTTAAAAGTTGGCTGTCTCATTTCATTCTGGCCTCTACCCAAATGTTACCCTAACCGAAAGGCCTTCCTTGACCAACTTATCTAAAATATCACTCCCCACATACACACACAGCATCCGTCCATGGCCCTCCTACCCTGCTTTATTTTTATCTTAGCACGCCACTGGACCACTGACATAACGTAACTATTTCTGTGTTGCCCATCACCACATTCCCTCTACCCCTAATGTCAGCTCCATGAGAGGAAAGACTATCTTCAGAGCCTGGAATGGAGCCTGCCCGTAGAAAGTTCTAAATAAATACTTGGTGGTAATAAGTGAATAAAAACAAGAGTGAACCCCATGGCAGTCGAGGGACCACTGGGATGAGGATCCTCTGCTCTGCATAAGGCAGTTACCCACTCCTGGGCCAGCAGGTCCAGCAGCCGATGCTCCCATTCCCTGATGGGAGAAAGAGGAAAGGGCCAAGGAGCCAATCAACATTATAGACTTTTTCTATCATGAAACTTCAAAGTCTGCTCCTGGGAGCAGCACTCACTCAGGACTCACAATTATCTGAGCAAAAGTGATCATATCCCAAAACATTTCCACAGGGAAAAATATTTTTTCAGTAACAAGAATAAAGACAAAAGTGAATGTAAAAGCCTAGTATATTTTGAACTATATATGAATTTAATTTTCTAAAGTTTTTAACTTGCAAAGTTCATGTTTTAGGTAGAGTATAGTCCTCTAAAAGGTGAAAACCAATTCTCATAGGGAATTTTCATTAAAAAAAATCCTATAACCTATAAGGTTGATATGATCATCATTTCCATTTGATAAAATAATAGATGGAGGTTAAAAAACCTGAAGCAACTCACTCAAGGCAGTGAAATTCCAGCATCAGGACCTGACCTTATTTTTTATTTCAAATGCACGACTTTTTCCATGATTTATGTTGTGTTTACAGAAAACCAAGTTCAGAAAACAGAAAAAGTAATCTTTGAAATGAAGACTTCACTAAAGAAGCATCCAAATTCAAATAGCAATAGCTTTGAACTCTTGAGAAACTCAGTGTGCTGGATCAGAAAACCAAGGCCTAATGTACCACAAAAACTAGACAGCTAAACACACCTGGGCTTGAAATACAGATAAGCAAGGAAGTGAAACAGAAAATTAGACAAGAGCTACAGACCCCTCTCTGTGAGGAGAGACACGGGGATGCACCTTACTAATTGTAAAGAACCAGGCAGAACAACAGAGAAAACACAGTGGGGTACTATAAGACATTGAGTAGCAGTTTCATAATCTCTCAAAATGTATTTAAAGTAAATTCATTAAAAAGCAAGTTGTATGATTTATCTCAAAGGTCATGGAATCACTGCGTGCCCATACAACCTATAAAGAGAAACAGCCAAGTTTTGGTCACTTGCTAGAATGCAAACCTTAAGTTAATCATGATTTGTTGAAACATGTTCAAAAATGCACTAGTAATGACTTCAATAAAATAGTAATGATAACCAATAATTATTTTGGTAATTACTTAATTACATTAATGATTATATTCATGATTAATAAATGTGCTTTATTATTAGGAAATGTAAATAGCACTTATAATGCAACACAGAAGATTAAAAACATATTTGCAAACAGTCTTAAATAATTCCCAAGATGATCTCAGTATATTAATATTAAAAGATCTAAAGAGCCATAAGCAATCCATTTTATACAAATAAAAGGACACTTGAATATGTTATCCACAAGTTCTAATACACCGATGTGTATATATGTGTGTGTGTGTGTGTGTGTGTGTGTATATATATATATATATATAATTTTTTTTTTAATCTCACAGCCTCATTTCCATACAGAGAAAGGACTTGCTTAGAGTCAGTTGTTGTTTTTTTTGTTTTTGTTTTTTTTGTTTGAGAGATGGAGTCTCACTCTGTTGTTGCCCAGGCTGGAATGCAATGGCATGATCTCGGCTCACTGCAACCTCTGCCTCCTGGGTTCAAGCAATTCTCGTGCCTCAGCCTCCCAGTTAGCTGGGATTACAGGTGCCCACTACCACCAGCCCGGCTAGTTTTTATATTTTTAGTAGAGGTGGGGTTCTGCCATGCTGGCCAGGCTGGTCTTGAACTCCTGACCTCAGGTGATCCACCCACCAGTTCTGACAAGGTTAATATAAAATTCAAAACATTTAAGTGTATCATATCAAAATTTAAGGCTTAAAGGATTTTATCAAGATTAAAGATAATTTGAATACAAAAAAAAAGAGCGAGAACAAAAATTTGTATGGGGTTACAATGGAGTGATAAACCATCACAATTTTCCATCATGAAATAATAGAATCATTTCTATAAAATATCTTGCTAAGAAATGCAAAGGTAATATAATTCTGCTTTTCGAACTACAGTTAATTATTCTCTTTGCTGCCAATAGAGAAAACAAAATTATCAGTTTCCATTTTGGCCATAACACCCTTATTATGCCTCAAGGGAGAAGGGGAGGGAAATAGAGGCAAAGCCACAGAGCAGAAGACACTGGGCTGCAGTCAACACCAAAAATGTCGGTAATAGCAACCATGCAGCTAGTTTCACAATCACAGCTGCACTGTTAATAATTGATTCATTCATGCAAGAAAAATGTGTTGTATACCTACTATGAGACAAAGAGTTTGGGGTTTGTTTTTTTTTTTAAGTTCCGGGATATATGTGCAGAATATGCACGTTTGTTACACAGGCAAATGTGTGCCACGGTGGTTTGCTGCACCCATCAACCCATCACCTAGGTATTAAGCCCCGCATGCATTAGCTATTTATCCTGATGTTCTCCCTCCCTTCCCCCCCGCCCCACCAACAGGCCCTGGTGTGTGTTGTTCCCCTCCCTGTGTCCATGTGTTCTCATTGTTCAGCTCCCACTTATGAGTGAGAACACGTGGTGTTTGGTTTTCTGTTCCTGTGTTAGTCTGCTAAGACTGATGGTTTCCAGCTTCATCCATGACTCTACAAAGGACCTGATCTCATTCCTTTTTATGGCTGCACAGTATTCCATGATGTATATGTACCATATTTTCTTCATCCAGTCTATCACTGATGGGCATTTGGGTTGGTCCATGAGACAAAGAGAATTAATGGATTGGTGACTAACAAAAAAATCCCTCTGGAACTTCTGCTCAAAGTGAGATGGATGAACATCAACAAAAACAGTTCCACCCCTTAGGGCCTGCAGTTCTCTGGAGAAAAAATAAAATAGGGCAATGTGCTAAAGAATTCCAGGGCTTGGGGGAGGGTGTGCTGCTGGGGCAGTCAGGAAACTTCTGAGAAAGATAACATTTGACTGAGAATTAAATGATAAGATGGTGTGACTATAAGATCTAAGGAAGGGAACATTTAAGGAAGAAATAACAGCAAACCCAAAGACTCTGAGATGAGAACAGGGTACCAGTGAGGAAGACAGAGGACTAACATGGCTGGGGGAGATTGTGCCGGAGGGCGTGTCAGGGTGGAAGATGGGGACTGGATCACATAGGGCCTGGAGGTGGTAAACTAGTATCCTAGTTGTACTGAGATGCTATCAATAGATTCTAAGCAGAGAAATGATATAAACTGGTTTATACTTTAAACAAGATAAAAGCTGACAAACAGAGATTGGACTATAGGGAGGTAAAAGTGGAAGCAGAGAGACCAAGGAAGTACAAGAGTTCAAGTGAGAACGGGGGTGTCCCACAGAAGGGTTATGCCCATGGAGGGAGAGTTTAAAGGCAGTGGCCACAGAACTCACAGAACTTGTGTGGGGGATGTGAAGAACACTAGGGGAATGAAGAACAATTCACATCTTGGGGGTCTAAGGGTATGTGGTGGTGCCATTTATGAGATGGGGAAGCAAAAGCTCTGTTATGCTAAGATGCCCAGCAGATATCCAAGTGGAGATGCCAGGCAGACAGATGGATCATAAATATGGAGTTCCTGTGAGAGATCAGTGCTGGAGCCAGAGATACAGGAGACACTCCTTACAGGCAGTATTTAGAGTTGAGGGCTGGATAGCTGAATCACTTAAAGCAAATGTCCAGATGGAGGAGAGAGCCAAGAATAAAACACCAAACTACTCCAACCTCCATAGACTGGGCAGAGAAAGAGGTACCTGTAAAAGAGATAGAGAAGCAGCAGCCAGCAAGGGGGTAGGACAGCCAGGAACAGATAGGGACACAGTAGCCTAAGAAGGGAGGGGGCAGGAGTGGGGATGGGTGGAAAGGGGTGGGTAAGACAGCTGAGAGTAGGGTTGAGACAAGGAGAGGAGGAGGGAATGAGAATGAGTAAGATGGGACAGCAGAGCTGAGGTTACACCAGTGAGATTGATTACTCAGCTGTCTCCAAGATACTCAGCTGCGGGAACTAAGAGTGTGGGTACTTGGATTTACAAAATCAGGGCTGTGTTAAGCCCAGTCCATCAGGTGAGAGAGAGGCAAGGGATTTTGCAGGAGTCCAGACTACATACTCTAAAGTGGGTTAGGAGGGAAGCCAGGCCACGAGATGGGTGGTGGATAGCGAAACAGGTAGAGCCACTGAAGCAGAGGTTCCCAAGGAGAAATGAAGTACACACGAGTGGAAGGACAGAAAGTGGTGGTTAGGTCATGGAATGTTGGGAATCGAGTTAGGACGTGCTGTAGCTTATGGGTGTTGACTTAGCTTAGGACAGCAGCAGTTCCTGAAGACTTTGGTTTCAGGCCCCCTTTGTACTCATAAATGTTATTAGGTGTCATATCTATGATAAATCCTTGTGATTATATCTGTTGATATTTACCATATTAGAAATTAAAGCAGACATTTAAAAAACATTAGTTCGCCCTGATTCAAGCACCAGAGAAGAAAATAAAAAATAATAATTCATTTAAAAATAAATCTATTACATGTTAGCATAATGGTGAAAGAGTGCCATTGTTTTTACCTTTTTGCAAATCTCTTGGGTGTCCAGCTTAAAAGACAGCTGCATTCTCATATCTGCTTCTGCACTCAATCTATTGTGGTATCTTATTTTGGTTCAATTGCCTGAAGAAAATTTGCCCTTGCACAGACACATGTGGTTGCAAAAAGTAAGGACTATTGTAACAGACTTTCAGATAATTGTGGAAATTCTTCAACACTACCCTAAAACTCAACAAGTACTAGTTTCTTAAAGGTTATTTGTAATTAAAATTTCAAACCATATCAATGAACTTTCTGATATGGTTATCATTAATGTATTAGTCTATCTTGCATTTTGAATGGATCTTTTATCCATGCATAATTTTGAAACATCGTACATCGGTCACTTGGAAAATACTGGTTCCTTAAGTTATACAGATGTTCCAAAAACAGACACATGAAAAAAGTCTTTAAATATTGGGAAGCTCTCAAGTTCAGGGTAGCAGATATAAGTTTTCCAAAACCCTAATTTTCACTTGAAGACTTAAAATCACTGGCAACAAGTACAGTTGTTTTCCTTGAAGTGAGAAGTTGACTTCTTTCCATTCAAGAAAGTGTCTGCCAAATGTCTACATCTGATAACCATAGTCTGTCCACCGATCGCACAAGTGCTTCTCCTTGAGACAACCATATTTCATTGTGCAGAAATGCTGTATGCATACTTCCCATTTCATCACGCAGAATATTTTTTAAAAGTACTCTCAAGGGTTAAGATACAATAAAATTAAGAATTTTTTTTACTGCTTCATCAGGATATTAAGTGAAAGTGCCATTATTTACTGCAAGTGAGTGGCAGAAGGATGCAATAACTACTAGTACTGTTGTTGGACACTAGAGTGCTAGCAATTTTACTCACCATTGCTTTTGCCAATCAGTGCAAATGTAAATGCAGTAAAAAAAAAAATGCAGATGATATCTCGGTATTATTATAAAAACAATTTTAATCTTGCAGATTCTTGAAAGGATCTAGTGGGTGACCCACCACACTTTGAGAACCAATTGCTAGCATAGAGTATGACCATGAATGCATGTGTGCAGCTGAAGTTGGGGGAAGAAAACATAGTTGGACTGAGGAAGCCGAGCACCAGAGCGGTCAGAATGTTGACTTGACCATCATGTTGATGCTCAAGTTATGAGAATGACAGAAGTATTCAGGAAAAGGGGTGAAAGGTGAGGGAGGAAGGAATGACATCAGTGAATGAGTGGGTGTGACTAGGAGGTTGATACTAAAACCCGTAGGAGGTGCTAAAGCCTAAAGACAAGTGCTTCAATGAGTACAGATTTTTTTTTTTTTAAAGTTCTGGGATACACGTGGAAGACATGTAGGTTTGTTACATAGGCAAATGTGTGCCATGGTGATTTGCTGCACCTATCAATCCATCACCTAAGTATTAAGCCCTGCATGCTTTAGCTATTTATCCTGATGCTCTCCCTCCTCCCACCCTCCGCCCCAACAGGCCCCAGTGTGTGTTTTTCCCCTCCATATCCCCATGTGTTCTCATTGTTCAGCTCCCACTTATAAGTGAGAACATGCAGTGTTTGGTTTTCTGTTCCTGTGTTAGTTTGCAAGGATAATGGCTTCCACCTCTATCCATGTCCCTGCAAAGAACATGATCTCATTCCTTTTTATGGCTGCATAGTATTCCATGGTGTACATGTACCACATTTTCTTTATCCAGTCTATCATTGATGGGCATTTGGGTTGATTCCATGTCTTTGCTATTGTGAATAGTACTGCAATAAACATACGTGTGCATGTATCTTTATAATAGAATGATTTATATTCCTTTGGGTATATAACCAATAATGGGATTGCTGGGTCAAATGATATTTCTGGTTCTAGGTCTTCGAAGAATTGCCACACTGTCTTCCACAATGGTTGAACTAATTTAGATACCTACCAACGATGTAAAAGTGTTCCTATTTCTCCACAGCCTTGCCAGCATCTGTTGTTTCTTCACTTTTTAAAATCACCATTCTGACTAGCATGAGATGGTATCTCATTGTTGTATGGAAAAATCAGTATCATGAAAATGGCCATACTGCCCAAAGTAATTTACAGATTCAATGCTATTCACATTAAACTACGATTGACATTCTTCACATAATTAGAAAAAAAACTACTTTAAAATTCATATGGAACCAAAAAAGAGCCCATATAGCCAAGACAACCCTAAGCAAAAAGAACAAAGATAGAGGGATCATGCTACCCGACTTCAAACTATACTACAAGGCAACAGTAACCAAAACGGTATAGTACTGGTACAAAAACAGACACATAGACCAATGGAACAGAATAGAGGTCTCAGAAACAAGACCACACATCTACAACCATCCGATCTTCGGCAAACCTGACAAAAACAAGCAATGGGGAAAGGATTCCCTATTTAAAAATGGTGCTGGGAAAACTGGCTAGCCATATGCAGAAAATTAAAACTGAAGCCCTTCCTTACACCTTAGACAATTAACTCAAGATGGATTACAGACTTAAATGTAAAATGCAAAACTATAAAAACACTAGAAGAAAATCTAGAAAATGCCATTCAGGACATAGGCACAGGCAAAGATTTCATGACAAAAGCGTCAAAAGCAATTACAACAAAAGCAAAAATGGAAAAAAGGGACCTAATTAAACTAAAGAGCTTCTGCACAGCAAAAGAAACTATCATCAGAGTGAACAGACAAGCTACAGAATGGGAGAAAATTTTTGCCATCTATCCATCTAACAAAGGTCTAATATCCAGAATCTACAAGGAACTTAAATTTACAAGAAAAAAAAGGCATTAAACATGGGCAAAGGACATGGACATTTCTCAATATAAGACATTTATGCAGCCAAAAACATGTGAGAAAAAGCTCAAGATTGGCTGGGCGTGGTGGCTCACACCTGTAATACCACCACTTTGGAAGGCCAAGGTGGGCGGATCACCTGAGATCAGGAGTTCAAGACCAGCCTGCCCAACATGGCGAAAACCCATCTCTACTAAAAATACAAAAATTAGCAGGGCATGGTGGCACACGCCTGTAGTCCCAGCTACTCAGGAGGCTAAGGCAGGAGAATCACTTGAACCTGGGAGGTAGAGGTTGCAGTGAACCGAGATCGTGCCACTGCACTCTGGCCTGGTCAACACAGCGAGATTCCAACTCAAAAAAAGAAAAAAAAGAAAGAAAAAAAGAAAAAAAAGCTCAACATCACTGATCATTAGAGGAGTGCAAATTTTTAAAGGAGAAAGAACAGTAGCTTGGAAGTGACAATAGCAGCAGGGAGAATACCTTCCCTACTTCCAAGCTGACTTATATGAGCTAAGGGAGAGGGACTGTTGGCTGCCAGAAACCACTGAAAGGGGTGGACCTTCAGCACACTTTTACTGGCTTCTCATGCCAATGTCATGGTTCCCAGACAGCCTCATACCTCAGACTCAGCTGGGGAGCTTTTGAAAAAACACCCAAGCTCCAGGCTCTATTCCAAGAAATTCAAATTCAAGATGTCCAGGGTGGGTCCCATGTAACTTATTCTTTCAATGCGCTCCCTGACGATTCTGATGCTTAGTCCATCTTGAAAACCAGTCTCAGCCACCGTGAATTTGAACTTAATCTTCTCTGTAAGCCTCCAGTCTAGCCAACTTAAATCTAGCTTGAGTTTTCCCCTCAAGTATGTTCATGTACCATTCCCTTTGCCTAAAATATTCTATCCTTAGCTACCTAAGCCTTTTCCATACTTCAGTGTTGGAGCAAATCCCTCCCCTTGTATAAAGCTTTTTTTGTGTGATCACTACAACTTTGGGTAAGAACTTCCTACTCCTCCCAAAGTACTTGCTAGCTTGTTTCTCTTTCCACATTTGTACACTTACAGTTTTTTTTGCTCTCTAAAGGCACCCCCATCTAGCTTAAAAATTCTAGGAGAGCGAGGACCATATCTTAAGAGATTTGATAGCGTCTAGCTCTTTGTTTAATAATCTTAAGACATTTGATAGCATCTAGCACTATTTAATAATCTTAAGAGATTTGATGGCATCTAGCACTTTATTTTATAATCTTAAGACATCTGATAGCATCTAGCACTGTGTTTTGTAATAGCAGGCATTTAACAAATCTTCCTAAAATCACATCTTGCTCATCTTGTTAGCGAATTGTGGCAAATGCATTTCTTTCATTTTCTTGTGGTGAAGTGAAAACAAAACACACACTTGGTAGTTCAACAATTTCATTTCCAAATCATGGTTTTCCCAAAAGAGCTTAACTTATTAAAAGAATACAAAGATAAATAATAAAGTCTTTACTTTGCAGCTTTTGTTGTACCTATAAAACTTCCACACTTTTTGGAATATTTTATTCTTAGATTTTTTTTAGATGCCTTACAACTGTAAAACTGTATCAAACACAGTCAACATTTGTAAAACATTTATAATTCATGTGATTACAACACTGATCTTTAATGACTTGTTGAAAGCAAGGCAAACCATGACAAGAAACATTAGTTCCCGGGGGATTGGCTGCTAAATTCACACTTTCACATTTTCAGTCCCAATAACATATTAAATAGAGCAAGAGACCTGCTGATCCCTAAAAACTATCTTGTAAAATTTTGTAACCTTTGTACTATTGTGGATATTCATTGTTACAGTTCACCTGGAAGCATGTTAGTGAAGCAAAAAAAAAAAAAAAAATACAAACTTTAAAATCAGAGAAATATATTTTTATGAGCAATAGATTTCATTATTCAATGGACAGACGACTGTGTAAGCACACTCCTTCTCTTTTCTTCTTAGCTGGCTGACAGCTACCACCAACCTACTTCAAAGCACACTGGAATACCTTGAAGTATATATATACTTTGAGTATGTATATACTCCCTTGCCCCTTCCACCAAGTGAGGACATAGCAAGAAAGTCAGCAATAAGCTAGAAAGCAGGCCCCGACCAGAGCCCTCACAATGGGATGATTGCAGAACGGTAAGGGAATCAAAAGGCGATGAATGATATGCAAACAAGTTGGTTGTTTTATATATTAGGACCCCTAGCAAAATGATTTAATGAGTCCACTGCAGAAGTAACAGACTAGCTTAAGTGTTCTGATGGTGGAACACCTATTGCCTCGAATATTCAAAGGACGGAAGCCCAGCTTGCGGAATAGCCCTGGTTCATCTCCCAGGGATGGAAGATGAACATGGGCTATTCCCCTAGCTAGGTCTAGCCTATGTGACTCAGGACAGCCCTACAATAAAGTAAAAAAAAAAAAAAGAGAGCAAGAGAGGAGAGACTCATCAAAAGAGAGGTGAATTTGAACAAAAAACAAAATATGAGCACAAAAGAGCTTATATAGGGAGACAGGGGATACAGAAAAGCAACGAAAAGAATAAGCGTGCTCAAGTCTCAGGCCCAGTGAAGTTAGAACTGAGGTTAAATGTTCTTATAACTCTTGGGATGCTTCTCTTACCATGCGATTGAACACCTAAGAGGTCGAGAGAGAGCAAGCGAGCGAGAGACAGAGCACATGAGTGAGAGTGTGAGAGAGAGTGCAAAAACGCAAGAAGCATACTTTATATAATATACCTGAGAGTGCAGTGTAACCTGTAGCATCTTTTGCAGCTACACAAAAACAAAAGATGACTTTCACTAGAGACATTTTATATATGTCCTTGGGTTCCTGTAATTTTTACACCTACATATGTAAAATTCTTGCCCTGGGGAGAATCAAAATAAAATTGTGCAGCATTCACTGTACATTCTTAATAAACTCTTAGCCTAGGACACTCACAATCATTACCATAGAGAATGAAGAGATGGCCATTACTAAGAACAATAGACTGAATGTCTGTGTTCCGCCAAAATTCATATTGAAATCCTAACCCCCAATGCGATAGTATTAGGAGGCAGGGCTTTGTGGAGGGGGTGATTGGGTCATGAAAGCGGATCCCCTCATAATAGGATTAATGCCCTTATAAAAGCTATCTCAGGGAGGTCCCTTGCCTGCCCTTCCACCAAGTGAAGACACAGCAAGAAGTCAGCCATCCATGAACCAGAACATGGGCCCTAACGAGACGATGAATCTGCTGGCACCTTAACCTTGAACTTCCCAAGTTCCAGAATTGTGCAAAATACATTTTCTGTTGTTTATAAGTCACCCAGTCTATAGTATTCTGTTATAGGAACCTGAATGGACTAAGACACCAAATTCATTTTTTATGTAGCCGTTTTATTTACTGTAATCCATCTACTCTGAAAAGTTTTTTACTCAATTTAGTCTTTGCACATCAAAAAATGGCATTAATGTGAGATATTTCTTTGGCGTTGGCAAAAACCCTAGGGGAGTTAAGACACTTGAAAAAGTAGTAATTTAAAATTAAGCTATCATAACCAATAGGTACTGAAAAGATACTGAATTCTTAATAAACCATCTCCAAAGGGATCTGACATTCCCTATTTTTCCCAAAGAAAAATGTCTTTTTTCAAAATTTTTTAGTATATAAAATTTGTAGGAAGAAGAAAACCGATCTAGTCTAATGACTGACAAGAACAGCAATTCCAGCTCCACCATTTACTTGGTTTCAGAACCCTAGGCAAGTGGCTAACCTAAGTTATTGTCACTCTAAGAAAGTTATTAGGACAATAAAGTTAAATGAAGCAGTATTATAGGTCACTTAAAGCATACTCAATAACAGTTACACAGTGAGTATATTGAAATTCAAATGCCCAATTCTTATTTACCAGTCTAAAATTGAAAGCAACTATCAACATTCTACTTCAAAATGCCCCACAGGACACCTATTTCTGGAGAAAGAGTAGCCACCCCTGTAAAGGCGTGATCAGCAGAACCACCAGTGAACACCTTCATGTTCCGGAAGAACAGGAATGAGGTTATCAAAGTACAGATGACACCTTCACCAAAACCTCCATTGCTCTGGCTCTCTTAAAAATCACCTCCTCAATTTTTCCAATCACCTCCTCAATTTTTCAACAGTGCTAGATAAGAAGTTCTTTAAATGACGGTGTTTTCTTCTCTCAGAACTACAAACAAGTATCTGAAGAAAGGCTAAAATTGCTTGGATGAAGTGACCGTAATCAAGGGAAGAGAAAGGAACATAGGGTCATTCAGAACATTCTTGTATTTGAAGAAAAGGGAGTTGAAAATCTTCCAAAAACTGCTAGCCAGTGGCATTTGAAATTTTAGCTCGTGGCTGGGAAGCAATAACTAGAAGAAAAATACAGCAAGCCCTTTCTAATCCCGGACAATGAAAACAAACTTCAACAATTCCTCAATTAAGGGTTGTGGAGTTTCTAAAATAAGAGAAGCATATAAATTAATCCCCTTCCCAGATTTTAGAATCCTACAATACTTACTAAATAACAACGCAGAATATCTTACCCTGACAAGCGTTTCCAAAGTTCTTCAAATGCTTCTGCAGTCATTATTTGACCCTCAAATTAACAATTCTCTGCGGCAAACAAGGCAAGTATGGTGGTTCTTATTTGATGAATGACAAAACTGAGATATAAAAAGCTAATGACTTGTCCAAGGTCACATGCCCAGTAAGTGAGGGAACAGGAGTGGAGTTTCCCTAAGCCAGAGCTTTTCCATCGTCTCACACAGATTAATCATTACTTATGGTGATTAATGCAACTGAAAGGATTCCAGCTGTTCAAAGTTTCCACAGCATGGCCTATGATACACTTGCAGCTTTCCAATAGAGGAGGCCAAGTCTAGGTGTCCCCAATTCATGTGAAAAAAGCCTAAAAGACCTATGGTTACTACTACTCAGTAGGCTTAGTAGGATACTCAAAAAATATAATTGGAGATGGCATCACCTTCTCGCACTCCTTATGCTTTCCACATGGTCAGCACTGTGCAATACACTACCAGGCACTGTACGTTTTAATGACTGTTGGGGTAAACAGTAAATGGTTTAATCAGAAATGCTGAGCTAAAGTTACATAGTCACTGGAGATGTTATTTATCAACTCTGGGGACAGACAAACTCTAAAAGGTAACCAGCGTACATTGGACAAGGGCAGGCATAGAACTCCAAATGACTTTCAAAGCCACATGGATATTTCAGATCAAGGTAGGTCAAATAAACAATAAGGCACTGGGCTGAAGTTTAACAGGGAAGACAGAGCACTGGTAGGTTTACGAAGGAAAGTAAGAGAAAGAGAAACACCTGGGAAGGGAAAAGCTCACCTAAAAATGATAAAAGTCAACAACAGACAGGAATGGCAAGAGTAGGCAAAAGCACTAAATTGTGGATGAGGGCTCAGTTTAAGTGAGTACTCCAAGGAGACAAATCTTCCCCTCTTCCTGGATTTGAAGAAACTCGGATTAGGGGACAGTAGAGATTGCACCTCACCCTGGTCTCTCTTCTAAGAGCTCACAAGATGTTTCAGGAGATAGAATGATAAAGCAACATCAGGTTAGATAGCCTGAAGACAAGAATACTAAGTGCCAATTAATGGTCTTCACAAACATGAAGAAATTTTCTAAAGATCAAAGTAACCCACTGTTTTAATTTTCACTAAAGCTTAAATTGCAAAAAAAAAAAGGAACTGTTTAAGCAAGACAGTTACTGACACTGAAGACATTGTTACCAAGAGACCCTCTGATCCTTTTAAAACTTTTTCCTAAGGATAGAATAAACATTGAAAAGCTTGGAAAAAAGCCCTTTTGAGGTTCTATTCTGATGAGGAGAGGTAGAGACATACTTGTAAATGTAGGGCTTTTCAGGTAAATTTCACATAATGTTCCTCTTCAGTTAACTACATCCCTGGTCCCAACATACTATTAGGGCTGTCATGGGAAGGTCCTCATAGGCTCTGTCCTATTGGCTTTAGCAGCCAGTCTTAGTATAAGCAAGGTCTTCCCCACCCCTCCCATTGCCTAAGAGTCCACAAAGTCACCCTAGCTCTCAGCTCCTGAAATCACTGAAACTAGAATGGGAATCATTTTTCCCTAAGTAAATTTGGTACCATACAGAAATTATACTTCCCTCTGTCTTATTCCAGAAGTACTGAAAAAGATAGCACTCTACTCACCAATGATCTAAGAGAGTCTCTGGAAAGATTGGTACTTTTCTTGTCCAAGGAAACAGAATAAGAGGTATAAAGAGACAGCAACCTCTTCTCAACATAGGTCAGGGTCCCAGTCACCCCCTCTAGTTCAACTTCTGCAGAATTCAGCCCTTCAAAATGGCAACTGTGGAAATTAGCCTGCCTAATAAGGCTCAGTTCATCCAAACTTGGTCTGAAACCATTATAGCACTTCCAGATAGCACTTCAGGAGATATGACTGAATCAGATGCAGACAGCACTTCAGGAGATATGACTGCCAGGACATTCCTAAGGTTACTTCATATCCATTTGAGTGGGTGTGTCAAATCACTGCAGGCATCCTTACTGATGTGCCCAGTTGACACCAATGTGGCACAGCAGTCTTGGAAAATAGGCCATTCCTTTTGATAGACTTGACATCAACATGCTCCAAGGCAGAGACTTGTGAACCTACTGGGAAGTGTGCTAAAAAGCCAAATCTAAAAGCTATCATGACCAGAGATGGAGAGTGGGCTATTCCATATTACTGTCCAAACCAAGCTAAAGGTTTACCCAACAGAGAACATGCTCAACAATTTTCATGGATATAAGATTTAGACATAAGGAGAGTCCAACTACTTATGCAACGACTTTATCATGAGCTAACATTGTGTGCCACACCTGTGCACCTGAAAAACTGCCACATCATCTTCAAACAAAAACATCAGTTGAACTTAACATCAAGTCATTTTTTAAGGTAAACTTCATCCTTAAAAATAAAATTGCTGCTAGAAATCCCACTACTGAGTATTTACTCAAAAGAAAAGGAATTGTTTTATCAAAAAGATTCCTGGTCTGTTACGTTTATCACAGCACTGTTCACAATAGCAAAGCCATGGATTCAACCAAAGTATCCATCAACAGTTGACTGGATAATGAAAATGTGGTGCGTATAGATAGATAGATAGATAGATAGATAGATAGATAGATAGATAAACACACACACATCTATGTATACATATATGTGTATATATGTATGTATATATATACACATATACATGTGTATATATGCATGTGTATATATGTATACATACATATATACACATGTACACACACATCTATGTATACATACATATACATATATGTATGTATACATATATACATGTATACTATGGAATACGTGTATACCGTGGAATACTATGCAGCCATAAAAATGAATGAAATCATGTCCTTTGCAGCAGCATGGATGGAGTCAAAGACCTTTATCCTAAGTGAAGTAACTCAGAAACAGAAAATCAAATACTGCATGTTCTCATTTGTAAGTGGGAGCTAAACAATCGGTATGCATAGACAAAGATGGCAATGACAGACAGTGTGGACCCCATAAGGATGAGGGAAAAGAAGGGGGTGAAGGTTTAAAAACTACGTATTGGGTACAATGTTCACTATTCGGGTGATGGGTTCACTAGAAACCCAAACCTCACCATTAAGAAATATATCCATGTAGCAAACCTCTGCACATACCCACTGAATCTAAAATAACAACAAAAAAAAGCTGCTAGAAATAAGAAAGCTACAAAATCAAACAACTAGTTGAAATTAGGATTTCCACTAATTCACTGAAAAAAAATTTAAGAACATTCTTTGCACACTTTTCAGTCTTACAAATGACAAAAGTTGAAAACCCCTAGAAATAAATTTTTTTAATTAGCTAAATAATACTGACATACAATGGTGATACTCTTAATTTTTAAATTTTGTATAAATGTCTTCTATGTACATGGCACCAACTTAGGTATTTGATGATACCAAAGATGTATAAGCTGTAGTCCCTACCCTCTGAGCTCACAAACTCTTACAAGATAGTGGGGTGGGGCAACTTCCGGGAGAGACTGAAACATACAAAGTAATTTTTTAAAAGAGCATAAAATGTAGGTTGGAGGGCAGGGAAGAATGACAGGGGAAGAGCTGGTTATGGGCTAATGAGGAAGCAATCCAATCCCAAGCATCCAATTGGAATCCTGATACCAGAAAATGTGCTACTTTTAAATGCCATCCTGACAGCAGAGTTAATGAAGAAAAATCCTGTCCTCATGGGGAATGGCTGAGTAATGTTAAGGAACAATTCTTCAAGTCTTATTAAAATAGCTTTAGTTTCATGACAGTTTTTTGATCCCATTTTTAAATCTCAAAATTAGCAAATTTGTTAGGACTCTAGTTTGCTTACTCAGAAAGGCTTTTCTGTAAACTTTTCATCTACTTTTGGAAGTGTACACAGTCACAATGATACAATAATAATAATAATAGTAATAACTACTAATGGCAACATTTGTTAAACAGATTACTGTGCTGGGTACTGTTCTGTGTAATGCAGTTAATCTTACAGCCACCTATGAGGTGAATAATGTTATCCTCATTTACCGATAAAGAAACTGAGGCTTAGAGAGGTTAATATTACCCTAATGTCACAAAGATATTGTCAGGGCCAAGATTTTAATCTGGGTGGTGCGACTCTAGAGCAGAGGTCCGCGACACCCAGGCCACAGACCAGTCCGTGGCCTGTTAGGAAGTGAGCCCCACAGCAGGAGGTGAGCAACAGGTGAGCAAGCATTACCGTCTGAACTCCACCTCCTGTCAGATCAGTGGTGGCAATAAATTCTCATAGGTTGTGTGCTCCTTTTGAGAATCTAACTAATGCCTAATGATCTGAGGTGGAACAGTTTCATCCTGAAACCATCCCCCCAAACCCCTCCTCCCAGTCTATGGAAAAACTGTCTTCCACAAAACTGGTTCCTGGTGCCAAAAAGACTGGGGACCACTGCTCTAAAGTGCACATTTTTAACCTCTACGTTAAGTGACAGGATCAAGCATTACCCTTTCTTCTGAAGCAAACTTTAGTAGAAAGCACATCTCTTTGTATAGCAGTGGATGTGCTAATAAGCTCTCTCTCCTAAACATGGTTCCCCGAGACGACTCAAAGGACAAACTTATAGTGAACCTAGTTGTTTCTATGAAACACCTACTTAATCACTACCATTCTGTGGGGGAATTTTGTTCCCTAGTTTGATCAATGATTTTTTTTTTCTTTCCTTATTTTATCAATGATTTCTTTTAGGAGAAAATTCTCTAGGAAGAAAGCAAAATTGTCAACTGTGTTTGTCTCCATTAAAACAATTCTGCAAACGTTTTGTTAATCCCTATGAATTTCTTCCAGCTCTTTTATATTCTGATCCTTTAAAATACACCAAATTATCTGTGAAGAACTCATTTGACTGTGTGTTTTGCTATTCTTTTTGGGGGTTTTTGGGGGTTTTTGGGGTGTGTGGTTTTGTTTTGTTTTGTTTTGTTTTGTTTTGTTTTGTTTTGTTTGAGACAAGGTCTCACTCTGTCACCCAGGCTGGAGTGCAGTGGTGTGATCTCAGCTCACTGCAACCACTGCCTCCCAGTCTCAAGCAATCCTCCCACCTCAGCCTCCCCAAGTAGTTGGGACTACAAGTGTGCACCACCGCGCCTAGCTAATTTTTGTATTTTATGTAGAGACAGAGTTTCGCCATGTTGCCCAGGCTGGTCTTGAACTCCTGAGCTCAAGCAATCTGCCTGCCTCGGCCTCCCAAAGTGCTGGGGTTATAGGCATGAGCCACCCCACCTGGCCAGCTATTCTTTTTATAAATACTCATGCCCAACCCCATAGCCATTTGTTCTTGCTCTTATGCCAGAAGAACTTACTGGAATTGTAGCAGTCAGCATCACACCCTTTTACCTCCCACAAGCGCTGAGCAGCAGGTGCTGACTCAATAACCATCAACTGCTGGCTCTCTGCAGCACTTCTAAACTGAGACAGTGACCCCTCTTCCTCTTTCCCCAGCTTTTATATTGTAAGCCCCCCAAAATTACTAGCATTATTCTTTCCAGGAACTCTGGGATGAAAATTAAAATCTCTCTGCTTATAGCCCACAAAGCAAGGGTTACATTTTACATGTGTGATTAATTAGACATGTGACTGGCAATTAGCCCTTTAGGCAGGTTTTCAACCCTGACTTTTATTCAAATGTGTATGTATAAAACATATATGCACCTACTACCCACATTCACAATGCATATATACATAAATATTCAGACTCCTTCCAGAGCAATTTAGGCACCCGATTTCCAAACGCATTTAATTGAACCTACTGTCGCTTCAAATGAAATTTCTACTTAATTGGTAACTGCATGTGAATTATTAACTAGTACTCTTTGAGAATAGAACATAAAAAAGAAAAGAGAAAAAAAAATAGCTGGAAGAAAAGAAGCACTACATTTTCCCTCCAACAACTCTACAATAGATTCCTTCCCTTTCCTCTAATTTCATTGTCAGCCTTTAAGTGCTGTGGTAGGCTAGCCAGGATGGCCATGCAGGGAGAGGGCCAGTTAGATCTGTGCCCTATTTGGATGGAAAGATGTTTTAAAAGGCTCTGCAGAGCAAGCACTGCCCCAGCTTTCATCAGAAGTGAGGAACACAACCCACTAACCTTCCTTAAACATCCTCTCACTCTACTATGTCTTTTAAAATAGACGGCCACATTAGTACTTAATGTTTCAAAGCTTGTTCTCCAACATCTAAAAGATTACAGTGAAAAACACACGACTCATGTGATCTGACACTGTCATTCCTAAGGCATCATACCTACTTTCACAGCACAATCCCCTGCCCTCCACTCCAACTTTTCTTTCATCCTGAAGAACATGCTTGGGTGCCAGGTGGATGGGAATACCAGTCTCTGCAGCATCTGTCAGCCTGCCTCATAGTACCAAGGGGAACACAAATGTTCAACCTTTGGCCTACTGGTTATTTCAGAGCTAGAAAAGCAAGCTGGAGGATGGATCCCAGGAGTCTAACTTACTTATCCTGGGGCAAATCAAATCCCAGTCTCAGGTAATCCTCTGGGGGCACACAATTCTTAACAACCCCAAGGCAGGTCATCTGTATGTATCCGGAGTGGTTTTTAGGTGGGCACGGCTGCTCAGGGACATCTGCCCCAGAAATGCCAGCATGACAATAGAGTTACCTTTGAGATCTTCATCTTACATTACTTTTGGTAAACTATCAACCT
This sequence comes from Homo sapiens, assembly GCF_000001405.40. Taxonomy (NCBI): domain Eukaryota; kingdom Metazoa; phylum Chordata; class Mammalia; order Primates; family Hominidae; genus Homo; species Homo sapiens. The sequence goes on along the minus strand of NC_000005.10, from coordinate 66,683,538 downwards.
TGATCCTAGCTTGAAAAGGCCTTGAAGGCAAGACAACTAAGAGAGGACAGGACAGGACGTGTAAAAACAGCACTATGGAGACAGATATTTACTACATCAGGTCAGGTGCTAGATGCTAGGTTAATCTGGGAAACACCACTACATGTACCTTTTAAATACAAAGGGTCACCAGCCCACAGAAAGCATTTAACAGTCCAATGAACCAGAATAAAAATCAAAGTAAGTAAACTCCAAAGGGGCATCCAAGAGTTAGCTCTTAATGGTATTCTTGCTTCAACCTAAGTGATGTCAGAGGGCTAACTTCCATATTTAGAATTGGAAGTTTAAGGAATTTAATTTTTACATGGCAGCCAAAATGATGCTGATGAGACCTCAGAGTAACAGGAGCTTATGCTTTGGCACAGTGAGATAGATGCTGATGAATCAGAAGGGACTGCACACCCAACACTAAAACACAGGGTCTTGTTCCTGATGGAGGGAGGCCCTGGGTGTAGGACTGCTCCAGTGAGTCTTCCTTTCCTTCAAAGGCCCCACCACCCCTTCGCCTGCCCTTTATTCTATCCAGGGTTCCTCATTACCACCAGCCAAGAGGACAGCCAAAGAACAATCTACAATACAACAAAAAGCCTTCTCAAAGATGGGCCTTTGAGGAATTAAAATCCAGATGAAGCGGGGTGCAGTGGCATAGGCCTGTAGTCCCAGCTACTCAGGAGGCTGAGGATCATATAAGCCCAGGAGTTTGAGGTCAGTCTGGGCAACACAGCAAGACCTCTTTTTCTTAAGGGGAAAAAAAATGGTCTGCTTCACTTACTTATGCAGTTATTTGTTCCCTACCCCTTCACCTCTTCAGATAAGTAGATTGCTACCAACGGCACTCTCTAAGGCAACAATACCTAATGCTCACTTCTCTCCTTACTCTTTGCCAGGCACTACAGTAGATGCTTTTATGCATTATCTAACATAACAGTTCTAAGGATAGTCCTTACTACTGTCCTCTTTTCCCAGTTATAACGCTAGGCACACAGTAGGCCCAGTATTCAAAGCAGATCTGACTCCAGAGCCCTAATTCAACTGAACCCATCTTTATCTTCAGCTCAGCTGTTGACGCAATTCACTGTTAGCAGCACTGACACAGCACCTTTCATGTGTGAAAACATTTAACGTCTAGGCGATTCCTCACACTGTTCTTTGAGAATTCATAAGAACAAGAAGGCACGTAAACTACAATTTGTATTCATGAAAATGCTGATGATATTAACCTCAGTGCCTCTGCAGTTCAGGCACCAACCACTCAAAGCCAGGTGTGGACTCTAATCCATTTCTGGGGTGTGGGGCCACTCACGACTACTCTTGGTCTTGACCTATGGGGCAGCCTTATAACTTCTATGTGAAACTTCATCCCAGAGAGTGGCGGCAGGCCTGTCTAAGCTAGATGCCCTCATGTAGGTCAGGGAGCACATGTGTTTATGATGTGAAATAAAGCCTGGACACCTTTGTACACATGTAAGCAGTTAGCACACACACACGATAGACTGTCTGGCTGTCCTGTCCTCCTGCCTTCTCTGGAGTAACCAGTCACCTTAACTGATGCTCCAGGCATGGTCACCCACCCCCCAAATAAGCCCAACTTGAGTTTATGAATCTAAAACTACCTAGGGGAGCCCAATGCCCCTTAGAGGAAAGATGTGCAGAAAAACAATGACAATTAAAAATGTTTGTTGTTTAATGAAGAGGCAGCTTGGGAGGACAGAGAAGACAGCAGAGATACAGGTGGGTAAGCACTAACTGCACTATCCCCATCATAGTTCATTTCCAAAACACCCAGATCCTCCTGCAATGCCCTCTCATCAGTCAAGCTGTGCCTTTTTGTATGAGAAGCACAAATATAAAGAATTAGGGCCAAAGAAGCACATTCAGGAAGAAGCCTGCAGCTGAACAAGGGCAGAGCCCAAGTTCAGTTTGAGGACTACTGACAACAATTTTCAAACACCAGTGTGGTGACAGGGACCTGGGAAGTCTGTTTCAAATGCAGGGTGCTGAGTCACCCCCACCAGGATACTGACTCAGTCACTCTGGAGTAGGGCCCAGGAACCTGCATTCTCAGTGGACCCCAGGTGATCTGATGCAGGTGGCCTGGACGACACTGGCCCAAACTCTGACTCAAGTCATCCCTGCCCAGCAGCTGGGGAAGCAAATCTAGTAGTAGTACTGGGAGATCTGGATTCACTTTGTGACTTATAAGTGCTGAGAAGTTACAGGGCCTGAGGCAAATCATTTAATATTTCTGGGTCTTTTTCTGTTAAATAAGGAGAATGGAAATGCTAAGGATCTCTTCTAGCTCTGAAACACTGTCACTGTGAAAAGTGCTTTTGAGACTAAATCTGATAGCCCGATATATTTTTGCTTCACAAACTTGCAAAGTTAGCACCTTTGGTATGCATATGCACAGCCCAGGTATGAGAGGTAATGTGAAGCTGGATTTGGGAGTGGTATCATATTGTTAATACCTTCTGGAGTGGAATCATACTCTGCCTTGGTCCCCCTTGTGGCCAAAGGCATGTGCCACCATGACTGGGAGGTCAGAGGACTGTGCCCAGAAGAGTGTCAATGACCAGCCCAGGTGGCAAGGAGGCCCAAGCCCTTGGGCATGTCTTCGGGTGCGCTTGCTCCAGGTCAAGGTGACTCCTCCTCTGGAAGAGGCTCCTGAAAGATCTTGCCCATAAAAAGAACTTTTATCAAAACCACCAGGACACTGCTGCACTCTTTACTCTTTCTCCCTCGGGTTTGCCTTTTTTGGGGGGTGACACCACAAAGAAGGGGGAAAAACCTCTCCCCGTGCTTCAGCATGAGCAGAACAGCACAAAGAGCTTTATTTTTCTCTCCCCCAGAAGTATGGCCCCTGTTCACTGTTCTCTGTGAAATCACAGCTTGTTTGTTCAGTAAATAAAGCATCTGAATTAATAGGGGATTTAAAGAAGCTAGAGGGGAAAGGACTTGCCCTAAAATAAGATCTGTGGTTAGCGCCAGCCTTCAGTGAGAAGCTGAATTGACATTCTCATTCCCTCTTTAATTACTAAGGGAGGAGGGGCACTGGCAGCAGACACAGAGGGGACTGTCAATGAGGTTAGGAAGTACCCTGGAGGACAAAGGGAGTCAGGAAAGACAATGAATGACAGCACAGATACAGGGTTAGCAACTGCTGCGTGGCTCTTCCCTTATTTTCTTCTAAGACAACCAAATAAATTAGATTACAAACGAGTGAATCCTCTAAAAAACAAAGTCAACAGAACTCTGCCTCAATTTAACACATCCTTCCAGTATGAAAGGAGCCAGGAACTAGTAAATTAGGAGGGACCCCAGTTCAGAACAAAGTGTATTCTCAGCCTTTCCTCAGCTCACCTCCAGTCTAAGTGCATCTTTTCAAATTTAGGCCAGAGGCCCAATCCAAACAAAACTGGGCTCTCTGCTAAGGATAGAAGGCTCTCCTTTTTTCTTCAAGCTGCTCATGATCAGTCTTTACCCAAAAGGGATGGAAGGAGCCAATTTACATGCAGAGAGTTTGTAAGTTCATGTGTAATAGAAAAATAATATAAGTAATATTAACTGTAACATAAAGAAAAAAGTGTACACTGAGCTCAGTAATTCAGAATATGGGCTTTGAAGGACGATGAATTCCACCATCAGGCCAGGGGCAGTGGTCAAGGTTAGAGCCAAATAATAGTTGTGCACGTGGCAGGGTGAGTGCCTGCTGTGAAGGACATATGCAAAGCATATATGCTCAGAATACAGAGGTAAGTGCCTCCCCAACTGGAGAGCCTGCAACCCCACACCCTCACCGAGAAGCCAACAACTTCCACCTCTTTAGAATCATTGGAATGGTGTAACCATGGATGATTTCCATGTGACAGGTTCACTTCAAAATTGCCAAATACACTGATATTTAGTGGGGAAGCAAGAGAGGTGAGAGTATACAAATGAAGAAGGGAAAAATCTCACCAGGTCTCCTCTTCAGCGAAGTTTATACACATACCATCTTCTTTTCTCAGGAAATGAGAGAGGGCAAAGTACTCTGACACAGAAGCTGCTCCCAGCCTACACCTGCCAACAGGGCAGCTCCCACAACAGTGCTCCCGATGTCTCTCTGAGCACAAGGTGTCTTTGATTTCTACCAGAAACTGAGGAGTTGTCCCCACTTAACCACATGCAATTGACCACTAAATCTGGCCAATTCTATCTTCTACATGATTTAGATTTGTTGCTTTCCTTGTCAACCCCCACTAGGGCTTTAATCCCTGCCCTTACCTCTCCCCTGAACGAACTATCTCAATATCCCCTCTGCCTCCAGGCTCACATCATTTTCACCTGACTTCATGTCAGAGTAATCTTTTCTTACCATCTCCCTCCCCAGCTTTATTAAGGTATAATTGACAAATAAAAATTGTAGTTAAGGCTACCAGCAGTGGCTTACACCTGTAATCTCAGACTTCAGGAGGCCGAGGCAGGCGGATCACCTGAGGTCAGGAGTTTGAGACCAGCCTGGCCAACATGGCAAAACTCTGTCTCTATTAAAAATACAAAAATTACCAGGGTATGGTGGTGCATGCCTGTAATCCCAGCTACTTGAGAGGCTGAGGCAGGAGAATTGCTTAAACCCAGGAGGCGGAGGTTGCAATGGGCAGAGATCATGCCACTGCACTCTAGCCTGGGCGACAGAGTGAGCCTCCGTCTCAAAAAAAAAAAAATTGGGGGCCGGGCATGGTGGTTCACACCTGTAATCCAGCACTGTGGGAGGCCAAGGTGGGAAGATCACGAGATCAAGAGATGGAGACCATTGTGGCCAACATGGTGAAACCCTGTCTCTATTAAAAATACAAAAATTAGCTGAGTGTGGTGGCGTGCACCGGTAGTCCCAGCTACTTGGCAGGTTGAGGCAGGAGAATTGCTTGAACCCAGGAGGCAGAGGTTGCAGTGAGCCGAGATCGTGTCACTGCACTCCAGCCTGGCGACAGAACAAGACTCCATCTCAAAAAAAAAAAAAATGTAGTTGATATGTACACACCTTATGAAATGCTTAACTCAAGCTAATGAACATACTTGCCTCACACACTTGTGTGTGTGAGGATCTACTTAGCAATTTTTATTGGTCAGCAATTAGGATCTACTTAGCAATTTTTAAGCATAATTATTAACTATAGTCACTGTGGTACAATAGATCTTCAGAACTTATCCTTCCTAACTTTGTACCCTTTGACCAACTTCTCCCCATTCCCCCCATACACACCCCCACCAGCCCCAGACAACTCCCATTCTACTCTCTGCTTCTGTGAGTTCAACTTTTTTAGATTCCACGAGTAAGGGAAATCATGCAGTATGTGTCTTTCTGTGCCTGGCTTATTTCAGTTAACATAATGTCCTCCAGGTTCATCCATGTTGCAGCAAATTAGATTAGAAAAATCTTCCTAAAAATCTCACCTGGTCACAGCACTTGCAGCTTTAGATTCTTCAATGCTTCCAATTCCTATAGAAGAAGATTCTCAAACTCTTCCTGACTTCACAATCAGATATGCCCGGTCCCACTGCCAGAAAAACTGATCTTAAGGGGAGGGGGAGGGATTGGATGCGGGAATCTGCATTTTCAACAAGTTCATCGGGCAATTCTGATAGAGAGCTACATCACAAGAACCCTGCCCTAAAGTTCACGCTTTCCAAATCCATCTCCAGGCCCACCACCTCCTCCTCCAAACCTCTGCAGATGCTATTCTAATCTCTCTACTGGAGTCACCCTGCCATTTAAGTGTGCCTGGCTCATTTCTACTCACTTTTCCAGACATGGTTTAAACATCACTTCTTCGGGAACATTCCTCAAACACACATCTCTGCTCTGGGCATCCCAAGCTCCCTTTGCATAGCAGAGACAACACATTAGATTTCCTTTTCTATCTCTCTTACTAGTCTCAGAGATGCAGGAGAGAGGGATTTTTTTAAATCACCACTAGTACCCTGACACTCAGTAGGCGCCCAATAAATGTTGCTGACCACATTTTGAATAAACGAACAAAGGCATAAACTTTGAGCAAATGCAAAATGGATATCTGGCAGTGTTTACCCTCAGACAGTTTTTCATTACTCCAGAACAATAAACTAAAAGAGAGGTTAGAGAACAGGGAGGAGAAATGCCAAAGGAATGAAATTAGTCCAGGCACCAGCACAGACTTTTACAATGCAGTTTCTGGTGATTGCCGTTGTAACTTGGGGATCCTTTACAAGGGTATAATTTTCTAATCGTGCTGCAAGCTAACTACTTTTATGCTAATCTCTCTCAATAAATACTATTGCTAGAGAAGATACATGTACTTGTTTGCACTGTAAAGGCCAAAAACCTTGAAAATACCACTTTTAAAACTTTTAACTTCCATTCCAGGTATTTGTGCCAAAATTTTCCTCAGTTGCAATAATGGTTGCAGGAGGCACTCAATAAATGTCTATTGAGAAAGGTGATCATGCAGGCTGCAAATCTACAAAATCCTAAAGCCACCCCTCCACCAGATGACCTTCAAAAAGGAGATGTTTTATAAACCCTTTAGCCCAACTCCCAATAATGGATGATGAATCAATGTGTGATTTTCTTGACAGAACCATTATTTTGCAACTTGTTTATATCTTTTAAAGTATGAAAGAGACTTCTCTAGGTCTCTGGCAAGTTAAACTCCCATAGCAATTACCTTTAGAATTTCCTTGATCAGTCAGGCAATTCTACATACTGACATCTTAGGATGAAAATATGTTTAAAATAAAATGCCTTTAACGTGAAAACTACAAACTCCTAAAGAGCAGCCACTTGTGTTATGGCAGCCTGGCGCCAATTAAGAAAAAACTTCATTCTCAGCAAGTGCTCCGCTGATTGGTTTATGGTCCCATCTTTTCAAATCAAATATTTACTGTCTCATATTGCTCTCTATTAAGACTTTCTCTTCCAGCTTTATGATGAATTCGTATTCCCAGGTCTGAAAGCTATTCTGAGTCTTTCACTAACCCCATGAAGATATTAAAATTTTCAATAGCCTTGTGAGGAAAAGAGTCTTGGGGAAGTTCAACATTCAGGGAGACTTAAGACCTGTGAAAGTAACATGGGCAAATATGCTTGTTAAATATTTGAATATCCCCCAAGAGCCTAGTTGGCCCCAAGTAGTGGTCACAAGTGATGTGCAAGTTACTAGTTTCCATCAAGGCACAGTCAGTGTATGGTATTGTAAACCTCCCTCTTTGCAACTGACATCCACTGGTCTAGCTCTTCCCCTCCACGGACACACCACCTGTGCTTCCTTCCAGACACTTGCCTGTATTTGTAGATAGCTAATGTGTCTCCCAGGTCTCAAGGGTAACAACTCACTGTTTTAATTGCCCTGCACATGCCAAACTTTTATATCCACTTGCATTTTAGTCACTCTCTGCCCAAAAAAGCATTCTTGAGTGTGTCCAAAAATCAATGAAGATTTCATGCGTCAACTAAGCCACACAAAATAAGGCAAATCTCTACCTTGTGATGGACACACGTGATTCCCACTAACACACTGTAAGATCACCCTAGGAGTTTTTTGTTTTTAAAAAGATGTCAAACTTTTGACTCATATACTTCCATTCAACTAAAATGTTGAAGGCATTTTTCACATGTGATGCTGTAAAGTGGCTCCTTCTTTATTCATCATGTAGACGCAGCTGGTGTCCTGAATATCAGAACAAGATGTAATATTTATTCCCTATTAAATTTCATTCTGTTAGATTCAGGTCTTTGTTCCAGTTCACAGGGATCTTTTTGGATCCTAATTCTCTTCGTCAATGCACTCCCCTAGCCCTTCCAGCTTAACTTCAAAAGCAGATTTGATGAGCCTCCCCGTGATGTTCTTGGCCAAGTCATTAAGGAGCCCAGGATCACTCCCTGGAGATGCCTCCAGGCATCACTCACATTACCCAACACTCTTTGGATTCAGATGCTCAATCAGTTATGACTTGTACATGAGACTTGAGACATGAGACTTGTGGGGGAGTTCAGGAAAGGCCTTTCTAAAATTCAGCACAACCATTTCCTGAGAAATCCTATCAAAAAGGATGAATTTCCTCTGATATGAATGGCTCATCATTAACCACACTGGTTTCCAGTGGCAATCTCTTTCCCTTCTTCTGGACTACTGCAGTGAAGGTTTGCCGTTCCTTTTGGATGTCCAGTTTCTGAACACCCTTCCTATGTTTGAGGGTTCTGCCAATGAGAGAGACCTAGTGGGGATGAGGGAACTCCAGCTTCTACTAAGGAAGGTAAAAAGGAAGCTAAACACATGTACAGTCTCACAGAACACAGGCAGCTAGAGCACAGACAATTTACCCAGGCTCAGCAAATAGGTGTGCCTATGTAGGACTGCGTTTGGAGTGCATGGCACAGAAGGCGAGGGCAGTTCAGAATGCATACGGCAGGCAGAGTCAAGGGTCCAGCAAGCAGCAGTGACTGTCCTATAGCAGGGGCACTGTGGCAGCCTTCTAATGCCTCCATTCCCTCAGCACAAGCTGGCTGTGTTCTTAGCTGCCTGGCCTCTCCTGGTGCCTGCCATTTTCTGAGAGTGGCTCTCTAGTTTTTCCATCAAGTTATCCAATATCCTTCTAAAAATATTCATTTGTACTTAAGTTATTCAGATTTGGTTTCTGTTGTTTGCGACCAAGGACTCTGACAACAGCCTACGAATCTATTGATTAATCAATCTAGAATTCTGCCCAGGGTCCATAGCAACACAGCAGAATCCACCCCTACCCCTTTTGAAAACGAGAAGTGACTATCTCCACTTCTGGCACTGTTCTCACTCCCCAGGAATTCTGAAAGATGGGTCAGTTGTAAGCTCAGCAATTCCATCTACAGGTTTTCTCAGGACACTGGGATGCAATTCATCCAAAAGAGAGACTCTGAACTCATGTAGACTGAAAGGTGCTATTCGTCTAATCTTTTCACTTGTCTTATGTTTCTAATCTCTCTTACCAAGGCTTGTTCCCACCGTTTCCAATCATCTTATCAGTCTCTTTAACAAGAATACAAAAACAAACAAGAAATGTAGTATTTTTCCTTCGTAATGGATCCAGAACTCCAAGTAGTAGTCATGTATCCTTGTGCTTTTTTCTTTGAATAGCTAAGTGGTCTTTGCCCACGAGGGTCCAGAAACCCTCTTACAGCAAACAGCAGGTGGTTGGCCTCTGGATATATTTAAAAGAAAGTTACTCTCTCATGCCTTACTACCTTTTTCCTCCCCAAAAAAACTTAGTCATCACACTTTATTCCAGCATAGGTCAATAAAGCATTTAATTACCAAGTCATCCTTCCTAAGTTTATATTCTCAAAATTCCAAGGCAGTATAACCATTCCTATTTTTAAGGGAATATCAGGTTGTATGACCCAATGATTAGCCACATTTTTGTCAAGTTTTAACTTTCGCATTATGTATCTAAGTTCTCTTCTGGAGAAACAAAGTTGAATAGACTTTTCCAACTCATTACTTTTTCAGACTTTATGTAATCCTGAGAGCCTTACATTATATAATGCTGTTTTTAAATTTTTAACTAACATAAAAATACAAGGTATAGTTTCATGTAGATGACCACTTTGTTATGCTAATGAAAGATGAAGGCTCAAAAGCCATGAAGGAAATTAAAACTTTCCATTTCTATTAAGTTTTAGCTACTCCATCTAGAGATCTTTCAAAAAAAATCTAGCCTAGGCAAGGTGCAGTGGCTCACGCCTATAATCCCAGCACTCTGGGAGGCCGAGGCAGGCAGAGGTCAGGAGTCTGAGACCAGCCTGGCCAACACGGTGAAACCTCGTCTCTATTAAAAATACAAAAAATTAGCAGGGTGTGGCAGCACGTGCCTGTGATCCCACCTACTCAGGAGGTGGAAGTTGCAGTGAGCTGTGATCGCGCCACGTCACTCCAGACTGGGTGACAGAGCAAGACTCTGTCTCAAAAAAAAAAAAAACAAAAAACAAAAAACAAAAAAAACTAGCGTATTGTAGTTCCAATAGATAAATATATAGCAAGTTATGTTTCAGAAAGGGATGGTAACTTCATAAGTGGTAAGTAAAAATCATGCTTCTTCAAAATTAAGATACAATAAATACCTTTAGAACATCTAACAACAAAAGAAGAAAGGAGACAGGTAATTGGCTAAGAATCCGCAAAAAAACAATAAAACTGATGACTATAATAACACGAAACTTTAGAATTTCTATCTAAAGAAGACCACTATGGACAAAGTTAATTTATAAGCAGCTGAGAAAGTGTAAGCAGATAATTTAAATGTATAAAACTGACAAAAGATTAAATTTTACAATACCCAAGAAACCCCTACAGATCAACCAAAAAAATTCCAGTTAAAAAAAATGGCCAAAGGATATGAAAGGCAATGTACTGAAGAGAAAAACACTCACACACACAAAATAATATGCACTTGATGACATGCTCAAACAATGGTAATTAGAGAAACGCTAATTAAAACAAAAAGTTACTACTCTATACCAATCAGATCAGCAGATATCAGGAAGCTGAAAGACACCAAGGGCTGACAGGGATGTGGGGGACAGGGAACCCCTCATGTAAGGGCTGGGGGATATGTACCTGATAGGCCACTAGAGAGATCAATCAGGCATTAAGTATTATAAAATGATGTACTGTATATAATTATTCTATGACTTAACAGCCCTGCCCCTGGGTATAAATCCCATGGAATTCCTCACTCGGGTCCAGAAGGCAACAAGGACAGAAATGTTCACTGGAGCACTCTTTGTGGTGGCCAGAAGTTAAAAGCAACCCATCAATGAGAAAGTGGTTAGTAAACTGCAGTGGATGCATCACAGGCGGCAGAAAGAGACAAGAACTGTATGCACACAGGCCAATATAAAAGGGGCCTGAGAAACATGGTGATTTACATAATGTGTAATTTAAGATACTATGTATCCTTTCTCTCTCCTGATTTCTTCCAAAATCCGTGGGGATATATACCTTTTTAAGATGCAAATAATATAAGCAATATAAGATAGAAAACGAAAATACATTCAAATGAAACAATACTGGTTGTGCAATAACTCATTCAAATAAAAAGATGTACATTAAAATGACTGCCTGTGGGGGATGGGACAGAATAAAAATTGACTATGGGATAAAAGGAAAGGGAGGGAAAAAGGAAGGACATTTCACTTAATAAAGCTTTTAACTGATGAAAAGATGATGCTTCCCAGGTGTCAATAGTTAGCGGCAGTTTTTCTTCGGGGCGAGGAAGGTTATGCATATATGCACACATGATCTGGGTAAACATGGTGAGCTAAAACCTACATATGTCTGTGTTTAAATCCATTATATTTCATTATTTGTATCCAAAATTTACTGAACATGGTTTGGATTCACAGCAGCAGCAGATATTAAATAAAATACACTACATGTTTAAATCAAACAAAATTAAGACACTTAGAAGGATTTGAACAAGTTAAAATATTCATGCACATCATTGGTGGGTTTCTGAGCTAAAAATGGGAGAACTTATAGTTTGCCAATGTAAGACACTGACATTACAAGATGCTTTTAAAAATTAAACAGCATTTTTTTCACATTTTTAATGATCTTCTAAAGTTGGTCGGGCTCACCACAATCTAGGATAATGAAACACACTCTTTAAAGAGTGAGTGAATTAGTTGGTTTTATTTTCACAATTACATCAGGAAAAAAATTAACTTGGACTTTGTGTAAGATCACTGCACCTCACTTGAAAGAGCTTAATTTAACCTCTCATCACTGTTGCCCAGTCATGGATGTTATAGAGTTTTGTAGTGGTATGGGAGTGGTTAATTCTTGAAGGAAAATTATTCTCTCCAAAACCATATTCCCACATTAAGGCAAAACCGTATTTTATGGCTGTGGCAGACTTTGTAGACTGGCTACCAAAAAGCCATTAACAGCCCCTTCTTCCTGGTCATCCTCCAATGCAGAATTGGAAATTTTCCCAGATACTCTTGCAGCTTAGGGTAAACATGGGAGTCAGTTCCGACCAAGAAAACATTCAGAGAAGTTGCTAGATAGGTCTTAGGGAAAGATTTCTGCCAAGGGACAGACTTAGCTGGTAGGTTCCCTTTTACCCTTCACTCTTGTACCCTCTTCACACTGGAACACAAATGTGATGCTGGAAACACAGCAGGAGGATAAAAGACATGCCCCAAAGAACAAAAGAATGGGAAGACGAGGTCTCCATCCTCGATAATGTCCTAGAGCAACTGCACCAGCCCTTGCCAAGTGAAATAGAAATAGACAAACTTCTTATTGGTTAAGATACTATCAGTTGGGTTTTACCTAAATGCATTTTCAACTGACACAGCAGCAATTTAAAAAAATACAAAAACTGTGCAAAGTAGAAAATGCTTATAACAGATCAAGTGAACAAGACTATGAAATGGCACACACACACAATCACAGCAACCATATAAGAAAAAACTAATGCATGGTAAAATATTAAAATACAACACCAGTGTAAAAATGGTTGTGTCAAGGAGGTAGGCCTATAGAAGGGTAAAGTGACAAAATGATTTATCTTTCCAAATTGGGACACTTCAGAGCGAAAGGGCGCGATTAATAATTATGTTAAGTGTAAATAGAGATTGTCCCAGGCAAGCTATAATATCTGAGTAATGTTTTTAGTTTGTTTGAAAACTTTCAGGTAACGTCCTTATCTCACCTTTTGAGTTACAAAAGGGCAAAAAAAAAAAAAATCATGCTTACTTTCTCTAGTCGACCGCCTAATCACAGCCCTTCATCTTCTTGGGAACTTACTCTGTGTTTGTTCTTATAGGGATGTCAGTGCAAAATAGTTCTAGTGAGATACACTGCCCGGCATCCTCAAGGAAAAGAAAATTTCTTGCTTAATATTTTTCTTTATGCCTTCAATTAAAAAGTTTTTCTGAGAAATTCCCCAGCCAAACTTTCATGTCATTGAGGTACACTTTATCCAAAATATAATACAGTTCGTGTTCACCAAGTAACATAATTAAATGGCTTCCACAATCCTGATTTATAATAAACTCGGGAAGGAATCAATTCACCTAAGAGAAAAGTAAATCAACGATTAGGAGTTGGTAAATTATTGCAAATTAGTATGATTGTATTAAAAATTAAAATATTTTAATTATATGTTTCTTAAAACTGAGACCCATACACAATGAAGGAGTGGTTATTTGTACCACCGGAGAAGAGTCTGCAAGAGCTATGACTAATCCAAAAATCACAGTAACTCCAAGAGCCATTTATATTTGACCTTGGCGTATTTGCTCCTATACTTCCTTTGAATAAGATGAAGACGCATAGGACTGTCACTTTTCATAATGGTCTCACAAAAATTATAACCAGGCAGTGCAAAAGGTTAATTGCCACACCTTCGCTGGAACTCACCCCAATTCTGCAGTGTAAACAACCAAATTTGAGCAAGGCATTAGAAAACCCGGCACATCCCAGCAGTCACCTGGCTTCCCAGGCTCACCTCTTGTCATTTATTCCTACTACCTGAATGCCAGACAGACATTCAACTTCACACTAAGGAGATAAGCTTCATCCTCAGACTTGGCCTTTGCCCATTTTTTCCTGGCAAACCTATTCTTCATTCAAGGCTTACCTCAAATGTCACCTTTCAAATGCCGACACCCAGTAACCCAGCCCAAAAGCAAAACTCCTTCCTCCACACCCCCACCCTCACTGTACTTCTCACTCTCTCATTCCAGAAACAGTGCCTCTTGGCTCTTGCAAGCTCTCCAGGCCCTCAACAGTTTCCTTTTCTCCAGTGCAGGCACTGCAAGCAGCACTTCAAACACCTTCTTTAGCCAGTAGCTTCAAGTTCAGACCCTCCTCACCTGTCCAACTTCCCAGCCCAAAGCCAGGCAGCCTTAGTTCTACCCTGCTTTCCTGGTATTTGCTCCCTACCTCTCCCACTGCTGCTGAGCCCAGGAGGGAGAATGTCAACTGGGTTGCAACACTCTACAGTCCTTTGTATGTGATCCTCACCTGCTTCCTCCCACAGCAACCATCCTCAAATAGCCTTGGATGTGTTTTACCCATGCAGTGTTGCAAAGAAAAGGAGCTGTGTGGAAACTGGTACTTTTCACTACACCCACTGATCTCTTCTCATTTTAAATAAATACGCATAGGGTACACCCCCTTCTCCACCAGGAGCGCCCACTCTGTAGAAGCTATGGCACATTTCGAGATTGTTGAGTCTTCAAGCAGCATCCCCGCCCCAGAGCACATCCACCTAGAGGTTGAGAAGATCACCCTTCTATCTCTTTAGTTTCAGCTTCCCTGAAAACTAAGCCTGAGATGTGGTAGATGGTGGAGGAGAAGGAAATTCTCATGCTGATTTTACAGTTTTCCTCTAACTGAATTCTTATACAGGCACTAGACTGAGATTTAGAAAAAGGAACATGTACTAAGGATGCTGCAGTCTCACTATATCCAGTAAGCTCCTTATTTTTAGAGCTCTGGATACTTCCTGGGTGCTTTTTTCCCTCTGCAAGTCTAGGGTAGTTTTGAGATTCCTCCCGCGCTAGCTCCTTCCACTGTGCCAAAGCAGATCTGCTAAGTCCCACTGTTGCTAGTCTCTCAGCAACCAGGAGCTGTCAATCAAATATGGTCAAAGCCAGGTTTCCTCCCACCTCTGGCTTCCCCCTACTACCTCTGAATATTAAGCAAATCATATTTCACAAACATGGACAGTTCTCTTGAGAAAGTCTGATGTCCTGAAGATTCTCTTAAACAAAATTATACCAAACCAAGAATTAACATTCCAGCACTTGCTATGTACCAGACAATATTCTAAACACTTTACACGAATTAACACTTAGACCTCACAATCACCTTGTGGGGTTAGTACTATTATTGTTCCCATTTTACAGAGAAGAGTCGTCTTCCTCTTGGGGAAATCTAACTAGGATACGTGGCAAATCTGCTTAGTTCCCACTAACATACCCCCGATTCAGCATCTCTCCACAACCCACTCTAGACTCCCTTCTTAAATGGATACAAATTACCAACTGAGGCAGAAAAGTGATCTTTCAAATCCTTTCTATAAAGTCAGTAAAAAGCCTGGAGATTAAGTTTCAAACATCTTGCATATCTGCTACAAGCAAGGAGACTAAAAGTCAAAGAAAGTAATTAAGCAAAGGAGATACTAACACTCAGAAAGGCTGTAAACAAGACTCTCGGGATAAAATATTCTGTATAAAATCCACTCAGAAATTAGAGTTCCCTACATTAGGCCTCGTGACCATAGGTATTGATATCTAATTACAGAATATTAAGCCAAAGATAGAAAGTATAACTAATTATTTCTTTACATTTCCAGTTGTTATCATAAAATAAAACTGTTCCAAATTAGCACAGCTTTGATTGTACTCTGAGTGATCTGGCATTTGGTACAAAGCCATGAAACAACTCACTGATCCCATGGAATTACTTCCTCATTTAAATTCAAATGGAAGATTTTCCTTACCATATAGTGAATAGGAAATGATTCAATAAATAAGGCAAACTTCAAAATGCGATTCTTTTAAAAGCTAGGCTCACTATTGATAAATACTGGACCCTGGCCCTTAATATTTTTAATTTACAATGAATACATGAAAATGGATTGCATTTTGACAAGGTGAATACCAGATTTCTTCACCACTTGCTGAAGAACAAAAAAAATCAATTATAATTTGTTGGAGATACTATTAGCAGCAGCAGCCACATTCCATAGACTAACGTATTAAGCAAATAGGTAGTGTTCCTAAGATTTCAGTCCGTCTGCAGTAAAATGAAGAACAGATTAAAATTCACTGACCATAAGTGGTGGAGTAGGAACTCGGCATCAACAAGGACAAAGAATTAACTAGGTGAGAATTGGCGACCAACTATGACTCTGGGGTTGCTAAGTGGATATCACTGCACTCAATAATTCTGCCAGCAGCATTTGGGGACCTAGTTCTGGCCACATAAAAAGATGAGAGAAATGTAATAAGCAGCAAACATCATCACATATCCTAAAATGCGACTGAATCTCATGAAAAAGAAAAACAAGACAAAGAAGGTTTCTCCCAGAGGAACAAGATACCAACAGTTACAGTACAGTAGTGTATTAAGTATAACCTACTATTTCTAAATGGAGTAATTAGCTAGGTGTGAATGAGGGGCCATCTGAAAGAAGAGCAACTAATGAATCAAACGCCCATACATTTTCTTGTATCATTCCTTTGTACAAGTTTCCATTTCACCCATGGGTAGAGAGACTAGATATATAACTCATGGTCTAAAGCAGTTCATTTTTCTGAGTAAAAAGGGGCTATTCATAATTATGCAAGACAGGCATACACAGGTATGGTCAAACTTCCCTTTGACCACACTGTTTTCTGACCCCCATATGCTCTTCCCCTTAGCCCAAAGCATGATGTTCGCCTCTTTCCTTCCCTTTGCATCTGGCTACGCCTCCTCATCCTGCAGCTCTCACTGTAGAGGCCGCCTCTTTCTGGCAGGCTGCCAGTCAAGCCCCAGTCACTGCCCTGCTACCTGGTTGCACACAAACCAACCCTTATTCTTACCCTAGCATTGGCAACACTTCATTATAGGCAACCTGTTTACTCACCTGGCCCCTTTACTAGCTATGCCAAAAGTTTATTCCAAAATTTCATTTGCATGCTGTGATTTTTAAATGGCCTCACATTTCTCAGGACTATTAATTTATAGGAAAGTAATATTTAAAACGATAAAGTCACAGCTGCATGAATTATAGGGGCTTCAGTATCAAACTGTGGGCTTACACATTTTATGGAAAAACAGCAGTCCTTGAAAAGAAGAGACACCAAAGTGGTTTCATGCTTATTTCTATTAGATGAGACACTCCAGCCAATTTCTCTACTAAATTAGCTTTCCTTGCCATAGTAGAGTTAATGTGATAACAACTGTCCCAAAGGCTGTATATTTTAAGTCAAATGAAAAAAGCAAATGTGCAACAATGAATACTCCATTTTATTTGGGGCATACCACACAATTCATTTGGTGTGATTTGTGCAATTTTTATTAGACTACAAGTTCCATGAAAGAGAATCAAACAGCAGAATACAGATGACCAGATATGACATGGGAAGCAAGAATGGTACACTTCTAGCTGACTGGAAGTCTGGAGGGATAAACATCATTACCATCAGAGAGCGGTCTGAAGAGAAAAACATCATTACCATCACAGACATTTCCAAGTCATCCAGAATAAAAATATGAGCCAAGGTTTAAAGGCTCAATCAAAAGCACCTTTGTAAACGTGGTCTTGGCAAATGTAAGACTAATACAAAGATTCTTGGGGGCAGGAATATACTGAATAACTAAATGAATAACCTTCCTGGACCACTGCAACCCTGGTTGCAAATTAGGAAAACTGAAGTGTTCGGATCTGACCTAAACCAATTAAACTAGAATTTCAAAGGAGAGTACCCATGTACTGGTATTTTTGAAAAGCCCCAACGGGGCTCTAACGTACATTCAATGTAAGAACTACTCTTCTACTTCCAATAGGTTTTTCCAGAACCAGAGATTGCTGCAAGAAGCATTTATGGACTATTTTCTATGTGCTAGGCACTGCTCTAGGAACATGTATTTATTATCTCATTCAATACTCACAATAACCCCATAGAATAGATACTAATATACCATCCCACCACATTTTACCAGTGAGGAAACTGAGACTCAGAAGGATTACATAATCTGCCCAAAATTCCACACCCAATAAGTGAAGAAAATGTGATTCAAATCTCAGCTATCAGTCTCCCAAGTTGCCCGTCTTAACGACTCTGTAGTTCAAATACTACCACTAAAGACATCCCGAGATGTCCTAAGTGCCTCCATACTGAAGAAGTCTGTCGGGGTTGGGGGTTAGGTGATCACCAGAGTGAGGGCATGAGAGAGATGTTGCTATTAAATATGTTATTAAAACTAGAGCAAATAAAAGATAGTAAGAATCATACCATTTAAAATAGTTCTCTGCTAAGAAACAGTATTCTTACAGCAGATATACTTTTGTCATTAATTATTTAAAGGCAAATAGGGATTTGGAGATGGTCATGAAGAAATGTTCATCTTGTTCTTGCCACTGGATCCCAGCCATTGTTAGCCGCTAAAAGACATAGCACATGGCATGCAACTGTCCCCACTCTCTCTTGTTCCACTGGTCTCCCTCCTAGATCATTCCTATCAGCATATAAGCATGCTCTAATACCTAAAAAGAAACAAACAATCAAAGACTTGCTTGTCCCCATGTCCCAATAGCTATTACCTCATTTCTTTTAAACAAAACTCTTCGAAAATATTCTCTATATGCACTATATCAAGTTCTCCTCCCATTCCTCTTTAATCGGTTTTGAGGAATTCTCACCCACTGCCTCTTCTGATAGTACTCTGTTCTTTTCCACCTTTCCTCTTCTTTCAGACTCCACTGACATGTATGTTAGACCTTCCACCCACATTACACATAACTCTTCAGCTCTTATCTGTGCTTCAGCCTGAAGATGTCCATCTGACTTGCCTTCCAGTTAACTCTCTTTTCAGGTGAGTCTAATCTTCCTTTAAGTTCTTCATTTTGACTATTTCACTTTCTCGTTGTAATGTTTCCATTTGTTTTTAAATTTCCAGTTCTCCTAACAAAATTCACAGTCTCATCTTTTAATTCATTGAACATACTGATAGTTTATTTTAAAATCTGTGCCCATTTTCTGAATTGTAGGTTTCTATTCTGGGTTTTTTCTTCTCTTGGTTTTTGAGCAAGTCTTATCCTCTCCTTGTTCTTCTCTATCTACACTACAAGTTCATGGCCTCATCCAGTCTTGTGGCTTTAAATAACTTCTTTATGCTAATAATTCCCAAAGTACTATTTCTAGCTCTTTTTCCCCTTAACTTCAGATTCTTAGATCCCTCTGCCTACTAGATAGCTACACTTGGCTGTCTTGTAAGCCCATCATCAAAGTTAATATGGTCAAAACTAAACTCCTGATTTTCTATTTTCTTTTTTTTTTTTTTTTTGAAATGGAGTTTCACTGTTGTTGCCCAGGCTGGAGTGCAATGGTGCCATCTCAGCTCACTGCAACCTCCGTCGCCCGGGTTCAAGCGATTCTCCTACCTCAGCCTCATGAATAGTTGGGATTACCAGTGCCCGTCACCACGTCCACCTAATTTTGTATTTTTATTAGAGACGGGGTTTCACCATGTTGGCCAGGCTGGTCTTGAACTCCTGACCTCAGGTGATTCACCTGTCTTGGCCTCCCAAAGTGCTGGGATTACAGGCGTGAGCCACCACACCCAGCCTCAAACTCCTGATTTTCAGCACCTTCTCTTCTAGCAATCTTCCACAGCTCAGTAAATGCCAATTCTATTCTCACACCAGAAACTCTTGGTACCTCCTCTCTTTCTTACACCCTACACATCCAGTCCATCAGCGAATCTTTGAATTCATCTTCAAAATGCATATGGGATGCAACTCTGGTTACTTCTCACCACCTCCACCACCACCACCCTGGCCCAAACACCATCCCCACTCCTGGGTATCACTGCAGTAATTCTAGCTGGTCTCCTCCTTCCATCTTAGCCTCCCACAATCTATCCTCAACATGGTAGCCAGAGTGATCTTGGTTTTAAGACTTAAGAAATGTCTTTCATTCCTTTGCTCAAAACCTTCCACTGACTTTTTTTCTTAACCAGTATAAAAAGCAAAGTTCTAAAAATGGCCCACAGGTCCTATATAATCTGCCCCATTATCTCTCTGATAATGTCCCTTGCCCACTCTATTCCAGCTACAGTGGCTTCCACTGCTGTTCCTTGAACAAGTCAGAAGTCAGACATGCTCCTTTCAGGGCTGTGCACCTTCTCTTGCCTCTGCCTTGAACACCCTTTCCCCTGACATCCATGTGAATCACCCCTCACTTCCTCCAGCTCTTTATTCAAATGCTATCATCTCAAGGATACTTCCCATAACTGACCAGTAAAAGACAGCAACTCTTCTCATCACTCGCTATCTCCCTTAACCTGCTTTATTTTTCTCCATTTGACATCGATTTTTTAAATTAAGTTTAATTGTCTCCTTTCTGCATTTGAAACTCCATGAAGGCAGGATTTTTGTCTGTTTTGTTCACTGCTAAGAAACCAGCAATAGGTGAAGACCACTCCTAAAAAATAAATGTATCACAAAGGAGACCATTCCTAAAAAGGAGTTGGTGATTAAGATACTAAAACAATCCATGTATACACACATGCACTGAGGTGGGTGGCATACAGCCTAAGCACAAATATACAATCCTGAGGGCCCAGCAAGCAAAGCCCACAATTACCAAAGAGGTCAGGTGTGATGGCTCCCAGCACTGTGGGAAGCCAAGGCGGGTGGATCACCTGAGGTCAGGAGTTCAAGACCAGCCTGACCAACATGGTGAAACCCCGTCTCTACTAAAAATACAAAAATTAACTGGGTGTGATGGTGGGTGCCTGTAATCCTAGCTACTTGGGAGGTTGAGGCAGGAGAATCACTTGAACCTGGGAGGCTGAGGTTGCAGTGAGCCAAGGTTGAGCCACTGCACTCCAGCCTGGGTAACAAAGGCTCTGTCTCAAAACAAAACAAAACAAAAAATTATCAAAGACTTCACTAAATATCTTCATATCTTTAAGGGACTATCAATAAATATCTTTAAGGGATTACCCAATTTTTTCAAAAGAAAGGAATATTCTGTAGCTAATAATCTACAGTCTCCTGGAAGATTTTTTTTTCCAATTTCTTATTTTCATTATCTTTAAACAGATGGAAGCAATAAAAGGCATCCGGCATGCTTCCCATTCTAATTACTAAACTATAGCTTTTAAAATACTACTGTCCCTTTATCTTTAAAACAAACTGTGTTTGTGGATTGCCCAAAGTTCAAAATATTAAGTGCTCTTAAGCATATTACGAAGTGTCTACAGAACTAAAATCCTTGACTGTATTACAATACTTAATTAGAAAATAAAAAGGATTCTGTAATTAAGGTACTTTACATGATGGAAATGTGAAATGAAGAGCTTAAAATGAAATGATTTGACAGACTCTAAAGACAACTCTTTCTCTCACAACTTTTGATTGCCTCTCTGAAATGGAAGACTGTAACTTAATTAACCAGTATGTCTCACATATAGCCAACAAAACTCTGAAAGATAGGAAAGCAAAATGGAAGGGCAATAAGAATAGTCCAAAGAGTGTTGTGTGTGTTTTTTTTAAATAGCCCCAATTATCAGATAATATAGAATTCACTCAACACTCTATATTTCAAGCTCTATGAAGGCAGAGATGTCTGTTTTCTTCACTGTTATATCCCCAGAGCCTAGAATAGTGGCTGATAATAAGTGCTCATTAAAAAAAAAAAGGGATTAACTAGTACACTGAATACTGGGCACAGTATAGGGCAAACCTACTTGTTTTGATTATCACCACTAAAGAAGTATCACCTATAATGCATGACTCTCTTCTGATTTGGTTTGCATCCAAAAAGTATATTAGCTTATAACAGAGAATATTATGACATCCCACTGTTTCTTTCAAAATAAAAACTTAGGTGGACCTATTAATAAAATTGACCACAGCTCTTAGAACTCAATCATTGCTAAATACTTCAGAGTGTACCCTTTGGTTAAAAATATTAAATTCTTTTTTGTACCACATTTCATTTCCTAACTTATGAAGGGCAAATACAGATGTCTACTTTGGCTTTGAGTTTTCTTTTTTGGTCTTTCTCTTGCCAGATGAAATATTAATTCCATCTCCAAAGGTGATGTGGTAAATGCATGAAAGACCCAGGCTCTGAACAGGCAGATCTGAAAACCCTTAGATGGGGCAGGTAGTGCAACAAATACTATAGGCAGTCACCAAATATCCTCCTTTTCTTTCTCATTAGCCAAGTTCAGAGTTATTTCAGAAGAGCAACTTGCCTGGCAAAAACTAAAGGAAAAAAATAAATCTACATTCCCTGGACTCCTTTGTAACTATGAGTAGCCACAAAACAGTTCTGGCCAGTGACAGGAATTTAAACAGTGGCCAGACGGGCTTTTAGCCAAGCAGACAGCGGGAGCATGTCTTTTCCCTTCCCCCTTCATCCTGCATGGAAGGCAGATGCAATTACTAGAATTGGAGCAATCATCTGAAGACCAGGAGGGAACACACACATGCCAAGGATGACTGAATGTCAGGAGAGAAGGGCCTGGATTTCCCAAAGGAACATCGGAGTCACTGTACCAGCTGTGGACTGCCCACCTCATGTTTCCTTCATTGAGAATATAGAGAACCTCTATTAGGGTAAAGCCACTATGTTCACGTTGCGTTTCTTGCCACTGAATCTAATCCTGACTGATATAGACACTAGGGATGCCTAGAGGATCAGAGGAAATACTACTCTCCCAAAACTTATTAACTCAGCATATTTACTGCAATAAAAAAACGCTACATGCTAACATGTGATTTTTCACATTTTAGCAAAGCATTAATATTGAAAGCCTGACTGCAATAGTCTGGTGCTAAGAGAAATTAAGCTTTCAAGAAGACACATTTTTTATTAAATGAAATTAACTTTAGAAATTCACACAGGAGTTGGGAAATCCAGTCACCATTACTGACAAGTCTGAATTACAGAATTCAATTATATTACTTTTATTTTAGTAATTAGCAATATAATTATTTGTATATAATGTTTCTAAAATATTTGCTACCATCAAAAAAATAGTTTTATCCCCCAAATTAAAATCCTTCCCAAGGCTTACAAAAACTACTGACTTGTAAATGAAGACAATGTTTCCTAGACTGTGGTCAGGCAAGTCATACCAGCTTTACTGTATTTACCACAAATTTCAAGATACTGCAAACATGAAGTGAAGTTTTACTAAATATTTACAGATGTTCTCTAAGTAAGTCCCGGTTATGGTCAGGCTGGAGATGATGTGAGGCTTGACTTTTATAATCCCATATCCCCTGGTTTTGGAGAATAGAGAGGCTAAATACCCATCTGTGGATAATGTATAGCAGTGAACCACATCTCTATGTCTTCACAAGCATATGCCATTTTTGAGACAGAGTTTCACTCTTGTCCAGGCTGGAGTGCTATGGCGCGATCTCGGCTGACTGCAACCTCTGCCTCCTGGGTTCAAGCGATTCTCGTGCCTCAACCTCCTGAGTAGCTGGGATTACAGGCATGCACCAGCATGCCCAGCTAATTTTGTATTTTCAGTACAGACGGGGTTTCTCCATGTTGGTCAGGCTGGTCTCGAACTCCTGACCTCAGGTGATCCACCCACCTCAGCCACCCAAAGTGCTGGGATTACAGGTGTGAGCCACCGTGGCCAGCCACGCATGTAGCACTTTCATGTGCCACTCTTTCACTTTCCCACCCAGCAAACTCCTACTCATCCTAAGACACCCAGAAAAAATACCCATCTGTGGATAACATATAGCAGTGAACCACATCTCTATGTCTTCACAAGCATGTCTTCACAAGCAACCACATCTCTATGTCTTCACAAGCATGTGGCACTTTCAAGTGCCACTCTTTCACTTTCCCACCCAGCAAACTCCTACTCATCCTAAGATACCCAGAACAAATGTCTTGTCCTCTTTGTGAGGTCATCCCCTCAGTATGTTATTCACACCTCTGCTAGCACATGCGCTACACAGCATTATCATTACTTATTTATGGATCTCTTGTTTGGCTGTAAGCTGCCTGTGAAGACTATGCTTTCTTCATCTTTGCATCTCTAGAGTCTATGAAAGACATGGAAAAATATCAATCAATGTTGGCCAAATGACAAAATGAATGATTCAATAAATACATGATAACAAAAAATGCATCAGAATTTAAGTTATGACTTATAGGATCTACAAAAACCTAAACTGACTTTAAACAGAATCTTTAAAGGAAAATGCAGGGTTGCTTAGCTCACCATTTGGCCTACAAATCTTTTAAAACTCTGGATATTAAGACCAGCTTTTAGATTAAAAACACTTTAACATGTGTTTACAAATCCACTGTCTCATTGCCTACAGCATCCAAATGAGATGGATACATATGGCAACGTGATACATCAGTGAAAACAGATTCGAAATCAGATGAACCACGTTCAAGTCCCAGCCTTGCTACTTCCCAGCTATCAAACAAGGAAGCTATACTTCCCATCGTCTGATTGGCCGAATAGTCATCAAGGAAGTTCTCACTCCAGGCTGTGGACTTCCCCCAGAACTGGCAGCCCAGTCTCCAGGCTTCAGGCTGTTCCTGGCTTGAAGGAAGGGTTTTACCAGGGACCCACCCCTTCCCACTCAGGAACCTGTCTGCCTCCCGCCACCATCAACATGCCATCCATGGCATCCAGGCTACTTGCAAGGTAGCTTCCCCACCTACCTTGCAAGCTGTTGTGAGAATTTTTAATTATTTATTTTTTTAACAGAGTCTTGCTCTGTCGCTCAGGCTGGAGTGCAGTGGTACAATCATAGCTCACTGCAGCCTTGAACTCCTGGACTCAAGCAACCCTCCTGCCTCTGCCTCTCAAGTAGCTGGGACTACAGGCATGCAACACCATGCCCAGCTAATTCTTTAATTTTTTGTAGAGACTAGGTCTCACCATGTTGCTCAGGCTAGTCTGGAACTCCTGGGCTAAAGTGATCCTCCCACCTTGGCTGCCTACACTGCTGGGATTACAAGCGTGAGCCATCCCACCAGCTAAAAGTATTTGTTGCTGCATCCCTAAACCAGAGTACAGTGTCTGGCACCCAGGGGGCATGCAAACGTCACTAATGAAGGAACCATTAAAGAGACAGTGTTTGAACTCAAAGACTAGGCTTTTTTCCCACCACACCCTGCAAGCTCATAATGCTTATTTTACAAAATGCTGCTTTTCTGCAAATTCATTTTAACAATACTGGTTATTCTTTTCTCAGTAAAGTGTTTTCCTTGAAAAACTATATGCTAATTGTTGCCTTGACAATTCCACTTACTTAGGCTTAATTTGATATTGATTTAAAAGGAAAGAAGGGGAAAAAACCCATAACAGTTCTACAATTAACACATTTAAGCTCACATAAAACTTGGCTGGAAATAGGCCCGTCTTTGTAACACTTCATTTTTCTCAAGAATGGAACTGCATTCCTTTTTAGTCCAGACAGGCCAACCTAAAATGTTTAGCTGAAGAATCAAAGGTATGTCCATAATTATGCCTAAAAGCCAACTATGTAACCTATATATTTTTATGATGCAAATTTTAAAAAGCAGAAAAATATAGCCTGTATTCAATTATTCCTATTCCTCAGCTCTCTTTATACGCTGGATATATTCCACTTAATGCTTCTCTTCAGCATGACCAGCAGGTCCTGAAGTGGCAGCACCAGGTTACCCTGGACTGGAAAATGCAAACTGATCATCCAAAGTTCACTAGTATCCATAACATAAATATATACATGCGTACACTAAACTTGTATATAATTATTCTTCGTATAGTTTAACACAAACATATTCCCCCACATAAAAGCACTATGGAGGATTTTAAGAAGTATGTTTCAACTTTTTACTTTCCTCATTTATTTTCTGCTTTGCTGTCTCCCAACCTGTATGGGTGGGGTCCATTTAACCATTTCTGTGTTTTGTCACATTTAATTAGAATGAAGGAACCTGTACAACCATCAGTAACCACGGCACATTCTCCAGTCATCTTCATGGATAAAGGAAATGACAGGCAGCAAAGTAGGAAGAAAGAACACATAGAAATAAGCAGAACTCAAGCTGAATGGGTATTAAACTTCCCTTGCTGATATTACTCACGCATGTTATCTTTCATTCAGAGCCATACATTTACAGAAGCAAATTCAATTAACTGGAAATGTATACAGGAAATTATACTACAAATACCGATTTTACCTTCATTTGTAAAATGCTGAAGAAAAATATTACTACTGAATGGAGGAGGTGGATAGAATATCAGCACATTAACACAGAATATGCAATTTCTTTTCTAAGCAATATTAGGATAGAAATAAATTTATTCCATGAGGATACAATTAGAATGTTAAGGGGTCTCTGGGTATTGTCCAATTGCAATCAGTTTGCAGATTGCTAAACTATTAGAGACTCTGAAGATATTCTCCTTGGTGATAAGACAGTGTCCTCTGTTAAAACAATGCTAATTTTTATCTATACTTGTCTCTCAGTAAACTAGATAGGCTATTGATTTAGGCTGGACATCCAAATACCCAAACAACAATGAATGGTGACTAGATTCGGTCATTAAAAGAAGGCAAAGACAGATGATTTATTCAGCTGATCAGCAATCAATCCATGAAGTAGAAATAATTCATAAAACCTCTGGAATGAACATTTTTAAGTTTTCTACCTTTACTGAATCTTCTCAGAAACAGGGTGAATAATATTTACTCAGTAACTGCAAAAATAAATAGATAAAGGAGAGAGAGATTTGATACTACTGGGCAAAGTAAGACATATGAGCTCTCAAAATACAATTCTGCTTGGGAAAAATGAAACCACTACACCTAATATCTGAACTTACATGCATTACATACCCAAGAATTATGTCTCACAGGTATAAACAAAGGTGTTTTTCCTTTCCAAGGCACTAGAGAAGAAAAACATTTCACTTAGTAATTTATAAAATACATGTGGGCCTAACATTTTAGAGTACTTTAAAACTGGGAGGTATTCTTACTTCATAAAGTCAAGACACAGCAGAAAGCAGGTGCGCTTGCAATGCAAAAAGCATTCTTTTAGCCAATAAAGTGAGCTACCTTAGAATTGTCTCTGCATTGCATGGAAAAACCAGTGAACCTAATCAAGAGAGGATATCAGAGTTTTTTTAATCGAATCTAGAGTCCCACCCCCACAGTCTTCTCATCAATATTCCTCAATGCTTCCTCTTGCCCAATTACAAAAGACCAGATAACCCTGTGACTGATGGGTGAGACATACAAGCTTATTTTTCCCTGTTAAATGGAGTTAATATACCCAGGGAAGCTATTGCAATTACTGTCTAAATGGAAAAGGGTTAAATGTAGAATTTAATGAAACAGGATTTAACAACGTTCCCAACCTCATCAGCAAGCAAACAGGCAATTTCTGAGGAAAACATGCCAGAGAAGGCAAATTTTATGGAAGATAATGTGGAGACAACATTTATATTATTTCAGGGCTGTAAAAAAATTAAGTAAACTCTAACCCTGACCAATATTTGACATGCAGTGGTCAGTCCATTATTAAGACAAGTACAGAGCAGAAAGGTCTTCCAGCCCTTCTGCTGTACCAGGCCCCCTTGTGCCTCTGGCCCACCTGTGGCTGCCTGCACCAAGCCTGCCTTTCTCAAATCCTCTAGGAAGTCACATGCCCTGCTTTCTTCATTCCCAGATTCTTGGTTTATCTCCTTCAAGATGCCATTCCCAGCTTTTATACACTACTACTGAACTTTCAAAGCCATTAAATTTCTAAGGGCTTACATTTTCAATAAATATTTTCCAAGTTAAAAAAATAAATACAGGGGGAGATATTGCTAACAGTTTGTGGACTGCAATTTTTTAAATATATTAAAAGTTCTGCATCAGGCCATTTTGTGCCCTCACAACAGATACTAGCTACCATGCTTCAGCTAGGTTGGCCTGTTTACTAATGAGGCAATTTCCACAGTATGAATGTTAACACACATGCACTTCATACCACATTATGATGCATGAGTAAGAGTAGAATAATTACAAAGTGATGCATCTTGTTTCCCAAATTGGGTGTAAACTTGAGAGAAACTACTCTAGGTGCTTTCTTTGTAGCAAAGAGCCGTCTTTGTATTCTCTCCTCAGGGAGCCCTAGGTTTACGTATTTGCTGGCAAATCAGGCTGGACCTACCCTGAGATTGGTTTCCTGCCAAAGAAACTTGGGACAAAAGGTTGCATTGCATTGAGATCATTGGTCTCTGGCAAATTCACTCCTAGAACTGAAATCTCAACATCCAGATTACTGTTCTTCCTAATAACTTTCAGTTTCTAAAACTGGCTCTTTGTCATCTTTTATTACTGACCAGGAACCAAAAATCTGGGTTCTGGTTCCAGCTCTGCTACTATCCAGCTACATTAACTTGGGTACATCACTTCCATTTCTTTCGACTCCTTCAACACAATATGCTTAAACTTATTCATCTATGAAAATCCCATGAACCCCAATTTTTTTTATTTTAATGTGCAGCAATCTTCTAACATGAAAGCATCAACACCCTAGAGACAGTTATGAAGCACTTAACACCAAAGTTCTAAGACTCCCATCACAATGCAACATGTCTGAGCTGATCACAGGAGCTAAAATCAGTGCCTACTTCACAATGTTGCTGCTGTGGTGAAGGTAAAACCAAGGAATGAATGCAAAACATTTAGCTCAATGTTGTACATTTAGTAAAGCACTCAATAAATACTAGCTATTATTATTATTTATAATATTGAAACAAATATAATTGAACCTAGGTCCCTAGATTTTCATTAAAACCTACAATTTCAATGTAAATAAGTTGACAGAACTCAGTCTATTCATAAATTCCCTAAAAAAAAGAAATGATGCATTCACTTGTTGGCCACTAACCAAACATAATCACAGAAAGCATATCCCAGCAACCTAGAATTTCCATATTTAATTTTGTGTGATTCTCTCATCTTTGAGCTGAATCTTGTTTGTTTCCTGCTTAAAAACAATCTTAACATAATTCTGAATAAAGCCACCTACCAATAAAATGAAAAGTTATTTGTTCTATTAAAATGGTTTTATTGATGAAGCAAATTATTCTTTCCTCTAAACTTCATTTCTTAATTTTTATTTGATAATTAATTTGTATTCAAAAGAAACTTCAACAGTTAAATCTTTAATTTTCTCCTATCTCCTCTGTGCACCTGAACATTTCCCTTATCTCATTTCTCCTCTGAATCAAGAATTGCAAAACAGTACCTTCTGTAGCTCTGTCCTCATCTTCAAGCTCCCAGTCTCTTTGACCACTCCATCTCTACCTCTGGGCTCCCAGACCTTTTATGAAGCTACTGGAGAGATCTACTTACTCCACAGCAACCACAGTCCTTTAGAACCAAACCACTTTTGGTTGCCTCATAAAAACGACTGGGGTGAAGGATGTTTGATGGATACCACTCTCCCTTCTGACTGCTTAAAGGAGGATTATTCTGTACCACTTCTATGTCCCAGACACTAAACTTTAGCATCAGGACATTATTAAACATTACTCCTCAGAGGAGTCTCCCCTGGCCATCCCATCTGTAGCCCCTATTCTTTATCGCAGCACACCAATTCCTTGACAGCACTTATCACAGCATGTGTTTATTTAATGTCTGCTTCCTTCCCTAATCTGTAAGCACGATGAGGGCAAGGACTTTATCTGATTCATTTAACAATGGAGGCTGAATGTCTGGTACAGTGTTTCTTAAAACACAAGTATTCAATATATAATTGTTGAACAATGAATTCTGGGACACATATGTGGTTCAGCACTATGCCAGGCTCTAAGGAAAAAACAGGTACGCTCCTCCTTTACAGAACTTACAACTTTATTGAAGAAACAAGACACACTAGCTAGATAAAAATGCACACTGTCAAAAGGTATAGTATAGATTCCAAGCACCTAGGAAGAAAGAGACAAATGAATGACTGTAGCCATCAGAGGATACATGGAGAAAGCCAGACTTATGCTGGGCTTTGGTGAAGGAATTAAATTAGGGCTGGAGAAGAGTTCAGATGGCCTTGCACAGTGAGAGGAGGCCAGCAAAGCAGATGCCAAGGAGGAGATGTGAATCACCCTGGCCCATCTGGAAATGACACATGTGAGACTCATGCTGCTGAACAGAGAGCAAGCTGGGCAGCATGGCAACAGATTATGAAGGGCCAGATTAGAAAGAGCCTTGAATGCAACACTGAAGTATTTACATCTGACATCATCAAAAGGAAACCTCCACAGGCTGAGTAGGCAATGTCATGCTGGCACTGTGAGGGGGCTGGCCCAGCAGTTACAGGATCCACCAAGTAAGAAAAGACTGGAGGCCAGGGGACCAACAAAGGTGGAATGGTCGCTAAGGTACTGACAAGGGAAAGAGAGAAGTAACAAACACTGAAGACTGTGTAAGTTCCCACAACTGCCACCTCTTGGTCAGTAAAAGGGGATAAAAGCAGAAAGGGAGAAATGATGTGATTTTAGTGGGAGTAAGAATTAACATGCATCATTTGCATCAGATGAATGTACACTACCATTCCCTGGTAGATGAGACAACATAGTGCTATTAATGATGAATATTTAAGTCCTTATACCAACTGGTAACACTTAAGACTAGCTAAATGAGATTGATGGCAAGAATGAACTACTGAAAATCTATTATGGATCTAGCACAGCTCTGCCCTTTTGAAAAGTTATGACATCATAGGCTATGATATGACCTACTCCCTACAGACAGAACCGCGTGGGGCCTGACAAAGGCATTGACATACACATTAACAAGGTAAAGATCAAGAGCACAGTGATTCAAATGTTCAAGGTTGGTACTTAGTGGGGAGAAGCAATGAGAGCGCTTGCCTCAAAGAGAGCAAACAAATTTTTTTCCCTCAAATAAAAAGAGGAACCTAAAGAAAGCTAAATGTAATATTATTTATGCCCAAACTCCAAAGACAATTCTCAAAGTCAGGCATATTGTTAAAAGGAAATAAACAGACATACAACATTTAGGCAAATGAATTCCTAAGACCTACTATGAGCTAAGAACTGGCAACAAAAAAAAATTAGGAAAACGATGTTATTCTCTCTCAGCTTGCATTAAAGATTGAATTCTATTTCTTAGGCAACATGGATATTTAGGTAGATAGATAAATTGTTTTTTACATCTTTTTCAGAAATGAACAAATTTTAATTACAACTACTTTGTCAAATTTGTTATATCACTTTAGTCTTGAGTCTTAGGAAAACAGAGCAACCATCTTTAAACAAGTTGCAATAAAATAAATAAGCCAAGCTAATGAACTTTTTTAATTTAAATGTTCATTAGTTTGTACCATCTCTTTTTGTAATAATTATGAAATACTTATTACATTCCTGGCACTATGCAGGGTGATATGATTACAATGAACATCTCCTTCATGCAGCTTACATTCTAGCATTTGCTTTGACCTCAGAGTTTCAGATAGTCTTCTTGGATGAAGAAGATCCAAGCTGAAAAACCAGTTATATTGTGTGCTAGTGCCCAGGGCTTGAAACAAATAATTTAACTTCTTTGCTCCTTCACTTCCTAATCTGTAAAAGGGAAACAATTTTACCCAGTATACAACAATGTAATTATGGTAGGCAACAACTAAAATGGCCCCCAATAATCACCACCTCCTCAGATTGATGTCCCTAGGTAATCCCCTCCCCTTAAA
This sequence comes from Homo sapiens, assembly GCF_000001405.40. Taxonomy (NCBI): domain Eukaryota; kingdom Metazoa; phylum Chordata; class Mammalia; order Primates; family Hominidae; genus Homo; species Homo sapiens. Next base: position 66,652,025 of record NC_000005.10, on the reverse strand, counting down.
TGTGGGCTGGACCTAGTGACTTGCTTCAGATGACCAGAACATGGCAAAATTATAGACTATCACTTCCAACATTACAGACATACAAAGAAACTGTGACTTGTTTTGCTCACTCCATGTAGAGGTCCACATAGCACAGAACTGAGGGAGTTCTCTGGTCAACAGCCAGTGAGGAGAGGCCCTCAGTCCCACAGCAGTGAGGAAGTGAATCTTAGCAATAAGTACATGAGTGAGTTAGGAAGTAGGTCTTCCCCCAGCTGAGCTTTCAGATGAGACTGCAGGCCTGGCTTGACACCTAGAGTGTAGTGCTGTGAAAGAGTTGAGGCCAAGGCACCCAGCTAAGCCACATCCAGATTCCTGATCACCAGAAACCAGCAGATAATGCTGTTTAAAGCTGCTACATTTTGGAGGAATTTGTCACACAGCAATAAAGTAATCTATCTTTTATCCATTGTCATCTAGTATATCTGAAATTTATCTAATTAAGTTGCCAATGGTAACAATCACTATTGGTTGCTGTCCCAAATTAGAAGTGAATTAAAAACTATCAAAAAAGGAATTTTGACAAATTTTATGAAGATATCAATGCTACTTAAGACACACAAAGTTAACACATGGGAGAAAAAGACTGAGTATATAATATCAGACGAAGGTCCTCAGGGGGAAAAGTATAAAAAAATCAAACGATAAAGTAGCAATCCACTAGGAAATGAAAATCTGCATCTATAATTCCTGAGAAAGCCTCACAACATGGAGAGTAAAAATTCAGACTTCATTTTTTACCCCTAAATCTTTCCTGAATAGCAGCTATTACACTGTATGAGACGTACTTTTTTCAAAAAAAAAAAGATTCTCAATCAAATCTGCTAACAGAACTTATAGCCATGGGTACTCCCACAGCAGTATGATGTAAACACTTCAAAGATGGGATTAAGTGCAGTTAACATAATATAGATTTTGCTCTACTATGTGACACGGCAAGTATGTAACAGCAGTAATTCACTGAATCACTGGCCCCAATTCTTCACCCTCCATGTAGCCACACCCTTTGCCATGTGACTGCAGTTCCTCCTCCTAGAGTCAGAGCGTGCTTGCCCATCCAGTTACTTTGAGCTCTGCCATGAGACTTGTTTTGATCAACGGGATATGAACAGAAGTGACAATGTGCCAGTTTGGAGCCTAGGTTTTACCACATGTATTTGGGTTAACCCAGTGATGTATTAGAATACTGATGTATTAAAGTGGAGTATTCCATGTTATGTATTTGTGTTAACCCAGTGATGTTCTGGAGTACTGCTGTATTAGAGTATTCCATGTGTGTATTTGGGCTAACCCACTGATATACTGGAGCCAGTTTGCACCAGCTCATGATGCTCATTAAATTTTCAGGAACTTACATGGCAGTTGGCTAAACATACTAATAAAAATTACAGTAGCTTATAATTAAATTATAGCAAAACAATGATACTCAAAATTCATAACTTATGTTACATTATACTATTACTTATGCTTTTGAGGTTGTCTATTTTAGCTGTATGATGAAAAATATTATACAATGATATGCTACTGTGCTGTTCTTTCCAGTGATGTCATATCGGTGGCTTGAAATTGGCTGTGGTGGGAGTATTTACTCCACAGAAATGGGCAAATGCTACAAATCAGGCTGTATCTTTTCTTCCATAGAGCCAGGTAGGCTTATATCACCATGAGAAATGCTTCCTAGTAGTCTCTGCTCTTTCATCCTGGGGCACCCGAGAAGGATCATATATGAAGCAGATATGAGCCCAAGCCAGAGCAAGGAGACAAGTTTGGCCAGACCACAGCTTGAAGCAGAGCCACCAGCCAAGCTGAGCCTAGATCTGTCAGTCCATATCCAACTAGCAAGACCATGAGTCTGAGAATAAATGTTTATTGAATAGGCTGACTTAGGTGACAGTGTTATTCAACATTATTGTGGCAACGGTTGACTGAAATACATGGTCCAAGTTGGAGCATGGTCAATTAGCCTGTAAGAAGTGGTTAGACTGCCATTTGAAAAAGAAAAAAAAAAGGTGAATTGGTATAGGCCCTGAAAGTGAGAAGCCAATGGGCAATCACTGAGAAATTGATAAAATGTCATGCCCCAAATAGCAGTGTATGAGATGGCAGTATTGACTAACTGATCTCGAACTCTAGGGCTCCTGCAATCCACCCACCTCAGACTCCCAAAGTGCTGGGATTATAGCAGACACTGTGGATTCAGAGTGAAACAGGGAGTGCTTATAGTCAAGGTCCTTACAGAGGAGTAAGAAACAGTCATTACAGAGGCCAGAATGGTCCAGAGTGCTAAGAGGCAGCAGAAAGAACAAAGGCAGGGTGTTACAGAAGCACACAGGAGAGGATGTGACCCAGTTCATGGGACCAGGGAAGTCCTCCCAGTGGAAATGATCTCTGAGCAGAGAATGCTCCAATAGTTCAATTAAAATAACTAAAGGCTAAAACATGAAGAGCTACTATAATGAAAAGAAGAGATAAGACATGGGCTGGACTTGACAGATGATTCGATCAAAGGCATCACAGATGGCTGTGAACACCAAAAGGGTGAGGGTATGGCCCACTTCTGCTCCTCTACATCAAGTGGAGGCCACTCATAGAAGACTCCTGTGCATCTACTTACCGGAGAGACACGCACAGAACCTGGCCCAACACATGTGTTCAGGCACTGATTACACAATTTTTCTCACCTCTCATTTGATGCTTTATCCATTTACCTGACAGACAACCCTGAGTATGTCAGAGTAACAAAACTCAACAGCTCAAATTTGGCCCATATTAAATAAGAGGATTTATACACAAGTACTCTCTACAAATGGCAAGACAACCAAGTTGATTGATTCACTGTTAGGGCAATGGCTTCCATGAAACACTGAATCACAAAAGCGGAAATACTCTGAACTCCCAACCAAGGGAGAGAACACAGGCATTTGGAGACCACCACATTCTTTATATACTTTTTGAAATCTAAAGCATACACCTATTACTTATACTTCTGAAGGTATGTCCAGACACCCAGTTAAGCAACTCTAAGTAGAAAAATGAAATTTAAAGGTTTTTAAAATTTAAATATTTTTAATTTAAACAGCCCCAATTCATACCGAATGGTCATAAACATAAAACATCAAGTCTTACTATTAAGATTTTTACTTCAAGAACTAATTCTACAAGTATGACTACCCTACAAATAATGTAAAAACCGACTTCATTTTGGCAGCACTGGTAAATCACGCATACTAAAATCATTCTACCAGATGACAATTCAAATATTGAAACACAGAAGAAAAATAAAATATTTGACAAGGCTTTCATTTAGAAACATCTCAGGACACAGTTCAGTCGAGCACCAATCTATTCTTTTGAGATTGTTAGTCTGCAATGAAATATTAAAATTAATAAGGCCATTTTCTTTGGAGTCTTGGGTAAAAAACTCAATAGGAATGCCAAAGACAAAACAGAATAATCTCATTTAAGAAAAAAAAAGTCACCAAGCCATTACTGTCTTTCTCTGCTACCGTTAAATATACACCTAAGGCAGTTCCAGTATAAAAACCAAAATATAAATTATGGAAGAGACGTAACACAGGCGCCCTGTTTTATTTTCCTGCTTCTGTCGAACTTCACTCTTGAGCATCCTGTTCACTTGATTCTTTTTTCACCAAATATTTTTCTGCTCAGCTCCTTCTTTGCCATGCCAAGTTAAACTTTCCCAAATCTTCTTGTTCTAATCATAGCACAGAAAACTCCAGTAAAAATAACTGAGTAAAGCTTCCCTAAAATGACTGGTATCTATAGCAAAAAGCAGCTTCAGAATTGTGATTTTTTTTTATATATTATGGCCTAAATTACCACATTGCCACAAAGCCTGAAAATAAAGAGGAAATACTAAATCTCTCTCTCTCTCTCTCTCTCACACACACACACACACACACACACACACACACACACACACACACACACATTACCTAACACACACAGGCCTACATTAACCACTCAGATGAAGTCAGGAATTTCCCTCAAGTTGTAGAGCATCAATAATGTAAATGACTTATCAGAAGTAATTAAGGTACAGATAGTTAGAATTAGGTTTAATTCCCACCTTTCCCTCTATATTTCTAAAGTTCAACTAAAAAATCCAGATATTTTCCTCTATGTTTAAGGCAATAAGAGTAGAGGCATGAAAAGTGAATGGTATAGTAAATTCTCAAGAAGCATTTATGGCCTGCCAGTGGCAAAAGAGGCAGGAGCTGGCCAGGTGTGAGTATATAATTGAGCATTTACTTCCTGTGCTATGTTCTGGAGCTGGGAACCCCACATCACTCCCATACCACAGGAATTTTGTTTGATTATACCAATACTAAGTCTTCAATCAAACTACAAACCACTTACACCACAGTTAGATTATTTAGGACATTTTAACTTCTATTTTTTTTCCTTATTTGAAATAATGCAGATAATTCTGGATAAAATTTTTTAGATTTGGTTTATTTATATAAAACCTTGGGTAATAACTTTGAACCTCCTTTATACATTATTGATTTTTTATTCAATACCCACTGTCACTTGGTAAAAACAACTTCTTAGATATTTTGCAATGAAAACGAAAAAAAATGTTTTGATGTCGTACTCAAGGACATGGGGTAGTCACTGGGGAATGGGAGGAGAGGTGAATCAGAGGCCAGAATGACTAGTGTTAGAGAGGGCTCTCCTACCTCACCATTTCTTTAAACATTTGAAGATTTGTTTAAGAAGTATAAAATATTTAAATAATGTCCCAATCAGTGATCCTGGAGCCAAACTTTAGAAAAACATCCCAAGTGTTTAGGAGAGAATGGGGACACAGGCTACGAAGAGGCAGTTGACTTGGCCAGAAATTCAGTATACAAAGCACTAACATTCATAACCCCAAATCTTAATCCTATAATATTATGGCCAGTTAAGTGTGCTAGGAAAACCAATGGATGTTATATTACATTTGGAAGCAGAGGGCATATATCCAAAAAGAAAATCAACAGGAATGACTTAGACAAACAGCTAAGAAAGACATCTTATTTAAAGGTTATTTTAAGTCATTTAAATTTTCAATCACATTGATAACAATAAGCTTTTAAAGTTATATAGCCCAGCATTACAGAGAAACCTGATGTCTATCTTGAATCTGACATTTGCTTCTGTCAGCGAGCGGAGCTGCTTGGGGCTACAGCACTCTGGAGTTATTTGCCCTATTCTTACACAATCATGATAAATGGTTTCATAAAGTGCTCTTGACACATCCAACATCATCCACTGAAGCTGAGAAATAAGTGAAACATGAATTGGAGTTAAGTAGGAAGTAGAGGGTACAATGATTTTCTTATACATGGTGTTAAAACAGAATTAAAAAATATCTCTATGAATATTGGTAATAAATGCTATATTCTTCCTTACAATCCTAGCTTCCTGGAAAAATTATATTAGGTTTATGCTTTATCACCGTGTTTTTGTTATTACTACATAAACCGAAATGACAAGTAGGAACAGAATGTCACTTTTTTAAGCCTAGCAATTGAAGAGAATTTTTAGCACTTAGAGAAGCTCAAGGCTTCTGTAAGAAGGGTTAAAATCAGAGCCTATAATTGGGATTTAAGATATATGTTGCTATGTTGCTGTCACAGTTCAATTTCTGATGTCTGCCTATCATCAGTGGCATCCCTTATAAATGTTGGGCTCTAAAAACAATAAAAATGATTTACCATAAAACATTTTTTTAAATATATCCATTAATAATGATTAATAACCAAAATATTATCTAATCCTGATATCTGATTGAATGGCAAAAAGTGTTTATAACATTTACCTACTGCATGTTGTAGGGTGGATGACTATAAGATGGGGGAGGGGGAATTCGACTACAAAAATATCTCATTGTTTCAATTATTGGCAAATGCCCTATAATTTCCTATCCTCTCAATCTCAATTCCTGAACATTTCAACCTGTTAGAGTAAAATCAGAACTTTAGCAATATAGAACAAAAGACAACTATTTTAAGTCTTATGTGAAGAAAATATTTCTGTCTAAAATGTTTTAAAACCAAAGATGGAAAAAATTTCAAATCTGCAAAGAATGTTCCATATATGAGAAAAGGAGGAAAAGGAAAGAAAGGTGGAATGGACTAGAATTTGAAGGACAAAAAGTTTTCAGCATTTGAAAAGTGAAAAGTAAAATTGTAAATGCTGCAGTTCGAACTTTTTTATAATAAAAGCACATAACTTTAAACCTAATTTACCTTTACTTTTTTAATAATAAAAGGGCTGTTAAACAAATACTATGTGTGATTTCAAGATATTTAAGTGGTTGGGAGGAAAAAACGTGTTAAAATCCCTGTATATGTAGACATTTGCTAAATTAATTAAAGCATAAAATACCTTCTCTATGTTCCACTGGTTGAGAATGGTCAACATATGTACTTGAAAATAAAAATGAAAGAAATATTCCACAACTTTCAACTTTCTAACACCACTACTACTTCCCCAAAGCCCCAGCTGAGTTTTTAATCATATTATTAAAATAACATTGGCCTAGGCATCGTCTTTGCACTTCATTCTGAGAAATAACTGGAATAACTTTTTCCCCATCCACTTCACAGTCTTCAAGAACAAAATTTATAATGCCACGTTTTAGATAACTGTCTATAAGAATCAGTGTGCCTATGCAAACAACAGACAGAGTAACAGAAACTTAGATCATAATCTAGAGTTGTCCAATGACTCAGAAAAATGACTTGAAGTACAGCTCTTCATCCCTCTGGGCCTTAGTTTTATCATCTGCAAAATGAAAGAGTTTGGTTTAGAGTGGTTCTAATCTTGCCTGGGCACAGGTGACATCATGTGGATTAAAGACCCAGTGTCTCCCCTTCCCATCCCACCTTCAAAAAGAAACAGACACACGCTCAACACTTTCTGTTTGACTCTGGGCACACAGACCAGTTCCCCCAACCTCCAAGCCCCCACCCCACAAGAAGCTCATCCACTGACCCCACCTCTAATCCTTCTAGTGGAATATTCATAAGGTTCCACTTAGTTCTAATACTCTGACACTGTCATCAGGGTATTACCCCTTGATAAATTACCTCCCAAAATTAAAAGAGTGGGCCATACCCACCACAGTCAGAGTCTGGCAATGACAATGGACAAGTACATTTCAAAGACCTAAGAATATCCTATACATGACATCTTATCTAATTTCCATTTACAAAAAAAAAAAAAAAACTACTTCAAATGTAGCTGTCCAAAACAAAGAATCATAACTCATCAGAACTGTGCCCTCATGGTCATCTCTTCCAGAACCCTATTTGGGAGACTGTATAGTGTCAGTTTGGATTCCAGCTTCTTTTAGGTTTGACCATTCCTACTTGTATCCTTTGGAGGCCAACCATACCAGATGGAATACTACCGTTCTGGAACAATAATAATTCCACAAGGTGTAGGTACCTGTCTCAGGGAAATTCAATCTCTAAACTAAGCTGAGCCAAAGAGATTTCTCTCTCAGTAAGTTGAATGAAGAAACAAAGCAACTAGAGAAAAATGGTGGGAATGTATGAACAAAAGTTACCTAAGCATAGACTTTGATTGGCACAGTAAGCTTTTGTAATCAGCATTTTCATCCTTTCCTCTGCCTAAATGCAAACTGGCCATAAAGCCAATAATCTCCTAAATATCCCTTGAATATAATCCCCAGAGAAATGAAGGACTGGTAAGTAAATCCCTATTACATAAAGCTGTTTGCTACTATTCCAAGAATTTAAGATTTGACAAGCTATGGATATTGTTCATACATACATCTAGTAGGATCTTAATTTTCCTTCTAAATCTGAAAAAAAAAAATCAAGTCAAACTGGACTTTTCTCCAACAGTTTACTGACTACTAAAATACAGTAGGTACTAACAATCTAAGAACACAGATTTTTTTTAAAGCTTACAGATGAATACTTTTATTTATAAGAGGACTCTAGAATATAGGACACATTATTAACTCATATAGCCAATAATGACTAATATAACTCTTGATCAAAATTCATTTTATACTTCTGAAGGCTATTTGGGTCACCCAAATGTAATTTAAAGAAAAAAAAAAAAAACACAAGCTATTGCTCTTCTTTCCTGCTCAATAAATCCCTTAGAATCAGAAACATCAGCAACAATTTAGGAATGCAAATGGATTTTCCATTTGCATTTAAACTTAATCATGACTTAAACAGAATGAATACAGTTTAATTTTTCAGAGGTAGATTGAACCAAGAGGAGTATGATGTTTAAAAAAAAAGAAATTCACTTTGACTAGCAAAACAAAAAGCATGTCAAAAGGGAAAATCTGGCATAGAAAAAAACAGCTGAAACCAAAGAGAAATGTAAACATACAGCCTGAGGCCTGGTCTGAAGGTGATGCAATATGGGGTATCTGTCCTCTGCACAACAATAAATTACTGAAAAACACTCTCACTAAAATCCTCTCAAATATTGATTTTGTTTACTTTCAGTTTTAAACTGTGGCTCTTTTAATTCTTTTTGCTACCTTGAACTTACATGTGACAGTAATGCTGAAAACCAAAAATGTTTAAATAGAAGACAAATGTGGGCATTATAATAGTCTCTTTCATATCACAGGGACACAGCAATAGCTTCAACAGATATTACTGAGCTTCAACTCAATAATAAGGGAAGCTCCGCACAGATTTCCTGAAGTCAGCACTCCTGGAAGTCCAAATAGTCCCTTCTTCTGAGAAAATATGGTTCCCGACATTTTATGGGAGGCAAACACAAACATATCAAGCGGATTTTTTCTAAGTTTATCCTGCAAGTAGCTTTTATGTTTAATTCTATAATGTCAGATAACTGACAAGCAAAAAACATTTCTACCCTAGAATACAGATCTGAGCGTGTCAGCCATATATATTTTTTAAACATTCAGTCCATTCAAAGAGAAATTAAACGGTCCATGTTCTGAAATTCGTATTTACATGATGGTTTATGTTCAAAAGGTATGGTTCAATTTACACTCATGGCATGGCACCCCTTCTTCCCAGCTTTCCAGCTATATAAGAAATAACAACATAGAAACCACAGCAAATAACAGTCCAGGGTATTATTAACATCACGCCCATCCTAAACTCCCAGAGGAAAAACACCAGGTGTTGTAAGAGAGTGCAATACACAATTCAGAACCAATATTTGACAAAATGCTCAGCCACCAATTTTGTTTGAATAGTCTCAGAGCTGAGTATTCTCAGTGTGTATAATCATGAGTAATGACATCATAATTATACCTAGCTATTCTTGATGGGGGTGAGAATAAGAGTCACTTTTAAAAGAAACAACTTCAAGTAGAGAAATCCAGCTTCCATTACAAATCGGCAGTCATTCTTGTTTCCTCTGTCCTTGCCCACTTCCCCAGACATCATATCAAGTTTCTGTACGTCTCTCTAAAAGATAACTCTTTTTAAACATAACCACAATGTCATTATCACACCTAAAAAAATGAATAGTAATTCCTTAATATCAAATATCCAGTCATTGTCCAATTTTCCTAATTGTCTGAAGATGGTCTGTTGAACCAAGATGAAAATAATGTTCATACATTACAATTGATACACTTAAGTTTTTTATAATGTTGAGGTTCCTCCTTCCATGTTCTCATCATTTGTGATTTGAAGAAACTCTATAATTTGTCCTATGCACAGTTTCCCCTGGTTCAGATTTTTCTGACTGCATCCACATGGTACCATTAAACATGTTCCCCTTTCCACTATATTTCTTATAAATTGGCAGTTAGATCTAGAGACTTGAACAGAATTAGATTCAATTTTTTTTCAAGAATATATCCTAGGTGGTGCTGTCTACTTCCATCAGGAAATACATAATGTCTAGTTGTCTCCGTGTGATATTAGGAGTTATTAATGATCATTGCCTGAATCCATTATTTTATTAGGGTGTGCAAAACGGTAATATTCTAAATGTATCAATTCTTCATTTATTAGCTAAAATACTTCTATAAAGAGAAAATTATTAACTATTCATCATCCGGAGGTGCAATTCCGACTGGAAAGGCAGATTGGTTATTTTTTCCTATTTATCATTTTCAAAGTAACAAGCCAATCCTTCAAAGGTGACTAACTAGGTTTTTTTGGTATAATTTTGAAGTTATAGATTTTAATATACTGAATGTGTTTCAACCCTCTATAGTTGTTATTTTTATTGATCTCCAAACTGTCACATTTATAGCTAATGAGAGACTCCTGAATCCTTTTGAATACAACCTCACTAGTCTTTGACAGCTTCCTTGTTTTCTGGTTTGACAAGCTGTTTCTGATTCATCATTTATATTTTCCACTCCAGAGCTGGAATCAGCCATTTCTCCCAGAAAGCCTAGTTCCTCTTGCTGGGAAGTAATATTTAGAGACCACAATCTGAGCACTAGGGATGCTCACTGCCACTGGACTGAACATTATTTCTAAGCCTTTTTAGTGGAGGAACAAGAAAATACATTTTTAAAATACATCATGAGACCAGGTACGGTGGCTCACGCCTGTAATCCCAGCACTTTGGGAGGCTGAGGCAGGCAGATCATTTGAGGCCAGGAGTTCAAGACCAGCTAGCCAACATAGCGAAATTCTGTCTCTACTAAAAATAAAATACAAAAAATTAGCCAGGCATGGTAGCACATTCCCATAGTCCCAGCTACTCAGGAGGCTGAGGCACAAGAATTGCTTGTACCCATGAGGCAAAGTTGCAATGAGCCGAGATCATACCACCGCACTTCAGCCTGGGTGACAGAGACCCTGTCTCAAAAAATAAAAAATTAATAATGAGCACACCATATATCTAGTAAGAGGTGAACATCCAAAATTCAGTCCATTGACTGAATATATGAAAAACTCAGGCAACTCAATGCCAAAAGAACTGAATAATCCAATTTAACAATGGGCGAAGGACCTAAAGAGACATGTCTCAAAAGAGGAAATTCAAATGGCTAACAGGTGCTCAAACTCTCTAATAATCAGCAAAATGTAAATCAAAACCACAATGAGATATCATCTTAGGATGGCTATTATCAAAAACACCAAGAGACAACAGTGCTCAAGAGGGTGTAGGGAAAAGGGAACCCTGGTACATTGCTAATGGACTGTAAAGTACAGCCATTATGAAAAACAGTATGAGAGTTCCTCAAAAAATTAAACATAGAACCACCATACGGTCCAGCAATCTCCTTTCTAGGTACATGCCCAAAGGAAATGAAATCAGCACCTCATAGAGATATTGTCAATCCCACGTTCGTGGCAGTATTATTCACAATAGCCAAGATATGGAAATAATCTGAGTGTTCATCAACTGACGACTGGATAAAGAAATTGTGGGCTGGGCGCGGTGGCTCACGCCTGTAATCCCAGCACTTTGGGGGCCGAGGCAGGCGGATCACAAGGTCAGGAGATAGAGACCATCCTGGCTAACACAGTGAAACCCTGACTCTATTAAAATTACAAAAAAATTAGCCAGGCGTGGAGGCGGGTGCCTGTAGTCCCAGCTACTGGGGAGGCTGAGGCAGGAGAATGGCATGAACCCGGGAGGCAGAGCTTGCAGTGAGCCGAGATTGTGCCACTGCAGTGCAGCCTGGGCAACAGAGCGAGACTCCGTCTCAAAAAAAAAAAAAAAAGAAACAAATTGTGAGATATCCATCTATCTACACAAATAGTGGAATATTAGCCCTCAAGAAAGAGATTCTGCCATTTGTGACAATATGGATAAAACAGGAGGACATTATGCTAAATGAAGAAAGCCAGACACAGGATGAAAAATACTGCATTATCTCATATGTGGAATCTAAAAATAGTTGTTGTATACATAGAAAAAGGAAGCAGAATAGAGGTGGGGGAATGGGGAGTTGTAGGTCAAAGGATACAAAGTTGCAGTTTTGTAGGATGAATTAGCCTAAAGATCAAATGTACAGCATGGGGACTATAATCATATTGTATTATATATTGGAAATTTGTTGAGAATAGTGTTTAGATGCTCTTACCACACACAAAAAAGGTAACCATGTGAGATGATAGATATATCAATTGGCTTCACTGTACAAATGATTTCACTATGAATATAAAAACACGTCATGTGCTTTAAATATATACAATAAAAATTTTAAAATAAAAATAAATCATGAATTCATACTGATAATACTGATTTAAATTCAAGATTACAAGGTTCTTACTTAGGTTTAATTTTACATTTTTATCTCCTTTCATAAACACATCAAAAATCCCAGTTCTGAACACCACCAAAATAGTTCATTTATCCCACATACACATATAACAGTCTCAGAATAGTGAAACTAATACTATTATCAACAATATGATTATTAAAAGCATTTGAAACATTTTGGAGCTGTTTTTTGTCCTTAGGCATATACTAAAACACCATGCTTAAAGTCATTTGATACAGTTTCACCGAACATAGTTACACCACTTTCTCAATATAGTTATGTGCATTTGTTACATGTTGCTTTTGAAGGATTAAGTCTTAATTTTGCTTTACAATTATGTAAAACACTTAATTCCAAAAATCAAATGTACAAAACACGGTGTGTGTTTCCTCTTCTATGTTTCCTTCTCCAACTAATTTTTTGTTGTTGTCCAGTTTTCTGTTTCTTCTTAAAACACACACACACACACACACACACACACACACACAAGCTGCCTCTCAGTACTAATCAACACACTGACCACTTCCTCCTTGAAATACCCTCCTCTCTTGGTTCCCATGACATCATTCTATCTAGGTTTTTCCTCAGTTCCCTGGCTTTCCTTCTTACTCTAATTATTCCCTTCTTCCAAACCCCTACCAATTAGAGCTCCTCAGGATTAAGCCAAGACCCATTCTCTTCTCTCTATACAATTCATCAATTCCTATGCCATTAAATATCATCTACATGCTATCTGAGCTTCCAACTCAGGTACCCAATCATCCACTAAACTTTGGTACTTAGTGATCTAATAACTATCCCAAACTTAACATGTACAAAACAGAACCCTTAACTACTGCTTTTCCCCCAAAAGTGTTCTTCGTTTCCCCATCTCAGTAAATGGCACCCAATTACACCAAAAACCCAAGCATCATCCTTGAAACTTTTGAGCACCGACAGGACATCCCAAGTAGAAAATCCTACACCTAACCTCGCAAGACAGGTCACAGTACAAGTGTAAGAAAATAACTGCTTATCAGTAGGCATATAGATTCAGAGTCAGGAATGATGGTGATGCAACTGTCCACAGAGATGGCTGGGAGAGTGATACCTTTGCTTTCCAATAGTTCAGTGTCCATAAATTTTGTTTGCTACCCAAAATTATTTAAAGTATGGTATAAATTACCTTCAGGCTATGTGTATAAGGCATATAAGAAACATAAATGAATTTTCTGCTTAGACTTGGGTCCTATTTCTAAGATATCTCATTATGTATATAGAAATATTTGAACATCTTTTTTAAAAACCTAAAACACTGCTGGTCCCAAGAATTTCAGATAAGGGATACTTACCCTACAGAGGTATAATGAGGGGAGAGAGGCAGGAGTGACCCAGGGTGAGAGAGGCATTTTATCATTGACTTACTTAGATTGCCAGCACAGAAAAGGAAACCAGCTGTTTGTCAGTTTTAATATTGTCCTTAAATTCTCTCCGGACCATGCGTCTGCATTTTGCCTACACAGCAGGGATCACTCCCACCATTCCTGGCTGGGAACACCACTGCCAAAGACCTGCCCAGACTGCCAAAGGAATTCAGGACACAAAGAAGGGTAGGAACCCCTGAGTAGGAGCTGCCACAAGTGTAAGAGTAAGGAGCTCTTGAAGGTTCCTAACGGTGATTAGACAGCTAATTTAATGTGAGGTATTTGATACAGAAACAAAAACAATAAAAATTTAATTAAGAAAACTGAGGAATAAATTACAACTAAAGAAGATATATCAAAAGGCTCGGCATGGTGGCTCATGTCTGTAATCCCAGTTCTTTGGGAGGCCAAGGCAGGCAGATCACTTGAACTTGAGACCAGCCTGGGTAACATGGTGAGACCTCACCTCTACAAAAAATGCAAAAGTTAGCTGGGTGTGGTGGCACGTGCCTGTGGTACCAGCTACCAGGGAAGCTGAGGTGGGAGGTTCAGATAATTTGAACCTAGGAAGTCAAAGTTAAAGTCAGCTGTGAGCACGCCACTGCACTCCAGCCTGGGAGGCAGAGTAAGACCCTGTCTCAAAAGAAAAAAAGAAAGAAAAAGAAGATATATCAAAACTTTCTATCTGTAACAGAAGAAAGTTTTAAAATAAAAAAAATAAAATTTTCAAGCTACAGAAAAAGCTGGAAAATTTCCCCAATATAACAATTTCTAACTTTGATAGGAAGGGATCAATACATCAATACTCTAAAAATAACTGCAGCTCTTATAAATCAGTAAGAGAAAGACTGATTGCCTAATAGAAAAATGTCCAAGGACACAAGCACATTGGAGGAAAAAAGCAAGCTACCCACAAACATGAGAAAAATACTAATATACATTATATTACTTTTTTAAAGGATGATGTGACAATACATATCCAACATTTTAAAAACGTATCTACTCTTTGTCCCACCAATTTGACTTCCAGGAATTTATCCTAAGGAGAAGATCAAACAGGAATACTTATGTGAAAGTATAATCAAAGCATGGTTTGCAACTGCAACATTAAAAAAAAAAAAAGAATGGAAATAATCCTATGCCCAATAGAAAATTAGTTACATTTTAGTGTATCTATACAATACAAAATCACTTTTTACAAGTCTAGCTTTTCTAATATGGAAAAATGCTCAAGTGAGGGGGGAAAAACTAGATTGCTAAATCATATGTCTTTTATTATTCACAGTTTGGTTTTATAAAAAGTGTATGCATGTACGTGAAGTCTAGAAGGTTACCAACATTTCCACAGTGGCATTATCTCCAGGTCATTGGTATATACAAATGATTATTTTTGTATTTTAAGTTTCTGAGACTTTAACAATAATGACACATTACTTTAATAAAGTATTTACCTTTCAAACAATATAATCTGCATGTTTAAAATGTTCTGGGACATAGAGAAAGATGGAAGCTAACCATCCTCTTAAGCAAGAGAAAGATTTCTAAGGACAATCTCAGCACCTCTCCAGACACACCTTCAGCTCATCTCCAAGTGGAGGTAGCACGACATTCTCTTTAGTATACCATATATCCTGGCCATTTGTGCCATAGAAAACACGCAACACAGGAAAGCTACACCCCAGGCACAATTGCTAACTACAATCTCGATGTCATTACCACAAGTGACTTACCAAAAACTGGGTTTAGGGATCATAGCCTACAGGATTATGGAATCTACCTTTTCTTCTCTAATCTGCATCTAGATTAGGCAGATCAGCAGAAAAGGAGTTTGGCCTCATATCTCATTGTGCTAACCACCACCACAAACGAGTATCAACCCTCTCCCTCCCTCACATATTTGCTTTTATTGAATTAGCTTCTGTGGAATCCCATCAGCTTATATTGCAAAGCACTGTAATAAACATGTCTATGAAATTCATCATGTCTACAGTAAGTGAGGGAAATACTTGTTACATTGCCATCTCCTAAAATAACCGCGGGGAGGAACTGCTGCTTGGGCTAAGCATCAGAAGTCAAGGGTGCATCTTCTGATTAAAAGGTCTATATTTGGCCAGGCACGGTGGCTCACGCCTGTAATCCCAGCACTTTGGGAGGCCGAGGCAGGCAGATCACAAGGTCAAGAGACCAAGACCATCCTGGCTAACACGGTGAAACCCCATCTCTACTAAAAATACAGAAATTAGCTGGGCGTGGTGGCATACGTCTTTAGTCCCAGCTACTCGGGAGGCTGAGGCAGAAGAATCGCTTGAACCCAGGAGGCGGAGGTTGCAGTGAGCTGAGATTGCACAACTGCACTCTAGCCTGGTGACAGAGCAAGACTCTGTCTCGAAAAAAAAAAAAAAAAAAAAAAAAAAAAACAGTCTCTATCTTATGCAGTGATTTTTAACCTTGGATAGGAAGTGTGGTCATACATAACCCTGAGAATCTGATTAAAGCTATGACTCCTCTCTCTCCATGTACACATGCCAGACTTTGCATACAATTTCAGGGAACTCAGAGACATCTCCCCTATCTCCATGTTAAGAATCCCCAATCTTGGCGGAGGTTGCAGTGAGCCAAGATCATGCCATTGCACTCCAGCCTGGGCAACTCTGTCTCAAAAAAAAAAAGAAAAAGAAAAAATCCACAATCTTATGGGTCAAGTTTCTATCTCACAAGTTTCCTTTTCACATGGGCTGCTGGAAAGTTTAGCTTTCAATGTCCACCTTCAACAAACACAGTTTGTTTTGATGCACATGTTGCAACAGTTGCACACCTGATTCCAGTTCATATTCCTATACTAATTTCTGCCCCAAACTTTCTTGTTTTTCTGAAATTCAAATATCCTAGAAAACATTTTTCTGGAACAAAAGTAAGTATAAACAATAAAACAAAATATAATGCTAATTACAAAATCTAGTCATTAGCGTGACGAGCCAAGTATTTCTGGTTGTCTCCTTTTCCAGGAACATAACAGAATTGCCTGGAACAGGTATCAAGTTCTAGCAAATAAGCTGCAAACAAAACTAACGTGTCGTTTCCAGACCAGGACATTTAACTGCCGATAGAAACTTCCCAGAGCTCTTTCACTCTGGCACGGTTACCAGCAAGGTTGGAAATGGCGGCTGTTCAGGGAGCCTGAGTCCCCTGTGGACCTGTGATAGGCAACATAATGCTGTTTTAAGCCAGAAAGATTTGGTGCTCTTTAGGTGTGTGGTATAACCTAGGCTAACAAGAATGATGTACCTGATGTACAACAATGAGAAGCTGTAGACCTCTCTCACTTGTGAAGGAAGGCCCAAAGCTTTTCAAAGACAATACTAGGATGGCAGGACCTGCATCCCAGAGGCAGGATTGGGTTTTCTGCACATCTGGCCACATCTGGAGCACTGATGGGGCGGGACCACCAGGGAGCCCTGAAGAGCACTGTCCTAAGAGAAGGAAGCAGAGGGCTCACACTGGGCTTCAGAATATTGGGCCTGGTTGGGCCGCACAGAGTAACTGGGGTAGATACAGCTGATTCCACCACTCAAGCCCTACCTTGGGCCCAGCCCAACGTTCTCACACAGCCCCAAGGTTCAGGTAGCTGCAACAAAGTGTAAACAACTTCCATTGCTCATTGCTGAGAAGACCACATGAAATTGGCTTCAACATTCACTGAGTGCCTATTATGATTATTTGCTCCCTAATGTGTCCCAAAAAGCACCTACAGCAGTCCCCAAAAAGGGGGGCATTTTTTTCTACGAGGGAAGAAATCAGCAGGAAAAAGGAATCTTCTAAAATTTAAAAAAGATGAGCACAAGACTGAATTTAATTTTTTTAAAGAATCAAAACAACAACAAAAATCCATGATACGAAATTCTAGGCACTATAGCGAGGCCTTGTGGCTGTGTGGTCATGGACAACGTGAAGAAGAAACAGGATGAGATGCATGAAAAACAATGTTCCTAAGAAAAAACAAACCATGGCTGGGTGCAGTGGCTCACACCTGCAATCCCAGCACTATGGGAGGCCAAGGCAGGCGGATCACCTGAGGTCAGGAGTTCAAGACCAGCCTGACAAACATGGAGAAACCCTGTCTCTACTAAAAATACAAAATTAGCCAGGCGTGGTGGCATATGCCTGTAATCCCAGCAACTCAGGAGGCTGGGGCAGGAGAATCGCTTGAACCCAGGAGGTGGAGGTTGCGGTGAGCCAAGATTGCACCACTGGACTGTAGCCTAAGCAACAATGGTGAAACTCTGTCTCTAAATAAATAAATGGAAAAGAAGAAAAAAACAAACCAGTTACTCTAGAACAACACAACTCCTTTCAGTACTGAGAGCAGGGGAAGGTCTCCCCTGTGTCCTCATAATGAGGCAGCTGTGTAACATGATCCTCATGGTAAATAAGGGTTTCACAGGGATTTTTCTCAGGAGTGTGCCACAGTGCAAGCTGACGGCCTTGCACCAAAACACCATTCAGAAGAACCAAGTCTAAAACTATGTTTTCAGGAATCAGCTGTCTGGTAGGCTGAACTGGTCCAGCAACAAATTTTAGCATATACGAAAAAATGAAGATGATAGGCATATATTTAAAAAAATAAATTGAGCAACAAAGGTGGGTAACCTAGTTGGAAAACAAACAAACCTAGCCCCCAGTGAATGCTTTGACAAAGTATTTGAATTCTTGAAACTATCTTTAAAAGTTTTTAATTACTAAAAATCTAACATTCCTAGCAACAGAATCCAATAGGATGCCAGAGGGACTTTTGGAAACCCCTGATATTGCCATACAAATGGACCAAATGACAGCCAAAGAAAGCATGGTGATAAAATATTTTTAATTAAAAAACATTGGATTGACTCTATAACCTGCAGACCAGTCTCCATAACTCTTACCCTCCCAATCTGGTTAGATCACTGCATGTCTATGAATTCCCAGTTGTACACCCTGTAACACACCCGATGTTTATCTTTCGGGTGCCAGTCAAGTACACATTCAAATGTTTTACAGCTCATACAACCTGGAGGTGGTAGTGTTGAGGAATCTTTTCATGAAAAGATGGCTTCTCACCTTTGTAGAAAAGTCATTCAAAGAAACAGCTACATGCATGACCAGATTGTCTTCAAAAATTATCTTGAAGGTCTTTTCAGACACAAGGGCAAAGGGGCAATGAAGGCCCCAGAATCAGACTCTCAAACTGGGGTATTTGAGCCTCAAGGAGTACATGACTGGTGATGTGAATATGTAAGCCACAGAAGAAAGGTGGTGCATTTTTCTAAAGCATCCCTTTTACAGTGGTAAGTAGTCATTTAAATTTAGGATATTTGAATAGACTACCAGAAAATTAACATAAATTACTGGTTAATTAATGAAAAAAAATTCAAACTCATTTGCACTAAATTTACATGAGTGTGTATATTATGTGTATTTGTGTATTTTACCTGTTATTTTAGATTTATCATTCTATTTATATGTCTGTTTTATCTATACAAATATGTATATGTGTATTTTGCCTATCTATATATAAAACACTTCATTTCATACTTATCAACAATTCCTGAATTACATAAGAAATTCTTCTATATATCGAAGCCAAAATAATTTTTAGTCTTGAAAATATTTTATACTGAGTATTACCAAGTATCTACATCAGCCATAAAACACACATATATACATACACACAGAGAGAGCTCACTTTATCAAAATAACTTAAGCAGTAGAACTTTGTAATGAACTACCTGGATAAACTAGAAATGAGATCTCTAGGTTGCAGACAGTGTGCAGAGGGGTGCACTGTACACAAATGTAGGGGTGAATAATGGCTAATACCCTCCACCTACTAAATAAACACCACATTAGACAAACACTGCCATTCCCATTTCACAGCTAGGATTTTAGCCCAGATGACTTCTCCAAAGCCCCTACTCAATTTCTATTAATAACTTCTCCAAAGCCCCTACTCAATTTCTATTAATAACATGAATCCCATCATTAGGGCTGGCATTTAAAAAAATGCCATTAAAAATGCCAGCCCCAGATTTCTACCACTCCAGTAGAGTTACTTTGCAAAAGAACAAATGAAAAACACTAAGGAAATAATTCTGCATTACTTCTAACAGCTTCCTTCAGAAGCTGACAACAGTAGAACTATCAATAGCACCATATTCTGAAGTTGTGGGGCTTCGGACTCCAACATATAAATTTTAGGCAATTACAATCTAACCCATGACACCTAGATTTTAAGGATTTTTCCCAGGAAAATAATCCAAAGGAGAAAAATGTTATGATTTTAAGCATATCACTGTAATAAAAACTCAAAATCAACTGATGAATAGAACACTGTCAAGCATCTCCCAACACAACAGAGCATAACTTGTAGGAGCGTGGGGGTCTCAAGTCTGACTGCCTAGGTTCAGTTCAAATCCCAGCTCTGCCAATTATTAACTGAACAACTCTTGCCAGATTATTTAAATTCTCTTTGGTTCAATTTCCCCTTTGGTAAAATGGGGATGGCAATATCTACTTCATAGGTTTCTTTCAAGAATTAAATGAGTACAATAAAATCTCATCACAACACTATATAAAGGGTCCAAGATGTTAAATCATGCAAAATGTAAAATCTTCTTCTTGTGAGGTTATATATAGGGCAAGCTTTTGCTGTTAGCCTGGCTCGAAAGCACCCAACAATCACCAAGAGCTTTACGTCCAAAGTTACATTATTTGGGGGTGTTGTTGGGGAGCTTATTGTACACACAAAGTATTACCTAGCGCACAAAAGGCATTACGTAATGATTCACTCTCCCAACTCTGTTTTCCCACAGCTCACGGTGACACTCAGCCCTACTGTGGCTCCTTTCCTTCGTGTGTATATGTGTCTTACCTCCTCAGCAAGACCCAATATTGAAATAAGAGATTCAGATTTTGAAATAAAAGCATACACAAAACATAGAAACTCCAAATTCCAGAATGTTTTTCATTTAATACCTCATTCCCTGCTTTATGTATAGCAACTCCTTACCCCCTACTTAGAAATTACCATCGATCGCAGCTTTCTAGGACACAGGTAAAGGACCAGAAGACAACAAACAAAAAGTCAGTTCAGTCCATTTATGGCAACTCACAGATTTTATTTGTTGAAGTCCTTAGGCCTTTACTTACAACCTATTCATTCTTTTTGATCCACAATTCTAACTAGCCCACAATACTAACTAATTTGATCACCTGGTTTCCAGATCCATGGCAGATCAGAATCAACAAATTAAAAGAGAAAAAAACATGGAGGCTACTGTGGAAAAACTATAAAAATAAGGTATGAGCCAGATCAAGGCTTAAACTAAAAAATACAAATAAAAATAAGGTAGAACCCAAACCTCAGTAGTCTGAAGGCACTCAGAAAAAGGACAAACAGCAGCCTTCCCAATTGCTCCTGAATGCAACACCTTTATGGCCTAGCACATGTGTCTGTGATGTTATTCCTGAGCCAATGTTAAACAGTTTAATTATCTAGAAATCTATAAGGCACCAGAGATTCAGAGAGATCACTCTATGGAACCACTTCTTTATTTTTAAGTACTTATGTTCTCTGCTGGGAGAAGCTATCTGAGAAAACTGAGATAATGAAATAATGTTTTCTCAAAGAGCTCTAAATAGTCCAAGTTTAACTATACATACTGTGATAAAAACCAGTTAATGAGATTTGCCAGGTGGAATCTTATAGAACATTTAGAGAAAATAATATATATAATATGTGAATACTTTAAATTTCAACATAAACTCTAAAGTGTTTGTAAATTTGTTTTATAACCTATATTAAACTCCCCTTACAACTTTGTTTATGCTGCCTATAACAAACTCTCCTTTTCAAGATAGAACAAGGATAAACTTCAGTTTAGATACTACCCAAGTCACCTCCCCGCAAATCACAAAATCCAAAATTATAACTATTCCCCATTGTATTTGAAGAGTCACAATTTTCCCAAAATGATGAAAACAGGATGCGGAGTTGACATGATAATGCTGCAGAACAAAAGTGATCAAGTTTTAAAGACTTTACTAATTGTCTATAACCAAGAAGTTATGGTTTGATATCACTGCATTCTGATGGCCAGAGTCTGTGACATCCTAGAGCAGTGGTTTTCACCCCTGGTTGCACATCAGAAGCACCTGGGAAACTTTAGCAATACCTAGGCCCCATTCCCAGGAGTCTGATTTGGTTGGTCTAGACAGTGGGACCAAGGATTTTTTTTTCCAAGTTCCTCTAATGATTCTAATATGTACCCAGTGTTGAGAACCACTCCCTAGTATGGTCTTTTCTTATCTATAAAGATCTAACCTAACAAGTTAAAAATTGGTATTAAACCTTTTACCCCATTCTGAAAAAGCCCACCACTCCATCCTTTGTTACTTACAAGTTAATAGTTAAGGCAAATATTTCAAAGTTTCAAAATAAAACTATATTCCTACACTTGATCTTAACCAAAAGGCCAAGAAGCGATAATAAAACTATATTCCTATTCAAATGTGATTAACCACTCATAGACATCTTTCCAGTTGGTTAAAATTATTGAACACTATAACAACTTGTTAATAAGGTGTTTCAATATTAGTCCACAAGTTCCCATTCTTTCATCAGCTCCCAGCAGCCCAGAGGCCATGGGCAGACGATTCCTTGTGGTCTGACAATATCTCAGAGTATTCCACCACATTTTGATTTATACCAACGGAATGGGAGACAGGCAGACAGCAGCTGCTATAAATGTGGTAAAACACACTGAAGCTCCACTTGAAATTCTTTCACTGAGATAAATGGAGATATGTGTGGGCCCAGGTGGAAATGGTTCAAAATCTTAAATATGAAATGTTCTCAGTAATTTGCTAAAACTTGAGCAGAGCAGGACAGCAGGGAATGGAAAGAAAAAGGCTTCCAAAGGGAGAGGCCAAGGCACAAGTCCGCCAGGCTCATCACACAGCTAACTGCACAGGTATTAAATGTAGATCTCCCTGAAAATATGCTCACCTCTTCTAGTTTGCAGTAAAACCACCAGTGTCAAAACCAGAATTTGCAACAAGCCTTCTTCAGGAATCTGGGGGCAAGGAGAACATATTTTATATGCCAAGTATGTTTCTTTTATCTAAACGGATTCCAGTAAAAGCCCAGCCTTCCTTGGCTCTCTGTCCCTGGATATTGGTGATTATCAATGCAGGCTCAATTTCCGAAAGACCTCAGCCTGCACTCTCCCACTCAACTTTCAAAGCACATGAAGATGACAATATCATGAAGTGGACAACATCAATATCTGCTGTGAAGGTTTTTCTCCAAAAAATGATAACATTGTTTGGGTCCCTAATGTAATCATGCTTTTAGCATGATCTCTCAGTGTAAGATATTATACAATTCTAGGTAACTCTGGACTATCTATTGCAGGGACATTGCTGAGGACACTGTATGTTCACTATTCAACATTTCCTATGTTATGGAAAATTTTATCAGACCTCAATACCAAGAAAAGCTCTGCTTCTCCTAACTGCTTTGCTTTTGCTTTCAGAACACTGAATCACATAATCATGTTTCCTTCTTTGCCAAGGCTGTTATAATGCTACGAAATCCAGAAGCAAGTTTTGGCCCTCCTCTTCCAGCAAATACATAGGATCTGCTATCATACATTCTTGTATGCTAACTTCACCGTGACTTTCCCCCCGCCCCTCTACCTTTAATTTTCCCTTTGCTGGGGCAAGTTGATTGAAGGTAAAAAAAATAATAATAATTTTTCCTTTGCTCCAATTTCCTGATCTATTAATTTTCTCCTCTGAGCACTAGTAGAATTCCCTCTATAATCAATAGGAAGGAATTCAGCCTGAGTGCGTTAGATGAAATCATTGTAAATAATCAACATGTCATTTTAGCTAAATAGATAAGCAGCATTTTCCCCCTACATCTTTGATCTACTCACAATGACCTTATTTTACAGTTCTGGAGCCTACTTAAAAAAAAAAAAAAAAGAAAAAAAGTCAGGCACCGTGGCTCATGCTTGTCACTCCAGCACTTTGGAAGGTCAAGGCGGGAGGAATGCTTGAACCTAGGAGTTTGAGACCAGCCTAGGCAACATACGGAAATCCCACCTCCACAAAAAATAAACAATATTTAGCCAGTGTGGTGGCGTGTGCCTATAGTCCTAGCTGCTCGGGAGGCTAGAGTGGGAGGATCACTTGAGCTCAGGAGATTCAAGGCTGCAGTGAGCTATAATTACACCACTGCACTATAGTCTGGGCGAGAGAGCAAAACTCTGTCTCTAAAACAAGAAACAACAACAACAAACACTTAAAAATCAATTTTAAAAAATTTTAAAAATCAAAGAAACTTTTGTTTTTAGCAACATAAAATAGCAATTGGTAGGGGTGGGGTGGGGGGCAGAACACAGATGGCATTTTGTCCAGAGGAGCTGAAAGGTACTTAATCTGTTCAAACTTCCAGTAACTCTGAAAGGGCATAGTGTGAACCCAATGAAACTGGAGTGACAATATGCAAGATCCCACAGTCACATGACTTAACTGGGAATAAACCAATGAAAATGTTGTAAAAGCAGCTTTACAGCTCCCTATTTCAGCTTTTTTTTTTTAACAGATAAACTCTAGTTTTTGCTAGAAGTTTTTTCTTTAATAATACTAAAATGATAATGACCATGATAAATGGTTAGAAGAAAGATGGCAGTCATTAATGCAGGTCACAGATGCCCAAATTGTATATGCTGAGTTTAATTATTTGCAGCCATTGATCTAAAAATTCTCACACGAACACAATGTTCTAAAGCAAGTCATCTATGACTGCTACCCTGGTGAAGTCTTACTTCTCAGTCTTGCCTTCCTTTCAGTAGCACTGAACATGGTTGATCACATCTTCTTCCTCAAAACACCATTTTATGCTCCTTCCAGGACACCACTGTTTTCCTTTTAAACCTTCATATGGTTTGGCGTGAACCCACCCAAATCTAATCTTTTAGTTCCCATAATCTCCATGTGTCATGGGAAGGACCTGGTGGGAGGTAACTGAAGAATGGGAGTAGTTATCCCCATGCTGCCTTTCTCGTGATAGTGAGTGAGTTCTCACAAGATCTGATGGCTTTATAAGGGTCTTTTCCCCCTTTTGCTTGGCACTTCTCCTTGCTGCTGCATGTGAAGAAGGACATGTTTGCTTCCCCTTCCGCCCAAATTGTAAGTTTCCTAAGGCCTCCCCAGCCCTGCTGAACTGTGAGTCAATTAAGCCGCTTTCCTTTATAAATTACCCAGTCTCACATGTCTTTATTAGCAGCATTAGAACAAACTAATACAAACCTCCTATCTTTGGCCATTTGACTTAGTATCCTTTGCTAGTTGCTTCGTATCTTCCTGACCTGTAAGTCATGAAGTGCCTTGGGCACTGCTAACTATCCCAATGATCCCATTGGTCCCACAGCTTTCCCTACCAGCAGACTCCCCAAACATCCCTCGCTTAGGTGTCCCTTCCTGACTTCCAGGCTTTTATCCAACTTTTTTCCTCACATCTCCACTTAGGTGTTTAACAGAAATCTCAACCCTCACCCCTTGAAAGGATTTTATACCTTTTATACCTTACAGCATGGCATTTTCAGCACTGACATATAACTCTCTAATGAGATAAAGGTAAAACTAAAGCATTTGTCTTATAAGATACAGGAAACACTGCTTACAGTCTTTAAATCATTACTGCACTTTAACTGTCATAAATTTGCAATGCATTTGGGAAACAATTTGCAAATGTTCTAGCTGAGAATTTACAGAACATTTTAAGCAGATATTACTGTCCTAAATTGCTTATTGGTGCTGTATTTTACATGTTACTTAAATGTACTAACAGTGCAGCGGAAGAGTATTGCACCTTCTCCAAGATATACAGTGAGAACCATCAGTAGTGCATGGAACCCATGATTTTTCTTAACAGCTCTATTTAGATATTGTGAACATGAAAACTGTGTATTTAAGGGGTACAACTTGATGCTTTGGAAAACATATACATTGTGAAATGCATCTCTATTACCCCTACAGTTATCATTTGTGCACGTGTGTATATGAGAAGATTTAAGATCTACCCTTTTAGCAAATTCTAAGTATATAATAAAATATTATCTTCGACATGCTGTACATTAGATCTTCAGAACTTCATCTACCGTTAACTGAAACTTTGTACCCTTTGACTAATATCATCCCATAACCACTCTCCTCTCTGCTTCTATACATTTTAGATTTTAGATTATTTATATTTTAGATTCTATGTTAAGTTATATCATGCAATATTTCTTTCTGTGTCTCATTTTGCTTAGCATAATGTCCTCTGGCTCCACCCATGTTGTTGCAAATAGGATTTCCTTCTTTTTAAAGGCAGAATAATATTCCATTGTACACATATATACCACATTTTCTTTACTCATCTGTTGAGTGACATTTAGGTTGTTTCTACATCTTTGTTACTGTGAATAATGCTAAGAACATGAGTGCAAGTATCTCTTTATGATCCTGATTTCAGTTCCTTTGACTATCTAACCAGAAGTAGAATTGCTGGGCCCTATGGTGCTTCCTTTTTTAATCTTCTGAGGAATTTCCATACTGTTTTCCATAATGGCTATACTAATTTACATTCCCAGCTGTGTACTAGGATTCCCATTTCTCCATATCCTCGCCAACATTTATCTGTTCTTTTTATGGTTTTGACTCTTTTTCCTGATGATGAAAGATGTTGAGCACCTTTAAATATACCTGTTAGCCATTTAAATTTTCTCTTTTGACAAGTACCTATTTAGGTACTTTGCCCGTTTAATTGGATTATTTGTATTTTTGGTATTGAGTTGTATTCACTCTTCATATATTTTGGATGTTAATCCCTTATTAGATACACAGTTTGCTAATATTTTTACTCAACAAGGGTTATATCCCTGTCATGGGGGTAACAGGCCAGCATTTACAGTGCTGCCATGAGGAATATTGTATTTATAAATGGTGCTTTTGTTGGAAAACATCCTTCTGCAGGCTTAAAGACCACAGAAGGAAACCGAATGCAACAGAGGTAGGTTTTCTCCCATTCTGTAGGTTGTCTTTTCATTTATCTCAACCTGAATCCCATATGCAATATAATCTTGCTGGAGAAGACACACACACGCACACATGAAGGAAAGGAACAATAAGGCCAAGTGTCACAGTGAGCTGAGGGAGACCACCAGAGTTAGGAGAATATAAATAGTTAATGTTTTTTGTATGCTAGGTCATGCTCTAGAGCTTTGCATGTACAAAAAAATAACACTTCATTTTGATTATTTCCTTTGCTACGACGAAGCTTTTTAGTTTTATGTAATACCATTTTTGCTTTTGTTGCTATATCCAAAAAATTATTGCCAAGACCAAGGTCAAGGTTTTCCCTGTTTTCTTCTAGGAGTTTTACAATTGCAAGTCTTATGTTAAAGTCTTTCATCCATTTTGAGTTGATTTCTGTGACCAGTATGAGACAGGCGTCCAATTTTATTCTTTTGCTGAAAAGTCTATCCTTTCCCCGTTACAC
Source organism: Homo sapiens (assembly GCF_000001405.40). Lineage (NCBI taxonomy): Eukaryota > Metazoa > Chordata > Mammalia > Primates > Hominidae > Homo > Homo sapiens. Next base: position 66,624,778 of record NC_000005.10, on the reverse strand, counting down.
ACTTGGCACTCTTACAGAAATTGTTGACCATAAATATGTAGGTTTATTTCTGGGCTCTCTATTCTTTTCCACTGGCCAGTATATCTGCTTTTATAGCAGTACCATGCTGTTGTGATTACTATAGCGTTGTAATATAATTTGAAGTCAGGAAGTTGGATGCCTCCAGCTTTGTTCTTCTTGCTCAAGATTGTTTTGGCTATTCAGGGTCTTTTGTGGTCCCATATACATTTTAGGGTTAGTTTTTTTATTTCTGTAAAAGATACCATTGAGAGTTTGATAGGAATTACTTTGAATCTGTTGTTTGGCATAGTATAAACATTTAAACAGGCCGGGCGCTGTGGCTCACACCTATAATCCCAGCACTTTGGGAGGCCGAGGCGGGCAGATCACGAGGTCAGGAGATTGAGACCATCCTGACTAATACGGTGAAACCCCATCTCTACTAAAAATACAAAAAAATTAGCCAGGCGTGGCAGCATGCACCTGTAGTCCCAGCTGCTGGGGAGGCTGAGGCAAGAGAATGGCATGAAACCGGGAGGCAGAGCTTGCAGTGAGCCGAGATCATGCCACTTGCACTCCAGCCTGGGTGACAAAGCAAGACTCCATCTCAAAAAAAAAAAAAAAAAAAAAAACATTTTAACAATATTAATTCTTCCAATCTGTGAACATGAGATCTTTCCATTTGTTTTAAATTTCCTTCATCAATATTTTATAATTAAATGTACAAGTCTCTCACCTCCTTAATTCCTAAGTATTTTATCTTTTCTTGCTAATGTAAATGAGATTCTCTTAATTTTCCTTTTAGAGAGTTTATTGTTGATGTACAGATATGCCACTGTTTTTGTATGTTGATTTTTGTATCTTACTTTACTGAATTCACTGATCAGTTCTAACAGTTTTTGTGAAGTCTTTAGGATTTTCCATGTATATATGATCATGACACCTGCAAACAGATAATTTTGCCTCTTCCCTTCCAATTTGAATGCCTTTTCTTTTTCCTGTCTGTTTTCTCTGCCTAGGACTTCCAGTACAATGTCGAAGAGAAGTGATGACATATGGCATCCTTGCCTTGCTCCAAATCTTAGAGGAAAAACTAAGTTTTAGCCCATTGATTATAGCGTTAGTTGTGGGTCCTTCATATATGGCTTTTACTAAGTTCCTCTTATGCCTATTTGGTTCAGAGTTTTTAATCATAAAATAATGTTAATTTTTGTCAAATATTTTTTCTGCATCTGATGAAATGATGTTTTTATCTTCTATGCTGTGAATGTGGCATATCATATTGTATGTACATTGAACCATCCTTGCATCCCAGGGATAAATCCCACTTGGTCATGATGTATGATCCTTAAAATGTGCTACTGAATGATATTTGCTAGTACTTTATTGAGGATTTTTGCATCTATGTTTATCAGGGATTATAGCCTGTAGTTTTCTTTTCTTGTGGTGTCTTTGTCTGGCTTTGGAATCAGGGTGACACTGGCCTCATAAAATGAGTCTGGGAATGTTTCCTCTTCTACTTTTTGAAAAGCATTTAAGAGGGCTTGGTATTAGTTTTTTGAACCATGGTTCTTATAAGGCCATAATCCTTGTAGCTACAGATGTCAGCCCACACATCTCTCTGTGTTTGAGGGCTTCCCTGGTGACCCACTGGATATCAGGGTTTCTTTTGATAACTTTATGGATCAAAAGGGATTCACCCAAAGGATCTGGGTCATCTTCACCTGTCCCATAGGAATTCAGGACTCTCAGGGACCCATAGTAGCACAAAGTCCATAACTTAGCAACAGACTGAAGGCTATGAGCAAACCCCACCACGGACAGCACAAGCTGCAGCCTTAGGAACAGGGCACCTATGGCCATTAGGGCACACACAAACCCAGAAGATGGCATAACCTTGGTTAGCTTGACATCTCTGTCTGGTGCTTTATTGGGTCTGGGATTCTGTGCCGCAAGGTTGTTATTAGGCTGGTTGTCTGACATCTTCCCCACTCCATAAATGGCACTCTACCCTTTGAGTTCACCTGGCCAAAAACTTGGAAGTCCTCTTTGATTTTTCCAGTTATCATCTTCCATTTTCACTCTGTGAGCAAACCCTGTCAAGTTTATGTTCAATACACATCCTGAGCCTGTTTGCTTCTTACCACCTCTATTGTCAACCTGCTCCAAGCACCATCACCTCTAACCTGATTACTGCAGTAACCCTTAACTGATTCTCTGTTTTCACTCCAAGCCTCTTTAATCTATTATCCATACAGAAGCCAGTGAGCCTGTTAAAAATTAGATCTTGTCACCCTTCTACTTAAAACCTTCCAGTGACTATGCAACTGATTTCCAAGTTAGAAAAAAAAAAAAAAAGCCTTACAAGGACATACAAGGTCACATGACATGGCCTTACACTTCATTCCTAGCCTTTGATCTCATCTCCTACAACTCTCTCCCACACTTGTTCTGCTCCACTCTGGCCTTCTTACCATTCTTCGAATTCTCCAGATATGTTCCATCTCAGGGCCTTTGCACTTGCTGTTTCCCCTTCTCTCCAGATAGACACATGGCCAAACACATCATCTTGTTCAAATCTTTACACAAGTCACTTTCACGGAAACATCTTCCTCGACCATGCTGTCAAAATCTATAAATATCCCTCACCCCACACCCCAGCACTCCATATTCCATTTTTTTTTTCTCCTTAGGGTACACTACCATGTAACACAGAGGTCTGCAAACTAAGGAGGACTGTGGGTCAAATCTGGCCCGCTGCATGATTCTGTAAATAGCAGTGTTGTTGGAACACAGCTATATCCTTTCATGGACGTATTGGCTATGGCTGCTCTCACACTACAGTGGCAGAGTTGAGTAGTTGCGACAAAAACCATCTGGCCCACAAAGCCTGAAGTATTTACTATTTGGCCCTCTATAGAAGACGACTGTCAACTCCTGCTCTAACCCATTGCCTGACATATTATCTGCCTCCCCTCCATGCAATATAAACCCCATGAGACCAGGGACTTTTGCTTGCTTTGTTCATTACTGTATTCCCAGTGCCAGTAACAGTACCCGATGCACAGTAGGTGCTCAATTAGTATTTGTTGGGTAGACGGAGGAATGAATAAATTGGTATGGTTGACTTGAAAGGTCTAGAATACACTAGTGACTTTTTTTAACCATTTTTATTGTGAAATATGCAAAAAATACCTAAAACATAAGAGCAAAGTGTAATAAATAAATATAGAATACTCTTGTAACCACCACTCAAGTAAATAAGAAGATATGGCTAATGCCTTTCAAGTCAAAATAGTGTGCTTCTCTAAAAACCAAATTAACTAAGATGCAAAGTAGAATAAAAGCCCTGTTTTCTCTGCATGCTCTGGTTCTTAGACATGCTATCCAAACATTTTCTCACTGCTACTCATACAATAGCACACTGCGAGACAAAAGAATGAGAAAAATTCCAGAACCTCACTACAAAGCCACCCTGTTAAGGCACATGCCATTTAAGTTGCCTTACAGTAGTGCCTTGGACATTTTGAATATAATCATCTTCTGTTATTTGAGGTCCCCAGAATCAAATTCTACTCTCAAATGAACATGACACTACTGAGGCTCCCACCTATTTATGTAAATCTCCGACTTCATTTTTCTTAAGTATTTCTGATCCCTCAGAACAAAAAATTAACACAGTCATCCTCAACTCCTCTTCATTTATATCTCTCTTCACTTTAACAAGACACTGCTGCTGGTGCTCAGAGAATTCAGGGAAAAAAAAAACAATCTATTTAGAAACAATTCTGACTTAACTGCTGTGTCATTTCCTATACTTGTCTCCCTTTCTCTGAATTAGGGGGGACAGTTGCATTAAAACCGTATCTCTTTTACTTAGAATGCACCTGCTTGGGCTGATTAAGCCACAACTGAAGTCACAATCCTCCACTTTTGAGCTCCCTACCATTCTAACAAAATGAGTTATCACTTCTGGTGAGACATTTAAAAAAAAAAAATCAGGACCTGTAAAAACAGAATTGTCCCCATATGAGGTGGAGAAAAGAGAGATAGACACAGAGGCAGGACGAAAAAAAGATGTAAAAACAAGGACTAGCAAATATTTTCTCATAAAATCTACAAAAATGTTAAGTCTCAACTTACAGATAATTACCATTCCCATAAATGAGACTACTGCTCACAGAGCTAAATTTTTCTCTATTACAGCATTTCTACAGAAATGTCACATATTGTTTTGTTTTACTAAAGGCCATGCTTTGTTGTTTTTTTTAAAGGCTATCAGTTAGGGTTCAATGCCATTATTAACGGCAAGTATTAGAGATAATGTGCCCATACTAATTTCACACAATGATACTTTTTATTATTACAAATAAAGAAGTACTACATAACTTTGTTGAAAAATTTAAAACTGTATTGAGCTTTTACAATATTTTAATTTGTAGGCATAACTTCATATGGTTTTAATGTGGAGGGGAAGTAGTATTGTAGACTTCTATATATTTTCCCCACTCACAAATATTTACATGCAATACAATATAATTGCTTTGTTGTGAAAGTGCTAGAGAAAACACAAGCATCCACCTTCTACTATACCAGGGTTTCATCTTCAGCATCATGGGATATGATGTGTCCTATAGAATATTTTGCTAACAGCGAACTATAATAACCAGGTAACAATTATTTTTAAGTACTATCCCTTTCCTTACTCCATCAAAAAAAAAAAAAAAAAAAGCAACCTAAGTCTTTCATTCCATTTAAGACCTATATTTAAAATACTAAAATTCTGGTATAATATATATCCCATATATTCCACATATCTTGTATAATATATATCCTACTTTCTGATATTTTATATATATTTACAATATATAAAACACTTTTTTCTTTATAGGACTCAAGGACATATACAGTGTTGGTAAGAATTTACAAATCTATTGTTTCAAACAACAAAAAAGGTGACCTTGATATAAATTTTTTTTAAAAATTAAATCTAAATTATTTTATTTCCAGATATATGAGTAAACAAAGCATCACTATGGTAATAAAATAAAGAAGTATGCTGAATAGGAATCTGGCAAAATATGTACAAGGTTAATAAAATTTAAAATATTCCCCAGAATGGAGTCTTCTGAGACTATGCATAGAAATATCTTAGTCATATTGACTCGGTGGAGGGAAAATTAGTTTATTTCATTCCCCTCAACAAACTTACTTTGCCACATACATGAGCTTCCTGTATAGATTCACAAGCACACATCTGTACCCGTGTATATGAGGAGAATGTATCATTCTCTATATCTCTATTAGGAGAAAAGGGTATAAGCAGCTCAACAAAATTCCACAGGATTCTGCAGGCATTGATATTCAACATGAATTTTTATGAGTTTTCAGGGAGAAAAATATTCCTAACGAAGGTTGATAAGACCTGACAGCTCCGAGTGAGTGAAATACATATGCCCTGGGGCTCTCACTCACCAAGTCCCTACTCTGAGGGTGGCACAGCATAATTTGGTACCCAGCAAGCCCCTGATGTGTTTTGAGCTCAAAGATTCAGGAGCAAACATCCCGTCAAGTCCCCAAATGCAAAACCGTCTACTATAGTTACTCCTGGAAAAGTTACTCTCTCACAATGGCCATTCTTCTATTTGAGGAACAAAGCACTAACAAATGACCAAAAAGTATTAGATAGACAAGTGTTATTCTCTTCACCTGCTAATTTCTTCTATTTCACTGTCCCTACTACCCTCCACAAGACTTGGGGTGACAGGCCAGCATTTAGTGCGTTGCCAAGAAAAGAATGCTATATTTATAAAATGGAGCTTTTGTTGGAAAACATTCTTTTCCAGGCTTACAGACCACAGAAAGACACCGATGCCCTGGAAAGGGAGAGAGGCAGGCATCCTTCTCTGTTTCCTCTCTTCACATACTCAAATATCCATCAGTTCAGCAAAATTAAGTCAGAAAAAAAAAATCCTTTTCTTTTTACAAAAAGTGCACTAGCGATTCTCAGACTACTAAAGGAAATGAAAAGCACAATATTCCTAATGGGAGTAACACTTTTAATAGCTGCCTTGCTATTTGAGGATCCACTCAAAAGTGATCAGGGTAAACATCAAAAGTCGCATCTAGTTAATCTGAAGCCTTTTAAACCAGCGTGTCTGTCTCCCTTCAATACAGAGGGAAGTGTTTAGTTCTGTAATGAGACATTAATGTTCATCCAACAGGTTAGGCTGGGGTGGTGACATAAATTTGTATTTAAATTTAAGCAAAAGCATACACACTAAAATCTAGAGTCTTCTACATGTTACAAAAATAGTCACGAACAATGCAAGTAGAACCAAGTGTCCAAAATCCTTTGTTACACTGAGGGAGAAGGTCAGGGAAAATCAGAGAGTAACAAAGTCAGACACTTGAAAGGAAAACAGGTCCAAATCCTAACCCTGTCACTTACTGGAAGACCCAATGACTTGAGTTCTCTGAAACCCCCGTTTTCTCACCTATAAAATGGGGCTACTACCCTGCACCCTCAGACTTGCTGTGAGGATCAAAGGGCTGATGCATGCAAACATCTAGCGTAGTTCCTGCGCAGAAAAGGCCGTGGGCAGGAAAGAGCACTCGGCAGTAAAGATTCTCTTTCTCCACAAGCCAACGGGCGGGAGGCCGGTGCTCCTACAACCCTGGTTACTCACAGAACCACCTGGCAGGCCTTTAACACGCATAGACACAGAATCAGGGCCCCCCCCCCATTCCTCCCAGAATGAGGGTCTCCCAGTGTAGACGATGTCAAAGCTCCACAGGGGATTCAAATGGAGTCAAAGCAGGGACCAAAAATACTGCCCTAGCACCTAGTTCCCTATCCAACCCCAGCTGCCAGGAACACAAGCTAAATATTCTGCTTATTGCATTCCTGGCCTTCCTGAGCATTGTCTTTCTCCCTTTATTAGTACGCGTTGATGTTTTACTTTGTTAATGGTCACTGGCCTTTCCAAATCTGTGCTTCTATGGTAAGCTCCTCAAGTGGGTACCATGCGGAGGGGTGGATTGTGGAGAGAGGGTGAGCATGCATGTGGACAAGAGGAACAGAAAGAACAAAGGGTATGGTTATCTACTGGGTGCTACAGACTGTCCCAAAGTTTAGAGGCTTAAAACCACTACTGTTTCATTTTCACTCACAATTTTGTGAGCCAGGAATTCAGGCACAGCTCAGCAATTACGCTCTACATAATCTTTTACATTTTTAAAAGTAACTGTTAATAAATTGATACGTCCATTCATGAGAAACTTTTAAAAGGAAAAAAAAAAATAACCCTTCTCTGCTTTTACTGACCCAAAGTGTGAAAAAACACTGGTTTTGAAATCATGTGAATCATGAGTAAATTTAACCTCTGTAAGTTTCACTTTCCTTAACCAGGAAATGGTGATATCCCCCACCTTACTGGCAAGATTGAGGATGGAATTAAATGCCATAATGCACATAAAGCAACTGTGCAGTGCTCAGCACTGGCCTTCTTGGAGGCCTACAGCATGCTACGATGCATTAGCCACATTTTCAAAAGCTAAACAGCCACAGAGAATCACTTCTCATTAATGGCATCAGAAAACCCAAACATTTTAATGAGATACTGCTCCTGGTTGTATTTGAAGGTAATTTGAGTGCCTCATACTCCATTTTAATGCTTTCCTTTACCTTTTAGAAAAAAATCCAGTCAATTAAATCATTAATGACAGATTTAATGTTCTCCTTTCAGTCCAGATATGAATGTGCAAGGTGTCTCTTTTCAAGGCTCAACCACTTTAGTTAAAACCATTTTTTCCTGGCTTTCTATGTTTTTATAGTATGTTATTACACAGATAATTGAGCACTGCAATTCAGCAACCAATTGTAGAGAAGAGCTGCCAGCAAGCAGTGCTGTCAGGGAAACTTATCAGTAAAAGGAAAGAAAGGGGCAGTACTTATTATTTACACGAGGAAGTCTTACTCTTCTTGTCCAGAATTTGCTTTTGCAAACATTATGAAATGTGTGCCTATTCAGAAGATAGACTGTGCAGTGTTCCAGGCACTCTCTTAGGCTGTTCCTTCACACAGAGGCCCCGGCCAGCTGCTGTTCAGGAGCTTGAGAAAGCAAAACCCTGGCTGCTTGGGGGTTCTACAGAACTTGTCAGTCCAGAAGAGAAGCCCTTCACCCTCCAGTCCAGTCCAGAAGAGCCCCGCTCTGGGCTTCACCCTCCTAAACCAGCACTCTGAGAAGGCCCTTGGGAAGAGAACCAGGAGCCCTGAGACACCTGCCCCAGATGTCCAGCCAGCCAGAGCTGGTCTTATTTGAGACAGTTCTGCCTAATGGGTGACAACTGGCCAGCTAGAACGCCAGACGTCTAGAAACTAATTCCTATGTATTATTTGAACATCTCATACTTAAAATTTAAGGGAAAAAATTTAAAACATCTCTTCTCTGAATCCAACTCTGAACTGCTCACCTTGGTAGGGGCTGCTTGGGAGGTAGGGGGTGGTCACACGGACTGAATGTGAAAAATGCATGCACCACACCTGCCTGTGATCCACGTAATAAAGTGACGGACCTCTTTCCTAGAGTTCTTCTTCTATCAGTCTCTGAGTGGCTGGCATTTGTTTCAGAGCTTCAACTTCCCTTAAGCTACAAAATAAAGTTTTCCTCTGTGCATTTATTTGTTCAACAAAGATTTATTGCATACTGGGAGGCAACTGCTGTGGCTATGAAGATGAATAAGACAAGCAAGGGCTCTGCTCTCATGTAGCTGGCAGACTGGAAAGGGGAGAAAACATCACAACACGGCAAGGGTAAGTTCATTAACAGTCCTTTGCATAATGCCCAAATGCAAGAAGCAACTACCTTGCTGAGGGCAGGCAAATGGGAGGGATAGAAGGAAAAACATGACCTTTGAGATAAGAGATCCTTTTCAGTCTGTCTGGATCTCAATACTTTTTCTTTCTTTGAGTCAAGGATCTCGCTCTGTTGCCCAGATTGCAGTGCAGTGGTGCTATCACAGCCCACTGCAGCCTCAAATTCCTGGGCTCAATCCTCCGTCTCAACCTTCCAAGTAGCTGGGACTACAGGCATGCACCACCATACTCAGCTAATTTTTTTTTTTTAAGGGAGACTGGGTCTTACTATGTTGCCCAGCTGGTCTTGAACTCCTGGCCTCAAATGATCCTCCCGCTTCAGCCTCCCAAAGTGTTTGGATTACAAGTGTGAGCCACCATGCCTGGCTACTTTTCTCTTGAGATCAAACTCATTCTGATTCCAAGGCCTGTGGTAGAAACTGATCCCTCAGAGCTATTCCTCGGATGTCACAGAAGCAAAGGGCCTCTAGCCTGTTGTGCTTGCTGCCAAAATCCTCATGGTCACCCACAGGCCGGTAAAATCAGCATATCTGTACTTGCATGGCACCTGAACCTCTGCCAGGCAGGAAACCCGGTGTCTAAAGTCCAGCCTCCCCAGACCCACCAAGTAGCCAGTGTCCTCTGTTGCCTCATGCTGCCACCAAAAGGTTTACTGGGCTCCAACCCCTGTAACCCAGGACCCACTAATCTTGACTCCCTTCCTGGCCCAGGGAAATCTACTCACTTTCTCTCTCTTCCCTCAAAACAAACAAACCACCCTCCACACCAGGACACACAGCATTCTCTCTTCTGTAGGTTTAAACTTTTTACAAAGCAACTGAGAGGAGCCTCAACTTCAAACTGCTTCAGTTGCCTGCCAGGCAAATATCCCCAAGGCAAGGCCTTACAAGGGTCCTGGTTCCTGCGTGAAATACCAGAAAAAGACAACACAAAGTGAAAGACCCAGATTTAACAGCCCAAAAAAGATTATTTTGCCACATGTGCCCCACCCCCAAACAAAGCATCAGAAAGGATGCCTTGTCTTTCGCTGCAGAGAAAAACATCTCCAGCAGGAGAACCCCATCACCTCCCAACACGAGGGAACTATAGATCTCTCCCTGCATGTGTCCCGTGAGGTCCCTGCTCTCCCCAAACCTGCATTCTGGCAGCCCCATCACGTTGGGAGGTGTAGGAAGTACCATGTCTTTTTGGCTCTTTTTGGCACAAAAGAAATCTGCCAGTTCAAATGACAAGAGGGAACTTACTCTCCAGGGAAGGAGAAAATTGAAAGTCCCTTAAATGGTCTTCTCTTCTGCAACACAGAAAATCTCCAATAGAATTCTTCTCAAAACTTAATCCAAGATTGGGATCTCATGGCCCTCATCAAGACTCAACGAATTCTAGAGATTCCAAATACCAATTCAATAAGGGCCAATAAACTCCTTGGCTTCACATACCCCAAGACTAAAGTCTTCAGGAATAGCTTCTATTCTATCATTTCATGCATGTACTAGGTTGTCTGTGAGCTCCAGGTAGAGAAGATGAATATTTAGTTTTTAAAATTAAGATTAATAGCATGGTTGTAGCTACAAATTTCAAAAGTCCAGAGTACACACTGTGGTTATAATAAAAATAACTGAGACAGAGAATCTTTGAAGTAGTGGAACTGGCCAGACACCCACGCGGGGCCTCACGGACTGCTTTCATAGTTATTTTTCCTGAGGGAAAGGTGAAGGATAAGATGTTCCGGGCCAGGGAAAAGTAAGTAGGGTGAAAGAGAAGTTCCTTTGGGAGTTTAATGTTCATTATAAAAGCTGAACTGCCCTAATTGTTCCATCCTGGCTTAGACATTTATACCTAGCACCTTCTCCTTTAAGTGTTCCCCATTCATGCTATAAACTAATTTTCACCAGTCCCCTTGGCTGCCTTGCTTTATAAATTTGCATGGCTTTTGGGAGCAGCCACGCTGCCACAGATGGCCCATACCAGTAAACCATGACTGGCATCCACTAACCCTGTGAGGAAGGAATTTTTCCCCTATGCTTATAGAATACTGACAGAGACATATAAAATCCAGAAGTTTTTTTTGGTTTTGTTTATTTTTGTTTAACAGATTAGGTTTTTCCTCAGTAGCTTAACTTCCCTCTCCACCTGCAAACACCAAGAATTAGCCACCCTGACAGGTTTGAGGCCTGGAGAAACCACCTTATAAAATCACAGGCTCTGCTTTATAAGACCAGTTAGTCTGTGGCTGCTGAGAACAGCCAAACAGCAAGTCCACACAGCTCAGAGGTCTCAGAAAGCTCCTGGGGCCTGGGGCAGCCTGGCCACAAGGACATCAAGACCTCACCCATGTAGGGGGCTCTACTGTGATGGGGGCCATGATTCCTGCCAAGAACTCAGGGGCTGAGAGTTTCTCCTTGAAGAAGTTTTTCCAGCTATACGTTAGGGGAGACAGAAGTGGTGTTTGAAATTCTAATTGGGCCAAAATCACCACCACCCTAAATTTGGCAAATTTTGAGTAATGAGTAACCAAAAGACTTCCCAAAGCAGAGGAAGACAATGCTATCCCAAAGAGATATTACAAAAAAAAAAAAAAGGGTTATCTGATAAATTCTTATCAAACATACTTTCTTCCCAAAGTCTGGCCCCACAACAAACAGAAACGAAAAGTTCCTTAGACAATGACTTAGATGGTATTAATTGGGCCGGGCACACTGGCTCACACCTGTAATCCTAGCACTTTGGAAGGCCAAGGCAAGAAGATTGCTTGAGGCCAGGAGTTCAAGAATGCCTGGGCTATACAGCAAGACCCTGTCTCTATTTAAATATAAATATATTAATTGTAAACATTGTTTAATTACCTAGCAAGATACAAATCTTTTTAAAGAAACAGTACTCTTGATAAGATACAAAGCCATAAATAAGCTGGTAATAGAGAAAACATTGTAATCTTCATAGTATGTTGTTTCAGTAATTTTTAATTAGATACAAAATTACCTATAAAATATGTAAGACGCAACATGTCAATTATATTCCTCCTAAATATGACTTTTAAAGAGAAAAGCAGAAGACTTTAAGACTGTAACTATTTATAGCAAAGATATCTGATAGGCCAAATAATTTAAATCTGATACGACCTCCTCTTTTTCTTCTTTCCAATGCTTAAAATCGTCAAGGCACCATGGAAAATCCATCAGGATTTACAGATAAATCCATCAGGTTGGTTCCCTCCCCGTAGGCACTTTCAGCTTAACTCACATTGTTCACTTGATAGTGCACTGTGCACATTCAGGTCGAGTCACTGTGTGTGCTCTGTCTCCAAACCCAACTACAGGCTGCTTTAGGCCCTGACCAGATCTATTATTTCTTTTGCATCTTCCTTCCCTCCCCACCCACCAACTCCTACGCCCTTTGCAAGTAGCAAGGTTCAATACCTGTAGAGTTGACAAAGAAAAAGAACTGGCAGTTTCACACCAGCTCTAGCCCCAGAGCAAGCCGAGTTGGCAGCAGCCAGGGTACTCGGGGGAGTCCCAAACCTCACCACCAATAATGGAGTCTTTACCAGCACTCGTTATGTGAAGCAGTGCAAAGATAATACCCTTGCTCTCCAGGACCCTACATTTCACCCACCTAGTACTCTAACAATATTTCCTCCTTTTCTGCCCTTCAGAAGTTCAAGTGAACAGGCAAGGGAAAGAAAAAGAAACACTGCAAAAAAGAAGCCTAAACCTCAGAAGCTGATTTGGCTCAACCCACTCACCTCCCCAGTACTTTAAACACTGCCAGAGATATAGCTCCAGCCTGTGAATTTGGGTTAAAACAAGCCATACACATAAAACCTTGCTGTAATCAAGCCCTCATTTTCTAGGGCATCCTAAGTGGGAAGCTGTTAAAGCTTCCCCTCAAAATTCAAATTATTCTGACTGCCCAAGATCTAACAGTTTAAGTTATTAATCTGTATTACACATTTAGAAACAAAATTTTGAACATCCATGACACTGATTTAAGAAAACTTATCTTAGTGGCAATTGTTATATAATCCACCACTTTTCATTCAAATGAAAAGAAAGCAGCAGTAGTAATTAAATATACACCTTCAGATGTCCTTAAATGTCAAAATAAATTTCTAAAAACTGCAGGTAACAGTATTTTAACAATTCAAGACAGTGCCCATCTGATTACAGGTTTTTCAGGAGTACAAAGCGAGCACCTTCCGATGTATCCCAGCAATGGCTTACACCTCTCATTATGAAATCAACTGGTAAGACTGTCTTTATCATTTTTTAAAACCCATATTTCACCTTCCTTTTAAACACCACAGAAGATCCCTAAAGAGATATCAAGAGAGGCTCTGAAGGAATCACTGTCATTGCTAGAACTTGACTATAGACTACTTTGATGGGGCCTTTGCCATCTCTTAGAAGAACAAATTGCACTAACTCCACAATGCAGCATTAACCCTCTCATGAGAGGAGGACAGAAAGAGGAAGCAGAGAAGAGGAGAGAAAACCAGCAGCTTGCAGCATAATAAATAAAAACATTGAAATGATGCAGACATCCGTCCACAAACTCTGTGGGTCTGAGTTCCAAAAACAAAGAGGCCCCTAAAAACACACACTTGAGTGTAAGGTCGCCGCTGGAACAAGGACATGTGGCAATTATTTAAAGCCTCATCTACAGGAGCTATCCCACTATCTGAGTTTAAACTCAAAGAAAAACCATGAGAGAATTTAAAGTCTTAAAGTCTGCTGGTAAGCAGGAGACAGAACATGCAAATGAGAACATGTTGCAGAAAGAAATTCTGTTACACAAAGAAAAAAAATGTTATGGACAAAGGGCCCTTGGCTGTAACTATTTCTAGTAATAGCACTTGGTTTATTTTTAAAGGCATTCTGATGGATTTTCTGAAGTGACCACTTTGTCTCTTAAATTCTGAGCCTTCACTGGCATCTCCTGTTAGAAATGAGCTGAAAAGCAGTAGGAGACATTTAGCTTTGTGTTAAAATTATTTGCCCCCATTTGTGAAGGAGTCTTGGGCATCCAATGAAGATGTCCTAAAGACAAAGAAAGGTCATGGCCATGTCTTCAAGAGGCTCCCCAGAGCCACAACGTGGCTGGGAGTGAAGGCTGAATGTGTGGGTTCCTTCTTCCAGCTTACCTGTTCCCTCACTCAGAACACCTAGGAGGGTAGGGCCCTGCTCTTCCAGGTGTGCAGATGCTGAGAATTACCTGTGCATAGTCATCCACCTCAGAAGCTGCTATATTGCCCAACACTATAGCGAAGACAGACCTGCCTTCAGCACCCCCAGTGGAACTCGTGTTCTAACAAAAAGCTAGAGGCCGCACTGCACCCCAAGGGGCAGGAGCGGCTCAAAGAGGCAGAGGGCCCTGGTGATGCTCGGGGCCAGGTATCACTCAACCTCTCGGGTGTAAAACAGCCTTTGGCTTTTCAGGTTCAAAATTCACCTTTTCTTCTTCACCATTTCTAGCACTATTACCCCATTCCTAGGAATTTATCATCCTGGGAACTAATTAGGCTGTTGTAGGCTGATCTAGAAACTGAATCACCATTTAAAACTATGTGGAGGTAGACAAGGATTACAGAGGTAATCAAGCTGGGTCTCTAGGGTAAGCCCTAATCCAAAATGACTGGTATCCTTATAAAAAGGGGAAATGTGGACAGAGACAGACATGCACAGAGAGAAAATGTGAGAACACTGGAAGAAGGTGGCCATCTGCAAACCAAGGAGCACCTGAGGCTACCAGAAGCTGACAAAGAGGCATGGAACAGATCGTTCCTTTAAATGGTGATTTAAAACCAATCACCATTAGGGTGGTGCAAAAGTAATTGCAGTTTTTGCCCTTTGGCAAAAACTGCAAATAATTTTGCACCAACCTAATCCCTGCCAACACCCTGATTTTGGACTTCTAACCACCAGAACTGTGAGACAATAAATTTATGTTGCTTAGGTCACCTAATGTGTGGTACTTTGTAGTGGCACTAAAGGAAACTAAAGCACAGATATATGCCAAGATGGTGGTTTCTTTTGGTTGGCTTCACACCCATTAGTTTTGGGTGTGAAGTGTATGGTACTATACACTCCAAGTTCCAAACTGACTTTCAAACAAACTTATGAAATGACTCACCAATAGCTTAGTCCAGAACTGAGAACTGTCTGCCTTTGTTTTAAAAACAAAACAAAAAAAAAAAAACAAAAAAAAAAAAACACCAGGCTGGGCATGGTGGCTTACTCCTGTAATCCCTGCACTTTGGGAGGCTAGGGTGGGTGGATCACTTGAGCCCAGGACTTCAAGACCAGCCTGGGCAGCATGGCAAAACCCAGTATTTAAAAAAAAAAAAATTAGCTGGCCGTGGTAGTATGCGCCTGTAGCCCCAGGTACTTGTGAGGCTAAGGTGGGAGGATGGCTTGATCCTGGGAGGCAGAGGCTGCAGTGAGCTGAGATGGTCCCACTGCACTTCAGTCTGGGAAACAGAGCCAGGCTGTCTCAAAAAAAAAAAAAAAAAGTAGTGCATTGGTACAAAACAAGTTTTGATAGATTTCAATTTAACTATGCAAATAGACTTTCAGTCCACTTTAAGGGCTGGGCAGCTATGTCCAGAACATACAGGAAAGCCCTGGCTGCCCAGGGAAACGGAGATCCTACAAACCTTTTTAAATAAAAGACTAACTTTTTAAAATCAGAAGTAGTTGGTCTAGGACACAGGAGTGATAGACTTGTGACACGTGGCCAAAGGAAAATCATCCCAGGCAGCAGGAAAAATCCAAACCCAAGTCTTTCTGTTTGGAGCCTGCAGACTCTGCCACTGATCCAAGGATTTACAGGGAAAAAAAAAAAAAAAAAAATCTAAGGGAGAAAGATCCAATTCCACACTCAGTCTCCAAGGGTTGGCACCAAAAACCATCCTTTGTGATTCCATCTAGAACAATATCTTCTAGTGTTAAGATTACTTCAAAAACAACTCAACAGATAGCCACACCACAGCATTTTCTAAAGGACAGTCCTAGGTCAGACAGTTAAGATCCTAATTCACAGGTTCTAAAGTTACCCTGTACTGAGAAGAAGACTCGCGTTCTCCCCCCCGCCCCCCGCTTTCCCCTGCTGCTTCTACCAGCCATCTATTACAAGACTTATTCTAAAACTGACGTGCCATGCTCAGAATGACTATTCAAAGAATGTAAGTATTTCAAAAGCCACACAGAAGCCTGAGCATTTGAATGGGTGAGATGACACAACAGAGTGCTCCAGCATCAAGACAAACACAGAACTGACCATGTCCTCTGGAGTCAAACTCCTCCGCAGGGATTGGGAGGTGAGAGACAGTACCCTCAACACTTGCTAGGGATACTGACAGAGACATACCAAATAAGTGTAAAAGAATTAAAGCAGAACATATAAGTCGTCCATATTTTCCTATGTAAGCATTATCTGAAAGGTAGAATTCATGAGTAAGGATCCTTTTGAGAATTCCCGTCAAGAATGTATATATAGACCTTAATGTTCTCGCCATCAAAAAAAAAAAAAAAAAAAAAAAAAAAAAAAGGCCAGGCACAGTGGTTCATGTCTGTAATCCCAGCATTTTGGGAGACCAAGGCAGGTGGATCACCTGAGGTCAGGAGCTTGAGACCAGCCTGGCCAACATGGTGAAATCCTGTCTCTACTAAAAATACAAAAATTAGCCAGGCATGGTGGCACGCCTGTAATCCCAGCTACTCGGGAGGCTGAGGCATGAGAATCACTTGAACCAGGGAGGCAGAGGTTGCAGTGAGCCAAGACAGTGCCACTGCACTCCAGCGTGGGCAACAGAGACTCTGTCTCAAAAAAAAAAAACAAAAAAAAAAAGTAAGCATGTGAGGTGATGGATATAATTTGCTTGATTTAATCATTTCATTTCAAAATATATACATATCAGAACATCGTGTTGTACACCATAAATATATACATTTTTGTCAATTATACTTTAATAAAGCTAGGTGGGACAGGAAGAATAGGTGCCTATTGACAAATCAGAAAACACCAATTATCAAGTCCGTCAAAAAGAAAATGTCAATCAACAGTTCCTAAAAAAGTATAGAGTGATGAAAACTAAGTTTTAAAGGTAATATTTTGTAATAAGAGGCAAATAAAAAAACTGTAGCTAAGAAGGACCTCTTATTTCATCACAGATGAGGATCAGAGATGCTAATAACTTGCCTAGCAAGAAGCCAAGGCAGGAGTTCAGATTCCCCAATTTCCAGGCCAATACTTTCACTACTGACCAAATTCCTGCAATCCATTTCCACTCACAGCAGCATTACCCTGAGAACTGAGTACAGCCCAATATTACTGTTAACATGTTAAAGCTAGCTGTCAATACTTCATCAGAAACCAAAATAATTCCTTTTAACATGTGGCCAAAAATGCCTTAACTGCTACAAGTATAATTTTAATGAATAACCAAGAATTATCCTGGCAGAATACAACTCCCCAAAGCCAACAGGAAAATAAGAATTGGGTTACAGGCAAACTCTTTCATTTGTAGAAACTCACTTATCCCATTAACTGGTGTCCTAAAACCCAGGATTATAGCAGCTTTATGTCTTAGCACTAACCTTAACAAAAGTTCTACAGACGCTTAATCTAAACTTTTATGCTAAGTGCAGAGCAACCTATCCCCTAAATGGCATTCTCATTTATTCAGCAATTGATCATTGTGTGCCACATCATGCAAGGTTCTGTGCCAGGCTCTGGGATGCAGAGATGACCAAGAGGCTTGATGATCTCCTCAAACCTGCCCTTGTCCCAGTATCTCCCTACTATTCTCCTCCTCACTTGTATGAGGTTGAATGGGTCACTTAGCTGTAACATGGTAGTGTAGACCAATTTAATGATCAATTGAATTTCAAAAAGGCTTGTGTGAAAATGAGTAAATTCATACACTCATTTAATATTTAATTTAAATGAGTATATTCATATACTCATTTAATATTTAAATGAGTAAATTCATATACTCATTTAATATTTAAATGAGTAAATTCATATACTCATTTAATATTTAATTTAAATGAGCAAATTCACTTTCAGAATGTTGCTTCGCCACACATTATGTCTCAAGTGCGATTTTGTGTAATGTATTATTTTTACCCACTATATGCCATGCACCCTCCCTGTTGCAAGATTTGAGTTGATATGACATGGTTTCCACCTGAGGGGTTCACAAACCAGTGGGAGAGATTCACGAAGAGAAATTTATAGAAAATAGGCAATATGAGAAAAGGCTGTGCAAACTGTAAGTACTACAAATATTAACAACATATATGCAAAACCTGGCACAATGCAGGAACAAAGATAATGCAGCACAAACCTCCAAAAACAGAACTTATTTTGCTAACTTCAGCTTTTAAAGTGAGAAAAGAGAAATCAAGATAACTACTTTTGTTAACAGCACAATTTTATACTCACTTTCTACCTTCACATCTTCAATAGTTTTCAAAGATGACTGATGGCCAGAGAGCCCTAAAGCATTACAAGATGTCCAATTATTTAAAAAAAAATAGCTTGTTCAGCACAGAATAAGGCAAGAAAACATACCATGACATTCTAGAAAAAGAAGCAAGCAACAAGGTGAGAACAAGAAGAACTTTCAAATTAATCTTTTATGAATCATAAAATTCAGTAACCAAAAAAGGCTTTGCCCCCAAACATTCTGTTTAACAAGAGGCTTTTCTGCCATCTTCTAGCTAAAGCATTTGTTGTGTTCTTTTTAAAGGTCTGATGATAAAACTATAGATAGAGAAGAAGAAAAAAAGAAGCAAGAATAAGAACAAGGAATGACAGGTAACCTGATACACAGAAACTGGTGATTCAGAAATAACTTTAAAAGAATATAAAATGATATGATTTTAGCAGGTTACAAAATTGTCATTGTTGTTACTCTACTAGCATAACTGTTCCCAACCAGTCTTACCTGATAATTCTAAAACGGTTGCCCTCAGGCTGCTGCTCACACACTTAGGCTAAGCTTTCTCTGGGTAGAAATGTTTTAATGTCAAAAGTGGAAATCTTGAAAACAAAAACGATATTGAGGTTTCTAAGGAGAAAAATCAAGAGTTCCAAGTTGTAATTTCCCTTTAATCCCTTGTCCTCTGAAAAGGGAATCTGCATGCATCGTGGCGAGAACCCAACAATCACCGTGGATTAAAGCTGACCCTCAGGGGTCTTACAGGCTCTTTGGGGACTGTCCCACTCCCCAAGCAACAATAAACCAGGGTAGCCAATTAGGGAGACTTGGTCACTGACTGTAGAACAAATAACCAAGTAATTCCAAGGAAAGAAAAAAGTATGTGAATTAAAATTTACCAATGTAGTATTTTGAACAGTAAAGTACCAAAATATAAGGCAAAGGGACAGTCTTACTTGACAAGTAATTTTCCTCTCATTCGCTCTCCTGCTCAGGCACCCTCAATTTTCAAACTCAGGTTGCATAGACTTAACAGGGCGCTTCTACTTACCAGTCTGCTAAGAGCCATGAGGACGGGAAAGTCAACATTTTCTTGGGTTTTGCAGGTATATATTCTGCTCATTTAGGATGTCTGAAACTCTCCTCTTGAAGTAAAACCTTTCTGTATTTCTTTCTCTGGGCCTGAGTTTTCCTCCAGAGCAATCCTCCCCTCCTCTTCTTGGCTGCATCTAAGTATCCTCAGAGCCACTCTTCAAATGAAGCCTAGGTGAGGGCTCAGGTTATTTCAATCAAGCCACTCCAGCTAAAAGTATGTGAGTAAAAAGCAAATTTTGTGAGTTTGTCTTATGTAGGAGGTAGATATGCTTATAGGGAACTAATTTATTTCATAAACTAATTTGTGAAATTAGTTGTTGAACTTTTATACACAAAATAGATTTCATCACAACTTCATTCCATTTCAATACCATAATGCAATTTCGCTGGCTATGACTGCCCTAAGAAGTAATTTCAAATGTGAGGATTTTGTGAATGTCAGTCTCAGTGACTGTGTACACCGACCTAATAGTTTAACCTCCAATTTTAACCCAATTTGACTTAGTTTCCCTACCACTGATGAGGCCCTGAGGCCCTTCCTGCATTGCAGCAAGTACATCTATCTCTGTATGGAGAAATGCCTGAAAAGAAAAATGTTAAGAAGGAAGTCTGAGATTATTTTTGTTAGACAAACACAAAGAGGCACAAAATCACCAGCCAGAAAGGAACACACCTAAATTCTCAGCTTATCAAAAAAAGGAGCTAGCCAAGTTCTAAGGCAGAGGCCAAAAGACCCACATCTGATGTGAGTTTAACAGACAGTCATCTACCCACACTAAATTGGGTGCACCTGTGATCCTGCTGCCCACTGAAAACACCGCAAAAGCACAAACCAAGAACATTAAAATTAAATTTTCATTTTCCACATGATAGCCTATAAAATTAGTTAAGAAGTTCAATTTATCAGTATTCCATCTTCCCTCCCACCTACCATCATTCCCCCTTCCCCAGTATCATTACAAAGCATTTGGACTGAAAGGTTCAGTGGAGGTAAGTATCATAATCAAAATTATATCGACTGTGTCTGAGAGGGGAATTGATGGGCTGGCAAGAGTACAGGCCTAGGATACAAATTTATAAGCTGTCTCACAGACATGTGTCTAGTTATGAATTCAAATCATTAAATAAGCAGTGACTGCTTTTCATTAAGGGAGGCTGGAATCGCCACCAGGAATTTCACACAAGTTCCATAAACTTAAATGTGACTTCAGAGTATGTGTCTGTACCAAGGACCACAGTCCTGAACCAGCATTTCACATTTAGGGCATGGCTTTCTCTCCTAACCCTGGAAGCACAGATGACTATTATCCAATCCCTCCTAGGAATTCTGAACCAGGTGAAAGGGCGATGAGAGAAGGGTGAAGAAAGGGAAAAACACAAATGCGCAGCAGCTGTTGGCGAAACCAACT
Organism: Homo sapiens; assembly: GCF_000001405.40. Lineage (NCBI taxonomy): Eukaryota > Metazoa > Chordata > Mammalia > Primates > Hominidae > Homo > Homo sapiens. The sequence goes on along the minus strand of NC_000005.10, from coordinate 66,603,954 downwards.
TCTGCTTAATTTTGTATTTTGGTATGCTTTAACCTAAAATAACATCATCAAATAAGAAGCCAGACAAAATACTGGACACATAAAAGAGAACAAGATGCTCTGAACTAAATGATGCAAAGTTGTGTAAATGTTAGCCTGAACAAGTGCACAGAGCAGAACACCAGTTGTTTGGAAGAGAAGTGAACTGCAATCACTGCACCAGCTTGAGTTATATCAAAAGGGCTACTAGGTTATTTGCATTTTTGTCTTAAAAACCAAAATGTTTATACTGTTCCAAGGAGACAAAACAGAATTTGTGTTAGGTAATCTGCATACAGGAGTTCTTGTATTTTTGAAAGTTCTATTGCATTCCTAACAGATTTCCCCTCTGAGAAGTTGGGATGGCTGCATACCATCTGCCTTGCACCATCTTTCATGCTTATATGAACCAAGGTTGACTTCCAGATAATCACCTGATTTCCTTCCTACTCCTTTCTCATCCCCCAAATCATTATTCTAGGAAGCTGAAATGAAGTACATGGTCATGTCACTAGCCCCAGGACATGGCTGACACACTGCCTTCTGACTAAATCTCTGGGTGCAGCTAGTAATTTACATGTTCATAAAATCTTGCAGGATATTATTTAATAACTGATCACTAAGAACAGGTTCCATGAGCAAAAGAGAAACGGTGTCTTAACAGAAGGGTTAATGAATCATATACAATAAAGCTTTGCTGTTAGTACCTCATAATGAATGCTCTGCCCATGAAATTAAAAGGGATAACTGTTACATATCTACCTACTCATGAATGAAAGCCTGCCAGGACTACCAACAAAATATGCTAGAAGCATAATCCATCAGGCAAGGGACTTGTAGGTTTCTTGCTTATTATGTACCTGCCTATGGTGCTGATGGTACCAATACCCTGCATAAACCAGCTTTTCCACACTCGGTAATAGTAGCAAATACCATTATGGAGTGCTTACTAAGCACCACACACCATGCTGGGTACTCTCCATAAAACATCTCATTAATCCTTATAATGACCCTCAGGAATAAAAACTACAGGCCCATTTTACAGATGAGGAAACAGCCTCAGCAATAAGAACCTAGCCAAAGTCTGTCCCCTTAGTCACTACAGACTCTGACCTCAAAGCAGGGAAACACTGGCTGCTAGCTCTAAAGGAATGAAGGAGAAGAATGCAAGCCCTTTCTGGCAACACTATAGAATGTAAGAACATAACCAGAAAACACGCAGGGTGGTTTTCATCTAAAACACACAATCATCTCTTCTAAGATGCACACCCCCTAGCCCCCACTCAGCTTTTTCTAAGGCCAAGCCACCAGGTCATGGACCCTTCTCACTGTGGGACACGTCCTATGAGGATTCTTTTTCCAGTTTATCATCTTTATACCCCACTTCCATGACCTTCCTTACAAAGCCAAACTAGAAAAAAAAAAAAATCCGCCTGGACTCCTGCACTGTATCCACTAGGTCTGAGTGGATAGCCTTTGTCACAGGCTCTAAAACACTGGCAAAATGTTAAGTATTTGACATTCCCTGGAGTACTTCAGACCAGAGTGGAAAGGGTAAAAGCCTTCGTTCTTTGGTAGTGACCCTTTCCTCTTTAGGAAAATCCAAGAAAGACTGGTAATGCGTGTTAGTACCCAAACACCACACTTCCTGTCAACAGAGAGGCACAACCTCAGACCATCTCCCTTCATGCTCACCCCAGGTAAATCTGTCCCTGAAATTTACTCTGGAAATGGGCATTCACAAGACCCTCTCCTCACTCTCCCGTCATGGTAATAAAGTTTTTCCTTCAATACTAGAGTTACAATGGTATGGCAGTGAAAAGTAGCATTAACACTAAGATGTTCTCTTCAACAGATCAAAAGTATTTCATATGTATGTATTTTCATATTGTATTTCACACGTATTTCATATGTATTCATATGTATGTATTTCATAGGTATATGCATATACCTGGAGTACCTAAGCTACTAGGGACAATCGCATCTCACCCCCACACAATTTGCTAAAGGGACATCTTCTCAGGTTATCAATTCCAACTCTGGAACGATTAGGCTATATCAACAGTTCCCAGCAGGTGGGCTTCATACTTCCTGACCCTCCCAAAATACAAATCTGATCATGTCACTTCTTTGCTTCAAATCCTTCAATGGCTCCCATTGCCTCTAGAATAAAGTCCAGACAGCTCTGTATGACCCGGCTGCTGCTTCTCTATCAAATGTCATGAGATGTCATGCTCTTCTCTCCTCCACACCTAACAACTCAGAATCCTCTCAGAGCCATGGACCCATGCTCTCTCCTGCTTCAAGGCCTCCTGCTACCTGGATCACACCTGTCCTTCCCTTGCCCTCCCCCACCTAACTCCTGCTCATCCTGGGGGTCTCAGCTCACAGATCACTTCCTCAGTGACTCAGTCCTTAACACCAGACTCAGTGACTTACAAGTGCAGCCACATGCTACCTCACAGCCTGTTCCCCATTTGCCACTTTTTGAAACCAATTAATTCATAATCACATATTTAGTGACTATCTCCCCAACTAGAGTTGAAGCTCCCTGGGGTCAAAACCATCTCTGTGCCCAGGACGATGTCTCAGAGTCAGACTCAATACATTTTGGTTGACTGATTTTCTGATCTTGTGGCTCTTACTGAATTTGGTAGAGTCCAAAAGTAGACTAAATAATAAATATGCCAAGATTTATGCACTACTCTTTTAGAATTATGTAGCTTCTGTGATTAATAAAATATAAATTCAATGAAAAGCTTTGCTGAATTCTTGCTTGCTTTTTGCTATTAATGTCTTAACCAACAAACACCAGAAACTCATCTACTGCATTAGTACACGTGGGAAACCCCCCACTCCATAAACACATCCAAAATATTAAAAGCAGTCGTCATGCTCATATACCACTTAATAGAACAATTTAAAGTCATCCTATCACTGTAAGCCTATTGTTAATAAGAGAAACCATTTCCTAACTTATACCAACAAAATAAGTCCCTTAGTGTAGCAGAGTATACATGGGTTGTCTCTTGTTGAGTTGGAAATCCTCTTACTTACTAAGCCCTTTTCTGCCATTCTAAGGATCCCAGCACGTTTCAAGTTCTAATAAACACAGTGAAAAGGAGTCAGTAACAGTTAATATACAAGTCTCTTCAAAAGCATTCTGAGTGAAACCTCAATGATTTGACTTTGTTCAAAATTTACCTGGAAAAATTGTACGTTTCTCACTGTGATCCACAATGTTTCTCTTGATAAGAGATCTAGAGGTTTGCATATCATAATTCACAACAGACAAAATCAATGAATACACACAGGTACCCTTCAATCAAATGTGCAACTATTTTCATAGATGCCATTTTTTCTCATTCATTCAACATATATTTACTGAGCACCTACTAATATATTAACTGTACCATGCTAGGCGTACAAAGACAAAATTCCTGCCCTCGGCCAGTTTGCTGAGACAGTTACCAAACAGCACCCAAGTACTTTCTTAAAGTCATCACAGGGTGTTTTGGAAAAGGACAAGGCAGAATGCCTAAAGGCAAATCTCAGAGATGTTGTCAGGGGAACAGTCCTTCAATCTAGACAGTGTTAACTCTCAGAAATGAAGTGTGCTACCTCCTCAACACACACGGACCCCAAATTCAAAGGTTTGGGGAAAGAGCCAAAGTCAGATACAGTTTCCTTAAACAAAAGTCATGCTGTATGTCTAGCTGTCATGTGTTTGACATAAAAACTACCATTACTGTCACATTAAACTACTGTTTTTAAGACACCAAAAGCTTAAAGGGTAGACTTAAGTGTGTGAGACTTTGGAAGTTTATACAATTATTGACAGTAAGATAAAGTAAAAAATAAGTCAAACTCTGTTGACATTACTAAATACATTCAAAACAGTTTTAACAAGGTTGCCAAAGAAATTAGCACTGCCCTAATATACTAGAAGCTTGAATTTTACTGCTTTTCAAAATTTGATACAATGTTACTGTAAACACACACACACACACACACACACCCCTTTAGAAATAATCAATTTCCCAAGCTAGACATAACAATTTTAAATGAACCTCTTTCCATTTTTTGAGTTGCACACAAGCCTTTTAATGCTTTATACTCAGTGCCTTTCTACAGTATAACATTACACTCACATCGCCTTGTCACAAAATAACTGGAGACAAATAAAAACTGTTTCCCAGTTTATTCCCATTTTATGAGTATAAGCTAAGTAGACATAGCCTCCGATTCTCTGACAGTAGGTAGCATATAAGTTATGCAGCAATAAAATAACAGGACAACCCAACTTTGTATTCCTATTTTGCAAAATGTCATCAAAAGTGACCTTAAAAAATTAATATTTACTTACACTTACTTGGCATTTGATGCTATATGTTAGCTACTGTGCTAGGATTAAATTAGATAGCATGTGTAAAATGCCTAACTCTAATGCTATTATTCCCATTAAAGGTAGGAAAGCTGAGATTTGCAGAAGTTGAATGGTCCACAATCCCACAACTGGTCAAGGTGGCAGAGCTAGAAATCAAACCCACGTCTTTCCACTAAAATGAGTGTTTATCACCCAGCATTCCCGAATCCTCTGGTGTGCTTTTTGAGGAGAGGGGCAAAAGAGGTTTCATTTGCTCCTTAAAGAGGCCCACAACCCCACAAACAGTGAAGGTGAACACCCCCCTGCCCCATACCATCACCAGTGTAAGAACCAGAAAATGCACACTGGACTTCAACCCCTTTCACAAAGATTATCACTCCTCTACTCCATAAGAGGGGAAAAAACTACATGGTTTGGTTTTCGTTTCACTTTAAAATTCTCAGAGCAAGTCAAGATTTTGCTCCTGGGAAATTTCCAGCATCCCATGCCGCAGGTTAAGTTACATAATAAATTGCAATACTGTATCAGTTTACACGCAATTCTGAGATTTCACAAATAGTGACCCATGTTATTTAATCATTCCACTTTCCAAAATGTGTTTCAATCAACCAGTTCTCACTGCATTGCCTGTGAAATAAGTTATCATTATATCCACTTCCAACAAAGCAAAGCACTGTCACCCTGAGGCCAGGCAATAAATCAGCGACAGAATGGGGATCAGAAGTTCCCCGACAACATCCCTCCCCACCACCTGCAAGACCATGTCACTTACCATGGAGCACCCTCCTAGCTAAATAGAAAACATAAAGCAACTAACTACTCTCCACCAGCGGCAATACTAAATTAGGAACTATTGGTGAATCATTAAGTTAGGGTACACCCCCAGCTTCCCAATGCCAGTGTGCTCATCTGTAGAAGTGGAGGCAGAAGTTAAGGGGCAAACACGTGGCACATGCCCCGCACCTTGAAAGGGAGATGTAATCAGCGAGGAAGGCTGGGGCAGTACAGGGTTTGATCATCTCCGCTAGGATGTAGCTCTGCGGTGGGTGAGGAACTCAGCAAACTCCTGACATCCCGCCGCTAGGATCGATTTGGAGCTATGGATTCATCTGAAATTCCTGATTCGAAACAGGAGTATGAGAGTGAAAATGAAATTTACCTTGAAGCTCCTCCTTTTACAGATTATGGAACTGAACCTCAGAGGAGTGAAATGATATACCCAAGGTCTCACCACTCAGTAGCAGAGGCAGTTCTAGAAAGCAGGCCTCCAGACCCTTATCCAGGATCCTTGCAATGGGGGCTTAGGGGAATTAGGGAATGGGTCATGGTTACTGCAAGTGGCTTGGCCAAGAACCAGCTAAGCAGCTAAGGCTTGTTCCATCTCTGCCAAGCTAGGACTCGCCTCCTCTCAACCTTGTGCCACATCCAGTTTTTGCTTCCAGGCTGGGGGCCTCTGATTGCTTACTCTAAGGGACAAAGGCAATTATTTACTAAAGCTAACCCCATCCAAGATGAGGAAAATACAACACTGGCACTCAGGAATTAATTTCACAATAAGTCTATGTTAAGGTGATGTTTTATTTGTGGCCCTGCCTGATCAAGATGACTTCCCCACAAGAAACGTCCAAAGCAAACAATCTTTTTTTTTTTTAAACTGAGTCTGGCTCTGAGACGTGAAGAATTGTACACTTCTTTAACTGTCCTCCAAAAGCAGAAAATAAGCCGGACAGAGCAGCCAGAAGGACACCAGAGTCCTATGCTCAGTGTGTCAGGAAGCGACCCACAAGTTCTGGAGGAACATCCTTCCAGGAAACTGGGCAGATACAGATCCCCCACCCCGCTCCGCCCCGCAAAAGGTAAGACGATCTGTACTCGGTTTGGTGACAAGCGTTCATCTGGACAAGCTGGAAACAAGTCTGAACGGGAGCTGCAGGCGCGCACGCCAGCGCCACCGAGGGAGCGCGGGGAGTCCTCTTCTCCCAGAGGACCGACGCTGCGGGGACGCGCCAAAACCACCCGCGGGCGATCCCAGGGGGCTGGCGCCACTGAAACCTCCGCAGGCAACTCCGCGGCTACCGCTGCCCCCCACCCTACTCCTGCCTCTTACCCCCAAGGCACCATTTCTCCCCCTCAACTCCCTGCCCCTCGGCCCAAGCGCTTCGGTGGGAAACAACGCCCACTTTGGAGAATCAGAGGTGAGTTGTGGGGACACGCCAGATGTCCAGATCGCATCCTTTCACAGATCAACCAAGTCAGATACAAACACGAAGGAGTTTGCTTCTCTGACATTTTAAAAACACACCATCAGGCAGCACACTGAGACACACACACGGGGGTAACAGCCACAGGGAAGTCAATAACCCACAGGGGGGCTCCTAACTATCGTTGTCCCGTGCTCGGGGCAGAGCGCTTGGGGTCCCTCCCTATCTCCAGGCCACAGCGCTCTCCTGCCCACTGCCTGTGCGCAGGATGGGAAACTACGGTCGCCCGGCTGCCGGAACCCAGAGTGGGCAAGCTGGGGAAAGGCCCACCTCCTCGTCCTGCTCCTCCTGGGACGCGCTGCTGCCCCGGGGCGCGGGCGGCACAGCTCCTCCGGGAAGCGGCGGCGGCAGCGCAAGGACTCCGCGCTCCAGCAGCACGCTTGCCGGAGCCCACGCGGCGGGCGCCCGGGCGCCCAGGGTGCCTCCCAACGGCGGCGGCGGCGGCGGCTGATGCTCTCTGGAGAAGCCGCCGGGCTCCCCTTCCTCCGACAGAGTTTCTGAGCCCGAGGAGGACTCGGCCGAGGAAGCACCCGGAGAGGACGCGGCGACCAGCGCAGAGGCTGGAGTCCGGCTGCCGTGGCCACTGCAGCCGCGGGGCACCGGCTCTGGCGCCTCCGAAACTTTCTCCCCCATTTCCCTGTCTGGCCCAAAGTGCCTCCCGAGCGGCGGGGGCGCGGCGCGCACTCAGCGCCTCCCGGGGAAGACGCGGGCTCCTGGGCTCAGGCTCACTGGCACTGCCGCTCCCGGGCTGCAGGGAGCCCCGCCAGCGACTACATGGCAGTGACGGGGCCGCAGGAGCCCGCTGCTAAGTTCACAGCCGCCCGGGCCCGGCCGCAAACGGAGGCTCCCGCGCGCGGGGACATGCCCGCTCGGGTCCGCGATCTGCGCTCCACTGTGCTCCCGCGCTGCACCCGAGCCGCGGGTACTGCGGCTTCTCCTTGCAAAACCTGCCTCCGGGACGGAGCAAGGAGACGGGCAGCCCGCAGAGCCAATGGCAGGGCAGGCGCGCTGGTGGGCGGAGGCTGCGACGCCTCCGGCCATGAGGGCCTCAGGTAGGGGAGGCGGGGCCCGGGCGCGGGCCGTGGTCCCGCTGGAGCGCCTGGGCGCAGGGGACAGGGACCAGGCGGGGGTCCCCGGAGGGTGGGGGCGGAGCCCAGAATCGGAGCCAAGGGCTGAGACTCCGAACTTAGCGGGGGAGTGGCTGACCGTCCTTGGGACGTCAGAGGGAGACGGCGAGCGGATGGTGAGACCTTGGAGAAGAACTGGACTTTGTCTCCAAAAAGTGGAATCAAGAAAACGGACAAGAAGGAGGGCTCTATAGGGAAAAAAGGAACCACACACACACAGTCACCCACGCACACGGACTCACCAGCGTGTTGGAGGAAAAGGACAGAAACTTCGTGGTATAGTGAGCGGACCCAAAGGGGAGTGACCTCTAATCTCTGCTTTTCCGTTTAAGCTCTTTGGGCCTCAGTTTCCTCAACTGTAAATGGCTACATTACTACTGGTCTTGGCAGGCTTAGAGCAAATATATATAATGCATCAGCAAAGTGCCTGGCTTGGATACACGGAGCGTTTTTAAAAGACTATTTCCTGTCTTTATTTCTGTTTGTAAACTAAAAAGTTAAGTCTGAGACTTGAACCTTTTGATAGGGAGGAAGATAAAAAAGTATGTCCTTGTATTTAATTAGGACCAAGCTCTGTAGTCCTACTCAAATTGTCTGTCTCGGTATGATCAGCTAAGCAGAGGATGAAAAGGATTCACTTTCCAATGTACATTCTCCTAGCCCTGGGTTGTAAACCAACAGGATACAGGACAGGTTGCTTCATTTTCCTTACCTCTAAGAACTAGGAGAAAGAACTTTCACTAAAGGTACCAATAGAGTACCCTTAAGTCCTTCCCTGGGGCTGGAGGATGCTGCCTGTCCGGTGACTGGAATTTCCTTGGAAGCCAGCACTCAGCTCAGCAGTGGGAAATAAATGATTCCTCTCTTGCCTTCAGCTCTAGTCCCATTCTGAGCTCTGGCACAGTGACCTGGGATGTAAATTCAACCGCCTCAGTTCCATGTACGTTGATGGAGATGTGTGCCAGGTGCAGGGGATACAAAGATTAATAAGTCAGGTCCCCTGCCCTTGAGCAGCTTATGGTCAAGCGAGAGATTGATACTGCATAATATAGCTCCCTTATCCATTTTAGAAGCTGTGATAAGTGATACAGGAAAAATGTGTGAGGGAGAAGAGGAAAGAGTTACAGAAAAACAGTAGCAGGTCCTTGAGCATCTTAGATTTCTCTTTGTCAGAGCAGCCTTGCCAAAGGTCCTTAAAAACTGGAGGACCCTAATTGAAAGCCCCTTCAGCTAATGAGCCTTTCATGCTATCATGGTATTTACAAGTGATACATCACACAGAGGGCTTCATCATATTGGACAGCAACCTTTGTCCTGATCAGTTTCCTCCCCTCAAGATGAAGGGGAAGGAAATACGTTTTGTCTATCTTGCTTCAGACAGCCATACTGCAAAATGGACTCCGGTTGTCAGGCTTTCATTGTGACGCTTCTGAATTATTCACAGGGATATGAAGACCTGCTGAGGCAAAAGGTCAAGTCTAGTGGCAGCTAAGTTGTGAGAGCAAGGCTAAAGAGAGAGCACAGTGGGGCAGTCCGAATTTAACCCGGGCCTCACAATTACTTTCCTATTTAGGAGTTCTGGTCTTTATCTGAGCCCCTACGTGGTTGATTCACCAGAGCTGAACTGAAATGACAATTTCAGCCATGCACATAAAAGAAGAGGAGGAGTTGCTTTTCAGTACATAGGGAAATAAGAAGCAAGGTCATGGTCTGAATAACCGACAGCAAGAATGACAATAGTTATTATCGCCTGAGTCCTCTGCATCTTCTCTGGATGGTCTCATTTAATCCTGGCAACAACCTTGTGAAACAGATTCTATTAGTCCCACTTTATTGATTAAGAAACTGAGGATCTGCAAAGGTCACACAGCAAGTAAGCAGTGGAGCTGTGGTTTGGAACCCAGCAACCTGATTCCAAGGCTGTCTTTCCTAGGCATTCTAGTATTAATACAATGCCACTCAAAACAGACAGCTTTTTCAAATATATATATATACCATATTATAAATATCCATAGGGAAGAAACTTTGCTGTATTGATTCAATCTGTAAAAGAAAATACTTGAGGAACATATTTGTTTTTCCCACAAACATTTTTAAGGTACTTACTATGTGCCAGGCAGGATTTTAAGCACTTTAAAATGTTAATATACTCAATTCTCATACCAGCCCAATGAGGTAGCTACTATTACTATTCTCATATCATATTTGTGAAATATGTGAAAACTATGACAGAGAAGTTAAGTAATTCAGCTAAAGTCACACAGCTAGCAAATGATGGACCCAGGATTCAGATTTGAACATTTGGTCCCAGCATTTGTGCTCTTAACCTCTACAGATCAAAGTCAAGTACTAGATCAGTATTTCTTGAACTTTTTAAACCTGAACCTCAAATAAGAAATATATTTCACACTGGAACTCATGACACATATGCATATGTACAAATACAAATAAAATGTCATGAGACAATACTTACCCATCCTTTAAGCAATGCACCCTGAAATTTATATTTTATTAAAAATAAAGATGCTAGTTGTAGTCCACTAAATAGATTTCAAACTCTACTTCAAAACTTGCAGTTTAAAAGTGTACTTGTTCATCTCCACACCCACCTGTGAGGGAAATAAACTGTAGTTCAGGCTAAGAGTATCCAGACCAGAACATGGCCAACTCAAAGGATAACTATAAATAGAAGATGACTAGAGAGTCAGGATAGTTCCCCAAAAGTATCCTAGTTAGACCCATGGATAAATTTCCTGGGGTGTGGCCAAACCACTGGACCAAAATCAGTTTTGATTTATCCAAATCCTGAAGTTCAACTTTCCTATCTTGTTAATTAAATAATAAATATTTTCCTCAGTGGTCAGAAATGTGCCCCCTCCAAGAGACCTTTTTATAAACGTGTCTAGTGTTGGAGACTGTGGGACCAGAGGTGAGTGTGAAAGCACAGGTTTTTCTCTGCAGTGTCACCATAGGCAGGAGCCAGAAAAATAAAAACAACATCATCACAACTCCTGAAAAGCCAATAGTGTAGCGTCACATGACAGAACCAGACTAGCCTAAGGCGAGGAGAGACAAGGTCGGTGTACTCCAAGGTAATCAGTTTCCATGTGTTCTGTGAGACATGCTCACAAAGTATTTGATTCAAGGACAGCACCCCTGGGAATCCGGTAAGTATTCATTGTGTTTTGTGATTGAATGCCCCCCTCCGGTTTCTATGTTTTTCTCAGAAGTGACGGGAGACATTTCCTCTGGGAGTCTCTGTTGTCTCTGCCAGTCTCTGCTGTGTAGGTGAGGCCTATTGTGAATGTCAAGCTGTCTCTGCCAGATGGACGATGTTCCAGCAAAGTCATCATACCCTTAAGTCTACTCCCAGTGTCATGACCTTTCTCCCAAACATCAGGTTGGGAGGAAGGTCAGTTGTCCTTCTTTCTTACATAGATGAAATTAGAACATCATGAACTCAGAACGAACATTTTTGCAAAATCACAAGTAAATATGTTTCTATTTAATGCACTAAAAATCCTAAATATCAGATTATCTTTGAATTATGAAGATGATTATATTATCCAACTTTGGTAGACTATTTTTATTATCATTGTTAATGATGGATTTGCCTACTCCCCTATGACTAATAAAGTACAATTTCAAGACAAAGTAAGCATCTATCAAAAGGTGTCTGTTGAGATGCGCTAGATTGGGGTTTCCGATTTATACCCGAGGGTGTAGCATGATACAGACCATGGAAGTTTCTGATCATCCAGCCAGGAGGAAAAGCCCGTGGAGCCTCTCAAGCTTTTGTTTGTATCTAAGGAAAGGAACGAGTGTTACTATACAAAGCTCCAGAAGATAAGTCAAAGGATTTTTAAATGATGGTCAAAAAGAACAGGGGAGGAAGAGGAATAATGTGAATTGCCGCTATTGGGTTCTCTGACCTAGGTGTTGAGAAGGATGGGAAACTAAGCTAAGTTAGCGAATTAAAACAAGCCTGTGATGGACCAAAGAGGAGTATGCTGCTGATCTGATTTCTCTGATCAAAGTTTCTGAATGTGTTGTATGTGGAACACTTGCATCAGATGACCAGGGGAGTGGGAGATGCTGGCTTCCTGGCCCCACCCAAAGATCTGGGAATCTGTATTTTTAAAGGACTACCCCAAAGAAGTATCAAGTATTCTGAGCCTTGAGTATTACTGAAGATGGGCCTAATTTGGAGATCAAAGAGACATTTTATGGGACAAATGTGCCTGGCTCTATAGAAAGAAGGTGGTTGGAATGATCTTGACTGCACCTTGTTGGACCTGTTTCTTATTCTCCTAGAGACCAACCACCTTGAGGAGACAAAGACAGCTTAGCAGCTGGACAGGAATATGCATGCTCTAAAAACAGCTGGAAAATCTGAGCTAATACACAAAAAGAACTGAGGATGATGTTCCCTTGAGGATTCTGTTTAAACAAAATACAAAATGGTGACCTATTTCCCACAGAAGACTCCAATCTTTTGCATTTGTCTTTCCAAAACGGATACTCACATCTGGGATTTTCTTGCTATGCTTTCAGCATGAAATGTTCTTTTATCACTTTTCATTTTTCCAAAAGATGTATTCAGTACTTTTTGCCTGTTGAGGAAATAGAAGACAGGCAAATACATTTACTAGCTTTTATTCATTAAGGAGGTTTGCTTTCTGAGTCATTTTCTATTTTCAATTCTTAGAGCAATCTCCTTGACTATCTATGCTATATGGCAAGTAGTTCTTTCTACCACTAATGCCAACTAATTAGAAAATAAAATAATGCTGAATAGTTAGCTAGCAAATATGAGTTTCTCTGCAGCCACAAGCCACTTTGCAACCCTGCGAATACTTTTTAAGGCTTTTGGTACTTGAAGAAATACCATCTTCTAGCCCCTTTTTTCTCAGTGTGTGATCTGCCAATGAGCAGATGTGGGAGCTTGTTAGAAATGCAGACTCTTGGTCCCTGCCCCAGACCTACTCAATCAGTCTTAATAAGATTCCCAGGGGCTTCATAGACACATTAACGTTAGCAGAGTACCACTCTAGTCCAGTGATTTTTAAACTCAGCTGCACATTAGAATCACCTGTGGAACTTTTTAAAACTACCTACACCTGGGTCCCACCCCTAAGCTCTTCTGATTTGATTGACTTGGACTGGGGTATGGACACTAGGATTTAACGACTTCCCCAGGTGGGAAGTGGCTGATTTTAGGGCCAAAGCAGGTAAAATACAAGATAAGCCTTGAATAATTCATGGTGCACAAATTAAGGAAATGCTCAACAAAAGATGGGATCTTACTGAAAGAAAGCAGATGCCAGTCTAAGGGAGCTCTCAATGGCCAAAGCTGGAGCAATTTGAAAAATAAATTCAAATTATAATAACAAATAATGATAGCATTGGGTTTTAAGTCATAGACTAAAATAAATATCCATGAGTCCACACTCATATAAATAAATAATGAAATAAATTTAAAAGTAAGCAGAGGAGCAGAGACAGCTCTTCCTCACAATAGAGGTCCAATTAATAAACATAGAAAAGAGGGAAATAGAGAACCACCATTAGGAGAACACCACAGCAATCATTGTTTTGGGTTGACAGGACCCAAAAATGTACATCAAAATTTGTGGGCAAAAGTCTGAGAAGAAAAGGATTTGCATAGACTTAAAATCCTTCCCCTAACGTACTTACCAATACAAAGATAGTCACTTTACAATGAAAACCTTAGGAAACAGCAACTTAACCATAGAAACATCACTATTAATACATATCAACATCCTGAGCCCCTTGCTATAATGCACAACCTCACCTTTGTGGTATTCTTGACAAAAATGCATAACTTCAATCATGAGAAAACACAGCCAACCCAAATTGAGGGACATCGTACAGAATGACTGTTCTTACTCTTCAGAAGTATCAGGGTTGTGAAAGATAATTAAAGTGTGATGAACCGTTTCAGGAACTAAAAAGTAACACCTAAATACAATTTGGGATCTTGGGTAAGATCCTGGAATAAAAAAAAAAGTACATGAGGAAAAAAAATGGTGAAAAATCCGTAGTTTACTAAATAATATTGTACCAATGCTAATTGCCTGTTCTTGATAACTATATTGTTATTATAATTATGTTACTAGGAGAAGCAGGGTAACAGGGACTAGGGTACTCCTAGTAAAAGGGTACTAGGGACTCTTTCGGTTTTTTTATTTTTACAACTTTTCTAAAGTCTAAAATTAGTTTAAAATAAATAATTAAAATGCAAAAGTCCCTCGGTAATGCTGATGGTAGCCAAGGCTGAGAACTACCACTTCAGCCCTCAGTGACCCCATTCCTCCCTTCCTCCTTTCTCCTTACACAAGGAAAATAATTTTTTTTCCTATCTTGCCTTAACCAAGTGGCCAAGCTTGGGTCGAGAACAACATTGTGAGTAACAACATCACTGTTCAAAGCCAATCTCCACCCAGGAAAATGTCCATGGATAGCAACATGAGAATCTCATACTCAAAGCATAAACATAATGGTAGAATATTTGGAATCTGGCTGCTTATATCCATTCTGCTTTCTTTTGGTGAGAACATCCCAGTTTATTTTTAAGGAATTACATATTTCCTTCTGAGCAGTCTCAACCTTGTCAACCCAGGATTGGGCTATCTTTGGACTTTGAATCTTGAGAAGAATAACACAAGATCAGTGGTATCTGGACAAGACTATCAATTAGTTCCCATTAACCAGATCCAGAGCGGCTACGGTTCCAGTACTTTTCCAAGTCTTATTCTCCAGCTTTTCCTTTCATTTTCTGAACTACCATTAAACTTCCTTCTGATTGAATTAGCTAAAGTCAGCAGTTGCTTGCCACCAAGGAACCCTAAGAAATACAGGTGTGCTGACCTATATTTCCACCCAGTCCAGGTGGAAATAAGACATCTGAATGCAATCCAAAAGCTATTAATGATACTAAACTTAATGATGTATTCCTGACCTTGATAAGAGTGCTGTTTCCACCAAATTTTAGCAATCTTATTAACGTTTCAGGTATAAGAAGAAATCCCTCTTACTGGAGGTTAAACTACTTAAAAAAAAAAAAAAAGAGTGCCCTGGCAGAAAAAAAGACCATTTCCAGTTCTGGAAGAAACAGATCCTGGCACCACACTATGTTGGAGTTGTCTGTCTGTCTTCCTGCTAGGTTACAAGAGTCTTGAGGGCAAGAGAGCTTACTGCATCTTACTGATTCAGCATCTTATTTGCGCTAGCACCTAGCACAATATCTGGCATATGGTAGTTCATGATAAATACTTATTGAATGAATTGAGAACATTGCCACCATGCGACTTTAAACCAGCTTTATTAAAAGTCTGTGTTCATCCAAAAAAAAAAGTTTAAGCATTGTATAGGCTGATCAAAGAACCCAAAATATTTTAGGAGGAAAAAAAGCATCTGTTTAGTAAAGTGGCCTCATTCCTGAATAGTCCTTCATTTTAATAAAAATAATAATTGCATAGAACGCTTCCATTCAAACCACTATTATTCTGTCATGCTCATAGTAGTTTCTTTGCAACTATTTGCCTTCCTAAAACATCCAAATTAATAAGCAATGCTTGCATGAATATGGTGAATAGGGTGGAAGGAACACTTAAGGAGCTCTCGAGACTAAAGCTGCAAAATTCTTCTTGCAGGCATCCCAAAGACATCACTCAGGACACTAATCAAGGTGGGAAGAGTCTATGCCCCTTGTTTATAGAAAGCCCCATTCTTATGTAAATTTCACTCATGTAAGAATATCAGGATCCCTTATTACACTTATTCTTGTTGCAGAATTAACAAGGGAATTGTGGCAGGAGGAAGATAAAATGAAATAGTGGGACATCAGCATTATGAAAGTCAGGGTTCTTAATTGCCAATCATGGAATCTATTCTATTTGGTTTAAATAGGAAGTGGATTATTAGAAGACATTAGAACGCTCACTGAGTCTTTGGAAAAAGTGAAGAAACAGGCTCTGGAGTGAGCTTCCACAGTCCGCAGAACCTCAATGCAGAACTGGCAGGGAAGGAAATGGCTGTTCCTCACGATTCCAAAACCATGTTGGTTTTCCCACCATCTGTGCCTGCAGAATTGATGTCCTGCACCCCACCTGCTTCCTCATATGCATCACTTCTGTATCTGCATCTCTGTATGTGCATCTGATTAGCAGAACCCAAGTCACATGACTGCACCCTGGCGGCAAAGAAACTGAGAAATGTGGGAGCTTTGCATGCTATCTTGGGAAGATGGGATTCACACCACGGGGAACCATCATAATGTAGAAGGAGTATTAAAAGATTTGGCTAACAGGGTAAACCAAAATGATTTGACTTTAAAAGGCTCCAACCCTTGATTAATTGTACCAATCTGCCCCTAGCATAATGTTTTCAGCCATCAGGTAGATGTGGGCCTGAGCATCAGCTTCAGCATGCCTGCTCCAAACATTAGAGTCATTTCTCCACTAAATATCTCATCAGGGAAAAGAATTATCACGTACTAAACACATTCTATATGCTAGACACTGTACTAAATGCTTTATGTGCATTATGTATTTAATCTCCTCAATAACCCCACTTCAAGGGCTCAATTCCCATTTTACAAGTAGAAAAATGAGTGCTGAGAAATTAAATAGTTTTTCTCAAAGTCACACAGTAAGATGGGGCAAAGATTTAATCCAAGGTCTCTCTCAAGTCCATGCTCTCCCTTCTATATTGGGTTCTTAACCAAGATTTTCATGGAACCATGGAAGTGGCTTCAGGAGCCTGTGTAATTGTGGATGTGTATCTTTCTGGGGAGATCATGCACAGCTTTTATCAGATTCAAAAGGGGTGTATAACTCCCCAAATGGTAAAGTATCACTGCACTCCCCAAAGTTGTAGTAGGTCAGTTTATGGTCATATGGTCATAAAGCTATTATTGTTGGGGCAGGGGTATATTCCAATTATATTTTTTTAATTGGGGTTAAAAAACTCACATGACATGAAATCAGCCTCTTAACAAATTTTTGTTTACAGAACATTATCATTAACTACAGGCACAATGTTTTACAGCAGATATCTAGAACTCTTTCATATAACTGAAACAATACACATTGAACAGCAACTTCCCATCTCCCCTCCCCTTAGCCCCAGGCAACCAACATTTTACTTTCTGCTTTTATGAGTTTGACTCTCCAACTATATTTTTGATGTTTGATCTTAGCATTTATTATTTGTGATATAATTTTGTAATATAAGATTCAAATTTAAAATTAGAGTCAAGAGCCCTGTCTCTTGGAAGTGGGGGGAATGCATGTCTGTGCCGGAATGAACAAAGGTTAAAACCAATGAGAAAGGTTCTGTCTGAAAGATGACAAAGGGCTGAGCAAACCAGGAACATATTTTTCATTTAACTGCTGAAGTCTTAGCTGTACATCAGAAGGCCTGGCTGCTATTTGTGACTTTGCCACTGACTCCATTTATCAGGGCCTCCATCACCTGTATGATGGGGTAATATAAAACCTGCCATCATTTCCTCCATCACAATGTTATGAGATTGTTTTGAAAGTGCTTTCATTCCCCCAACAGAAGGGCATTATAGATCTCTCTATATATACCTGGTATGACTTCTTTGGGGGGAAAGAAAAGCACCTCAGAGAAGACTTGGCTCACAACTTCTAGGACTGAGTAATTTCTGAGTCTCACAGGCATCCATACGTGGGATGTTCTTTGTGAAGAAAGATTTGTTTATATCTTATTTTTTTCATTTCTAGTGGGTTGTTTCTTCCCTCCTTTTCATTTGTTGTGCTTTTTTTGAAAATTCTAGTATAAATCAGCCTCTCAAATTTTGTTAGCTAGCTGGAATGTTGCTTTAGATGGTTCATTATTTGTGTCTTGTTGTCAACATGCATAATATTTTACAGAACACAAAAGCTTTACTCCAGAAACAAGACAAAGATTATTTTAAAACAGAAAAGATGCAAAGAAGCCCAGGAGAGTCAGCCTGGCCCACTAGCAGAAGTAACAGTGTACACCGTAAATACAGGAGAATTTCTAAATGTAGCCTTTTATGAATGGGATCAACCATCTGAGTATGAGATTTCTCCTTTGCCACCCACTCCCCAAGCAATCAGTGTTTTAAGTGGCATTTTAGAAAGGTAATGAATATCTGCTAACACCCAATGTCAACTTAATTTCAAAGCTGTAGAATGGACCATAAATAAAAACAGTGAGTGGTATCCATTCTTAGCCTGTTCATACCAATGGAAATATGGATTACCAACAGGGAAAGCCAAGAGCTCTTCTTGAATAGGGTGAAATTCCAGATAGTATGAAGTTCAATTGTTGGTTGCTATTGTTCTCAATGTTATTATTATGTTTTCTTGAGTGTTTTTTATAAATAAAAATATGAAGAAATTCACAATTACGGTGACCTATTGCAGTTCCTAATTTAAAACCATGATCTTACATATTATATTGCTTGGATGAAGATTAATTGTACTTATTTAATCTGATGTCTAGTGTAGGAACAGGAGCTACCTCCTCAAGAGTTGAAGAATTCTTCACATTGCTGCCCACACAGGAAACCTGAGCTACATCATGTTGCCTCCATAGGATGCAACTAACTCTCCAGTTGGCAAGATTTTCTCCATAATCAATCAGTCATCAAGTCTGTTGACTTTTCCTTCCCATAACTCTCCAATCATCCTTTCTTTCTCATGTCAAATTCCATTTCTTTGACTCAAGTAAGCCCCATCACTCTAAGATTACTCCAACAGCCTTATAAATGTCTTCCCTTCTTATAGTCTGGCCCTTCCAATGATCTTGTACCTCCATGCCAGATCAATCTTTTGGAAACACTGCCTTGATCATGCCACTCTCCTGTGTGTCAAGGGCTACCCACTGATAATAAGGTAAATACCAAAATTCTTAGCCTAGCATGCAAATTCCCACAATCTTTTCAGGTTCACTTTCTCAACCTCTCTCCACAAACCTTGCACTCTTGCCAACTAGATTATTCACTGGACTCTATTCCAGTCTCTCTCCCATAAGTGTCTATATACTTAGAATCCTGTTCAGCCTTTCTCTCCACCATAACAATTTGACAACTACTCGAAGTCTATAGATCTGACAAAACTGAACTAAGATCCAGTCCCTTAGGGGGCAGTTTAAACATGTCCTCCAATTATTTGATATGCCTCCCACTGAAAGGTGGGATTTAGGTCCTCTCTGCTTAAATATGGGTTGACTTTAGGGATTTCCTCTTAACCAATAGAATGCTCTATTAGTTAATGGAATGCTCTTAACCAAAAGAAGGATTGCTGCATAAGTTGGAAGGTCCTGTCATAAGTGGCCATGTAGCTTCCACCTGTTTTTCTTGGAATGTTGCTCTAGGGGAAGCTAGGCACCATAGAAGAAGTCCAAACACCCTGAGACTACCATGCTGGAGAGACCACATGTAGACACTCTGGTGAGCCCAGGTGAGCGCTAGTATAATCGCTTTTCAAGGAGGAAGATGCCCTGGACATTCAGCCCAGTCAGGCCTTCTGACGACTGAAGCCCTCATCAGTATCTCAGGATCCCTCCAGCAAGCCCTTCCCAAATTCCTGACTCCCAAATCATAAGCAAACTGAATGGTTGTTTTAAGTTACTGAGTTTGGGGGTGATTTGTTATGCAATAATAATAATTAGAACACTCCACACACTCTCTTCCTGAACTCCCACTCCTATTTTCTTTGCTTTGGACTTTGAAAACTTTCTTTAATGTAAAACTTGCTTTATTCTAGACAGTATACAACATTTCTTAGACAATAAATACCTTTGATACAATGGGGAGGAAACAGGGCAACTAAGACTTTACAGGAACCAAAAAATACATTAGATAGTATTTCAAAGGTATTATACAAGTACATTGGTTAGGCACATAATAAGTGATCAAATTATATAATTTAAAATGTTTGCTGATGATTATTGTTAGGAAAAAGGCAACTTACTTATTAATAAGGTCAATTCTTAAAGAACTCTATTCCATCACTAGGACTCGGACTATAAACATTTAAACTATAAATAGTGTTAGCTGCCATATTGTTAGTGGTGGTTATGGTTTTGTTGCTCCCAGAAATGATATCCCATAAGCATTATTAAGTGAGAAAGATCAGTATGTTTTCCCCTGTAATTGTGCTTCTGTCCGTGAAAGTAAAATTCTTTATTAAAACAGACAAGCACAAATATTTATTAGTATTACTAATTGCTCTGTTTAAATAGGACATATAATTAGGATATGATTTAAAGAAATGTCAGATACTTGATACAATTGCATCTTCCTTTCTCATAATCCTTGTTATTAATCACTGCTTAATTTAATCCTGGGTTTATCCTGAGTTTAAATAGGATTAACTTACCCTTTATCCTCCTAAGAATCAAATCTTAAATTTCTGGATCACTTTCCTTTATTGATACATCTCTGTCTATTTCTGATTATGGAACATTCCTGCAACCACTTATTTTTCTAGGCTATTGATAAAGCAATTCTCCTCTAGGTCTCTTCTTTTTAGAACACATCCTTGTTCCTCTCCCTCCCCACCCACTGTCCAAATTTCTACAAATCTTAGTGGAAATTGATATTTCCTTTGCAATTACAGCATGAGTATCCTAGGACATTTCTCTTCCCCAAACTAGAAATTCTTACCATCTCTTCAAGTCTCTGATTCTGTTTTGAGCAATCAATCCTGAATCACGATTTTGTATGTAAAATTCCTTTCCAAATGGTCTGGGGTTACAAAGCAAAGCTTTTCCAAAGTTACCTTTTCTAGTTAGAACTTATGATTTTTAATAAAGATATATAAAATAAGTTTACCTTAGTAGGGCTAACTTTCCACTAGCAGAAAAGCAAGGCAATAATTTTAGGGGTGAATGTTTGGCCTTGACAGTAGTTTTTATTGTTTTTATTTTGCTTTGTTTTTGTTTTTTTTTTTTTACCAGGATGTAAAGGGAGAGCGGTTGATGATAAGAGTCAATCAAATCTTAGGTGGCAGCCCAAAAATAGAACAAAGTTGGGAAAATAATGTTGAAAATAAAAAAAAAAATGGTGGGATAAATAAGAAAACAAAAAGCTACTAAAGAAAACAAGAGAAGAAAAGAAGGCTGAATATGACTGCTTCAAAGAGAGACCAAAGGGCTCAAAGTTAGTGAGGGAAAAAAAGAGGAAGCAAACAGATGGTTTCAAAAACGGAACTAAGGAAATATTGGTCCTATGTTTGGAAAAAATAATTTTGATCTAATAGTATTGTGAATGGAAAGATTTAAAAGCAAGACCTAACATCTTGTTGGATCATCTGTGAGTAATGAATACATATTTGTTGACTAACTAGGAAAGGAGCTTCTGTGAGGAAGCTGGCGAGTGTGAGTGAGAAAGAGGCTGACAATTTTCTGTGCAGCGATAATATGGCTGGATTCTAAGGATGGGGAGTGTCTGTTACTGATACCTGATCTCTGACGTACTTAAATATTTTAGGGATGTGTTTATAGTTTTAATTTCCCTCACACAGCTCAGAGTGGGTGGGTACATGATACATCACACTCTAAAAAGCCTGTTACTGCATTTCTAGAGAATCATAATGAACAGTTTTTCTCCTCCTATGAACCACACATTTCCTCTCTTTCTTCCTACATGCAGCACTAAAAGCATTAAGTGAAATTACAGAACATTTTACACAATTTATAAAGTAAATATGTCTTCTAGTTATATTTAGCATTGTCTCTTTTTACCATTTATGGATATTCAGAAGGTAACATTTGCTTATTTAGGAAGGGCAGCAATTACTTTCTCTATCTCAGTCTTTGGCCAGAATATCCTAATGATGACCCCTTTTTTTTCAGACAATCGGGCAAAACCTAAAATTTACTAATATAAAATTAAGAACAATGTGTTTGCTTGAAAATCACATTTTTTAACAATGTTGTTTTCTACTTCTTCTGAATCTTCTAAGACTTTTCTAAGAAATTACCGAGTTAAAAACTTCAGATATGTCCAACAAAAAGACCCCGTAATGCTGTTATCTGCCCCCAAATGATCACTTTCCTATTGTACTTTATGAAACAAAAATGTCCTGGGCTATTTTCTTCAAAATAATCCACTGGGAAATGGAGATTTGGAAGTTATAGGCAAAACACATGGCCATGTGCCAGTAATTGTTGAAGCTCTGTGACAGAACGTTTTCTTAATGAAATAAAGTATATGTGCAAGGATGTCCACAATGGCAATATTTATAACATCAAAAAAGTAGAAACAACTGGATTATTCAATAGTAGGAAAATGGCTTTAAAAAAGGGTCAATAATGGTATATTCAAAAGGTACATATCATGTGGCCGCTAAAACAGACCATCATGTTTTCAATAAATATTTCATGACATGGAACAATGCCCACAGCTTGCCAAGCAAAAAATCTGAGTGACAGTCTATATATACAATATAATCTCAATTTTTAAAAATAAGTTAAAATATAAATGGGATAAAATTCTTCAGACTGGCTCAATTCTAATTTTTATCCTAAGAAAAGAATCAGAAATGCATAGAAAGATTTATGTATACAGATGTTTATTATAGAATTTATTATAATAAAAAAGAAATAATTTGGAAATTGGTCAAATTAATCTGATATCTATTTTGTGGAAAACTATACAGTCATTAAAAGTCATATTTTTGAAAAATATTTAATGAAACTACAAAATGTTTGTAAAAAGAAGTCAAGTTAAATGGCACAATTCCAAACAATATAGCATAGTCCACACATATTAGGAAAGGAATCAAATCTATTTATAGCCTGATAATAAGAAATTAGAAGTTTTTAAATTTGTTTTTAGAAAACAAATGGGGCCAGGCACGGTGGCTCATGCCTGTAATCCCACCACTTTAGGAGGCTGAGGCAGGTGGATCACTTGAGGTCAGGAGTTCGAGACCAGCCTGGTCAACATGGCAAAACCCTATCTCTACTAAAAATACAAAAATTAGCCAGGCATGGTGGCAGGCACTTGTAATCCCAGTACTTGGGAAGCTGAGGCATGAGAATCACTTGAACCCAGGAGGGGAAGTTTTCAGTGAGCCAAGATCGCACCACTGCACTCCAGCCTGGGTGACAGAGCTAGACTCCGTCTCAAAAAAAAAGAAAAGAAAGAAAAAAGAAAACAAATGGAATTTGAAAATGTGCTCTCTTTATCTAGTATCTTGGGAAGGGTGTGTGTGTGTGTGTGTGTGTGTGTGTGTGTGTGTGTGTGTGTGTTTCCACAATGGATTTTCTAGGTCAGAAACTAAACTCCGTTACCACTGATAATGACTGTTCATTCCAGGCTGGGTGTGTTTGGAAACTCGCCCTCCAAATCATGAGCTCACAGTCTTCTATCATGCCTTCTAGCTCACTCTTCATTCCAATGTGCAGAGATAGCTCTAGTTGCTCTGGTTACTAGTTTTAAAAAGGTACCAACACAACAATTTATAGGGAGAATGAAATCTCTGAAGCTAGAATCACAAAATACTGATTCTATTATTTGAAAATGAAACAGTAACAACTTTTTCCCCTAAATTGTATAGGCATAGATTATTTAAGGTTTAATTTCCTTCTTTTTATAGATACTGTTAACTATGATGTATGAGTCATTTATTTTTATATTTATATGCAACACTGAACACTTGTTCAGATGCCACAAATGACAAAGGCAAAATAAAATGATGGAATGGGATAAAGATAGATACATCTCAGGAGGAATAAACTGTACTTGTACCCTTTAAATTTATACAAATAAAAAAGAAAGAAAGAAAAGAAAAGACATTTGGATAAAATAAAACTGACCCACTGACAGTGGGAGCCTTCCTTGAAGGAGGTCACTAACTCCACCCTCCTTAGAATGTTCATTTTGAGGGGAAGCGCTCCCAGGAAATTGAAGCCCAGTCTTCCTCTAGACTTCAGCTCTCCATTCCCCAGCCTCTCAAACTCCACAGGCTTGCAGGTAACCTCAAAGATTAATCAATAGAAGGAAGCAGGGGATCTGCATAATATGTCTGCATGAGCCCAGCAAGTCCTAGGAAGTACAAGGCAGAATTGCTTGGTTCCTTGGGGAAGCTCAGCAGTCTTGGGACAGCTGGAACTATGCTTGGTCTGTAGAATCGAGCAACCCGCTGTGATCTTATCCAATTCCACTCCATAGGCTCCAAGTGCACATACCTGCTTCTGAATTGGCTGCTGCAGTTGTGAATTATTACGGTCTCTACAATCTAGATATATAATATCATCGAGTAGAGAAAGAGACTGTGTGGGTGTGTGGATGGGGCAGCTCGGGCTGTCTTTTCCTCTCAGAGTAGCAATCTTAGCAAATGCATTGGGCTTTTTATGTCATACTCTTCAAGAATTATCAAGTATATTGCTAATGCTTTTTTGGAAGACAGTATCAAAGCCCTTAAAATAAAAACAAAAATTTATAAATTTGACCTAGCAAATGCTTTTCTAGAAAATTATGCTAAGGAAGTAATTAGTACACAATATTTATATACAAGGGTATTCATCAAAGTGATGGTATTATTGATCCATTAACTACTATAATGCAGTCATATTTATTAACTTAGAAGGAAGTCTAAATTCTGTTAAATGAAAACTTTAGGCTATAAACAGGATCTATGATATAATCCCAACAGATTTAAACATATACATAGCAAAGACTCTAGAAGGTTCCACACCAAAATATTAGCAATATTTATCTCTGGCAGAGGCATTATGGGTAAATATTACTCTCTTCTTTACATTTCCATGTGTTGACTAAACAAAGCATAAAATAAGGCAAGTAAAAAGAAATCCATCCCTACCTTCTAGAACACAAGATTTTTATTAAAATGATAATTCAAACAGCCTAATATCCCATTTTCTGTGTAACATCCTATTTGCGCCTGTATTGGGATGCATTATGGTCCTGTGTTTAAGTTTAAGCTAAGCAGTGGGAATACAGATATTACATACTTTATTCTCCAATTTACTGGCTCTGGCAAGTCAGGAAATCATTCTGACTACAAGTTGAATAAAATCAGCCCAAATAGAACTAGCATCTTATCTCCATGCTGTCCGAATATGCCCATAATCTTCCGACTGCAATCTGGAAACCTCATGGATGAACAGTTCTGTTCATCAAAGATTATCATTCAGGGATTAAAAATACATGGCATGGCTACCACCACTACCTCCTCTCACAACCATGGCAGACATCATTAATCACACTTTGTCCTATGAACCCAGATGTGGCCTCAAAATCCTTTCTAACACAGCTGTGCTGCAGGCAGCTCGTATCAATCATTTATTATTTCAACGCAGGTTGAAATCTATTAGCCATATCTGCTCTGATTACTCTGGCTGGAACACTATTATTCCTGTGGCTGGTTCCCAGGACTATAGAGTTGAAGAGCATGACCACTTTCTTTCTTTAATGATCTCTCTTCCCCTTAAAATGTATCGAACATATAAAGGGGTTGCTGACATAAGGCTTACTCTCAGGAGCCCAGCAGCATGTTTTTAAAAACCCCCTACCTTCAGTCCTGAACTAAATAAAAGAACCATCTCTTTTCAAGATCTTCAAAAATTAAGTGATAGAAATTTGAACTCTCTCCTCCTTATGTTAACTGTGTTTATATAACACACAAAATAATAGAATATTAAGAGCAGTTACAAATATTAACAGAAAGTAGAACTCTAAAAGGGCTATAGAAAACTAAAATGGAAAAGGTCATCATACATGGAACCAAAGCAGTAAATGAACAATTTTTGTATTCTACATCCAGAAAAGTCATACTTCTTCCAAAAGTTTGTCTGAGGAAGGTACTGTAAAATCTCAGAGAACTTCCACATGTAGGACAGGCAGGATCTAGCCTTATAGAAATGACCACCTGGAAACCTGGATCAATATGACAGATTAATAATATTTTCTAACACTCTTTTTTTTCACTTTTTTCTTTTTTTTTTTCTTTTTTTTTTTGAGACAGGGTCTCGCTCTGTCACCAAGGCTGGAGTGCAATGGCACAATCACAGATTACTGCAGCCTTGACCTCCTGGGCTCAGGTGAGCTTCCTGCTTCAGCCTCCCATGTAGCTGAGACTACAGGTGTGTGCCACCATAACCAGCTAATTTTTAAATATTTCTTGTAGAAACAGGGTCTCACTATGTTGCCCAATCTGGTCTTGAACTCGAGGGCTCAAGCAATCCTTCTGCCTTGGCCTCCCAAAGTGGTGAGATTATAGGTGTGAGCCACTGTGCCTGGCCCTAGCTCCCATTTTCTAACAACCTCAGCCTATACAAAACTCATACAAAACTCTATGCAAAACTCAGCCTCCAATCCTCCATTGAACTGAATGGATGAGCTGTTACTATAGCTCTTGATTCTGTATTTTAATCAGAAGCACTAGAGAAATTTCTATATTGTGACTGCAAAATCTCCCACAGGGTTATGCATGAAATCTGCCCAATCATCTGTCATGTAAAACACAAAAACAGTGTAACTCTACCCCTTTGAGGGAATTACTTTGTTCAAATGACCTCATTCACTGGGGCGAGGGAAGAGAGTGAAGAAGTCTCACCACCTTATATCTGCACAGTTTGCCTCTATGATTTCCAGCCAAAGGGAATTCTTCTTATTTCTAAAGGGAAACTCTTGCCATAATAGCAATAGGACAAGAACTTGATGAAAAACTGATTTTTATTGTATGTAAAGAATCTCAAAGATGATAAAGAAAAGAAAAAAATCATTTCTAATTCATATGGTGACCTTATTAAACAATTAAGTTTCTCTTCATGTAATCAAGTTGTATTTAACCAGATGGAAGAAAGAATTTATTTGATTGAACTTTTTTGTAGCCAGCAAGGACATGTTGGTCTTATAAATATCAAGGATATGGTATCTCCATTTTTTTTTTTTTTTTTTGAGACAGAGTTTCACTCTTTTTGCCCAGGCTGGAATGCAATGGTGCGATCTCGGCTAACTACAACCTCCACCTCCCAGGTTCAAGTGATTCTCATGACTCAGCCTCCCGAGTAGCTGGGATTACAGGTGCGTACCACCACACCCAGCTAATTTTTGTATTTTTAGTAGAGATGGGGATTCACCATGTTGGCCAGGCTGGTGTCGAACTCCTGACCTCAAGTGATCCGCCCACCTCGCCCTCCCAAAGTGCTGGGATTACAGGCGTGAACCACCACGCCCGGCCAGTATCTCCATTTTAACTGCAGTTTCCCAGCTCAACAAAGATCAAATGATCCATGTGGCCTTGTCTTTGCTAAAATATTGCTCTGTCTGCACAATGTAAACACATACTCAAAATACCCAAGGCACTGACACTCTTCTTTTAGGTTGTGGATGTCATCTATGCCTAGTAGCACCTTAAGAAAGCTTTGTAGCAAATATCTACAGAATTATTTTAAAACATTTTTTTAATAGTCAAGTGCAGTAGTGAGAAGGGGGGAAATACAGAATTCTTATATAAATTAAAGTTCCTACACAGGCCTTAAAGTGCCACAGTCACATTTCTGGAAAACCAGGATGAGACTGTGGGTAGAACATTATAGACTAGTACTGCCCCCCAAAAATATATATATGATATGAGCCACATATGCAATTTTAAATGTTCTAGTATCCACATTTTTAAAAGCACAAATAGGTGAAATTAATTTTAATAACAGTTTATTGAACCCAGTATATCTAAAATATCATTTCAACAATTATTACTGAGACTTTTCTGTTTTTGTCTAAGTATTCCAAATTCAATATGTATTTTGTACTTACATCTCAATTCAACAAGCCACATTTCAAGTGCTCACTGAACCACATGGGTTAGTGGCTACGTCATGGACAGTACAGTCAATGAACATATTTCTTGATGCTTCCCTTAGCGTAACTTTACCTCAATCCCAATTTTCAAATTTTCCTCCTTACCCTCTGATCTCCATAAGCAACTTTTTCAAAATGCCTCTGGGGTTTCATTCTCCACTCCATTCTCTTTTATCCACACACTCTCCCTGGGTCCTAAAGCTTTAAATTCCCTCTATATGCTGATGACTCAAATTTCTATCTCTCGCTCAGAACTCTCCCCTGAGCTCCTGATTACATATTCAACATTTCCTCTTGGATGTCTAATAGATGCCAAAAATGTAGTGTGATCAAAATAGGTATTGTTTAGGACCAACTCCCCAGTATCACCACCATATTTACTCCTCCATCAGGCTTCCCCTTGGCAAAAAAATGGCACCACTACCTACCTAGTTGTTTGCCTAAATACCACTCTTCCCCACATCCCATATCCAATCCATTAGCCACTTCCACTGTCTCTACCTTCATAATGTATCTCTATTCAAACTCCTTCTCTTCACCTCCATTATTATAACCCAAGTCTGAGACACTATTATCTCCCTCTGGATTATAGCAATCATCTCCTAACTGGCCAACTGCCCATAGTCTACTTGCCATTTAGTAACCAGATTGGTCTTCAAAGCACAAATCATATCATATCTTTTCCCTTGCTTACAACTCTTCCATTGGTAATGGAGGACGTGAAAAGATGATCAACATCATTAGTCGACTATTAAGGAAATGCAAATTCAGTCCACAATGAGATATAGTTGCATACCCACTAGAATGGTTACCATAAATAAGACAGACAACAAAAAATGTTGGTGAGTTGAGAAATGAGAAGCTTCGTACATTCCTGGTGAGAATATAAAATGGTGCAGTCACTTTGGAAAACAGTTTGGCAATGTCTGAAATTCCTATATAGCCCAGCAATTCCACTTATAGGTATGTATTCAAGAGGAATGAAAGAAAACATGTCCACATAAAGACTTGTACACAACTGTTCATAGCAGCATTCATTATTCACAACAGTCAAAAACTGGAAACAACCTACCTGTTCATCAACAGATAAATGGATAAACAAATTGTGGCATATCCATACAATGGAACACTGTTCAGCAATAAAAAACAGCAGACTACTAACATATCCTACCTAACCTCAAAAACATTATGCCTGGTGAAAGAAGCCAGGCACCAGAGTCCATATATTGTATGATTCTATTTATAGAAATGCCCAGAAAAGACAAATTTAGAGAGGCAGAATGTAGACTAGCAGTTGCATGGAAAAAGGAATAACTGTCAGTGGGCTGAGGGATCTTATTGGAAGAATAAGAATGTTCTAAAACTGATTTATGTTGATGGTTGCTCTCCTGAATTATAATTAATATATAATTATAATTATAAATTAATTAATTCAATTATAAAAATCATCGAATTGCACACTCAAAACAGTTGAATTTTATGATGTAAAAATATACCTTAGTAAAGATGTTTAAGAAAACAAATAAACAAAACTTCTCATTACACTTAGAATAAAACCCGAACCGAAACTCCTTATCATAGCTCACAAAGTTCTACATGATTGGCTTCTTCCTACCTCTTGGACCCTGTCTCCTACCAGCCTTGTCTTTGTTCACTGCGTTCCAGCTACACTGGTCTGTTTTTGTACCCCTTGTACATGCCAAGTTCATTGCTGTCTCAAGGGGTTTGTTCCTCTGCAAGGGTTGCTCTTTCTCCAATCCTCTTATGCCTTCCTCTCAACATTCAGGTCTCAATCCAGAGAATTTCCCCAACTCCACCCACGCTGAAGCAGCAGCCCCTCTCCCACCGTAGCTCAAGTCATCCCCTGTGACTTGACTTACTTTATCCTCTTCATGGCAATCTCCCATATCTAAAGTTATCTTTATGGCTAATGTCCTTACATGTTTACCACCCATCTGCCTCTGCTAGCCAATACATTCCCCATTGAGGGACTTACCTCCCTTTTTAAAAGACGTGTTCAGAACAGCAAGTTCTGACACACAGAAAGTCCTCACTAAGTGAGACAGACTGACTAACTTGCTGCATGTTCTTGAATGTTTTATTTAATCCTCTGAGCCTAAAATTACTCTTCTGTAAAAAAATATATAATGATTATATTTCTTTCTCACCTCATGGGACTGTTTGTGAAGCTTGCATCAGAATTATGTGAAATCTGTCTGTACACAAAGCTAGCTATTACTACTTTTATGAGAGGATTACTTCGTGATTCCTTTGGACCATCCTTCTGTTTACATATTTCAGGGTCAAAAAACTACTGTCACTGAATGGCTGAGTTGTACACTCTCTGTATGCTGGAATAAGGGAGACAAAGTGAGTACAACCAGCTGTTCTATATGGATATGCAAGGAAACCAGTGCTCTACTGATGCACAGGACAAACAATACCTTTCCTGTCCCCCAGTTGCATAAATGAAGGAAGACGGCATCTAGTCTCTTATAGGAAACCCAGCTATTCTTCTGGTGACAATGATGAATCTTTAGGGAAGTCCATCTGTTTTTTGCCCTTTGCCCTTGCCATGGAAGGGAGGACAAGGATGCAGTACTAGCCACACTTGCTGTGCATGTAAAACCCAAAATTCCAAGTGGAAGAAACTGGACTTCAAAACCAGTTCATTTCACATAAGCCACTAAATGGATATGAGAGGGTAATAGCTTTTCTCTGCCACTTAACTAAGCTGCTAAATCTGAACTTGTTCCTAAATTTTCCTTCCTTCCTTCCTCCCTCCCTCCCTCCCTCCCTTTTCTCCTCCCTCCCTCCCTTTTCTGCTCCCTCCCTCCTGCCCCCCCTTCCCTTCCTTCTTTCCTTCCCTTTCCTTCCTCACTCCCTCCCTCCCTCCTTCCTCTCCTCCCTCCTTCCTCTCCTCCTTCCCTTCCTTCTTTCCTTCCCTTTCGTTCCCTTTCCTTCCTTACTTTCTTCCTTCCTCCCTCCCTCCCTTTCCCTCCTTCCGTCCTCTTCCTCTTTCTCTCTCTCTCTTTTATTCTTGCTTTTGTTTTTTAAAATGTGTAATTTTCTTAAATGTTCTCTTGGGAATTATTCTGACAGAAATCCAAATATTTCTTTCTCTCAAACTAAAATACTGTTTCCCAACTGGCTCAATATTTTTAAACTTTAACCCCTTCATAAATTCTTTAATGCAACAAGACTTTCTTGCGCTTAAAACTGTCATTTTCTTGTTGCCCTCTAACTTGAATGTTAGTTTTTCCAGGAACCCAATACTTTTTTCAAAATATTTTTCATAAATTTTTGAAGTGATTCCTTAGTGCCTGTTAGTCTTCAGCGTTTCTGATGAGAATTCTGATGCCAAACTGATTCTCCTGTTTAAGTAACCTCTTTTTTCTCCTCTCTCTCTAGAAACTTTCTCTTCATCCTTAGTGTCTGATATTTCATCAAGATGTGTCTATTCCAACCTGCTTAGCATTTTGTGGGAACTGTTAATCTGAAAACGTGTCATTGTTCAGCTCTGGGAATTTTTCTTTCTTTTTGTTATTTAGTTTTTATTTCATAATCATAAACTTAATTCAACTCTGCAATCCAGCTAGTCATGGAAGGGAACAAGGAAAACATGGAACCCAAAGGGAACTGCAGCAAGAGCACAAAGATTCTAGGATACTGCGAGCAAATGGGGTGGAGGGCTGCTCTCCTGAGCTACAGAAGGAATGGTCTGGTGGTTAAGATAAAACACAAGTCAAATTTATTAGAGTTGTCCACAGTCAGAAATGGTGATCTTCTTGCTGGTCTTTCCATTCCTGGACCCAAGCGCTCCATGGCCTCCAGAATATTTATGCCTTCTTTCGCCTTGCCAAAGACCACATGCGTGCCATCCAACCACCCAGTCTTGGCAGTGCAGATGAAAAACCGGGAGCCGTTTGTGTTGGGTCCAGCATTTGCCAGGGACAAGATGCCAGGACCTGTATGCTTTAGAATGAAGTTCTCATCATCAAATTTCTCCCCGTAGACGGACTTGCCACCAGTGCCATTATGGCGTGTGAAGCCATCACCCTGACATATAAACCCTGGAATAATTCTGTGAAGGCAAGAACACTTATAACCAAATCCTTTCTCTCCAGTGCTCAGAGCACGAAAGTTTTCTGCTGTCTTTGGAAACTTGTCTGCAAACAGCTTGAAGGAGACGCGGCCCAAGGGCTCGCTGTCCACTGGAATGTGGAAGAACACGGTGGGATTCACCATGGCTGAGAGTACAGGGCTCCTGGCGTCTGTGGCTTCCGCTGGGAATTTTTCTTATATTATTTCTTTGATTTTTTTTTCTTTTTTTGCCCCTGCCATTTTTAGTATTCTCCTATTCTGGAGTTCCTCCTAAAACATTCTCATTCCCTTACTAATATATTTTTTTTCTACATTATTTGGGCTATGGTTTCCTCTGCGAATGTGAACACATCAGCTTTGCTCTTTCAGGGCTTCTTCAAATTTTCTGATATGCTAATGACACAATATTTCCTCTTTTCCAGAGCTGACTCCTGTGTGTGTGTGTATTTTAAGTTGTTTCTTGGGATCAGAGTTCTTAGATAACTTTAGCGTACATCATGGGGCTTGTTAAAACACAACTGCCCAGCCTCTCCATAGAGTTTCTGATCCAATATGTGTAAGGTAAGCATTTCTGATCAGTTCCAAGGTGCTGCTGATGCTGCTGGTTCAGAGACCATTCTGAGATGACCACTGATCATCTCTGCCACATCCTCTGTATCTCAGCCTTGTATAGTTTTGTACATGTTAAGTAGATGTTTATTTGCCAATTGGCTCACTTAATGCAGAAGTTTCCCAAAGATCTCAGACAGTCTGATAACTCTAAAATAAGATTTCAGAAAGCAAGCCAGTCATCAGACATTCAGCATCGCTCATTTTGATAAATGGAAACTAGATCATTTTATTATCATTCTGAAATTGTATATAAAAATACACTTTGCAGTTTGGAGAGAAGATAAGTCAGAACTAATTTCTCTTCTCACTGTACCAATTACTGACTATCTGTCTAACCATTACATTTCAGCTAAAATATAAATTTGGGGAAGATGTGGCATAGACTGCTTACTCACTCTCTGCACAAAATTATGTGAGAGGTTTTCTCCTTGGGTCACTTCAGCATTATACAATTTTGTTTTAGTTCCATCTGTGTTGCAGCAAAGCTGAAAAACTAAAAGATCATTTAAAATTACATGTGATAAAAAGATCCTTATTAATTCAAATATTTGCAATGGGAAACAGCCAATTAATGTGATTTAGTATTTAAGAAATAAGCCAAAAATTGTGCTTTCCTATGTGTGATGCAGAATCTAATTTTTGGCACAATATAGATGCTTTGAAATGTCTTAAATCATGATGGAAAATTTTAGGAAAGTAAATGCTAAGTGTGACCCTGCTAGGGACTTGCTAGCTATACCTGGGAAAGTCACTTGCTTTCTATTTCCGTTTCTATATTTCTGATATAGGAACAGTACTTTTTCTTGTGCGTAACGTGTTTACTCAGGATGTATTTAATTTTTAAGCAACATACTTCCCCCAAGCTCTTGACTGAAGGATGCTAGATTCCTCACCAGAACATGTTGTCCCCTTTCATCAAGGGTGCAGCTTCTGAAGGTGTAGGAACCCATGGAGGTAAAGGGAAGGTGTCACCAGTCCAGCTAGCTCACTTTACATCCAATTCCTGAGCCAGTAATGATCACCAGTATCAGAGATAGTCAAGAAATGTCTCTTTGAAAAGATTTAAAATATAATATTCAATGCTGGCCTGAGCCCAATGTTAATAGGAATGAAAACTGATACATCACTTCTGGAAAGCAGTTTGGCAGGAATCATCAAGCTCCGTAGAAATTCACTTCCTTTAATTTAGTAATCTCCTTTCTAGGAATCCATTCCCAGGAAATGTCAGAGATACTGACAAATATTTGTATGCACAGAGAGTTGCTGCAGCACTGTCTGTGATAGAGAAAAACAGAAAACATCCTGAGTTAACAATAATAGAAGGAAAGTTAAATAAATAATGGTTCATCAGAATTTCTTCTAAATTAGTTTGGAAGAATATCCCATGATATAGCAAACTGCTCTTACCATAATGTTCAG
Source organism: Homo sapiens (assembly GCF_000001405.40). Lineage (NCBI taxonomy): Eukaryota > Metazoa > Chordata > Mammalia > Primates > Hominidae > Homo > Homo sapiens. The sequence goes on along the minus strand of NC_000005.10, from coordinate 66,570,171 downwards.
TATGTTGGGAAACCAATAAAACCATACGATCCTATATTGGAATGTGCTGTGTCAACTTGGTTAAGGTGGAAACTATAGGTCCCAGAGTTCTGTTCCCTATATGGGCTAAAGCTGGCTCAAGAGGAGCTTGTGTGAAATTTAGAGGTGACAAAGTGGCCATTGCTTTCTGCAGGTATTTACGGTCAGATGTAGTAAGGACAGACAAAGGAGTGTCTAGTGGGGTCCAGTTCTCCGCTCTGTGTCCAGGTCCTCTTGTTTCTAGCCCGCTGACCAACCAACAGTGGTCCCAGGCCCAGCACCAGCTGCCTGCAGATCCCTAGAGCACATAACTACAGAGGCAGCAGCTTTCAACAGACTTCTCCAGAGATGCTCCCTTGGTGGTCTCCCTTTGTGTCTGGATATGTGCATTTGTTTCCTAGGCCTCTTACAAAAAATTACCACAAACTTAGTGGCTTAAAACAATGCAAACTTATTTTCTTACAGTTCTGGAGTCCAGATGTCTGAAATCAGTTTCTCTGGGCTAACGGCAAGGTGTCAGCAGGGTTGGTATCTTCTGGAGGCTCTAGGGGAGAATTCATTCCCTTGCTTTTTCTAAGTTGTGGAGGCCACCTGCATGTGTTGCTCAGGTCCCCACCCTCGCGTGGCTCCAGTTGTCATCATATTTCCTACTACTGTAGTCACATCCTTCTGCCTCCCTCTTATAAGGACGCTTGTTGTCACATTGGACCCACCTGGATAATCCAGGAGGAAACACTTGGCTTCTCAGATGACTGAAAATGACTGCTCTCTTCCTCCAATTTTCTCGTCTTGGGCCTTCATTTCTCTCCTCCCACAATTGTAAGGCCGAATTCCTATAAGTCCTATAACATAGTAACTCTGCTCCCCCTACTTCATTTTGAACTTTAATTGATAAAAATTCCAATGAGGTATAATAAAATGTACTCTTACACATACTTTTTAAAAACCTGAAAGGATTATATCAATATGTTAACAGCACAAATCTCTGGGTGGTAGGAATATAACTGAAGAGGGGAAGAGGTGGAAGATACAGGAGAGACAGAGGAACCTGAAAGAGCAAGATCCCGAGCATCTGAGATAAAAATGATATATCCCAGAGGAGAGACAATGCAATAGAAGGAAGCAGGAAAGGACAGGTATGGAAGCTGGTGCATTTGCAGGTGTGTGGTAGGAAGTTAAGGGATTTCCTGTTGTGGCTTCTACTTTCACTGTAGGTTGAAAGGTAAGTTCACATGTTAAGATGCAGGAGGAATGGCTGGGCCTGACATTTGAGGAGAAAGAAGAGCATTTGGTAATGCAGGAGAGAGGTTGCTGACAGGAGGAGGGCCATGATCCTTTGCATGATGTTGAAAGCTAGTCTGAGCAGCACCATTGGCCTGGGCCTGTGACTTTCTCTCAGCACATTTAGTAGCCTGGGTGCAGGAAAGAGAAGGCAGAGTGTAGAGCCATCCAGATTTGGGGTTTTCCAGCCAGGAAAGAAGGGAAGGCCATGGGGCAAGGGAGTTTAGGTCTCCAGTGTAATGTATCTCCCAGCTTCTCCAGGATTTAGATGAGGAAATAGAAGCCCAGGGAGTTGAAGTGACTTCCCCAAAGCCACAGGACTGGTGGAGGGCATCACTGGAACTAAACCCAGGTCTCCTGTCCAAAAAGCAGGGCTGCTCTGCTACAGCAGACTGTGGGGTTGCTCAAAGAGTGGTCTCCTTACCAAGTCAGAATCACCTGGAGCAGGGGAGGGTACCTTCTGTTAAAATGCAGATTCCTAGGCCCTGGCCCAGCTTTCCTGATTCAGAGATACAGGACGAGTGGCCCAGGAGTTTAATAAGCATCTCCAGTGATTCTGAAGCACACTAGGGTTTAAGAGCTGGAATAGGGCAGAGTGTCTGTCTTATGGATGAAATACAACAGCACAATTATGGTGGGGAGTGCCGACGAGGAAGGGGATATACATAGTTCAACGTGGAAAGGCAAAATATGTAAAATTCTCAAGAAAAGGGGAGGGGAAGGCAGCTTAGGGCACAATGAAGGTCAACAGATACCAAATGGGGGGTAGGTCTGCAAGGATGGAGGAAGTTTATGTCAAGAAATGGACTGGAGCTAAAGGAGAACCAAAGACAACTCCTACCGTTTTGCCACGGCATTTTGTTTCTTCTCTTGGTGAAGATTCAGAGTGTTCAGAATCCAAGCAATATTCATGCTTCTAAGGAAATGTGCTTCTAAGGAAGTGTTAATGAAATTCAATATCCTCTCAGTTTTCCTGCTAACTAAATATCAAAAGCAAAAGGAACTACCACAGACTCAACGGGCTCTAACTCCAGACTTAGAGTTAGGATAGGCAGTGCTCCTTGACTCCAGTATTGCCAGTAATGAAACGTTATGTGCCCTCAGCTGGCAGGGAGACTGTAACTGATTCAAAAATAACAAGGTCCAAAACCCACGCCAATTGGTAGAAAGAACAGATGTACCTCCCTGAGGAAGTAAGCCTCCTGAGATTTGCATTTTAAGATGTCTAAGCTAGAAGGTGATTTCATGCAGTAGAGATTTGAAAGGAAAAGCTATCTTGGTCTCTACAGCAAATTTACCTAAAATATGTATAATTAGACTCATATATCTAAAACTCATTTCTACCTACAAAACATCCTGGACCCACAGGCTGTGGCCAAGGTGGAATAGGATTCTCCCCTCTTTCTCATCCCCTCATTGGCCAGTCACTAAATCCAGTCCAAGTAACTGTCTAGTCCATCATCTCTTTCAGTTCTCCACGACCTTTGCCTAAGTTCACACTGCCATCTTCTCTTCCCTGGTTTATTACATCAGCGTCCCCTTGGTCTTCCTGCCTCCAGTCTTTTTCTTCCAATTCACCCTCCAAAAATCTAATCTTGTCTCAGTCCTGTTCAAAGGCCTTTATTATCCCCTCTTCTTCCATTGGCTTCAGGATAAAGCCTGGACTCCTTGTTGAACATATAAGGTTCTCCACTGTCATACTCCTGCTTACTCTTCTACCCCCTTCCATCCTACTTCTAGGCTTCCCTCTTCAATGCAGGTTGGGAAGCACTAGCCCAGCTTTCCCAACCCATTGCTTCTTGTCTCCCAGCCTTTTTTTTTTTTTTTTTTTTTTGCGATGGAGTCTTGCTCTGTCACCCAGGCTAGAGTGCAATGGCACCATCTCAGCTCACTGCAACCTCCGCCTCCCAGGTTCAAGTAATTCTCCTGCCTCTGCCTCCTGAGTAGCTGGAATTAAAGGCATGCACCACCACGCCAGCTAATTTTTGTATTTTTAGTAGAGACAGGGTTTCACGATGTTGGCCAAGCTGGTCTCAAACTCCTGACCTCAGGTGATGCACCCACCTTGGCTTCCCAAAGTGCTGGGATTACAGGCATGAGCCACCACGCCCTACCTCTCCCAGCCTTTGTATGTGCTGTTTCCCTTTACAGAACACACCCTCTCCCCTTCTTGGCTTTCTCTGGCTTACTGACACTTGTTCTGTAGGTCTCAGCTTTGGTAAGATCTTCGTAGGAAAACTTCCCTGACTGCCTCCTGATAGATCTCACATTTTAAAGGTTAATGAAATTGAATAATAACAAAATGCTACCTTAACAAACATAGTACAAAACTTATTCATTATTTTATAAATATATTTACATATATATGTATATATTTTAATATAGAACTACAAAATATCTTAGAGAAAGTTCCCAGATTATTTTGGAGTAATCAACTTTCAAAAAATTGTATGCTACTTAACAAAACTTTAAATGCTTTGAACTTTTCTGGATTAAGTAACCTTTCTCTGTGATCCCATGGCAACCACCCCCTGCCTGCATACCTCTATCATAGCACTAGTCACATGGTTCCAGAATTGTCTGACTCCCTCACCAGACTATAAGCTTCTTGGGGCTAGGAACACTGCCTTTTGTTGCATCTCCAGTGCCTAGAACGGTGTTGATTATAACCTACATGATGTTGAGCAAGAAGTGATTAAAGGGCAACATCCCCATCTACCCATTTCTACCTGGGTGAGTGTTGAATGCTCTTGCACAACAATTGTCATGGACTCCCCATTTCTGAGCAATGACAAAGGGCTTTCTTTACACTTAGGCCTCCAAACAGGAAATGACTCTTCCGCTTCAAAGGCTTTTAGAACCCCCCACCCAAAGCTATAGAGCTGAGAAAGAAAATCCCACAGAGGGAACATTTGGAGTGCTCCCATAAACAAGACCTACAGCAGACCTTCCCAAGGTTAAAAAAACAAAGTCTAACTCTCTGAAGTTAGTTACAAGGGACCTGCAACAAGGAAAGCATCTCTAAAAGCATCAAAGGAGGCAACTACATGGATACACTACTATGTTGGAAGAAAGTAACCCAGCCTGCACCAAACTTTTCTCATTGTTACAACAGTTAAAGAAGAATTACTGATTTCTTAGGTGAGGAGAAATTAGAGGCTTGTATTGACTCACTGTGGAGCTTTTATTGTTTCTGTACTACAGAATGAATTAGTAAATATAGTTTTCATTTGTACATTTGGTTATTCACAACAAAGCTTTGCGTTAAAAAACAAACAAACAAACTAGTTATCATTATAATAGACACCTAGACCCAGAGCTTCCCACCAGATAATCAGAATCAAAACTCAAGTCTTCAGAATAGTCAAAACCAGATAAGTAAGTCCTCTATCCCCAACTGCCACCGTGTGCATACTTCTCATCCCACAATCCCTTATCAGGCTGTGTCTTATTAGAGTTCATTTCAAGCTCACCATACAGGATGCACACATAATTAATGCTCAAGATTTGTTGAAAGAATGACTGAATGAATAAATGATTGAAATTTGCATGCTACCTGCCAACATTTCAGGTTCTACATCTTAACATTTTATACCTTGTACTACTTTCTCCATCATAAGCATAAATCTTATAAATGGATTTCATGTATTTCTACTCTGTTATATTAACAGCTAGATGTAGCTCTGATGCCAAAGACTGTATCTTCTTCTACCATTAATCTTTCTCCAGCTTGTGAGCTGGAACATAATGATGGGAGTTGTCATAATGAACCCAAACAATAATTGTAATAAGAAAATGGAGAAGAAAATTGAAAACGAAAATGTCTCTCCCACAGCACCACAGATAAATGACCCTGTTCTCTCCTGATTCCAAATCCACATGGTTGTATTTGTTCTTGTCAAGATCATTAGGTACGAAAAGACCATTTGACATTAGTGAGAATAATATTTTTAATAAGAGTAATATATTGATGTTAAAAGAACATATCTCTTCTTTCTGTAGGTTCCTGTCTAGTCTGCAAAACATTAAGGGTTAAAAATACATTCAAAGTACTTAATATAAAGTGGATATGAATGAGACATGAAAGCAAGTAACCTGTCTCAACCAATTTTCTTAAACCGAGATAAACAATTACTTCTAATAAAGCAATCAAGGGCTTGAAAGAGAACAGGTTTCATGCTAACTTAGTTAAATACTAATTTGGAGATTTAAAACACTCTTTCCATTGCTCTTTTCTCCTCTTAAAAGGAGAAAAAGATGTTTTCAAAGTCATTCCCACTCACAATGATAAGTTACATCTTCCTGTCATTCTGAAGCATTTAGTGTACAAGAAGAATTACTAGATAATATAAAGAAATTTATAAGACTGCTACATCATCCTGACACCCTCTAGGTCCTGATGGATTTAGTAATGAGTTCCACGATGAGATCTCAGGCAAATGAAGTAATTAAGCGCTTGATCCAGAGGAAAAGGTATGGCAGCCTTCTGAAGCGCCAAGAACTTGGCTTGCAACGATTGCTCTTAACCATTCCAGCTATTTAGCAGTGACACTGTAAGAAGGTGTTTCATATGTTAAACCAATCTTAATGTCATATTGTCTCCTCCCACACTGCCCATGTCCTAGCCCCAGTGCTCGGCCTTCCTCCAGGTAAGTTAATGATCTTGCCCTAATATTTATGCTTTATTTTAGGAGAGTGAAATGCATTGTTAAAATGGAGAAATTTTTCTCTTCTAATCTTTCTCTTTATTTTTCTTAATTTCCTTGAAGTGACTACTTTAAATTCAACCCAATTCTTAGACGAAAAGATGAAATTAGAGAAGTACTTGGTAAAGTTCAAGATTCTTAATCGAAATTGTTACAGGAAAGGGATCCCCATCCAGACCCCAAGAGAGGGTTCTTGGATCTCATGCAAGAAAGAATTCAGGGCGAGTCCATAAAGTGAAAGCAAGTTTATTAGGAAAGTAAAGAAATAAGAGGATGGCTACTCCATAGACAGAGCAGTCCTAAGGGCTGCTGGTTGCCCATTTTTATGGTTATTTCTGGATTATATGCTAAACAAGGGGTGGATTATTCATGCCTTCCCTTTTCAGACCATATAGAATAACTTCCTTATGTTGCCATGGCATTTGTAAATGCGCTGGTGGGAGGGTAGCAGTGAGGATGACCAGAGGTTACTCTTGTGGCCATCTTGGTTTCAGTGGGTTTTGGCTGGCTTCTTTACTGCAACCTTTTTTATCAGCAAGGTCTTTACGACCTGTATCTTGTGCTGACCTCCTATCTCTCACCCTGTGACTTAGAATGCCTTAACTGTCTGGGATTGCAGCCCAGTAGGTCTCAGCCTCATTTTACCCAGCTCCTATTTAAGATGGAGTTGCTCTGGTTCGAAGGAATCTGACAGAATCATCTGGGGAACTCCTAAAACAGTCTGATGTCCAGCCCCACCCCAGGCCAATTGTGTCCAAATATCAGGGGCTGGCTCAGGCATCTCTTACTAAAGTCCTCCAAGTGGTGCCAATGTATGTTCAGCCAGCATTGAGAATCTTTAGGAAAGTAGAGTCGAGTAGATGAGGTGTGCTTCAGGTTTTCAAAAAGGCAGTCAGTTCTGTACAACTGCCCTGGTGCAGTATTGAGTCTGGAGTTGGGGGTCTCTGGTAACCTGTGGTATAACAGATGATTTATATCTTACGAAATTGTTGTGGAAAGACTTTTAGTTTAATTTAGAAGTTCTTTGAAGTGCATGTACAACGCTAGCTTAAAGACCTTCAGAGACCTACTAAAATAGGGGTAATCAAATAGAAAAGTAAAGCATTGCTGTGTACCCAAGGTTACCACTACCAACTCTCTCCTCAAGTTCTTTTCCCTGCACAGAGAAATCTGTAGAGATCTCCTTGAAATCAAAAGATATTCAATGCAAAGCACATAAGAATCTCCTGGGAAAATTAAGCCAATTTCTTATTTAAGAGGAAAAATGGAAAAAAATTCTACCCAACTTGAAGGAGATGATATTTCACAGTTTCATCACCCACGGATTGACACCATGATATCTCAGAGTTGTAGGTGATGTGGCAGATGACCGGAAACAGCACTTTCCCCTCAGGTAGCTGGAAGTGATTTCGTGAAGGGTCTCCTAGATGGGTTTTTCAAGGACTTCCCATTAAACTGGGAACACTAAAGTCATAGGTCCAGTGCCCAGTGGGCCAAATGAATGATTATCATGGTGGGTAAGGCTACATTATATGGCCAGGTTGTATCTGCCCTTACCAGCCATGTTCTTCCAAAGTGCCTACCTTCTCAGGGTCATTTGACTCTTGAATTCCTACTTCGAGAGTGTTTTCTATGTTAGAACTTGTCCTAAGCCCAGTTCATAGGAATGAGCAAACTTTTCTCCACATTTTATTATCTTTTAACCTTAAAATGCAAGCTCTTAGAGGGTAGGGCCTTTGCTTTCAGGATGTCTGCAAACATTAAAGAACAAAATTCCTTTGGGAGGGAAGTGGAGACTGAGGGAAGGAGGGAGTATAGGGGGGAAAGAGAGGGTGGGGTGACAGATTCTCATCTCTCTTCCTCTATTTAATGGTATCTGGTGTTTCCTCTAAATTTTATGGTTTTGCCATTAACCAAAACATTTGGCCAAGATTTTTTTGTAATGAAAATACCCAAGGTTAGTAGGTTAATTTGTACAGACTTTCTAAAAAGACATTTTTGGCAATATTGATTTTTTAAAAAATTTATACTTACACTGTAACTCAGAAATTCTGCTTCTAAAAAGGTGCTCTGAGGAAATAAATAAATAAATAACACATGCCAAGATTAGCTATGAGGATGTTCACTGCAGTGTTGTTTATGACAGAAAAAAAATTGGAAATAACCTAAATGAAGAGATGCTCGTTAAATATATAATGGCATGCTGTAATGATCCTTGGATCCACAGGGTTCTTTCGTGGTACCTCAGATACCGTAGTTCATTCTGTGTTGCAACAGAAGAACACCTGAAACTGGGTAATTTATAAAGTAAAGAGGTTTATTTGGCTCAGAGTTCTGCAGGCTGAGAAGTTCAAGGTCATGGCCCTGACTTCTGGCAGGGATTTCATGCTGTGTTATAACATGGCAGAGAAGCTCAAGGGGAAGCAGACACATGTTAAGAGAGAAACATAGGGCCTCCTGGCTTTATAACAACTCATCCATTCCCCTGAACTAAGCCAGTCTCTCTAGAATGTGAACACATTCACTACCAAAAGAGCCCCATTAATGAGGGCTCTGCCTTCGCGACTTACACATCCCCTACTAGGCCCCACCTCCCGACACCATCACACCAGGGATCAAATTTCAACATGAGCTTTGGTGAGGACAAACAACCCATATCCAAACCATAGCAGGGGCAACAACTGGAGGGTGGGGAAGAAAAAAACCAGTGGGAGACAGAGTGGATGATGTTCTGGCTCTCACATTCCTTTTTCAACCTCAAAAGCTCCAATTTTATCTGTCTTATGCAGGGTGGTTCCTTTCAGAAAATTAGTTCTGCTGCCAAAAATAGTTGAAAAAGAACTGAATATTATTGGAATAGAAAGATGTTTACAGTACTTTGTAACAGGAAAAAAGCAGACTGCAAAACAATACTTCAGTTTGATCTCATTTTTGTTTATATATATATACACACAATTTAGAAATACACATATATGAAAATAAGATATAACAATGAACATTTTATTCTTTTGAGTAATAAGAAAAAGATTATATTTAACTTTAAATGTATGTTTTCTGTGTGATTCTCAACATTTTAAGTTCTTCAACCATTATGATGCCTAAGTCAATAGTTATCTACCAATTCTTTACCTTAAGACTATAACTTCTGTATAAGAACCTCAAAACTAAATGTTGTTCTTTCCATTTCAGAGCTAAAGAGACTAGGGGGTGAAGTGATACTGTGAATTATTGCAAAATTGAGAAATGGTCACAGAGACCCCAGTTTTCTCACCTCTTCAACTTATAATGTTTCAAGTATTGCTGCAGAGCCCTGCAGTTTTTCAAAGCTGGATGAATCAGGTGCTAGAAGGAGAAAAACTATGTTTCTGCAGTAAAAACATAAAATTCTTACATATTTTATACTCATTGAAATTATAACAACAAAAGGATGTTAATGAGAAATTAATACAACCAGAGACAGATGGCAAGGTAAGTGGAAACTGGCAGGCGGGCTGAAGTGCAGCAGTTGGGAAGAGCCAAGGGTGCTGGAGAGCAGGAGCTTTATTAGTGAAGCATGTGTAGTGGGGGCACTTCGTTCAAGTATAAATGATCACGTGATGATGGTGGTGGTGATGATGACAATAACACTAACAGTTAAAAAGAGACTGCAGTGCACCAGGCACTGTTCTAAGCACTCTATGTATATTAGTTCTTAATCCTTACAACCCTGCCATGAGGTAGAAACTACTATTAGTCCCATTTTCCTAAAGAGGAAACTGAGGAACAGAAAGAAGACACAATGGGTGTCGATGCCAGGATCTGAAGTGCTTCACTAATCAGCATTCTAAATCTAAAAATACAAATGAGACAATATACCTTTCCTGAAGGTTAAAAATACTTTGTTCTGTTTTTTTTTCTTTTTTCTTTTCTTTCTTTCTTTCTTTTTTTTTTTTTTTTAACACAGAGCAGCGTAATGACAAAAGGCTTCTGATGCCAACAGACCTAAGTTCAAATTCTGGATCTGCTATTTTTCTCTTCTTAGAGACTCAGTTTCCTCATATCTAAAGGGGACTAATGATACCCTCTTAGGCGCTGTGAGTAAGATTTCATGTCTAAAACCTTGGCCCAGAGCATGCTGCAAGTGGGTACACAATAGATGGAAGCTGATACTGTTCGAAAATGAAGCAAGTGAAGGGATTTAATTGAACAATATTTTATTTTATTACTTAAAAAAACAAATGGGTGGACCTAGGAATAAGCATGCTCTTACGGTGATCATATAATCTATTGTCTAAGCCAGGAGACTTTAAAGAGGAGAAGGGTCCTATTAATAATTATCTGAGGCTGGGCACAGTGGCTCATGCCTGTAATCCCAGCACTTTGGGAGGCCAAGGTGGGCGGATCACCTGAGGTCAGGAGTTAGAGACCTGTTAGGCTTGGCCAACGTGGTGAAATCCCGTGTCTACTAAAAATACAAAACTTAGCCAGGTGTGGTGGCAGGTACCTGTAATCCCAGCTACTCGGGAGGCTGAGGCAGGAGAATTGCTTGAACCCAGGAGGCAGAGGTTGCAGTGAGCTGAGATCACGCCACTGCATTCCAGCCTGGGTGACAGAGCGAGACACCATCTCAAAATGATAATAATAACAATAATAATAATAATAATCTGTGATAATAGGTGATATGGTTCGGATCTGTGTCCCCACCAAATCGCCTATCGAATTATAGTCCCCAGTGTTGGAGGACGGGCCTGGTGGGAGGTGGCTGGATCATGGGGGTGGAGTTCTCATGAATGGTTTAGCGCCATCCCCCACTTGGTGCTGTTCTTGTGATAGTGAGTTCTGGTTGTTTAAAAGTGTGTAGCGCCTCCCACACCCCCCTGCACTGCTCCCGTTATGTGAAACACCTCATTCCTGCTTTGCCTTCTGCCATGATTGGAAGCTTCCTGAGGCCTCCCCAGAAGCAGAAGCCACTATGCTTCCTGTACAGCCTGCAGAACCGTGAGCCAATTAAACTTCTTTCCTTTATAAATTATCCAGTCTCAGGTATTTATAGCAGTGCGAGAATGGACTAATATAACAAGTGACTCTGCCTTGGGCAAACTGGGACATGCCACATATTGGTGAGCAACGGCTCCAAGCATATAGCTAGGGGACCTTTTCTGGGCCTTCCTCTGACCCTACTTCAGGATGGCCATTAGGCTAGAGTGGGGGGAACATCAAAGAGGAAACTCCCTAGGCTGTACACTCACAATCTTCAGGAGATTGTGAATTTGTATTGCCTTCTGCTTAGATGAACTCTGTTCTTAAGAATTATCTCATCCAGAATACATGCTCCGGTACCATATGTTGTCATATGCTTCCCCTCCCGCTTTGTGGTCTTTGGAGGGAAAGATGATGCGGGCTAGTGTGCTGAGATGTAAAACTGAAACTGTCATGCAAGTCCTTCTTCAAGAGACTCTGCTGCCCTGGTAGCTATGGTGACATCATTTCTGCAGTGTGCTTCCTGGAAGTTATGGCCTTCTCTCACTGGCTTGCATACAGACCCACTTTACTAGGCTTACATACAGCACCTCTCATTCACATCACAGGATCATGGAATATCAGTGCTCAAGGGATTCTTTAGTTCAAACATTTCATTTCCGGCCCAGAGAGCTCAACTGATAACTTAGCCAAGGCCACACACCAAACTAATTGCAGAAGAACCAGAACCCAGGACTGCACTCATAACATACTGTTCTTTCTATTATTTTACAGCTGCTTCCCTGAAAAATAGCTGTGCCAGCCTAAGGTGTAATATAGTAATTCCAAAAATAACACATTATTTCAGACTTCTCAGGGTTATTAGTGGGAATTGAATATTCTTCTATTGTAGTCTATAGCATCCTTATAATTAGACATATTTTCCAGTTCTTACTGAGAGAAAATTAAAATTAGATTTATGAAGACACTTTAAATTCTCTACATTGGCCAGGTAATAAGGAGGCTAAGTAACACACGTGAAGCAGAGGCCAGATGATAAACATAGCCTCCAAAGTTGGGACATTTATTTCCCAACACCGACATAGATGGGTATACAGAAAAAAAATATGTATCAGATATCGCAAGCTAGGGTGAGGATGCCAAAAAGAAGAAACTGATAACCATAATCTGGTGGTTGGGGTACACAAATGAAAGGCAACCTAAGTTCATCAGTTTCTATTATTTAAATTTTATATTTTCTATCCCTTGTGTCCAACATGGTGGTTTAGGATAACATAGGAGATTGGAAGTGAAAGACAACTGGTTGAATGCTGGTTGATGGATCACTGGGTAACGTCCAAGAACATGTTTTAAAAGAAGTACTCTGCCTTAAGTTACACATTCCTTCCTAAATGGGGGAATCAGAGAAGAGAGATCTCTTAATCAAGGAATGAGAAAATACGAATATCAACAAATAGATTTATTTGCAAGATACTGGGCTCCTAGACATTCTTGGCCTTGCCCTTCTTGACTTTTTCTCTTCTGACAAAAGAAATTCTACACTGATTGCAGTGGCTCATGCCTATTATCTCAGCACTTTGGGAAGCCGAAGTGGGAGACTCATTTGATGCCCAGAGTTCAAGACCAGCCTGAGCAATAGTGAGTCCCTGTCTCTACAAAATATAATGAGAAAAAATTAGCCAGGCATGGTGGTGCATGCCTGTAGTATCAGCTACTCAGAAGGCTGAGATGGAAAGATCACTTGAGCCCAAGTTTGAAGCTGCAGTGAGCTATGATGGCTCCACCGCACTATAGCCTGGGTGACAGAATAAGACCCCCATCTCTAAAAAAATTAAAATAAAATAAATTAGTCAAGGAAAAGGAAAGAAAGAAAATAAAAGAAATAAATGCATTTAGATTGGACAGGAAGAAGTAAAATTATCTCTATGGCAGATGACATGATCTTATATTTAGAAAATCTTGAAGAATCCACCAAAAACCACTATTAGAACAAATAAACACTTTTAGCAAGGTTTCAGGATAGAAGGTCAAAATTCAAAAATCAATTGTATTTCTAGCAGCAAACAACCCAAATATGAAATTAAGAAAATAATTACAGTTGTAATAGCATCAAAACAATAAAATAGGGATAAATTTAACAAAAGTAGCGCAAGACTTATGTGCTGAAAACTATAAAACAATATTTAAATCAACTAAAGAAGACCTAAATAAATGGAAAACTATCTTCATGGGTGTAAAGACATAGTATTATTAAGATGGGAAAACTACTAACACTGACATATAAATTCAATACAATCTCCATAAAAATCCCAACTGGCTTTTTTGCAGAAATTGACAAGCTGATCATGAAATTCACATGGAAATGTAAGGGACCCAAAAGAACCAAGTCAATCTTGAAAGATAAGAATAAAGTTGGAGGACTCACACTTCCCAGTTTTAAAACTTACTACAAACTGCAGTAATAAAGACAGTGTCGTTCTGGCATAAAGAAAGACATATGATGAATGGAATACATGTGAAAGTCTATTTGCAGTTAATTAATTTTTAGTCATGGTGCTAGACAATTCAGTGGGGGAAAAATAGGCTTTCCAACAAATGGTGCTGTGACAACTAAACATTCACATGCAAAAATAAAGTTGGATCCCTACATCACACCATATACAAAAATTAACTCAAAATGGATCATAGAGTTAAATATAAGAACTAAAATTACAAAACTCTTAGAGAAAATATGGGGGTAAATTATTGTGACCTTGGATTAGGCAATGGCTTCTCAGATATGATACCAAAAGCACAAGCAAACAACAACAACAAAAATAGGTAAATGGAAGTTTATCAAAATTACTAACTTGTGCTTTCTTCACCAAGAAAGTGAAACCATGGAATCAGGGAAAATATTTGTAAATAATATACCTGATAGTAGGTTTGTAGTCAGAATATATAACCCAACAATAAAAGGAGAAATGACCCAATTTAAAAATGGTCAAAGGGGCCAGGCTCAGTGGCTCACACCTATAATCCTAGCACTTTGGGAGGCTGAGGCGGGCAGATCACTTGAGGTCAGGAGTTCAAGACCAGCCTGGCCAACATGATGGAACCCCGTCTCTACTAAAAATACAAAAATTAGCTGGGGGTGGTGGCGTGTGCCTGTAAAACTGGCTACTCGGGAGGCTGAAGCAGGAGAATTGCTTGAACCTGGGAGGCAGAGGTTGCAGTGAGCTGAGACTTGAACAGACATACTTCCAAAGAAGATATATATATATATATATATATATATATATATATATATATATATATATATATATATGTAAATGGCCAATAAGCACATGAAAAGATATTTAATATCATTAGCCATTAGCAAAACACAAGTCAAAACCTCAATGGGGAAAGGAGGACATGGGGAATTTATTGTTCATTGATTATAGAGTTTCTGTTTGGGAAACAGAAACAGTTCTGGAAATAGATAGTAGTGATGGTTGCACAACATTGTAAATGCAGTTAATACCATTGAATTGTACCCTATAAATGGTTAAATGATAAACTTTATCTTATGTCTATTTTACCATGATGTCTTAGTCAGTTTGGGCTGCTATAACAAGAATAACATAGACTGAGTGGTTTAAGCAACAGCCACTTATTTCTCATAGTTCTGGAGGCTGGGAGGTCTGAGATCAGGGGCCAGCATGGTGAGGTTCTGGTGAGAGCCCTCTTCCTGATTTCCTCACATGGCAGGTGGAGGAGAAAGACGGGGGAGAGACAAACATTCAGTCCATTGCAAAAAATAAAAATTAAAAACCAGAAAGATATGCTATTTCATAGCCACTACGTGGCTATAATCAAAATAATAAATTATAAATGTCAGCAAGAATGTGGAGAAATTGGAACCCTCATACACTTGTTTGCGGGAATGTAAAATGATGCAGCCACTTAGGAAAATAGTCTGGCAGTTTCTCAAACAGCTAAACGGAGTTGCCATATGACCCAGCAGTTCCACTCCTAGGTCTATATCTAAGACAGCAGAAAGCATATGTTCACACAGAAAACTGTATATGAGTGTTCATTGTCGCATTACTCATAATATCCCAAAAGTGAAAAGAACCCAGATATCCATTAACTGATGAAAGGGTAAACTAAATGTGGTATATCCATACAATGGAATATTATTTGGCAATAAAAAGGAATGCAGTACAGATACATGCTACAACATGAATGGACCTTGAACTCATTATGCTAAGTGAAAGAATCCAATCACAAAAGACCACATGCTGTATGATTTTATTTCTATAAAATGTCCAGAATGGGCAAATTCATAGAGACAAAAAGTAGACTAGTGGTTGCCAGGAGCTGGAGGAGGGGCATAATAAAAGTGATAGCTGATGAATACAGAGCTTGTTACTGGAGTATGAGAATGTTCTGAAATTAGATAGTGGTGATGGTCACACAACTTTGTGAATATATGTAAACTGCATCTCAATAAAGCTATTATTATTTTACATATGATCATCAAATTGAGTGCTGAGTAACCATGACACCTCCAAGGGTTTAACACCCTGTAATTAAAACTCTGCTAACTGCATTGAAAGCAAATATTTTAGGTTTGGAAAAACCACACACCTGACATTTTCATTTCTCTGCCGTAGGCCATTGTTCATCATTGCCAAGTGATTCACAGCATTTTTCTCTGATCTCTCCTTATATCTAAGAAGGAGCCAGTAAAAGAATGGAAACGTGTTAAGTCTCTGTGGGTTCTCTTGTAAAATGTAGAGAAAACAGTGACGATCACACATGTGACTCACTGCTCCACTCATCCTTGGCTTTGACGAGGGCAGAAAACCACATACTTGGGGAAATGAAACCAGGTACAACATAGCTATGGGTAAGCACAATTTGGCCAGAGAGAAGCAGTGCATGCACATACTTAGGATAAAGCATGCACTCTCAGCATTCCCAGAGCCAACTACATAAAACTCCAGGTAAAGGGATCTCCCTACAGGAACACAAACAGTTCTACAGAGATTTAAATTATAAGCAACGTGGTGCTCAGGAAAAGCCTCCACCAAACAGCAAGATTTAACTGTGGTTTGGCATGGGAACAAAAGATAAAACTAAGCAAATCTTGCTGCTAAATGAGCCAACAAGAGTGAATGAAGCCTCTCTGCCACTTTGGTAGAATTTGTGATGTCTTTAAGCAATAAATATTACTTTAGGCATTTTTTTGTTAATAATGTCTTAAAATAAATAGACCCTAAAATGGTTTTAGATGATTGAAGAGAACTACTGGTCGAGTTCAAGGGTTTAAAATACCCTAGCACCTTTTTTTTTTCCTACCTGCAACTTTGGGCAAATTACTTAAGCCCTGTGAGCCTGTTTCTTCATTTATAACATGAGGATAGCAATAGCATTGCCATCATAGGGGTATTGAGAGGATTAAAGGAGGTACAGGAAGGTACAGTGTTCAGTATAGTCCTGGCATAGAGTAAACACTCCAGAAATGAGCCCTCTTGAGTGGCAGTCCTCTTTCACTGGAGCAGGGATGTGATAGTTGGGTGAGTACCTCCTCCCAGGGGCTCTGGCTCTAGGAACCCATCCCCTTCAGGTTCTGGCCTCCTTAGCCAGAATTCCAACTGAATTCTTCTGGCAATGGAAAACAAGGAAGGTTTTGAAGCATGCAAAATATGTGGTCAGATTTCTTTTAGAAAAGGCAAACAGGTAAAAGTTGCAGGATGAGTTAGGGGAAAGAGTCTCCAGAATGTGATTGTAATGACTCAGGAAAGGAATTACTAGGGACAGAACAAAAGCAGTAGAAGTGACCTGGAAACGTAACAACAATAGTGATGTTGTGCACCTTAAGAAACACTAATATTTACTGAGCACTCCTGTGAATCAAGAACTGGGCCAAGTGCTTTTAGGTGTCTTGATTTATTTAATCCTCACAGATCCTCAGAAAACAGATGAAGAGAAGGAGATTTTCAGAGGATAACCTATAACTTGCATGAGGTCAAAAAGTCAGCAGGATTGGAACCCAAAGAGCCTGTTACTGGAGCTGCAGAAAAATGATGACAGACTAGATTTGGTGGTGGAGAGAGACAAAAAGATATGATGGAAAGGGAAGAACTTAAGGTAGATAAGATGCCGGAAGCTGAATTAGGAAATATTTTTTCCCTTTCTTATTTCTTGCAGCAAATAATTTATATTGTTCTCCAGATGTTTCACAGGCAAATATATTGTCTTTCCAACCAGACCATATAAACTACCTGCGTATGGCGTTACTTATGTCTTATTTACTATGCACCATACGTACTCAATCAACAATTACTGGGCATCTACTGCAAGCCAGACCCTGGGCTAGGCACCAGGAACAGAAAGATGAAGAAGACCAAAAGTTTTCTTTGACCTTGGAGATTTACAGGCCAGTGGGAGTGATAAAGGATTTTGATGTGATGTTACAGTGCAACCCTAGTGTTATACATGAGGTGACCTGAGAGCACAGGTGTAAGAGCTTATCTAGATCCAGCTGAGGAGGTCATGAAAGGATTGAATGGCAGAGATGCTTGAGTTATGGATTAACATATGCATTGGCATTCATTAGAGGAATAAACTGTAGAAGGACCTTCCAGCCTGAAGAAACTACATGTGCAGAGGCCAGAATTGTTAGGTGTTTGGGGTAAGAGTGAGCAAGTGAGAGTGAACAAGAGACAAGACAAGATTTCAAAGGAGCAGTCACTTAAGTGGCTGTGTGGTGGGAGATGAATAACAAGTGGGTCAAGCTTGCAGATGAACAAACAGGTAATTCTGAAAGTTACCATTAGTGACCAGCCTGTATTTACTTGACTGGCTAGGAACAACTGATGTGCGGGATGATTTAACCTGAGTGTTGAGAATAGAAGCAAGATGTGGCTGCCTATGGTGGACTGCAATTCTTTATATGCCTACCCTTTTCCATGTGACTTTGCTGCCTTCTCATCAAGAGGTGGAGTAAATTTCATCACTTGGATCTGTAATCACATAACTAGCTTTAGCAAGTGGGTCATTAGGAAATGTGTTGCAAGCAGAAGCTTGAAAACTGCTTGCACATTGGCATTTTCTGTCTCCTGCTGCTCTCTGGGAATTCTTCCACCACTGTGTGAATAAGCCTGGGCTAGCCTTTTGGAGGATGAAAGACCTATCAGATAGAAGCTGTGTCCCAGCCATTCCTAAATAATCCAGACGTGTATAAGTGATGCCAATGCAAATCACCTGGACTCAGCTAAGCTAGTCTAGATGGGAAGTGCCCACAAACCTCACAGAATACTTAGAAAGTATACATTTTATTCCCTTAGCCGCACTGAGTTTAGGCTCAGTGTAGGAACAGCAAAGAGGCCTCAGGTTCTAACTGTGGGGAGGACCTAGTACTGTTCTTCTCTCCAATCTTTACTGAGAAATTGTGGAGAGATACAGAGGGACTGATTTTTCCACCTCAAGGGGAAAAACTCTAGCTTAGTTCATAAGCCTACATTGCACAAAGGAAGCTAACAGTCTCTTACCTATGGTCCCAGTAGAGAAAAGCTTAAACTTCTCTGCTTTGCTTTCTGCATAGTTAGGGTCATCTATTACTTTCATTTGTTAATCTGAAATATTTTGGAAGGGCGTTGAAAGAAGTTTCACAACATATATTTCTCCTGATAGGAACAGTCAGAAACACTGATAAGTATAAAATAAATGTGAAGCATGCATTGTCTATCTGTTCCACTCCCCGCCCCTACACTCCACTCTGATAAAATGAGTAGAGATAAAAATGTTAATTTTTGACAGTTGAAACTTTTTGATAATAAAACCAACTTGAGACTAAAAGTAAGATAATATCTCTTAAATTTGTTTGCTTAAACACAGAGGGTGAAGACAGTGAGGTGTAATCTGCCTATCTATCTCCAGGTTCTAAGACTTCAGTGAAGACCACCAAGAATCCAATTTGCATGACAGCAAACAGTTATCTGGGCCTAAGGCCTCAAAATCCAGACCTGAGACACTAAGATTAAGGCTCTCCAGCAGTGAGAGGAAGCAGAGCTGGAAGTCCTAGTATTTACTCTCTTCGAACATCGCTCTCCAACTCACACATTGGGAAGGCCATTCATATCTCCAAACCTAATTTAACATCACCTCTTCAAAAGACTCCCTGATCATTGCACCCTAACAGAGAGTTCATAATTAGTTTGTGCTTCTAGTTTTGCATTTATCTGCCTGCATTATAAAGTACTGCCTTACATGTCTGCTTTATCCATTAAACTGAGAATGGCTGCAGATCACAAGGGATAGGGGGCCGTGTCTCATTCATCTAGCAAAGAGGTTGTCATACAAGAAATATAAAAAATATATTTGCTGAATTAATAACTTAATGAGACACTCAATAATGGAGAGTTGTGTTTTTGAATTAGAGAGTAAAGCTACTCAAATATCTTTTGGTACAGATGTTAAGAAACTTAAAGTTTCTCAACAGATGAAATAAACAGAAGGCACTCAATAATCTAAATCCTTGCTCTTCAAGATGTGGTCCACAAACCAGCAGCATCAGCATGATCTGGGAGTTTGTTGTAAATGCAAAATCCCAGGTCCTATTACAGACCTACTGAATCAGGATTTTTTATTTTTGTTTTTATTTTTTGAGAAGGAGTTTCGCTCTTGTTGCCCAGGCTAGAGTGCAATGGCGTGATCTTGGCTCACTGAAACCTCTGTCTCCCAGGTTCAAGCAATTCTCCTGCCTCAGCCTCCTAAGTAGTTGGGATTACAGGTGCCTGCCACCATGCCTGGCTAATTTTGTATTTTTAGTAGAGACGAGGTTTCACCATGTTGGTCAGGCTGGTCTCAAACTCCTGACCTCAGGTGATCCGCCCACCTCGGCCTCCCAAAGTGCTGGGATTACAGGATTTTTATTTTAACAAGATTCCCAGGTGATTCACATAAACATTAAAGGTTATGAATCACTGATTTAAGACAGTGGCTTTTGTAGTTGACTGTATATTGAAATCATCTGAAAAGCTTTACAAACTATTAATATCTTGGTCCTGTCTTTAGAGATATTAATTTGAATGGTTTGGGACTTCTTTCTGACCTAGATAGAGTAACAAAGACCTCATTTATCCTTGTATCTTAAATGACAGGACAAAAACAGACACAATATATAAAATAATGATTTTCAGATGAAATTAGTTATCCATTGCTGAGTAAAAAGTTACTCCAAAACTTAGCAGCTTGAAACAACACACAATTTTTTGTCTCACCATTCTTGTGGTTCGGGAATCCAGGCATGTTTTAACTCGGTCCTTGGGCTCAGGGTCTCTCATAAGGCTGCAATCAAGGCATTCAGTGCTGTGGTCTCATCTGAATGCTCAACTGGAAAAGGATCCATTTCTAAGCTCACTCAGGTGGTTGTTGGCAGGATGCAGTTCCTTGTGGGCCACTGGACTGAGGGCCTCTGTTACTCGCTGGCTGTTTGCCAAAGGCTGCCCTCAGTTCCTTGCCATCTGGTCCTCTACAACATGGCAGCTTGCCTCATCAAAAGCCAGCATGAGTCTGCTGCAAGTTAGGTCACAGCCTTCTGTAACCTAATCTTAGAAGTAACATCCTATCACACTTGCTTTATTCTATTTGTTAGTCACTTGATCCAGCCCACTCTCAAGAGGAGGGGGTTATATAAGTACAAATGCCAGTAGGCTGGTGTATTAGTCTGTTCTCACACTGCTCTAAGGAAATAGCCAAGACTGGGTAATTTATAAAGAAGAGAGGTTTAGTTGACTCACAGTTCCTCATGGCTGGGGATGCCTCAGGAAACTTACAATCATGGTGGAAGGTGAAGGGGAGGCAAGCTGGGACTTCTCACATGGCAGCAGGAGAGAATGTGAGTGCACAGGAAAAACTACTATTTATAAAACCATCAGTTCTTGTGAGAATTCACTCATTATCACAAGAACAGCATGCAGGAAACTACCCCCATAATCCAATCACTTCCGTTCCTCGACACATGGAGATTACAGGTCCCTCCCTTGACCTGTGGGGATTACAATTCGAGGTGAGTTTTGGGTGGGGACACAGAGCCAAACCATAACAGCTGGGATCATTAGGGGCCATCTTAGAAGGTGCCTACTACACAGATGTTGAACAGCAGATATCAAGAGACTGTGATTCCTGACAGAGGGTAAACAAATAAGGTCAGCTGAATAATTGTACCAGTTTATTGCTTAGGAGGCAATTTAGACTGCAGTGCAGAGATGAGGAAATCAAAATTCAGTAGTCTCTTTGAGGTAAAAACACAGGAAGAGGAGTTCAGGGAGGCTGAGGCAGTAAAATATTGTTGGTCAAAGTACTAGTTGCCCAGAGAAAAAGCTCACGAGATCTATAGAGGGGTCCTCTTGAGTCTTTGGCTGCATACCCATCTGTGTGTGTCTGAGCAGAAACTATCTGAGGCCAGGAAAATAACCATCAGGATATTTAGGCAGAACAATTCCCAGAGTTTA
The DNA here is from genome assembly GCF_000001405.40 of Homo sapiens. Taxonomy (NCBI): domain Eukaryota; kingdom Metazoa; phylum Chordata; class Mammalia; order Primates; family Hominidae; genus Homo; species Homo sapiens. The sequence continues at coordinate 66,548,720 of NC_000005.10, read as the reverse complement.
TACAGAGTAAGAGTGGAAAGTACTCATAATCTATAAGTTGTAGGATGGAATCAGATATTCTTTAGCCCCATACTACTAAAGGCCACTCTTTTAATTTAGCAAAACTTAAAATGAAGTCTTTAAAAGATTCGAATGATTCCAAGTAAATTAATTGTACACCAGGACAAAAATCCAACACTATTAAAAAGAATACCACAAAATCCAGCAATCAACAATGTAACCAATAACCAATTAACAGGCTTACAATAAAGTAGGAAAATAAGAACTAAATGCATGAGAAAACTCGATTAACAGAAATAGCCTGAAATGACAGAGATGGTGGAACTAGCAGACAAGAATCTGAAAAAAAAAATGTTAGAACAGCTATTATAAATATCCTGTATATGTTTAAGAAGATAAAGGAAAACATGACCATGATATGGAGAAAAAAATTAATTATATAAAACAGATCCAAATAAACTACTGAAGAAAAAAACTAACATCTTAAATAAAAAATACACTGTGTAGAATTAATAGTAAATAGACACTGAAAAGGAAAGAGCAATAAATTTTAAGGCATAATAATGGAAATAACCAAAATGAAACAGAAAAACAAATGAAAAAATAAGAAGAGGGTAATAGTGACCTGTGGGACACTATCAAGTGGGCCAATATATGTGTAATTAGAGCCTCAGAAAAAAAGAGGGGAGGGAACAAAAAATATTTAAACAATGGTCAAAATTTTCCAAATTTAATAAAACCTATAAACTTTCAGATTCAAGAAGCTCAATTTATTCAAGCAGAATGAAATAAAGAAAATATACTTTGCCACATTATAATTAAATTACTAAAATCAATTGATAAAGAAAAAATTTTTTAAAGTAGCCAGAGAAGAAAGATATGTAAAAAGGGATAATGACAAGAATGGTATCAAGCTTCTTACAAGAAACTATGCAAGTCAGAAGACAATGGTAAGCCATCTTTAACATATGAAAAGAACAAAATGTCAATCTAAAAATCTTTCCTGGGGAGGTGGGGATGGTTAATGAGTATAAAATATAGTTAGAATGAATGAATAAGACCTACTATTTAATACCACAACAGGGTGACCATAGTTGATAACAACTTAATTGTACCTTTAAAAATAATGTAATTGGATTGTTTGTAACACAAAGAACAAATGCTTCAGGGGTTGGATACCCCATTCTCCATGATGTGATTATTACGCATTGCAGGCCTATATTAAAACATCTCATGTACCCCATAAATATACACACTTACTATGTAGCCACAAAAATTAAAAATAAACTAATTTAAATAAAAATAAAAAATCTTTACTCATAAAAATATCTTCAAATTTGAAAGCAAACTAGAGATATTTTAAACAACTAAAATTCATTACCAACAAACATGAATTATAAGCAAAATTAAAGGAAGTTCAATGATACCAGATGGAAATCCATAAAGTACTAAAGAGAGCCAGAAATGGTAAGTATGTGAGTAAATACAAAATATTGCTTTTATCTCTTTTTAAAAATCGTATACAAAAAATATTGACTGTTTAAAGTAAAAAAAAAATATTCTAAACATGTAAAACAAACCATATGAAGAAGTAAAATTTATAGCAACAATTACACATAGTGAAAGTACAGAAGTGCAAGTAACGGGTACAAGGTTCATAAACCATATGTAAAATGGTATAATATTATTTGACATTAGTCTTTGATAAAATAAAAATGTATACTGTAAACATTAGAATAACCATTAAAAATAAATAAAACAAACAGGTATCACTAAGAAGCCAAGAGTGGAAATAAAATGAAATCATTTAAAAAGTATTAATCTAAAAGAAGACTGGAAATAGAAAAGAAATGAGTAGATAGAACAAACATAAAAACAAATAGTCAAATATTATATTTAAGCCCATCCATAGAAATAATTACATTAAATGTAAATAGCCTAAGTACTTTAATTAAAAGGCAGAGATTTTAAGAAAAAGAGCAAGACCCAACTGTGTGATGCCTTTACAAAAAAAAAAAGAAACTAACTTTAAATGTACAGACAAAAATAGGTTAAGAGTAAAAGAATTGAAAAATATTTACCATGCAAACACTAAGTACAAAAAGCCAGAATAGCTGTGTTAGTATCAGACAAAATAGACTTTAGAGCAAGCTTGTCTAAATCATGGCCTGTGGGCTGCATGCAGCCTAGGATGGCTTTGAATGCAGCCCAGCACAAATTTGTAAACTTTCTTAAAACATTATGAGGTTTTTTTTTTTTTTTTGCTATTTCTTTTTTTAGTTCATCAGCTATTTTTACTGTTAGTGTATTTTATATGTGGCCCAAGACAATTCTTCTTCCAGTGTGGTCTAGGGAAGACAAAAGATTGGACAGTCCTACTTTAGAGCAAGAAATAATACATTTCATAGTAAGGAGAGGATAATTCACAGAAAGACATAAAAATCCTAAAGGTATATGCATATAATAATAGACCTTCAAAATACATGAAGTATAATAAAACTGATAGAACCAAAAGAAGAAATAGATAAAACCAAAATTATATTGGAGATTTTAAAATTCTAATCTTAGTCATTGATAAAACAAGTAAACAGGAAATAATAAAGGTATAGAAGACTTAATCAACACCATCAACAAATTAACATAATTGATTCTGTTTGAAACTATGTTTAATAGTCACCCAATAATAGCAGAATACATATTTTTAAAGCACACATTGAAATTCACCAAAATAGATAATATTCTGAGCCAAAACAAGTCTTTAATAAATTGAAGTCACATGACATATGTTTTCTGACCACAAAAGAATGAAACTAGAGATAAATACCAAAAAGATATCTGGGAAATGGTCAAATATTTAGAAATTATACAATACTTCTAAATAACAAATGAAAACAAAGAAGAAACTATAAGAGAAATGAGAAATATTTTTAAATGGAATAAAAATGAAAACAAAAAATATCAAAATGTGTGGGATGCAGTTTAAAATGTCCTTGGAGGGGAATTTATAGCATTAAATGCTTATGTTAGAAAAGATAAAAGATCTCAATTTAATTATCTAAGCTTCTCATCTTAATAAACAAGAAAAATAAGAGCAAATTGTAACTAAAATAAGTAGAATAAAAGAAATAAAAAGACAAGAGCAGAAATAAATGAAACAAAAAAAAAAACTGGAGAAAAATCAGTGAAACAAAAATGTGGTTATTGAAAAGATCAATAAAATTGATAAGGCTCTAGCCAGACTGATTACTTTAAAAATATATAACACAAATTACCAATATCAAGAGTTATCTTATGAATGTTAAAAGGATAAGAAAATATTATGCATAATTTTTACCAATAATTTTGACAACTTAGATTAGTAGGATCAATTCCTTGAAAGATAAAAATAATCAAAGCTCATCCAAAAGGTAGACCATTTGAACAGTCTATCTAGAAAAGTAACTGAATTTGTAATTTGACCTTCTCACAAAGAAAATGTCAAACCTAGACTGTTTCATTGATGAACTCTACCAAACACTTAAGAAAGAAATAATACAAATTCTATTCTAGTATTTCCATTTTAAGAAGTCAGCATTGTCTTAATTTTAATACCAAAACAAAAACATTCAAAGAAAGGAAAGCAACGGAACTAATATCCCTCTTAAATAAAGGTCCAACAATAATAAAATTTTAATAAGATTTTAGCAAATTAAACCCAGCTATATATACAATGTATAATATATCGTGACCATGTGGATATCATTCCAAGAATGTAATGTTAGTTTAACTTTGAAAATCAATTAATGTAACCCACAATATTAGCAAACTAAAAACAAACTGAAAAACCAAACATATGGTGATCTCAATAGATGTCAGGAAAAGATTTGACATAATCCAGCATCTAAGAATAATAACTCACAGCCAGATAGAAATAGAAAGGAACTTCTTTAGCCTGATAAAGGGCATGTACAAAAAACTCTACAGCTAAAATCATGCTTAAAATCATGCAGAAAGGCAAGAAAAGAAATAAAAGGCATATAGATTGGAAAGAAAGCAGTAAAATTACAATGGACAGTAGAAAGAAATAAAATATGTATTAGGAAGGAAGCAGTGAAACAGGCCGTGTAAAAAGTCCTAAAAAATGTAAAAAGATAGCTACTAGTACAAATAAGTGATTTTTACAAGGTTATAGAATACAAAGCTAATATACAAAATCAATTGTAATTCTAAACACTATTAAGGAACATTTGGAAATTAAACTTAAAAAATCCAACAGCATTTATAACAGCACTAACATATGAAAGACTTACATATTAATTTAACAAAATATGTACAATATTTGTACAATGAAAATTGTAAAACATTGCAGCAAGAAACTTAAAAAGATGTAAAATGGAGAAGTATACCATGCTTATGCATTAGAACATTTAATTTTGTAAAGATGTCAATTCTTTCCAAATTGCTGTATAGATTCAATGCAATCCCAAACTCTCAGCAGTCTTTTTGTAGAAATATACAAGCTCTCTCTAAAATTTATAAGGCAATGCAAGTGGCTTGTACCAGACAAAACATTTTGTAAAGAAAGATCAAAGTTGGACACCTTACACTAACTGATTTTAAGACTTACTACAAAGCTACAATAAGAAAATATGATATTTATGTAAGAATAGGCATTTAAATCAATGGATCATAGCAGAGTCCATAAACACACTCACTAATGTACGGTCAACTGGTTTTCAATAAAAGTACCAAAGGAATTCGGTAGTGAAATAATCATGTAGAACAACTGGACATTCATAAGGAAAGAAAAGAAACGTGGCCCTTACCTTACATCACCCATAAAAATTAACTCAAAATGGATCATAGACCTTAATGTAAGAGCTAAAACTATAAAACTTCTCAAAGAAAACATAGGAAAAAATATTTGTGACCTCACATTAGGCAAAGATTTCTTAGGACACAAAAAGCACAAACTATAAAGGAAAAAAAAAAGTAAATTTGACTCCATTAAAATAAAAAAACTGCTCTTTAAAACAGTGATCCCCAAACTTCCTGGCAGCAGGAAACAGTTTCGTGGAAGACAAACAGACTGGGGAGCTGGGGGGATGGTAGAGATGGTTTCGGGATGATTCAAGTGCAGTATATTTATTGGGCACTTCATTTCTATTATTACATTGTAATATATAATGAAATAGTTATACAACTCACCATAATGTAGAATCAGTGGGAGCCCCAAGTTTGATTCCCTGAAACTAGACGGTCCTATCTGGGGACGATGGGACACAGTAACAGATCATCAGGCATTAGATTCTCATAAGGAGCACACAACCTAGATCCCTCGCATGCACAGTTCACAATAGGGTTTGTGCTCCTGTGAGAATCTAATGCCAACACTGATCTGACAGGAGGTGGAGCTCAGGTGGTAATGCAGTAATGCAAGTGATGGGGAGCAGCTATAAACACAGATGAAGCTTCCCTTGTTTGCCTGCTGCTCACCTGCTGTGCAGCCTGGTTCCTGACAGGAACATGGCCTGGGGTTTGGGGACCCCTGCTTTAAAAGACACTGTCCTGCAAATGAAAAGGCAAGACACAGACTTGAAAAACATGTTCGTTAAACATAGATCTGTTAAATGCCTTGTATCCAGATAATATACAGAACACTTACAATTCAATAATAAGAAGACAAACACTCCAGATTTTTAAAGAATGGGCAAAATATTTGCAAAAAAAAAAAAAAGAGGACATGAAAAGATGCTTAATATCATTAGTCATTAGGGAAATGCAAATTAAAACCACAATGAAATATCACTTCACACTCATCAGAATGGCTAAAGTTTAAAAGCCTGCCAAGTGTTGGTGAGGGTGTGGATCAACTGGAACTCACATACATTACTGGTCAGAATGCAAAATGCAGTAGCCACTTTGGAAAACAGTTTGGTAATTTTGTGTGAAGTTAAACATACACTTACCATGTGACCCACAATTACCCTTAGGTATTTATTCAAGAGAAACAAAAATGTATGTTCACACAAAGACTTATATTCATGTGTTCATAGCAGCATTATTTATGACAGCCAAACACCAATCCAAAGTCTATCAACCGATTTATGGACAAATAAATGATCATAGATACTTGCAATGAAATACTACTCAATAACAAAAAAGGAACAAACTGCTGATACATGCAACTACATCGATGAATCTCAAAAGCGTTCTTTTAAGTAAAAACCACAAAAGACTATGTACTATATGATTCTACTTCCATGAAATTCTAGAAAAGGCAAAACTGTGGTGACTGAAAGTAGATTAGTGGTTACCAGGGGCTGGAGTAGGGAAGTGGATTGACTATAAAAGGGTACAAGGGAATTATCTGGGTTATTGAAATAATCTATATTATGATTGTTGTGGTAATTAAACAACTGTGTACTTTTGTTACTATATCTAAGTTATACCTTATTCATGGATAAAAACTAATTTAAATGGTCTGGGGTGCAGGGTGGGCATGGGTGTTTAAGTGCTCCTCCCCCATGCCCATGTGATTCTAATGTGCAGTAGTGGTAGGCAGAACCCCGATAGTCCCTGACTCTGGTTTTTCTTGCTCTTGTGTAATCCCCTCTTTGAGTGTGGGCTGGACCTAGTGACTTGCTTCTAACAAACAGAAAACAGCAAAAGTGATGGGATACCACTTCTATAATTCCACTACTAAAGTCTACAGCGGTCATGTGACTGGTACTGTTGGTCTCCTGCCCTCTTGCTTCTGGCCCTTGAAGCAGGCCCCCATGATGCAAGGTACTCTATGGAGAGGCCGTACGGTAAGGAACTAAGGGGGGGTCTCCAGCCAAAAGGTCAGTAGGAACTGAGACCTCAGACCAACAACCCATGAGAAACTAAATTCTGCCAACAATCATGTGAGTGAACTGGGAAGTGGAGAGTCTTCAGTGATTGCAGCCTTGCGAGAGACCCACAGCTAGAGGATCCACAATCTAAGCTGTACTTAGATTCTTGACCCACAAAACCTGTGAGGTAACAAATGGTGAATGAAGCCACCAAGCTGTGGGGAAACTTGCTATTCAGCAATAACTGACATAGCAGCCAAGGTTGATAATTGCCAATCTAAGTGTGATTTGTGAGGAGAGAACTTCATCCTCTTCTATCATAACTAGCAGAATCATTTTTTAAAAAATGACAACTGCTGTCCAGAGATTTGAGAATCTGCTGGAAGAAAGGAGGCTGGAGGGCCTCAGGCTTCAGTAACTAAGTGGGTAGGTGAGGATTAGAATGAAGGACACTGCCATTGTTATCTATAGCTTGATTCTTCCCTAGGGGTAGCCTAGAGCCATAGTTTCTCACAGTTAAAAAGATAATTATGATTTTCATCACATATCCATGAGAGCTGTCTTAACTTTCATTTATGTAAAACTCACCTTAAACTAAAGTGTACCCCAAATGAAAATGAACCAAGCAGAGCTGCATTCATTAATTGGACGCAATGTTAGTTTCACTTAACTGTGAACTGAATCAATTTGTATAAAACTAGTAGCCTCTTTGAATTCATTGATATTTCTTAAATTAACTATTAAAAACAAAACCCTGCAACACCACCATGTTCCTCAAACCTGAGGAGGTGCGGATGCAAAGTTTTGCCAAGTCATGGGTGGGAGATTTAGCAGAACGAGGCTGGGGCATCCAGGAATTCCAGAGGCTCCTTGAAGAGCCTGGAGTAGGAGCCCTCACCTCAGCACCCATGTGATGAGGGCACGTCAGTTAGGAGCAAGGGATTCCCAATTTGCGTCTGAGCTTTCAAAGAAGGGCCTTGAAAAAATAGAGCCTAGAGAACAGTTATGAACAAATTAAGGGCTGAAATTAGGATCTATGAGGGAAATTTAAAAAGGGGCTGGAGGTAATTTTGCATGAAAAAGATAAAGAGTGACTGTCTTCAAATAAACTAAGAATAATTACTGATAGATAATTAACACTATTGCTCATTACCGATACACAAGACAGAAACGAGGAGAAAGGAGTTTAAATTGCCATACTGAAGTTTTGTTACACTGAAAGTAGAATTTATTGACCAGAAGAGTGATTAAATACAGAGAAAAATCCAGGTTCTTAAAACATTTCAAGTGATGCTGTATCTTCCTGACAGCAAAACATCTGGTGATAGTGAACATTTCATCCAGCTGACTGTCCTGTGGATAAAACATCTGTATTATAACTGGATTTGTTAATGGATTAATTGAACTAAGTAAATGTTTGGTGGCTTTTGGGAAATTTTATCCAAATGATGAAAAGAAAATGAGTTGTTTTCTGTTTTACATTGTTTTGCAGTAATTTATGTTATATCATTGGAATAACACTCTCCATCTGACAGTGGACTCTTATGGGCTCACACGGCAGATAGAGCTCCACCTAATTAGTCAAGTCTTTACAGTAAGATTTACTTAAATGACTCAATGCCTTGACAGAAAGCAGTGAATCACTGCTTTCTACCACCTACAAACCAAGTTGCCCAGGAGCTTACAGAAACCCTAAACGAGCTGATTTTTTTTTTTTTAGAACTGAGAATGAAGGTATTAAGAACTCTCATATTTCAGACTTGTTGTCTTCTTGGATTAAGGCAAGAAAGATCTTTACTGAGGAATGTTTTAGGGCATGTGAAAGCTAAGATGAAGTTGGAGGACTATCATACATCCGATCCAAATATGCTTCTTTTTTTCCCCCCAGAAAGCTAGCCACTAAATAATTAAGGCAATGGTTTTCCAAGTGTTTTTCTCAGATGAGTACCAGTATCACCTGGGAACTTGTTGGAAATGCAACATCATGGGTCACAACCAAGACTAAATCAGAAACTCTGGGAGTGGGGCCCTGCAATCTGTGTTTTAACAAGCCCTGCAGGTGATTCTGATCCTCAGGAAGGGTTGACAGCCTCTGGATTAAAGGAATGATTTGTACTGATTCCCAGCTGCACCCAATCTGGTTTGGCATCTGTCTGCTTGTGTAACTGGTGATCCTGAATGGGTCTGTATCTCCACGGACTGAGATGCACAGGAGTTGCAGGTTTTCAGGATGAAAGAACGGGACATGGAAGGTAGGAGTATGGCAAGATGTCTAGATATTAAGTGTTATGGTGTGGATTCAGTATCTACCAGTTGAAAAAGATAGAAGTTTTACACATGGTAGAGCCCACAAGTATTTGTTGACTACTTGATTCAGCCTAGTCTTTTGGCTTGATGAACTGCTTTTGAGCCTCAGAAGACTGGGGTGAGCCAGAAGCTCAAAGGTTTATTTGTTCATTAACGCAAAGCAAAATGAAATGAAACAAAGAAATATAAAACCTGTAATGAGACTTGGAACATAGACAGCTGCTTCAGGGCCTAGGAAGCAAAATGGAGCTCAGCCTTGGGCTGAGGGTGTTCTTGAAGGCTGGGCCATCTGAGGGCTTGGGGCGGCTCCCAGAGCAAGAAGCCTTTGTCCAGTTGGAGAGTGTTCTATTACAAAGCAGCAGCAGCAGAAATACTGGTAAGAATACCAGAGAGACATGAAGAGATGCTGAACTGCTGCAGCGCTGTGATTTCAATATTAATGTGACCTTGTCTCTATCCACAGACATCTGGGACAATTAGGTTACACGTATAATATACAATAACACTGAACTAACGAGAAGAAGTAAGAAAGCATGTTACCTAACTTGTTCCCAGTGTTACAAAGGAAGTAATTTAAATCTTTGGCAAACCTGGTTTAAATGCTTGCAGATTCAAAGCAGTATAGTGATTGTCAGGCCCAATAGCTAGCTATCTGTTGATGTTAATGGTTTGGGAATTAGGCAACCCTAGAAAAATCAATTCCTATAGTTTTTTTTTTTCCATAGAAGCTGCAGTCTCTTCTATAAGATCAGTAGATAGAGAACATTGAAGCTGACAGGCTTCACGTCCATCTTGAACAGTGGTCAACATGTATTTAGTACTTGTACAGTGTGAATCACCGATTCATTCCAGACATATTTATTGAGTGACTACTATGTGTCAGGAATTATGCTGGACACTGATAGTCATTAGAATCAGGTAGACTGGGTCAGGCTCTCTAAAGCCTCTCTATCCAATACAGTAGCCACTAGCCACACGTGGCTATTTAGTTCAATTCCTTAGTCACACTTGTCCCATTTCAAGTGCTCAATAGCCACACATGGCTAGTGACCACTGGTTGGGACACCACAGATACAAGGAGAGTGGAATACAAGGTCCTGCCCAAGTCTTAGTGCTGGGCTTTTTCTTCCTGTTTCCATCTCCCCCAGGGCATCAAAGCCTTCATCATCTTTGAGGGTTGTTGGTGCTGTCATGAATGTCTTGGACCATGGTATTAGCAGTAGGTGTCTTTGTGGATCATTTTGAATAGGTGTCAGTACAATCTTGAGACAGACAGAGGCCTCCTTGGCTGAGTGCACCATGAATAATATGCAGGCCTCTAGAAAGCCACATCCTCTTTCCAATTCCATTTTTATGGTATAAACTCTGGGTATGGTGTAAAACCCTCATACTTTCCTGATTAATTCTTTAAAAAAAAATCTGTATAAACAGATTAAACAATTAATCTGTTTTTACAATTAATTGTTAGATTAAACAATCTGTTTAAACAAATTTTTAAAAAGTTTAAAAAACAAAAAACACACCAAGAACATTGACAATCTCTTGCTTTTCTTTTGCTCGCATCTTTCTGCTTGAGGCAGTGTGGACGCCTCTGCCTGAGAGGAGGAAAGTCACTTACAAGGACAAGAAGAAAACAAAAGCACAAAGATTAATATTTCAAAATATTATCTTTCTACATCAAAATAGTTGAAAACATGGTTTTTGCCTCCAAGTTGCCTATATAACTGAGAAAACATGAAAAATAAGGAAATTCATGAAAAGTTAATAACCATAAAGAATAAAGTAACAACATTAAAGAGAAACAAAAAAGATGTCACCTGGCTCTACAGATTAATAGCAGTGGGGTGGTATAGACCCTAAGTGTGGCTTTTCAGGGAAACATGAGGATATCTGCAAGGAGAGGTAGAATTTCAGGTGGGGAAACACGATAAGCAGAAGTGTGGACATGGAGGGTAAGAATTGTTTAAGATACAAAGAGTTTGACTGTCACACAGGGTGAGAGGAACTAAAGCTGAAAAAGTAGGCTGAGGAAATATCACGGAAGACGGTGGATGTCAAGCTGAAGAGTTTGTTCGTTATCCTGTAGAGGGATGGGGGTGGAGGTGTCATTGAACAATTTGAATAGGGAAGTGACATAGCTAAAGCAGTTTCATGACATTGACTCTAACATTGAACCCTAGCAGCAATGTTTGGCTATTCAGATGTCCTGATGCCAAGGCAGGCTGGAGACAGGAGAGTGGTTAGGAGGTGATTGCAGGGAGTAGGCATGAAGTGACACTGGCTGGGAACAGGGTTGATGGTGTGACAATGGCAGGGGAGTGATGAGCACGCATAGCATATTGAAGGAAAAATCAACAGGGCTTTGATTCTTTGGAGCTGAGGGAGAGAAAGAAGTCAAATATACTATTAACTTGGGCAAATTACTTAGCATCCATAAAATAGTGATAATAGCTGTGTTTTACAGGTTTGCTATGTGATTTAATGAAAAGACCTTCATAAAACGCAAGAAGTCTCTGGCATACAAATGTAATTTAAGTCTTTGTTTGGAACTCCGATGGCCTAGAACTATCCTCCTCATTCCAACAGTCAGGATCCCGGGAAAGCAGATTCAGCTGCAAGGGCAAGACAAATGCCCCTTCCTTCCTTATGGGCTGGGAGACGTTGTGCTTGCAGGACAGATCCACAATTCTGATCACTTCTTGCTCACGCAGGACTGATATCCTCTTAGTAGCACCCTCAGTGATGGTCTCAGGCTGGAACTCCCTGGAGTATAATAAAACTTGCTAGAACATGCTGGGACTCTCTGCTGTATTTCCGAGCACGTCTGAGGTTGAGGTCTCTTTCTAAAGACTTCTGAGGCCTCTCCCATAACAAATAAAGGCCCACAGCACAAAATCCTGATGTGCTTGTCCCTGTTATTACCCCAAACATCTAGAAGCATTCTATAGACCACCTCAACACCTGTTTTCCCTCTGTTTCTAATGATAGCTAATAAAATAGTGCTTACATTTTCATATACTGCATAAAGCCTTAACATCTAATATTGATGCATATGCCTTAGATTTAGAACAAAAAATAGAAAATAGTGCTACTACAATGCTACCTATCATTTTCTAAAAAGAAAACAAGAAAATATGAGTAGGAAATTATTTCTTCTATCATTTTGAATACCATGTTTGAGAAAGGGATGGTTAAATTAGTAGAAAGCAAAGGAGCAGATGAATAATATTTTTTTGGTAAAATTTTTGTAAAAATTATGAAGGAAATCTTTCAAGCACTTCCAAGTGCTCTAGAAATGGAAGGTTCTGAGCTTTTATTATAATACAGTTTTTTTGTTTTGTTTTGTTTTTTGTTTTTTGAGACAGAGTCTTGCTCTGTCGCCCATGCTGGAGTGCAGTGGCATGATTTCAGCTCACTGCAACCTCCACTTCCTGGGCTCAAGCAATTCTCCTGCCTCAGCCTCCTGAGTAGCTGGGATTACAGGTGAGCACCACCACGCCCAGCTAATTTTTTGTATTTTTACTAGAGATGGAGTTTCACCATGTTGGCTAGGCTGGTCTTGAACTCCTGACGTCAGGTGATCTGCCTGCCTTGGCCTCCCAAAGTACTGAAATTACAGGCATGAGCCACCACGCCCAGTCTTTTACTATAATACATTTAACTGAAATCTCTGCCCCTCGTTTTTATTTGAAACAGGTGTATCTAAGCAGGCTACAAGGATACAGATATCTGTGTGTGTACACACATATATTCGTACATATAAACACACACATATGAACGTAGATACTTGTAAAAGGCAAACAGGATGGGAAAAAGAGGATAACATGGCAAAAGAAAATTTTTTCTGAGATGACTAGAAAATGAGGGGAAGAGGGGAAAGTTAAAAAACAACATGTGTGTATAGGAGAGGTAATGAGTTAATCTGTGGATATCAAAAAACAAAAGAGAACAAAAAAAGAGGATAAAGACATGAATCCACCACCAGGAGATGTTTCCAACCCAGCACAGCTTGTGATGCTCTAATAAATGAGACCCAAATGCTGGGGCCGTGTGGCTGTTCTGAGGCAAGAGGAAAAGCAGCGTCCCACTAATTATATGAATGTTGAAAAGTCTAAGTTTGTAACTTGGAGAGTGTCTCTATTCTGGAAACTAAAGATGAATCAACACAAATCATAAGTTGAATTATAAATAACTGGTGCCTTTCCATTCTTTTTCAAGGGACCTATTGTCTCTTACTGCTCTGGTTGGACAGAAAGTGCCACTGAGGTACCCACTACAGCATCACTCCCAGACATATACTCACTTCCCTGGGCCCATCAGAATATTCCTATCAGCTGTCCTCTAATTTCAGAACAAGTTCTAAGTGATGCTTTGGTGAACATACTCATGCAAATATGAATGGAAGTATAAATGAGTTAATCTGCCGTAGCACGGTCCCTCCATAGACCATGCCAAGGGGCATAGCCATACAATCTAAAAATCTGGGAATATTTTGCCCCTTTTCAACTTAATTCTCAGAGAATCAAACTGCTGACAGCTCCTGGACTGGGTAGTTGTCTCCATTATGCCAGGACTGAGGGGCTCCTGGACGTGGAACTTTCAGTATTAAAACTTGGAGAATCCTGGGCAAATTCAGACAATTGGTCACCCTAATATTCCTTCCCACCTAGGTCAGATCCTGACTTGAGTGAAGAATGTCAGGAAAGGATACCAATCTACCATCTACACCCTGCTGGATCTTTAGCAAGAAGTAGTAGAGCTTTATACACATACACACTACCAAGTCTTTACTTTTACCCATTGTCTTACCTCCACCCCTAGACATTTCTGTAGTAACATCAAAGGCAGGTTCAGTTACTTAATAGCATCAGCCCAAGTTAAACAGGCCCGTCAGAAATCATACATAGAAGGCTACAAAAGCATCTCATATATTTTATAATGCAGAATCTACAGGCCCTACAAGTTACAAGTCTCTGTGGTTAGTAATAGCACTAATAGATAGGTTTATAAAGTACAAGGCTGGCCATAGGCAAAATTATAATTTTTTTTTTTAGGTGTCCCAAGCCCATCACTTTCTTCTCTCAAACAGAACTGGAGTGCTTCCTACACTTTCTTCCTTATAGTAAAACCTGTTCCCAGGGAAATAACTAATACCAGCAATTTACTCATTAGTGTGAATGAAGTGGTATCTCCCCCAGGCTGATTTAAATTGTTAAGTCTTATCTTTAATTATACTGTATTCTTTCATTCCTTCTACTAATAAATATTCACTGAGATCCTCCAATGACTAATTAGGAACACAGTACATGAAAGCGACACACAGCCTGCCTCCAACTAACTTACAAAATTTGGCCTCCACTAATTGCAGGCATCAGCTGGTCAGTATGAAAGGAATATTTGCGATAGGGATGGCTTTCCTATTTGCCCCTGAAATAGGAGCTCTTAGGCTGGCACTGATAGAGGTTGTTACATGAGTATGAGATAGTCAAGAGCTCCCTGAAGGAATTAAAGTGGATATTAAAGCTTAAAGTCTCAGGGTCTTGTCTTACTTACTCTCTACTATATTTGTTCTGAATTGAAAGATGATGTTAGGTGAAAAGGAGGAAGGGGATTAGAAAAGCCATCTCATAGAAATCTGGACCAGGAATAAAACTAAAAAGGAGGAAATTTAAAACAGAGTAATATAAAATTATGATTTTTGGCCCAAGGAGTCATTTAATTTCAAGGACCATATTAAAATCCCCCAAAGGAAAAAATTTTATGTAAAATGATAGAACAACCTCAATTCCCTGTCCAAGACAGGGAATGGTTGGATAAATATGATACATCTTACTATGGAATTTAATGCAGCTATTTTAATATATAATTACAGGGAGGGCCAGATGCAATGGCTCACATCTGTAATATCAGTGCTTTGGGAGACCAAGGCAGGAGAATTGCCTGAGGCCAGGAGTTTGAGACCAGCTTGAGCAACATAGTGAAACCCTGTCTCCTCAAAAAATTAAAAAATTAGCTGGGCATGGTGGCATGCTACCATAGTCCTAGCTACTCAGGAGGCTGAAGCAGGAGGACTTCCTGAACCCAGGAGTTCAAGGCTGCAATGAGCTATGGTTATGCCACTGCACTCCAGCCTGGGTAGACATAATTATAAAAGATAGTGTAGTAGTTTGGGAAAATGTTAATATATTACACTTTAAAGTCAGGGTATGAAATGTTATCTAGGTTATGATGAAAACTATATAAAATTTACATAAGCATATGTGTGAGAACATGGACAACTGAAAATTGCTGATGTCATGTTAGTAAGATTCTGGGTCACTTATTTCCTTGTTATCTATCATTTTGGAACACTGCTTGTACAACAAACATTATAATAGATCAATTGAACAGGTAAGAATGGGGGAAACAAATGCTTATTTACAAAGAACCTGGGGATTTGATTGACTATAAGCTTGTAATTAGCCAAATGACAGTCTTATGTGACTACTTTGAACAAAACTGATGCAATCAGAATTCATCAATCGACATATAATCCAGATCCAACAAAAATAAATGTTTCACATATTGTGCATGAATATAATCACATCTCGAATACTCTGTTTAGCTCTGGGTGACCCAATTTGGGAGAGACATTGATAAATCAGAGAACAATGAGAAGGGCAACTAGGAGATTTAGAAAGACCTGAAAACAATAGTAAACAACAAATGGTTGAAGAAAGTTTAGAATTTTAACTTAGAGATGAAAAGAGTCAGAGTGGGTACATCTGTAAAATTGTTATATGACAATTGTATTAAGTTTTTATAAATTTAGAGGACAGAATTAGAATCAAAATATAGAAACTTTAGGAAATTAGCTTTTTGGCTAAAAATAAGGAGAAACTTTCTAGTGAGAACTGGCTAACAATGCAATGAACTACTTCAAAAGGCAGAGAAATTCTCTTTGGAAAATGTTTGAGCAAAGACAAGCAAAGAATGCTGACATTGTTGGAAGATTGTTCTGGATGATACCTAAAGACTGATTGAATCCCGAGATCATATGTTTCAATCAAATTTGGGAATGGCAGAAATTCCAATTGGTTTCTACAACTCTTCAAGCGTAAGCATGAGACAGGTCAGGTTTTCCTTTACACAGCCTCATTCAATTTGGACACATAAAATGTAATTAGACTAAAGCCAGATGAGAAGAAATAGATTTTGTCAGTCCCCATTAGATTGTGTGGGTGTGTCCTCTGAGTTTACTTTAAAATATCATTGCTCAACATCTATTTTATTACTCTCAACCTAATTACTTTTGGCCATACTGTAATTACATTCTTGACCTTCAGTCTAATCACTAAGGAAGGAGTTAAAAGAAATAACTCTTATGAAGCATTATCTATGGACCAGGCATCATACTAAGTATTATTATATATGTAATTTTATTTAATCCTATAACCCTATGAGGGAAGAGTTATTAATCCCATCTTATAATTAAGAAAATAAATGTTTGCTTATAATTAAACAAACATACCCAAGGTCCTATAGCAAGTGTGACAGCTGGGCTTTAAACCCTGAGCCTGGTGTATGCTGAAGCTCTGCTCGACCATGCCATTGCTCCAACTTTCTCTAAACCAAATCATTTTTAGACTACAATTCACCCAGAAGACCGTGCCCGTTTATTTATTAGTTTTGTTTTGGGAAACTAAGCTCATTCCCACAAGAGGATCTAAGGCTGATTGTTCTTTGAATGAGAATGTTCAAGCCAGTGACTTGCTTCTGGGATCACTGGCTTCACAGCTGTGGTATAAAGAATAATGGGCTGGGTGCAGTGGTTCACGCCTGTAATCCCAGCACTTTGGGAGGCCAAGATGGGTGGATCACTTGAGATCAGGAGTTGGAGACCAGCTTGGCCAACACAGTGAAACCCCATTTCTACTAAAAATACAAAACTTAGCTGGGCATGGTGGCGGGTGCCTGTAATCATAGTTACTCAGGAGGCTGAGGTAGGAGAATCCCTTGAACTCAGGAGGCAGAAGTTGCAGTGAGCCAAGATCATGCCACTGCATTCCAGCCTGGGTGACAGAGTGAGACTCCGTCTCAAAAAAACAAACAAACAAAAAAACAAACCCAAGAATAACGGCTCCTAAAAATGTCCATGTGGCATGGCAAAAGGGATTTTTCCTATGTAATTAAGGTAAGGAATTGAGATGAGGAGATTTCCTGGATTATCTGGGTGGGCCCAATGTAATCACAGTGGTCTCTATAAAGAGGAGGCAGGAGGGTCAGAGTCAGAGGAGATGTGACGATGGAAGCAGAGGCCAGAGATGGAAGAGGTTTGAAGATGCTGCATCACTGACTTCTAACATGAATGAAGGGACTATGAGCCAGGAATGCTGATGGCCACCAGAAGCTGAAAAAGGTAAGTGATATGGTTTGGATGTTGTCCCCACCCAAATCTTTTGTTGAATTGTAATCACCAGTGTTGGAGGTGGGGACTGGCAGGAGTTGATTGCATCATGGTGGGTGGATCCTTCATGAATGATTTAGCACCAACTCCTTGGTGCTGTTCTCATGATAGTGAGTTCTCAGGAGATTTTTTTGTTTAAAAGTCTGTAGCATGTCCCCCATCTTCTTTTCCTCCACTCTGGCCATGTAAAGTGCTGGCCCCGCCTTCACCTTCTGTCATGATTGTAAGTTTCCTGAGGTGTCCCCAGAAACCGAGCAGATGCCAGCATCATGCTTTCTGTACAGCCTGCAGAATCATGAGCTAATTAAACCTCATTTCTTTATAAATTGCCCAGTCTCAGCTATTTCTTTATAGCAATGCGAGAATAGACTAATATAGCAAGGAAACAGAGTCTCCAGAAAGAGCTCAGCCCTGCTGATATCTTGACTTCTAGGACTTCTTTCAGAAATAAAATCATCCATTTGTATTGTTTTAAGCCATCAAGTTTGTGGTAATTGGTTAGAGCAGCAATAGGGGACTAATACAATAGCCTTAAATATTATCTTCATTTGAATAAAGAAACTACCTGTTGAAGAACATCTTGAGAACTGTGCTAGGGAAGGGGTCAGGAACTTCTTTCAGCCCTGTCTGCCCAGGAGAGAACTAAGCAATGACTGTGAGTGTCATTGGCAGGCCTAGGATCCAGGGAGGAGAGGAGAATAAAGAGGATGAGGGAGAGAGGGAGGGAGGAAGAAAGGCAGGAAAGGAGGCAGGGAGGGAGAAAGGAAGGATGAGAGGGAGAAAGGAAGGGCGGAAGGGAAATGAAATAAAGATAAAAGGTTGGATAACAAGAGTAAATGTGGAGGAGACGAAAAAGAACATTTAGGTGACAGTGAGCAGTACCTGGCTGCTAACTGTTGTTCCAAATTTCTAGGTAGACACATTTCTAGGCAGTCTTATCCTGAATAAACTGATAATGTCAAAGTCTATATTTCCATAATACAGTACCCACAAAGAGTATTAATTTGATTCAAGTTGTAGGAAAGGAAGTTTTAATTTGTTTCTAAGTCACTTGGCTTCACGGTGTTTTCTGATCACATGCACAGCCTATAAGAGAAGAGGTGGTCAGAGAGCCATTCTAAGGAGAAGGATTACCATGAGCTCTCAATAGAGAAGGAGAGCTTCACTCTTAATTCAAGGCCTGTACAGGTCACCTGCACAGCATTTCTGCCCTGCTCCTTGTCAGTAAGCAGCCCTCAAGCTGTCAGCCTGGTAGGAAGTGACAGATTCAAGCCCTGCTCAGCTTTTTAAGAGAGAGGCTCAAAGCTGGGGCCCTGAAGAGCACTCCTGCATGATGATTATGCGTGTACTCATAGGCTGTAGGCAATTTAAGTATCTGCTGGAACAAACTGATTTCTACTTAAGTGTTCTGTGAGTTAGGAACTTTTGTCTTCCTATAAGGTTTGCTTCACTTACCTAAACCAAGGTATAACCTAGTTTGAGCTGATGCAACCAGAAGCTTGTTCAAAATGCTGCACTCAATTCTATATGATCAGTGACGCTGTAAAACTAAGATACTTTTTGGATTGAGAGAAACCACAGAAGCTTTCTAGGTGTGGGATACCAATAGATTTATTTTTAAATTAATACTTCTTAGAGAGTATTGTGTATACTGCATTGACTGGAAGTCAGCTCTGATGTTATGTCACTGGGCAACATTGAGTAAATTCATCTCCCTGCACTCCAGTTTCTTCACCTCAAGTATCCTGCAGGTGCAGCCTGTGCTAAGGTTCTTTAAACCTGAGGAAATGCAAAGTGCTTGATTCCCTATTTGCATCTCAGTGGCACCTCCCTCTGACCCCTCTATTAGGTGGTACATTTTTCTGAATTGTTTGGGCTGACAGCTTTCTTCAATGCCAGGAAACGTGTATCCTCTAAATATGAAATTCAACTGACTTTCCTCTGCCCTCCTTCATCTAGTCTCCATTAAAAATGGGCTCATCATCTCTGTAAACCCCAAAGCTATCAATTGTGATCTTTTGCTTGGTTACTCTGCAAGCAAGATAAAAAAAAAAAAAAGACATCCGAGCAGAGTAACTGGAGAACCAGCTCCCAACAATCAGTTATAACAAAAATATACATCCTACATACTGCATTTACTGAACACCTCCTTTAAGCATTCGTCCTTTCCTTCAGTGAATATTTATTGAGGACCTCCACTGTACCAAGCCCTATTCTAGGCTAGGCATTGGGGATTCAGCAATGAACCAAAGAGAGAAAGCCCCTGCCTCAAGGAAGTTACATTTTAGTGGGGGGAAGACACACAATAAGCAATAAGTACAAATCAGAAAATAATGCTGGGTGAAGGAGAAGAGAAGGATGAGATAGGTGGAGGTATGAGAAGGTGAAGGATTAGATAGGTGGAGGTATGAGAAGGTAGAGGATGAGACAGGTGGAGGTATGAGAAGGTGGAGGATGAGATAGGTGGAGGATAGGGTGTACATTATGCTGTGCTAGGCAGGTGCTGTGAATAGTGGCAGAAATCATAAAATACCATCCCTGTGTTAAATAATTTTTTTTTTTCAATTTGAATAAAGAGCCTGAAAATCACAAGTCAACACTAGGGGACCAAACAAAATAGTTTATATGTTTGAGCTAAATTCAAAAGGGATTTGAGAATATGCTGGGGAGTTAAAGAAATTATGGGGAAAGAGACTGATGAACAGTGGAGCTTCTACCAGAAGATCCCTTAAATCCACTGTATGGATCAGAAACGGGGTGTGCTGAAGTAAAGGAGCTACTTCCCTGAGGGGTTCCCCGGTGCAGGAACCCCAGCAATGGACTCAGGAGCTCATGTTCCTTTCTGAACTGGGGTCCAAGCCTCTAAATAGAGTTCCTAAGAGAAAGCCTAATTTCTGCTTTCTCTTCCCTAACATGCCTGACCCCATCTCTCCCAGAGGACCATAGGGAGGATTAAGGAAGTAATGTCTCCTAAGGGGCTACAGATTCTTTTTGTAAAATGCAAATTACAAGCAGGTGAATTCACATAGTCTAGAATGGAAATTCTGCAATTAAAATATTCTAAACATAATACCAAAGACATGATCTTTCCCTAATCAGACAGTTCAGAGTACAGATGATATGGTGGATTTTCCTGTCTTTCCTTACCATTTGTAACACTCTCTTCTTTGGCCAGTGGTATGTGGGTTTTGGGATGTAATGTGGAAAAGTACAACTGACTTTTTCTGAGCCATAGAATAGTGTTCCAAAGTAAATCAGGATACACATATATTAGGCATGTTCATTTCCTTGGCTCCGTGTTTGGCCAGATGATGTCAATGCTTAGTTTGCCATAACTCTAGTTCCAGCTGGCAAGCCATGCCTGTGCAAGTTACAGGATTTTAGGAACAGAAAGAAGCAGAATGAACCAGAAGACGAAGTGCTGGAGAGTAAGATAGAAAATCTTCACTTTCAACTGTGACTCGACAAATCAGCTTATTCTAAAATGTCAATTCATCATTTAAGCAAAAGCTTCTTGTAGAGCTATGGGGCTCTACAAGCTTTAGTTGATGCTTCAAAATATATCCCAGATATAAAATTCTCTGGCAGTACGGAAGAACAATCAAATTACATGCCCTAACTCTTTCTGAAGGTGTTGCCTTATAAATCTGAGGTCTTATGAAATGTTGTTGAAAGTGTCAGATTTAAACATGGAAAACTGACCCCCCCCAAAAAAGAGTGTGGGTTTTTGTTCTGATAATAAATCTTTATTTTTTAAAATTTAGAAAAAGAAGCAAAATATATAAAAGAAAATCAGTATCATCCATAATCCCAGCATCCTGAGAGAGCCATAGAAATAATTTGTTAAATAGTCTCCCATATTTTTGAAGGCACATATGATTACCATTTACTTTTACTTTTAGCAAACTTAAGATTATATTTTATGCCTCTTGTAACTGCTGTTTTTCTATAATTTTGAATCTGAATATAAATTATATGTGACAAGACTGGTTCCTTGAAAAGGCATCTCAAAGTTCAACCTCCTAAAATGTTTGCAAATATTAATTTAATAAATGCCTAGAAGAAGCAATGAAAGCCCTGAGCTGGCCACTGAACAGACATTAATTACACAGCTAGTGGCTATAATATAGGACTTTTTTGTGTAATATACGAGTGTAACAATGATGACAACACATCATTGGGATGAGGGATGTTAGTCAGTCTCTTTTCTCATTCCTGCGGTGGCTCACTGAGATTTCCATAGCCTTTACTTCTTTTACATACTTACTATACTTTCCAATTGGGCTTTATTAGGACTGAATCTACCCAAGGAAGACATGAGTCTCTGACTGCAGGTAATAATAACTAGTACATAGGCATTTATTTCTAAATCAAAGTCATTTTCAGATATTTCCTAACTTTCATTTCAACCTAATTTATTATCCCAACATGCTATGGAACTTGTGAGGAGGTGAGATGAGCGAAAGCTATTTTTAGTCTTACATTACAAGCTAGGAAAATATGGCCCCCCAAAATGCACAGAATTTGTCTAAACCCATTAAATATAAGTTGAAGCGATTTCTTAGTAGGAATTTCTTAATAGGAACTCAACTACCCAGTTACTGCACTGATTCCTCTGTGCTCTTAGCTAACACTAAAGATTTACTAATTCTTTAATGAAAGTGTTCCTGTTCTAAATAATATATTTTCTCTATTTTTCCCTTCCTGACTTTAATATGAATACTTAAAATGACAAATTTGTTTTTAAAAGTTCATCAGCTCCTGCTGCAGACCCCTTGCTGCAAGTGTAATGTTCCTTTACTGTTGGCCTACACATGCTTGGAGTGAGGAACATGGATGTAGGGAAATGAACTTTCTTTTTAAAGCCCTATTTTCTATTTTCCCATGTAACTCTCTCTGTTTCTCTGTCAGAGGTGGTTATTATTTGATTCTTCTAAAATTGGATTCTTACCACAGCCAGAAACCATGGTGGGAAATTATAGTTCCCACTTGTGCTGTTCAGGGTCCACACCAAGGTCATCTGTAGTGGTCTTCCTACTGAATACTGGTCAGAGTGGTATACTGGTAGACTGGCTCTCTGCAGGGTTGGGGAGAGAACCCTAAATTGTAGCATTCACCAATTTTCATAGTGTAAATACTGACCCCAAGACTGATTTCAAGATATTAATATTAATAATATTGATTCAAGCTATTAATACCAGTGGGATATCACTAAACATGGAGTTGGGATGAGATGCATGCAGTTGGCTCAGGTGTGAGCCAGCATCAGTACCTCCTACACAGGAGCTCTTTAGAGTAACATGTTCATCTTTCCCCACTCTGACACTGGGGAGCAAGCCACACATTACAGTTCCCCATATGCCCCTTCAGCAATCTTCTGCTAAATGTACATAAATCTAGGGATTGTCCTGGACCCTGGGTGAGATCTCAGCTTCCCTAAGAACAACCCCTTCCATAAAGTGTGGTCTGAGAATCCATGGCATTAGCCATACTTTAGAGCTTTTCAGAAATGTGGAATCTCAGGTCCTTCCAGATCTAATGAATCCAAATTTGCATTTTAACAACATTCCCAGTTGGAGAGACCTTGAAGTAGTAAATTTTGGTCAATTTCAAAGCTACGATGTGAATTAAGATCCAGAAACAGCACTGGATAGCCCTTCATTCCCCAAGGTAGATATTAAACAGATTCTAAAACTGACCAGAATTTGCAGATGAAAATAAGTCTCCTGAATATAAACAAACTGATTAGGATGAGTAGATGTTAGGCTCCCAAAATTGCTAAAAAAAAAAAAAAAAAAAAAAAAAGTATTTATGAGAAATAAGGAATCTTTTTCCTACCAAGAGCCACAGACTCAGAAAAATTATGCAATCATCAGAGAGCCATTTATTTTGTCTACCGGCTTTAGATAATACATTATATTTAAAATATTCTATTACTTTATTTTAATTAGGAAAAAGGAACGAAAATCATCTCTTTCCATGGTGTTATGTGTAAATTTAGTTTGTTACATCTGACTGATGCATAATATTCCATTGAATACACTTGCCATATTATATTGTTTCAGTCTTTTACTAAAGTACATGTAGAGTGTTTCCTGTGTTTTGCTACCTCAAACAATGCTTCCATAGACATCTGCATACATTACCCCTCTTGGATCAGTGTGAGAGTTATTCTGGTTATACATCCAGGAGTGGGGTAATTAGGGTTGTAGGATATGTACACACTCAGTTTTATTGAATGCTTTCAGATGACTTTCCAGAATGGCTGTACCAATTTACATTCCCACTAGCAGTGTTTAGGAGGTTCCACTTGCTCACTTCCCTTTTTATTTTCTGACTTTTGAATTTTTGCCCATCTGGTGGACATAGAATGCTTTCTCAAGCTTCTTTTCATTTACATTTTTTGATGTCAGACTAACCATCTCCTCATATATTTGCCATTTAGATTTCCCCCTCCTGGAATTGCCTATACTTGTCTTTTGATGCTTTTCTGTGGGATTGTCCATTTTCAGAAGTTTGTTCACTCACTTTTAACAAATTTTTATTGAGCATGTACTGTGTGTCAGGCATTGTTCTAGGTGCTAAGACAATAAATTCAGCAAAACAGATAAAAACCCTTTACCTCATAGAGCTTAGAATTTATTAGGGAAGGGAAAGAACAATGAACAAATAATCATATAATATGATGTTGGGGTTTGATAGGTGTTATGAAGAAAAATAAAGTAAGTTAAAGGAATAGACAGTAAGGAGGCAGCGGTGTTCAGAAACTCAAGGAAGTCTTCTCTGAGGCGGTAATATTTGGGTAGAGACCTGAATAAGGGATTACTCGTATATGCTGTTTATTAACCATTTGTCCATTTTAGATGCCATAAATATCTTTTCGTAGAAGGTTACTCATCTGTAGGCTGGGCGCAGTGGCTCACGCCTGTAATCCCAGCACTTTGGGAGGTGGAGGCGGGCGGATCACGAGGTCAGGAGATCGAGACCATCCTGGCCAACATGGTGAAACCCCGTCTCTACTAAAAATACAAAAATTAGCCGGGTGTGGTGGCACGTGCCTGTAGTCCCAGCTACTCAGGAGGCTGAGGCAGGAGAATGACTTGAACCCGGGAGGCGGAGGTTGCAGTGAGCCAAGATCATGCCACTGCACTCTAGCCTGGACGACGGAGCAAGACTCTGTCTCAAAAAAAAAAAAAAAGAAGGTTACTCATCTGTTAACTCTATTGATGGTTCCTGTTGTTATTCAGAAATCTTTAATATTGATACAAACCCATTAATTTTTGGGGGGGTTTATGCTTTCTTAAGTCTCATTTAAGAGATTCTTAATTTAAGTCACAAAGGCATTCTCTCTCATTTTTTTCATTAACTTTGTGATTTTACTTTTTACATTTGGTTTATATATTCTACTCGATGTGCAAGATCAATTTCAGTTTTTCAGGTGGAAAGCCATTTGTCCCAGGATAATTTATGGACTAACCCCTTCTTTCTAGATTGATTTGGGATGTCACCTCATTATATACCAAGTTTTCGGGGAATTATGAGTCTTTTAATGGGCTTTCTTTTTTGTTTCATTGGGTCATTTGCCTGTTCCTGACAAGCAACACACTTTTGTATTGTACTATCCCTTTATAATATATATCTTAATATCAGGTAGGACTCTGCTTTGAATAATAGATAATTATAAATTTCTGAAAAATGTTTAATTGTCTATAGGAAAGACTATGACTCATTCATCTTTGTGAATCAACTATAGAACTTAGCATACTGTCTTATAGCCAGGAATTGCTCAATAGATGTTTTAAAATTACATAAAATGTATTCTTTAGATATTGCTTTTCACTTGAGGTGTGAGCATTATAAGCAGTTATCAGTTATTGTCCTTTCCATTTGTGGTGCTGAATTGACCTTTTCTGGATTGTGAAAGTGATTTTCTGCTTCTCTCTGCAAGCATAAAAGTTCATTTTGAAATAGAGGCTGATTTTATCATGTAAATTGGAAGGTTTAACATGGGTGGGTGAGAATGGTATAAGAACTTAAAATGCGGCAATCTGTTATTTAACAGTTTATGATTGCTTTGACTTTTGTGAAAAGTTAAGCCTCACACATTCTATTGTGTTTAAAAAATAACTGGAAACTAGCATATATTTCAATATTTGCATTATTTTCTGACTCAATCCCAGTTCTAATGAGGACGAGGTAAAATTCAAAACTTGTTTTATAATTAAATTATTTGAGACTAGGCTTCCTGTTTCTGTCAATGTTGGACTCGGTAATGTGGAACATCCCTCTAATGAGGAAAATTGAAAACACAAGGGAACTAGTAAAACAATGAAAAATTATGAGGTAAAGATACAGAAGAAAGAAAGACCAGAGAGGTAAGCTCAGCACTTAAATCTGCTTATCTCCTGGGAGCACTGACAATTTAATAAGTCATCTGAGAAACTGAGAAGCTTATATATATATAAAATATATAAAAATATATTTATATTTAATATATTTTATATATAAATATATAAAAATATATTTATATTTAATATATTTTATATATAAATATATAAAATATATTTATATTTAATATATTTATATATAAATATATAAAAATATATTTATATTTAATATATTTATATATAAATATATAAAAATATATTTATATTTAATATATTTATATATAAATATATAAAAATATCTTTATATATAAATATATAAAAATATATTTATATATAAATATATAAAAATATATTTATATATAAATATATAAAAATATATTTATATATAAATATATAAAAATATATTTATATATAAATATATAAAAATATATTTATATTTAATATATTTTATATATAAATATATAAAAATATATATATATTTATATACAAACACTAAAAATATATATATATATATTTTTTTTT
The DNA here is from genome assembly GCF_000001405.40 of Homo sapiens. NCBI lineage: Eukaryota > Metazoa > Chordata > Mammalia > Primates > Hominidae > Homo > Homo sapiens. The sequence continues at coordinate 66,522,243 of NC_000005.10, read as the reverse complement.
AATGGAGTCTCACTCTGTTGCCCAGGCTGGAGTACAGTGGCACAATCTTGGCTCACCACAACCTCTACCTCCTAGGTTCAAGTGATTCTCCTGCCCCAGCCTCCCAAGTAGCTGGGATTACAGGCGTGTACCACCATGCCTGGCTAATTTTTGTATTTTTAGTAGAGACGGGTTTTCACCATGTTTGCCAGGCTGGTCTTGAACTCCTGACCTCAGGTGATCCACCAGCCTCGGCCTCCCAAAGTGCTGGTATTACAGGTGTGAGCCACCATGCCCGGCCAAGCAGAGATTTTTGTTAGCTTCATCAAGTAAATAAAAATTGGAATCCAGGAACCGTGAAAGAGGAAGGTCCCAAATAAACTTTCATGATTTTTGTTAGAACCCCTAGAAGCTGTTAACTTAGAAACAAAGGTGAACTAGAATAATCTGGCCCTCACTGGGACTAAAGACTAGCTTTAAATAATATCGATCCCTATATTAAGATTAAGGAATAGCCATGTCCCTTGTTGCCTTCCAAGAATAAAGGTAAATCCTCTTATGGTCCAAGTTATTTCTATATCTTAAAATATATAATCACCAGTAGACGGCAAAAAATAATCAGGCACGTGAACCAACAAGAACATGCAATTTAAAACCAAGAGAAATAATAGACATTATAAATAGTCCCATGTTGGATCTGGATACTATATTTTAAAAGAATAAAATGTAAAATCTAGAACTTGGAAAATACAATAATTAAAATTAAAAACTCATTACATGCTTAATTTTACACTAGATAGAGTTGAAGAGGGAATTCATGAACCGGAAGAAGAAGATATCCAGAATGAAACACAAAAACAAAAAAGGATAGAAAATATAAGAAAGAGTGTAAGAGACAGGAGTTCAGTGAAAAAGATCTAAAATACATGTACTGGAAGTACCAGAAGAATAAGATAAAGGGAAAAGGACACAAACCATATTTAAAGAGACAATGGCTGATAATTTTCCAAAAAATAGTGAAAATCATGAAGCCTCCTTTTCAAGAAACTCCAAAAATGTCAAGCAGAATAATTCAATATAAAATCACAAGACATATAATGACAAAATTACTAAAAGCAAGCAAGCAAACAAACAATCAGGGAGGAAGGAAGGAAGGAAGAGAAAGAAAGAAGAAAAATCTTAAAAGCAGCCAAAGGAGCTTCAAAGCAACAATTAGATTTACATCACACTTCTCTACAGAGACAATGAAAGTCAACAGACAATAGAATGATAGAATGATATCCTCAAAATACCTGCAAAATATAAATCTGTAATCAGTAAAAAGAATTTCAAAAATGAAAGTGAAATATACAAAAAAGATACAAACTTAATTTGTGACTGAGAGACACACATTATAAGAAACACTAAAGGACATACAATGAAAATGATTCCAGTTGGAAGCTCAAAGATATAGGAAAGAATGAAAAGCAATCAAAGGGCAAATATGTGGAAAAATCTAAATGAATATTGATGCATAAAACAGTGGTAATAATTTCTGGTGTGATTCTAATTAAATGCAGAATTAAAATACATAAAAACAATGTCATAAATGTGGGAATGGAGAGATTTAAAGTGTTCTAAGATCTTTTCATTGGCCAGTAAGACGTAAAAGTATTAATGTATACTAAACCATAATAAGTCAGTACGTGTGTTTCCACCCCTAGGCAAGCAGCAAAACAAAACAAAAACAGTTTAAAAATATATAATTTCGTATATGTATAATCAGTGGCAGATGTATGGCCACAGCAATATCCATCTTCCCACGTGTTTTTTGGCAATGTGATATTGCCTCTCTCCTAAAAAGAGATGGACTATTTCTCTACTGTCCTGAATTTGGGTGGCCTCTGTCACTTCTTTGTGACAAAGTATATGACAAAGAGTATGACAAAAGTGATGCTGTGTCAATTCCAAGAAATCCATAAACTAGTCTAACAGCTTCTACTTCTGCCTCATGGAAGCCAGCCTTCATGTAAATGTGACTACAGTCAGCCCTCTGTATCTGTGGGTTCCACATCCATGGATTCAACAAACTGCAAATCAGAAATATTTGAAAAAAATCTAAATTGTTGCTCCTGTACTGAACACGTAAAAACTTTTTTTGGTCATTATTCCCAATACAGTATAACAACTATTTACACAGCATTTACATTGTATTAGGTATTATAAATAATCTAGAGATGATTTAAAGTGTATGATAGGATGTGCTTAATATATGCATATACTACTATGTCATTTTATAAAAGGGACTTAGGTATCTTTGGATTTTGCTATATGCAGAGGGTCCTAGAAACAATCCCCAATAGCTACCAAGGGATGACTGTATTTTAAATAGCTGTGCAGTGAGAAGAACAAGCCACGTGGGGAGACTCTACAAGATGAGTCACAATGTGGAGTGAGTGGAAGGTAGGGAGTGAGAGACTGGCCAAAGAGCACCATGGCCTGGATATATGAGTAAAGAAGCCATCTTAGAAGTTAATTCCACAGCCATGCCATGTGGGTCAGAAATCACCTGCCCAACCAAATCCTTCCTTGAGTTCCCTACTTACAAAATTATGACCAAACTAAAATGGTTGTTATAAGTCATTAAGTTTGGGGGTGGTTTGTTATGTAACAACAGATAATCAGAACAGCCACCAAGCCAGGGGCAGGGTGAGAAATGGAATAATAAAACCTACTCTAATCAATCTAAAAGATGGCAAGAAAGATGGAAATAACAAGAATATAATAAAATGGTAGATTTAATTCCTAAGACAGCAACAATTCAATGAACTGAATGTTTCCATTAAAAGACAAAGGTCAGCAGCTAGAATTTACAAAAAAAAATATGATTATAAGAGATAATATTAAAAAATCAGCATATAGAAAGATTGAAAGCAAAACAATGGAAAAAAAAATCCAAACACTGACCAAAATAAAAATACTGTGACTACATTAGAAAGGTAAAATTTAAGGCAAAAGCATTATTAGAGATGAAGAGGGATACTTTATAAAGATAAAATATTCCATTCACCAGAAAGAAAAAAATATTTTAAATGTGCGTGCGTACTCAAGACTTACCAAAGACTTGGTGGCAACTGCCTCGGAAACCAGTCCTTGGGTAGGAAATCCTGAACTGTAATTGTCAAATTGCTGCAGGCTATGTGTGGACAAGTCTGGGAGTTAAAAACAATTCCAGAGAAACCCAGTCATAGAGAAGTTCTCATACTTTTGTGAGTTTTATCTCCCGGGGCTTGATCAGGTTCTCATAGTAAGTATCAAAGGAAAATCCCCCTCATGCTTCCGGTAATGGGAGGAGAAAAGGAATGCTTTGGAAATATGCCAGAAGCACTCTGTTCTTAACAAGGCCTGCTCTCAGGAGAAACTCTAACCAGACTCTAACCTGCTGGGGTTTTATCAGAAGTTAACCTGGGGGAAGAGAAATGCCTAACTCCAGCCTGCTTTAGCTGTCCTGTCCCACAGCGGGCACTGAGAAGCGCTTGTGAAGTTCACAGTCTGGAGGCGCAGGCTCACTCAATTTGTTCACATGTAATAATATAGTCTTAGAATATAGAGCAAAAATGTAAAGCACTTCAAGAAGCAGTGGATGCATCCACAATCCAACTGGGAGATTTAAAAATACTTTGAGAGTAAGTAAATTAGCTTATCAGTTCATTTAATCTTCTTGGCGTCTTCATTCAACAGGTAAGAAGTATGTTAGACGCTTTGCTCTGAGTGGAATACAAACTCTATCAAAGAAATTGTTCCAAGTGATAATTCAAGCCAAAGAAATTAACGTGAATGCCAAGTTTAATCAGAAATCTTAAGGTTTTTCATCCAACCTCTGCTTAAACTCTATCAACTGAGAGATCTGGGGAGGGGACCAGGAAGGACAATCTGTCTGGAATCTCACAGAGATAATTTTCCAAATCAACCTATTTATGAACTTATGAGACTGTGTCTGTGATAAACATTCCTGACATGGACTTAGCAGTGGTAGGCACTATGTTACAATGAGGTAATCAACAAATCCGAAACTGGATTATCATTCCAGACACACCTACCCATTCCTTAGAACAAATCGGCTGAACTTACTCCTCCGTGGTTCCATTTTCTCATGTATCCCATGGCAATGATAGTTTACTTCACAATAACAATAATTTCCCAGCCCACACAAATATTCAATTAATAGCCAAATTGTCCCATTTCTCTATCTTCATCTATTAGAAAATGCAATGGAACTGCTATATAGTGAATATCAACATTGATAACCACTATATGACAGTTCCGTTGCATTTTGAATCATTTGCTTAATCACACTTGCCATTCATGATACTTTATCTCTGTTTACACCATCTGCTCCTTAGAATTGAGAATTATTTTACTATTGACTATGGGCCATCAGGAATATGGGTACTTATCATATCTTGGTAAGAGAGCACTCTTTCTTATCTTAACCAAAAAGACATTCAGAAGACTTCAGTTTTAGTTATACTTGGTTACCTTTTTCTTTTTCTAGGTATGCACATCATTGGCACTGCATGAACAGTATGGTTCATTTCAAGCATTGTTTTAAGTATTCCAGTACTGGGATGAATACAGACTCCTGGTAGCTAGACAGAGCACTGGCAGGCTATCACTTTCCATCTCCTGCAGGTCTCTAAATAGAGTCTGGACAAATCTGTCCAGTAGTTCCTGCCAAGTCTTTCTACCTTGACTGTTACCATCACGCCATGCTCCTGATTCTTAGCCAACAATACATTTATTTAAGTCTGCTAAATTAAAATTGAGGAACAGGTTTTTTGCGTACCTGCCAGATAAACAGCAAGGGTCACTCACTAAAGCACAGTCAGAGGAAATCTTCCTACAAAATACCTGCCAAGGGGATGCAGACCCTGTTTAGATACAATAGCTCCTCTAACAGGGAGGCCGAACTGTTGCCTCTAAATTTTCTGGTAACTAAGCTGTCTAGAATGCTTTTTATAAAGCGAATTTACCTTTTCTTCAGTTCCTAACCACAGTCTTCTGGGAAAATGTAACTGCTTTGCTCAGTTTGGTTGATCTTTACTCAAAAGCCAGTCTTATCACCTTAAAGGAACAAAGTGTCTGTTTCACTCTAGTAAGTAGGATGAGTCTCCCCTGGTGATAGTTAATACTCTTCACTATGCTGGGTTTTGTCTTTGATCTGCTGACACAATTGATCTTGAATTTCTATTGGTTCTGAAGCATCTTGTTTTGAGATTTCTCTCGCATGACTTTGTTTAATCCTCTTTCCTTGTCGTTCTGTGCCTAGCCTTTGAACCCCCTGAAGGACTTGGTTTCCACCCCCATCTCTTTTTCTTTTTTACAAATTATTTTTTAAAGCTGATTTAGCAAGATCTTCCTATAGTGTTTTAGAAATAATGTGTGGTAGAGGGAGAAGCCACACAAGTGGACAAGCAGTGGTGCATTCACAGCTCAGTTGTTTTCAAATGTGTATCATGTCCTCAGGGAGTCTGTGAAGTGCTTCTGTTTAAGGCAGTTGGTGTGTTTTTCCCCGTCTCAAGAAAGAGCAAACTAAACAGTCATTAATGTTGTGGTTCTATTTTGCTGCCTTAATTGTAGCTCCCTGAGATTGAAAGCAGTCTGCTGTCAATGCATGGTGCTACCAAAATTTTAACAGTTCTGCATGATCAAGTAATGCCTTGACTTTGAATACTACTTTAATGTTTAAAACCGACGTTCAAGTTTGCATGATCTTCAATGCAACCCTGCATATTGGCAGGACAGGAGTAGACATGGAAACACTAATAACCCAGAGAATCAATAAGAGTTTTTCCAAGAGGCCAAGCTCTTCTCCTTTTTCCTCCTTTAACAGAAATGGATAATACAGTCACCTTAGCCTAAAAGAATCTAAGGTCAACTGAAATAAAGAAGCCAAAGTGAAAAAATGCCTGCCTGAAGCACTGTACACTGTCTTCAGTTTAACAGCTACCCTTCCCTAATGGGGAGCAGAAAGGTGAGCCACTCATCTCCCTTGCTTCAGCAAATAAATAAATAAATAATAATGAGGACAAGGCTATAGTTAGATGCACATTGAAGGGTAATTAGCTAAGTGACTATCATTAAGGTTAATGGACTTCCCTAGGTTAAGTTCCCTTCCATCGTATACCATTGGAAATAGATTGTTTGGGTCAGTGAAGCTATTCTGAGGTCTCCGAAAAGATACAGGCATACCTTGCTTTATTGTGCTTCATTTTTATTTTATTGTGCTTTGCAGATATCACTTTTTTTTTTTAACAAATTGAAGGTTTGTGGCAACCTTGCATCTAGTTGTTGGCACCATTTTTCCAACAGCATGTGCTCACTTCGTGTCTGTGTCACATTTTGGTAATTCTTGGCATATTTCACATTTTTTCATTGTTATTATATGTGTTATGGTGATCTATGATCAGGGACCTTTGATTTTACTGTTGTAATATTTTTGGACTGCCTTAAACCAAGCGCCAAAGATAGTGAACTAACTTAGTTGATAAATGCTGTGTATGCTTCCCTGTCTGTCTCCTGTTTCCCCATCTCTCCCCCTTTCTTCAGGCCTCCCTATTCCCTGAGATACAATATTAAAATTAGGACAGTTGATAACCCTACAATGTCCTCTAAGTGTTCAAGTGAAAGGAAGAGTCGTATATCTGTCACTTTAAATCAAAAGCTAGAAACAATGAAGCTTGATGAGGAAGGCACGTAGCAAGCTGGGCTAGGCCAAAAACTAGGCCTCTGTGCCAGTTAGCCAAGTTGTGAATGCAAAGGAAAAGTTCGTGAAGGAAGTTAAAAGTGCCACTCCAGTGAACACATGCGATATAAGAAAGTGAAACTGGCTTATTGCTAAGATGGAGAAAGTTTGAGTACTCCGGAAACCTGATTAAACCAGCCACAATATTCCATTAAGCCAAAGCCTAACCCAAGCAAGGCCCTAACATTCTTCAGTTCAATGTAGGCTGAGAGAGGTGAGGAAACTGCAGAAGAAAAGTTGGAAGCTAGCAGAGCTTGGTTCATGAGGTTTAAGGAAAGAAGCTGTCGCCACAACATAAAAGTGCAAGGTAAAGCAACAAGGGCTGATGTAGAAGGTGCAGCAAGTTATCCAGAAGATCTAGCTGAGATCATTGATGAAGGTGGCTACCGCTAAAGACATTTTCAGTGTAAATGAAATAACCTTTTAATGGAAGAAGATGCCATCTAAAATTTTCATAGCTAGAGAGAAGTAAATGCTTGGCTTCAAAAGACAGGCTTACTCTCCTGTTAAGAGAGTAATGCAGCTGGTGACATTAAGCTGAAGCCAATTTACCATTCTGAAAATCCATTCTGAAAATCGTAGGGCCCTTAAGAATTATGCTGAATCTACTCTGCCTGTGCCCTATAAATGGAACAACAGGGCCTGGATGACAGCACATCTGTTTACAGCATGGTTTACTGACTATTTTAAGTCCATGTTGAGCCTAGTGCTCAGAAAAAAAGATTTCTTTCAAAATATTACTTCTCATTGACAATGCACCTGGTCACCCAAGAGCCCTGATAGAGATGTACAAAGCGACTAATGTTTTTTTGAAGACTGCCAACACAGCAACCGTTCTGTAGCCCAGTTGAAAGGAGAAATTTCAACTTTCAAGTCTTATTACTTAAGAAATACATTTTGTAAGGTTATAGCTGCCACAAGTAGTGATCCCACTGATGAATCTTGGCAAAGTACATTGAAAACCTTTTGGAAAGGATTCACCATTCTAGATGTCATTAAGAACATGCATGATTCATGCGAGGAGGTCAAAATATCAACACTAACAGGAGCTTGGAAGAAGTTGATTTCTGTCCTTGTGGATGACTGTGAGGAGCCAAGACCAGTAGAGGAAGTAACTGCAGATGCAGTGGAAATAGCAAGAGAACAAGAATGAGAAGTGGAGCCTGAAGATGTGACTGAATTGCTGCAATCTCATGACCAAACTTCAATAGATGAGGAGTTACTTCTTATGGATGAGCAAAGAAAATGGTGTCTTGAGATGGAATCTACTCCTGGTGAAGATTCTGTGCACATTGTTGAGATGACAACAAAGGAATCAGAATATTATCTAAACTTAGTTGAAAAAGCAGTGGCAGCGTTTGAAGAGATTGACTCCAGTTTTGAAAAAATTCTATTGTGGGTAAAATGTTATCAAACAGCATCACATACTACAGAGAAATATTTCATGAAAAGAAGAGCCAACTGGTGTGGCAAACTTTCTTGTTTTCTTATTTTAAGAAATCGGCACAGCTACACCAATCTTCAGCAACATCACCCTGATCAGTCAGCAGCCATCAATGTGGAGACAAGACCCCTCACTGGCAAAAAGATTATGACTCACTGAAGGCTCAGATTGTTAGCATTTTTTAATCAGTAAAGTATTTTAAATTAAGGTGTAAATATATATTTTTGGACATAATGCTATTGTACACTTAATAAACTACAATATAATGTAAACATAATTTTTATATGTGCTGGGAAACAAAAAAATTCAGGTGACTCACTTTATTGTGGTGGTCTGGAACCAAACACGCCTATCTCTGAGGTATGCCTGTACAATCCCATAGCCCACCTTTGGCATGGCTTAACACATAAGTTAGCAACAGCTTCTAAGTTACTCAGGGATAGACTCTGTTTCCTGGACCAGAATATGAAAATCAAGCACTAAGGAGAGTTGATCAACGAGCCGAGTAGACAGTCTGAAAGGGGCTACCACATGTGGCATAAATAAGACCACAGCTTCTGGGAACAGCAGGTAGAGAAATGGAGCCAGCGACAGGGGAGAAAGCAACTCATGAAGGTGCCATGAAAAATCACCTGTCTACTAAATTACAGCAAAACAGCATGCTGGTGAATTTAAGGAAGGTTTTTATGCAAATGGGGATTCACTGCGTTTTTTTTCTTTTTGCACCTGCTGTCAGTAGGCATTAGACCATAAACATCAGCAAACATCGATTAAGCATATTGCCTTGATGAAACTTCAGGCAAAAGAATAAAGTGGTTCAGCAGCTCCAAAGCCCAGAAGACAGATTACTCTTGGTATGGCAATTAGAATGGGGAGAATTGCTGCACCTTCTTTGAAAAAGCACTCTGAGCTTGGGTTCTATAGACAATCTAATAATAGTTGATAGGACTTTAGAGAAAGCACTAGCATTCCCATTATGGTTTTGTAATTTTTTAAAATGTACTTCAGGTATACAAAGTGCTGCATGACCAAAACTATCAATTTCAGTCTATTTCTAAGATATACTTCAGACTAGGTGTTTAAACTAGTTTGCTTCAAGAAATATGTGGTATATTAAATGAAATGAGAAAGACTTTAGGGACCCAGCGTTCCTGCACTTCCTGCAGTAATGTCCATCCCTGAGCTAGATTTTCTGTCAGTTTTCCTGCAGCAGATCAATAACATGAATGTTTCACAAGCAACTTTAAAATGCATTAGTCATGTTGGGATTCATTTCTTCAGTGTTCTTGCTGCTTCTTTGAAGCATGCAGCTGCAGCTGGGCTATGAGCACAAAATAACCTTGTTGGTTGAGATGACATATGTATGTTGTACAGCAGTGCTGTCCATGAACTCCAGGAAATTCTAGTTTTACTTCTAGTTTAAACATACTAGCTGAATATCTGTGAATAAAGTGAAGGTTGTGTAAATTTGTGTATGTGTGTATTTTGTGCACTTAACCAAAAATGTGTATGTTTACACTTAGGTTTCGTATTGTCTCTTTCTTTAAAGTGGAGGGAAAATAAAATTTGTGTTTATTGTTCATTTATTATGTATCAGGCTCCATGCTGGGTGCTCTATATTGTCCTAGTCAGAGAGGACTGGTGCTGGGCATGTGGCCTCTGAAGTCAGGCTGCCTGTGTTCAATTACTAGCTTTGCCATGACTAGCTGTGTAACATGGGACAAGTACTTAACTTCTCTAAGCTTCTGTTTTCTCATGTGTGAAATATGGAGGCTAATTGAAATTACTTCATAGGGTTATTGGGATGATTCAATGAGATAAGGTAAGTAAAGTGCTTTGTATAGGGCCTGGTTTATGGTAATGTTCAATAAATGAGATGCTATAGTATCTCATTTATTGTGAATACAATAGTATCTCATTTGGTATGAGAACAATCCTTGGAGATACAGAGCATTAGCCCTATTTTATAGATGTAAGAACAGAGGTGAAGGAAAATGAATGAACTTCCCCCATAATTTGAGAACTAGTAATGATCTCCTCTATGAAAAATCTATGTGAATTTTCAAATAAGTGAACAACTATATTCATTAGGGAAATGCTAGCTGCTACAACAAATAAACCTCAAGTTTTGAAATGCTCAAATACAACAAAAGTTTATTTCTCCTGTGGAATATTTCTACGTGGTTTCCTAGTTGGTGAATGGCTCTCCTTGCCATGACTCAGACATCCAGCTTTCTTCCATCTGGGAGTTCTGCCATCCCCTAGGGCCTTGATGTCACTTATATCCAGCCAGCGTAATGGGAAAGGGAACATGGAAAAGAAATAATGACTTCTTAAAAGCCATGGCTCATTGTGACACGTCACTTCCGCTGACATTCCATTGGTAAGTACTAGTCATATGTCCACACCTAGATGCAGAGGGTGCTGGGAGACACAGTTCCTGGCCAGACAGCTGCTTCCCAGTGACAAATCTACTTTATGTAAGGAGGAATGTCAACACAAGATAAGATTCATTCCCTGGTGCCAGTGGGTTGAATTAGCATCTTTAAACACGATGGAAATTATTCAATTTGGTGGCTTTCTTTTATTTTCCTTCTTACTTCGTAAAATTTCTCTAAATTAAAACTTCTTCAACCTTCTACCTATTATTGTCTTTATTCCTTGCCAAGGGAACTTCAGATCAATCTATTTCAGGGCCCTAAACAGCTATCTCATGGATCACTAATGGTGCCATGCTAAGGCTGATGCAGAAAAGAGCAAGATGCAGAAAAGAGCAAGAAGAATCGAGCCAATTCCATTTATAGCCTGAAGCTCTGGTTTTGTTATGTATGTGCTTTTCTGGGCTTCAAATATTGATAAGGGCCGTCAAATGAGTTCACCTTTCAAAAAAAAAAATCAAAGACTTGTGCTGATTGTGAACTAGAGGGGTTTTGCATTCAATAGCTAATATCAACCCACAGAAGAATATACTAAATGCCTGGAAGTGGAGTTCAGTGAAATGAATAATTAAAGAAGACCACATACCTAATCAATGCCCCCTGTTTCAGATATCTACTGCTGCATAAGGAACCACTTCAAAGCAAAAGCTTTAAGCAAAAACCATTTCCTTATTCTCATGATTCACTGGGTTGGCTGGGCTCATCTGGGCAGTTCTTCTGCTCCACATGTTGTCAACTGAGACTGTGGGCATCTGGGGGCTCAACAGGACCAGACTGTCCAAGTTGGCTCTCTCATATGCCTGGGACCTTGGTGGAGATGGTTGGACAAGGCTTCTCCCTTTCCATATGGCCTCTTCATGAGGTCTTTCCATGTAGTATCTCCAGAAGGGTAGCAACTCTTCTAACACGGAAGCTCAGAATTTCCAAAAGCGCAGAAGTGGAAGCCTCCAGGTCTTCTCAAGACTTAGCTCCAGGACCAGCACTAGATTCTGCCAAGTTCTGTTGGTTAAAGAGAGTCACAGGTCCAGTCCAGGTTCAATGCGGGAGAGAAGAGAAAAGGATACATACTAAGACATGTGGCCCACTGGGCACCATCTAACAGACTAGTTATTACACTTCTAACTCAACAGTGAGAATAAGCACCATGCTCCATTCCAGGTCTAGTGAACTCAGGATGACCTGAGAAGAAATTTGATGTATTTATCCTCTCATTTGTTTCCTTTCAGTTTACTTTTTTTCTAGGAGTCAGGTTTACAGGGGAACATTGTGACTCCATAGTCACAATTCTCAGGGTGAGAAAAGGCAGAAGGTAGTCATCTGAGATTCTAATAAAAAAGCCTAATTCTATTTATTTAGAGATGGTTCTCTCACTGTTCTACTGTTAGATAACCGAACAGTTGGCATTAAGAGGGCAGAATCAAGTAGAACAAGAGGATGATGGGGAGCAGACAATCAAATAATCCCATAACAAATGCAATTGCAACTGTGACAAGTGCCATGGAGAAATGTTAGAGGCTGGGAGAATAGTAGGGAGCTCCTGTGCTCATCTGGACAAAAGCTGATGAGTGTTGGCCCTGAAGGAATGGCAGTGACCTTTCAGAAAAAGAGATGTATTTTAGAAACATAAAGTATATGTAATCCAAAGCATTTGATGACCAGAGTCATTAGAAGGGAGGGAGAATAACTGAGTTTAGGGGCTTGAGTGACTGGATGAATGAGGAAACAATCAGATACCAAGAAAGAAAAGGGAGGAGGAGGAATACATTGGGGATAAATGATGGAGGGTTCACTTTTGGACACACAGTTTGAGGTATTTGTAGGAGATCTAGTAAAGCTGTACAGTGGGCAATTGAAAACATGTCTCTGTGGTGTACGTTTGCTTTTTTCCTTTCCTTTCCATTCTTTGCTTTCCCTTTCTCTCTCACTTATTTCTATTGTCCAATGTCATCTGCTTTGGATAGATGGAAAATTCCCCACTGAATGCATCCTGATGAGGGACAGCCCATATCCCAACATAAAATCTTAAAAGGCCAGATTTTTGTTTTCCTGGCCCCCTTGCAGCTAGGATATGTACACATGATCTAGGTTTGGCCAATCAGATGCACCCATCTGAGAGTCTGAATTAGGAGCAAGTTGCTCAAAGAAGCAAGGTCAGTGGAGAATTCATTCTGGAGGTGGCAACAACACCCATTTCCCAAGGAGTAACACTGGCAGAACAAACTGCAGTGTCCAGTGTTTGGGGCAGTAGGGACCTCCTTGGACAAATGCTGTGGCTTAGCTCTGCCTCCCTTTCTTCCAGCCTATTTTCTATGTCTTGTTCTCCAGTTTTTCGAACAACTCTGGGAGCTACACAGTATCTCTTTGATAATTTACTTTAGTGCTTCAGTTAGCCTCTGTGTCTTGTAGCTTAGGTCCCTGGCCAGCTCAGATACTCTAAAACCTGGAGGAGGGACTGGGGATTCATCAGAGGAAAGATGAAGCTTACAGGCATAGGGGAATGAGATTGTCCAGGGAGAGAGAGTGGAGGTCAGAAAAGAAATGGGCTGCAGCCAGGAGCCTGAGGCACAGCCACAGTGAAAGCATAAGCAGAGCAGAACACCAACACAGTACCTCTGAGGAAAATCACTTAAAGGCTTTTCTTCCTTTTCCAGATCAAGAGTGAAATCATCCAGAATAGAGTGAATTCGGGCTTCAGAGCGGCTGTTTAGGATTCAGAGCTCTACCAACATGAGCAATCTGTTGGCATGACAGGTCAGAGAAGCCGTGAAGGACATGGAAGGAAGTAGATGGAACTGGAAACAGGAGGCCAACCCCAGCAGTCAGGCAAGTACCATCCAGAGAACAGGAAATGTAAAAGGATCAGGTATAGCTGGAACACCTAGGCAGAGGGACTTCGGAAGTTCAAAGTTAGGGAGAATAGCACTGGCAAGAAGGCTGCACCAAGATATGTGCTGCTCCCAGGGCAGAGGCTCTTTACTAGCCTGTCCTTTCACACTGTTCACCACCTGCCTGGGAGTGTCTAGGCCAGGACTTACAGGTTTAAGAATAAGAACTCCATGGGGCATGGAATTTATAATTGAAGCAGGGCAGAATCGTTAGGCCTCCAATTGAAGCAGGGCAGACTCCCTAGGTCTCCTAGGAAGTTCTTGTTCCAGGCAACACAGATGACTGGGTAGTTTAAGTTATAAAAATATTTTATCCAAATTAGAACCAAACAATACATAATTTATTTATGGTTGTGAATTCATCCTTGCTGTGAATAGCTGCTACAGGTAGGGTGCTATTGGTCAGCATCTCATAGTTCCCTGAGACCTGCTGCAGGCACTACCTCTCACATCTAATTGGTACTCTGTCATACTCACTGCCCTGAGCTTTAATTGTCCAAGTCTTTTCAATTAGGCTGAAGCATCTCATAGCATTGAATACCTCTTTTATCCTTCCCCAAATTGGCCAGCAAAGCACAAGCATATATAAGTATTCAGTAAGTATTTGACCTAGATGGCTTATATATAAAAAAAACCAACACTAAGCTTTTATGGCTAAAATTTAAAACTAATCCCTATCATAGGTCATGGTATATTTCTCTTACCATTGCTTTTTCTTTCTTGTTCTAGTGGTGCTCAGAAAAAAATAAGACACTGAAATTTGAGGACTTAATGGAGTTTGGTGCCTTCAGTTAGCTGATGTCTATGAAGCCTGACCAGTCTACTTCTAGTCTATAAGATCATGTGGAAGCTTCAGTGACAAACTTCTACTTTACTAATGATTTTATGATCCTGTTACCCATTGCAATTGCTTAAATGGTATTTTAATTAGCTGCTTTAAATGACTTTGCTTTTTTACAAAAAGCAGTGTGTGCTTTAGTTTAAAATATGGGTCACTGGTGTTTCTTTCTAGAAGATGACTGTGTTTAGTACCAGGGAAAATTGGTGATGTATTTGGAGAGGTTTTAACTTCTGTAACTCAGGTTGATATCTGGAATGTGAGTGTTTCCATACTTCCGTGGATGCAGCAAATTTATATAAAGCGTTATTAAATTTGTTCTAGTTTTTAAATACTGTTAATTCTTTCATGGGCTTTCTATATTGCCAGTTTTTTTTTATGGTATCTGCAACAAGTCAATAAGCTGTGTTTATGTTTGTATACTGTTTTAGAAAGGAGGATTGACCCAGAACATTATGTGCTAGGAGAAATAAAAAGACTCTGCTATGGATACAGATTTGCTTTCCCTGTACGTAATGCTTCTGCCAAAACTACCATCTGTGAACTTACAGAATGCCTTATCCACCATGATGGTATTCCACACAGCATTGCTTCTGATCCAGGAAATTACTTCACAGCAAATCAAGTGTGGCAATGGGCCCATGCTCAGGGAATTCACTGGTCTTACCATGTCCCCCAACATTCTTAAGAAGCTGGCTTGATGGAACACTGGTATGGCCTTTTGAAGACTCTGTTACAGGTAGGCCTTATAGTTTCGTGCCATCTAGGTGGCAATATCTTGCAGGGCTGGGGCAAGGTTCTCTGTAAGGCTGTATACACTTTAAATCAGTATCAAATATATAGTACTACTGGATGTATAGTACCCACAGCCAAGATTCGTGGGTCCAGGAATCAAGGGATGGTAATGGAGTGGCATAATTATTACTCCTACTGACTCACTAGCAAAATGTTTTCTGTCCCTGTGACCTTATGCTCTGCTAGCTACGAGGTTTTAGTTCAACCAGGATCACAGTAATGATTCTGACATGCAGCCATTTTGGGATCCTTATGCCTCTAAATCAACAGACAATGAAGGGTGTTGCTATACCAGCTAGGGTGGTTGACTCTGACTACCAGGGAGAAATAAGACTGCTATCCCACAATGAAGGTAATGAAGACTACATCGGGAATACAGGAGTTCCCTTAAGGCATCTCTTGTTATTACAGTGTCCTGTGATTAAAGTCAATGGAAAACTACAATAATCCAATCTGGGCTGGGCTACGATTGGCCCAGACTCTTCAGGAATGATAGATTTGCATGTCATCCTCACCCCCGTTTTCAGGTAAAGAACTATAAATAACTATAACAAGCTAAGGTGCTTGATGAGAACAAAGGGAACATGGAATAGGTAGTGGAAGAAGGCAGTTATAAATACCAGCTACAGCCACATGACCCGTTACAGAAATAAGGACTGTCATTCACATGAGCATTTCCTCCTTATTTTGTTATATGTGTATGTGTGTATCAAACATCTTTGTTTTCTTCCTACTCTTATCCCTTTATCACCTAACATACGATATATGTCATAGTATTTAGCTTGTCTTTATCAAAGTATTTAAGTTCTGAGATATCAAGGAGAAGAGTAGGCAACACCCAGGGACTTTGAATCCTCTTCTGGAGAAAGTAATTGTACATTTTCACTTATATGTAAGATAGTTGTATTTCACGCCTGTAATCCCAGCACTTTGGGAGGCCGAGGCAGGAGGATTACCTGAGGTCAGGAGTTCAAGACCAGCCTGGCCAACATGGTGAAACTCCACCTCTACTAAAAATACCAAAAAAATTAGCCAGGCATGGTGGTGGGTGCCTGTAATCCCAGCTACTTGGGAGGCTGAGGCAGGAGAAGCACTTCAACCGGGTGGTGGAGGTTGCAGTGAGCTAAGATCACGCCAGTGCACTCCAGCCTGGGCAACAGAATGAGACTCCATCTCAAAAAACAAACAAAAAAAGAGATAGTTGTATCATGTTGGGTGGAAATGTGACCCTGCTATTATCTTTATTTTTATGATTAAGTATGGTTTAAGAAGATGCATACGGGTGCCAAGTTGACAAGGGACAGACTTCTGATGCTTAATTTTAATGTGTCAACTTGACTGTGCCTTGGTGTCTAGATATGTGATCAAACATTATTCTGGATGTTTGGGCAAGAGCGTTTTGGGGTGAGATTAACATTTAATTTGATAACTTTGAGTAAAGCAGATTGCCCTGCCTTATGTGGATGGGCCTCATCCCGTCAGTTCTAGACCTGAATAGAACAAAAGCCCGACCTCCCTGAGGAAAGAGACTTCTGAAACAGATGGCCTTCAAACTTGAACTGCAACATCAGCTCTTTCCTGGGTCTCCAACCTGACAGCCTACTTTACAGATTTTGGACTTAACCAGCCTCTGTAATTGTATGAGCCGATTTCTTAAATAAAACCTCTTTGTATACATTCATTTGCACATCCTATAGGCCTGTTTCTCTGGAGAACCCTGACTATTGGATTATTAGGAGCTTTTCGGTTAGAATGGGCACGGGCCAGCTTGTGGTCCTGAAAACATGGCAAACTGAGTTAACCGGCTCCCATTCCTAAAACACATACATAAAAATAATACACAAATGACACATAAAAATGAATATAATGCTGAACTTAAATCTCTAGCTGCAAGAAATGAGAAAATTTGCCATGATGGAAATGCTCTGTATCCTAATTACACAAATTTATATGTATTAAAATTCATAAACTCTAACTTCAAAAATGCCAACTTTACTATATGTTAGGGGTTTGTTTTTTTTAAGGAAATGATGAGGAACAGAAGCCAGAGTGCTATGCTTGTGAGTGGACATGGTAGAAGATAGAATCCAGGAATCAAACCTGGATAGGGCACTATCCCAAGCTAGGGGTCAGAATACAGAACAGGAAATGTGTCCTTGTGCTTCTCAAGGTAAAATCACGAAAACAAAATTCCAGCCAAAATTGGAACCCTGGAAAAGTTACCTCCTTGATGAAAAGGTGTCCCAACAAACTTCAAACTTCTTGCCACAGGCTGAGAAAAGTAAATGGTAAGGCACAGAACGTTTATCTCTATTATGGGGTCTGAATAGAAAGATAAAAGTCTACAGTTAAAAAAAAAATCCAAATCCCAAGCCTATAAACCATGTACCAACAGGCAGTGCAAATTTTCATTGCTCACAGGTGCAGGAGTTATTAAGCCAAAAAATTAATGTAAACATTGATTCCAGAGCAGTGAATCCCTGAGATATCTGAAAAAAAGCAAAATTAAAACTTCTCTAGTAAGATATTGTGTCTGGAATTGGTGGGTTCTTGGTCTCACTGACTTCAAGAATGAAGCCGCAGACTCTCGTGGTGAGTGTTGCTGTTCTTAAACGCAGCGTGTCTGGCGTTTGCTCCTTCTGATGTTCGGATGTGCTCCGAGTTTCTTCCTTCTGGGGGGTTCATGGTCTCGCTGGCTCAGGAGTGAACCTGCAAACCTTTACGGCGAGTGTTACAGCTCTTAAGGCAGCACGTCTGGAGTTGTTTGTTCCCCCATGGTGGGTTCGTGCTCTCCCTGGCTTCAGGAGTGAAGCTGCAGACCTTCACAGTGAGTGTTACACCTCATAAACGCAGTGTGGACCCAAAGTGACCAGCGGCAAGGTTTACTGCAAATAGCAAAAGAACACTGGCCCCACAACGTGAAAGGGGACCGCAGTCGGTTGCTACTGCTACCGAGGGCAGCCTGCTTTTATTCTTATCTGGCCCCACCCACATCCTGCTGATTGGTCCATTTTACGGAGAGCCGATTGGTCCATTTTACAGAGAACTGATTGGTCCGTTTTGACAGGGTGCTGATTGGTGCGTTTACAATCCCTGAGCTAGACACAAAAGTTCTCCACCTCCCCACTAGATTAGCTGGATACAGAGTGCCCATTGGTGCGTTCATAAACCCCGAGCCAGACACAGGGTGCTGATTGGTGTGTTTACAAACCTTAAGCTAGATACAGAGTGCCGATTGGTGTATTTAAAATCCCTTAGCTAGACATAAAGGTTCTCCAAGTCCCCACCAGAGTAGCTAGATACAGAGTGTGGATTGGTGTATTTACAATTCCTTAGCTAGAGGTAAAGGTTCTCCAAGTCCCCACCAGACTCAGAAGCCTAGCTGGCTTCATGCGGTGGATCCTGCACCAGGGCCTCGCAGGTGGAGCTACCTGCCAGTCCCGCGCCGCCGTGCGCCCACACTCCTCAGCCCTTCCTTGGGTGGTCGATGGGACTGGGCGCAGTGGAGCAGGGGGTGGCGCTCGTCGGGGAGGCTCGGGCAGTGCAGGAGCCCACAGCCAGGGGGAGGCTCAGGCATGGCAGGCTGCAGGTCTGGAGCCCTGCCCCGCAGGGAGGCAGCTAAGGTCCGGCGAGAAGTCGAGCACAGCAGCTGCTGGCCCAGGTGCTAACCCCCTCACTGTCTGGGGCGGCTGGCCGCTCCAAGTGCAGGGCCACTGAGCCCACACCCACCCGGAACTCGCGCTGTCCCGCAAGCGCTGAGCACAGCCCCGGTTCCCGTCCACGCCTCTCCCTCCACACCTCCCTGCAAGCTGAGGGAGCCGGCTCCAGCCTTGGCCGGCCCAGAAAGGGGCTCCCACAGTGCAGCGGTGGGCTGAAGAGCTCCTCAAGCGCGGCCAGAGTGGGCACCAAGGCTGAGGAGGTGCCGAAAGCGAGGGCTGCGAGGGCTGCCAGCACGCTGTCACCTCTCAATATGTCCAAAACCCAGGGACACACTAAAATACTACAGGAAGAAAAATCAAATCTTCACTGAAGATGAGCTCACAAACAAAAATAACATGCCACTAAAGGACGTGACGCACCATAATAAGAGCCAGCAAATACAAACAGAAGGTTAACTACCATAAAAACTCAAGGTGATGAATCAATTTAAAAACATTCAAAATGGGCAATGGAGGTGGAGAATAGATGCCATAATGAGCAAAGAACAAAAAGATTTTAAAATTTAATTAAAAAGTTTCCAGCAATGAAAAATATCACTGAATAAATAATTCTATTGATGGACTAAATATTAGATTACACATAATTTTAAAGGAATGTACTAACTAAAACATGCTCCAGAGAAAATTACCCAGAATGCAGCACAGAGAGATAAAATTGTAAAAAAACGAAAATTAGAGATTAAACACACAAAGTAGAAAATGAAGCCCACTTATGTCTAATAGAAGTTTCAGAATGAGGGTCTAGAGCAGAGGTTGTCAAACTTTTTCTGTAAAGAAATAAGCAGTAAATATTTTAGACTCCATGGGCCATAAAATCTGTCACAAATACTCAAGTCTGCAGTTGTAGTACAAAAGCAGCCATAAAAATTATATGAATAAATGTGTGTGGCTAGGTTCCAGGAAAATTTTATTTGCAAAAACAAGCAGTGGACAGGTTTGGCCAATGGGTCATAGTTTGCTGACCACTGGTCCAGAGAAAATGAGTGACAAGCAATATTTGAGAAAATGGTATGGAATTTTCCTGAATTTTTACATGCTTGATCGTTAGGTTGATACCAAGCCCCAAGCAAGGTAAATATAAAGAAATCCACACGGAGTCATATTGTAGCAAAACTTCAGCATGCAAGGATCAAGAGAAAAACTTTTTATAAACAACCAGAGAAGACAGAGTGTCTATAGAGGGATGGCTAAGAGTAAATTTCTCATCAGCAACAAATAGAATTTAAAAAAAAAAACAATAGAATCAAATCTTCACAGAAAATAGAAGGCAACTTACAATTTTATGCCCTGCAAAGTTATTATTCAAGAGTAAGGCCAAAATAAAGACATTTCGAGACAAATACTGAAAGATTTTACAACCCACATAGCCTCAACTGAAAGAACTAGTATAAAGCATAATTCAGAAAACAAGGAAATTGAACCCAGAAGGAAGAAGTTGGGTGCAATGTTGAGTAACGAGGCCTCTTTTCTGTGGGTAAATTCAATATGCTTTAATAATAATTTCTAATGTTGAAGGTTTTGAAAATAGGATGGAACTAAAATACTAAGCAACAATAATTTAGATTTTGTTAGCTGTGCATGTTAAAATTTTTAAAGAAAAAACTCATACAAATAGAAATGAAATATGTAGCTTCCAAACTAGTAAAAAAAAAAAAGTTGATTTTTTAAAAAGTTTAAACCCAATAGAAGTCAGAAAAGGAAACAAAAGGGAAATACAAACAATGATACATGGAAAACACAACATAAAAGGCAGAATAAATTCAAATACCTCAGAAATTGCATCAAATGTAGATGAATTCAACTACTTTAAAAGACAGGGGGCTCCCGTGTTTAGTTTAGTTTTGTTTTTTAAACTAAACTAACTCAAATTATAAGCTATTTAGAAGAGTCACGTCTGAAACTTAGCAACACAGAATGTTTAACATGAGATAGCAGTGATATAATAAAGGAATAATAAAAGATTTGTGACAATATTGCCAGAAAAAATAAACATTAAGGCAATAACTAGGCATAAAATAGACCATCATGCTCTGATAATTGGAAGAAATTAACCAAAAATTTTTTTAAAAAAAATTTTGGATTTGTATGCATCTAACCAAATAGTCTCAATATATCTAAAGCACATTTAGACAGAATTATCAGAAAATGGGAAGAGCTAATCATTTCAGAAAGACTTTACCAGTTGGTAGCATCTTTGTGAGACCACTGTTTGTCAAGAGTTTAATTTTTTTTCATTCAAAAAGGGTTCTAGAAATCTGATTAATGACACACAATAAAGGATAAAATGCATTAATGTGTGTACAGGTGTATTTGCTTTTCATGCAATCTCTACCTGTATTGCCACATTTGTTTTCTTAGTATCACCCAAAGACTGGGCTGTATGAGCCCTTCACTTTATTGGCTCATATTTACATGCACAGGGAATTAGCCAATCAAATGAAGAAACTAGCAAACGAAGTGAGGAATTGATTTACTGAGAAATTTCCATGAGGAGTCAAGAGGGGATAGGAAATATCCCAGGTAACCAAGTGGTAGGTAGAGGGACAGTTTCTCCCCCAAAACATGGGGAAGGATGTATGTGGACACAGAGAAGTGTGTTTATGGAATACGGTGGGCCAGTTAATTGAATGTCAACTTGCATTTAATTGTGAGTTATCCCGAGAATTGAAACCCTAAGGAGGCAAATGCTTGTCTGTCTTGTGCACCATTGTATCCTCAATACCTAAAACAAGGCCAAGTCCATTGGCTCTGTTTATTATTACATATAATAATTAATGTATAATTAATTACTACATATATTAATGAGCTGTTGAATACTAGGATGTGGTGGAGGGTGGGAGACAGTGAAATAGAGAGCTGGGGAAGCCAGCAAGTTAGCAGTTGAGGGTGATGGGCTGAACACTGAGTGCGTCTCTCAAACCAAACCCTGGGGGCAGAGTTGGCATAGGAGTAACTGTGTACGATACGACTCACAATCGTTGAAACAAGGAGTGCTAGAGGTACTTTCAAGGACCCTGTCAGACATATCATCTTAGAACCAGAGAAGAAGCAGCAGCACTTTCCCTGAGGGTAGAACTACCATAACCACCAGCTAATGCAAGTGTTTCATAAAACCAATGAGACACGAGGCAGCAGCTCAGTGGAGCCTGACGATGGGACAGGTATAAAACCAGCCATTGGAGTCTGGGATTTCAGGCCTAGACAGTATCTATTTTCCATGTACAAGTCTGGAATAATACTCAACAACCCTCCCTTTAAGTTACTTTGTTTTCTTAAGATGGAGGTCTTGCTATGTTGCCCAGGCTGGCCTCAAACTCCTACAGGTTCAAGTGATCCTCCCACCTCAGCCTCCAGAGTAGCTGGGATTATAGACCTGAGCCACTGCTCCCGGCCCTTCCTTTTTAAGTATTATGTATTGAACAATTAAAACTTGTCCTTATACCTCCCATTTCTAAGATTATAGAGTATCTGCCGACTATAGTAGTTAAACTTAAGTTGACATCTTCCTTTTAAGGAAGTCACCAAAAATCCCTTCAGAACATTTCAAAACACCCTAGACCTAGCAGTACTGCACTAGCAAATCATTTCCTAGGCAGGGTAATACATTGATTGGCCCCTTTGGGTCACATGCTCTCCCCAGATCATTCCTTAAATCCAGGGGTTTTGAGTAATCTGTTTGGTCAGTCTGTGTTCTGCCACTCCCTGCCCGCCCACCCTTTATCATGAGAAAGGCAGGGCTGCATGAATACCACCCATTCCCAAAGGCAAAAGATGCTGAGCGGATCCAAAAAAGTATGAAATATTCATCTCCTTCTTTCCAGAGGCATCTCAGCTCAAGGGAGCTACAGGCTGACTCTCACCATTTACCAGCTTAAAGGAATATCAAACCTGTCTGGGTCTCATTTTTTCTTATTTGTATGGAACTTGGCAGAGTTATTGTGAGGTTGAAGATCACCTGTGTAAAGCACAGTTCAGCAACTTCCCTGCCTGCCTTGTGTCTGTCCCCATTCCTGGTTGATCGCCATGACCCTGAGTGGATCCCCCTCCATGTCGGGTCCTCAGCTCATGGTGAAGAAGACAGCACTGCCCTTTTCCCTAACCCCAACTCTTGCAGCTGTCCCCTGGCTGCCTGGAGTCTCCCCTAATGTGCCCTCACAACTTTTCTCGTCCTCTTTAAACTGTGCAGAGGTCTGCCCCATTCTTGGTCCCTGACTCACTGGTCTAAGCTGTGCTAATGCTTCCTCCCGCCCTAGGTGACGTGAGACCCATTCTGTTCCAGGAAGCAGACAGATGCTGAGACAGGGTTAGGTGTACAAAAGGTTTACTAGGGAATAACACTATGAAAGGAAAGAAGAGGAAACAAGATCGGGCAGGAAGAACCCCAGATGGTGATACAGACATGACAGTCTCTGCCTTTCCAATGGGAGCTACTGCCCAGTAGAGGGCTCCAAAGTTGGGCCAAAATGGTCAGGGCCTAGCACCACTGTCTTCCAAAGTCATTGGCTGAAAGCCATGATGAAAAAAGCATGCTCTCAGTGCCCTCAGCTGTCATCCCCTTGGTCAGACACTGGCTGGCAGATGTTCCAAAAAGAGTGTGATCTTGGCCAGTAAGCTGAGGCTGACCCTGAATTAACAGCTGGAAGCTGTGGCTAAGCACACGTCTTGCAGTTGGGCAGCGTGTCCTTCCTTGAAGATCCCTCTTCAAGGAAGAGGGATCGTGTGTTGTCTTGCCATGTCTGTCACACACCTTCTAAAACCCTGTGTAATAAAAAAGTTCTAGAGGACTAATGTCTTACCCCAAAAGGGCATCCTATGACGGTAGGTAGATGGCAGGGGAAACTTTCAGTTCTCAACCATATCACACAGATGCTGCATACTCAGCCCTAAGAACCAGCTCTATGCAAACATTCCAGTTCCTTCTAGAAGCCCTCAAACCATGGATTCTTCCAACATCATCAAGTGTATCCTTCCACCCTTTCTGTGACCTTCCAGGTGAGACATTGGCATTTTTCCAGACAATGTCTTTCTTTTTTTGTTTTTTGTTTTTTTGTTTGTTTGTTTTGGAGACAGGGTCTCCATCTGTCTCCCAGGCTGGAGTGCAGTGGTGCGATCTCAGCCAGCTCACTGCAGCCTCCACCTCCCGGGTTCAAGCGATTCTCCTGCCTCAGCCTCCTGAGTAGCTGGGATTACAGGCGCCTGTCACCACGCCTAGCTAATTTTTGTATTTTTAGAAGAGACAAGGTTTTGCCATGTTGGCTAGGCTAGTCTTGAACTCCTGACCTCAGGTGATCCGCCTGCCTTGGCCTCTCAAAGTGTTGGGGTTAGAGGCATCAGCCACTGTGCCCTGCTGACAATGTCTTTCTAAAATGTGAAAGACTGGAGCCAGGCTGGTAGCCTAAGAGAGGTCAGTAATGAAGAGTTCTCACAATTAACCAATATTTACTTGATACTTAACTATATAATGCAATTGTGCCCATTTTACAGGGTTAAGACACGGAAGCTCAGTAAGATAATTAATTTACCAAAGGACATTGAATTAGTAAATGGGGCTGTGAGTATTCCAGCTTTCTTGGTTTTTGCAATCTACCCAACTGACAAAGGGCTAATATCCAGAATCTACAAAGAACTTAAACAAATTTACAAGAAAAAAATCAAACAACCCATCAAAAAGTGGGCAAAGGATATGAACAGACACTTTTCAAAAGAAGACATTTATGCAGCCAACAGACACATGAAAAAATGCTCATCATCACTGGTCATCAGAGAAATGCAAATCAAAACTGCAGTGAGATACCATCTCACACCAGTTAGAATGGCGATCATTAAAAAGTCAGGAAACAACAGGTGCTGGAGAGGATGTGGAGAAATAGAAACACTTTTACACTGTTGATGAGTGTAAACTAGTTCAACCATTGTGGAAGACAGTGTGGCGATTCCTCAAGGATTTAGAACTAGAAATACCATTTGACCTAGCGATCCCATTACTGGGTATATACCCAAAGGATTATAAATCATGCTACTATAAAGACACATGCACACGTATGTTTATTGCAGCACTCTTCACAATAGCAAAGACTTGGAACCAACCCAAATGTCCATCAGTGATAGACTGGATTAAGAAAATGTGGCACATATACACCATGGAATACTATGCAGCCATAAAAAAGAATGAGTTCCTGTCCTTTGTAGGGACATGGATGAAGCTGGAAACCATCATTCTGAGCAAACTGTCGCAAGGACAGAAAACCAAACACTGCATGTTCTCACTCACAGGTGGGAATTGAACAATGAGAACATAAAGTCTGTACTCTTTCTATTGGCCACTCAGAAGAGTTCATAAAACATTTTCCAGAAAGTTCCACCCAATACGCTTTTAAAAATATTTTGTGCTTAATTAGATGAATTTCTGGCATTCATTGTGCTCAGCTATCTGGAATAACTCATTTCAAAAGGATACCAGGAAGCTGAGGTTTTAGCCTCCCACAAATTCTGTACAAAAGAGCAGCATGAAAACTAATATTTAAAGTGAGCTCTCTCTTATATGAATAACTAATACATGCTGGCTAACTTTTGCTGGTTCATTCCTCTAAACTTTGAAAGCTCTTCCTATGTCTCTTCTCCCTCTGCCAAGTGGTGTTACAGTTTCAATTGACCTTGGTCATGACATTGAAAAGTGTATGTTTGTGAACGCCCTGTTGACCTGAAGCATCTGATCCTTGATTTGTTTTTCCTACATATCCTCCCTACCTCTGTGTATGGAGTTAATAATACATATGAAGACAGCAAGGAAAACCTTACTCATTAAAACGGGCAAGCCAGAATGACTACAGGGACCAGTATCAAAAGCATCACACACACACAAACAGTCCTTAGTTACTTTTACTTGCTTATATTTAAGAGAGGCTGACAGCCTTCTCCATGTGAAAGCTCTCTTCGAGACACACTGCTTCCACCATGCCAGGGGAAAAGCAGAGAGAGACCAAAGCACTGAACTAATAAGGACGGAAACATCTGCATTAGATGTTTGAAGAAGACAAGGGCAATTGGGAATGTATTTGTTTAACCATATTACTTATTGCTTTATTATTATCCTGTTTAATGTCTGGCTGCACTCGTGTACACTGAATGCTGACACCTACCATTTGAGATGTTTAACGCCTTAGTAGAAAACAAACATGTGCGACAGTCTCAGGAACTGGGGGATGTGATCTGAAAGTCAACACCAGGCCTGCACAATGCATAGATTATTGGTAGGAGAGAATTGCACATGCTTTTATTTTTTTTTTTTTCTGCCCTAGACCCACATTGCTCTCCATCTTAAAAGGCAAACTGAAGAGTTAATGAATACACTTTCAGCCAACTTACCTAAAACTTAAAGTTACCCAGTAATTGGAGGAATCAAATATCTGCTGCATTCTAGCAAGGAGAACCTAGGATAATGCATATAGTTTGTTATTTGGCTGTTTTTTGATACAAACTGCTGCCTTGGGAAAGGCAGGTGTGGAAGCGGATGGCTCACCAGGCGGGTCAGTGTGCCTTCAGCATTGGTGCTCTCACAGCCTGAGTAAGGCAGAGCTGACCTGTGCTGCCTTCAGCAGGTTCAGTCTTTCCTGTCAGACTCTCTCTGGCTCAGTTAAGATGGTCCTGGGTTTGGCTCCAGCAAGACCTCTGTCTACAAGTGAGACTCATCTCTGCATGGAACTCAGTTCACCCTTGGAAAAGTTT
Source organism: Homo sapiens (assembly GCF_000001405.40). NCBI lineage: Eukaryota > Metazoa > Chordata > Mammalia > Primates > Hominidae > Homo > Homo sapiens. The sequence goes on along the minus strand of NC_000005.10, from coordinate 66,495,636 downwards.
TACTTACAATTTTATTTAAAAATTTTTTTCTACAGAAAACCTCACAAAATAAATGTTAAGCTTAATGAACAATTAAAGCAAACACCCTTATAACCACCATTCAGAGCAAGAAAAGAACTTTCCAGTGACTGCAAAAATCCCATCATGTGCCCTGGTCCCAAATTCTCATAGAAGTCTCTTTCTTGTGTTCCTTTATGTTTTTCCTTTTCACCAAGTGACAAAAACTATAGTTCTGTCTGGCCCAGTTTTTCACTAATGTGTTTTAAATTTCTTTTGACCTGCAGACACCTCCACAGTCCTTTTCTTTGCCTTACAGTGCAAGTGGGGCCAGTTGAGTTGCCACAGTCTGGATTTTGCTGACAGCTCCCTGATGTCCAGCGTGTTCTTCTGACCTTGGGATTTCGTACAAATGAGCAGCTGGATTCATGAGACTGCTTTACTTTACACAAGTGTGCTGACCAACATTTCTTCCTTATCTCTCCCTTGCCTAGAAGGTAGGGGTCTTTCCTCTAAGGTGCAGATTGTGCCTTTTTAGACACAGAAAAATCTCACAAAATAAATGTATAATTTAAACATGAAACATCCCTTATATGCTTCTATATTTTCTTACTGGCTTGTCCCGCTGCCTGAAATGACTCCCAACCTTCTTTACCTAGAAAATGACTACTGAGTCTTCACGGCCTGATTCAAAAGTCAAATGTCACTCACAAGCTCTGTGGTCTTCAGACATCTCCCAGGCAACACATGTCCCTGGGTCCTCACTGTGTTCTCACTCACCTCTAGGATAACATTTGCTACACCATATCATAATCGCCTGAACTCATAACCTTTCCTGCCACCCACCGCCCCCAGTCCATCCCTGCTCCTTGAGAGGGCAATCACCTTACCTGAGCAGAAGCAGGTATTTGGCACCTGGTAGTTAGCAACATACTTCCTCCCTACCTTGTAGGAAACACCTGGGCTTCCTTTCGCTCCATTGCCACCCCCGTGGTCCACAGGGGGCGCACTCTCCTATGGGCCCTCCTTCTTTCATAGTGCCTCCAGTCAGCTCTGCTTAGCAACTGTTTTGTTTCAAAATGGACAACATGCTTTCCTGACCTCAGTTCCCTCTTTTTAAGAAGCCTCTGTACTCTTGTTATTTATTTGATCTGAGGTTAGCTTGGAAGTTGCCATTCAGAGAGGAGGATCATAGAATACCAACCTGTCCCCTGCCTGCCCTGTAACATGGCACTTGAGCAGCATTTTCAGTGTAACGCTGCCTTGCTTCAGTCACACCATTAACCAATATGAAGAGTGACATTGGCTGCACAAGCCCCAAATTACACTCATCTGTAAGCGGGGATAGGTAAGCAATGAGGGATGTATCCTCTCACCCCATTCCATTAAGCTCTTTCTCACCTTTCAAATTGGGCTTTAAAATCTCTCCTTGAGAACTTTTCCTGATTAACTGGACCCAATTCCTCTACTCAATGAGCCTTCATTAATTACGTACCTAGAGATTTTACTCTATTCATATGCTCTTGCTGTGTTATTCTATGAATATGTTTTTCATCTATTTTCAGGTGCAATTTCTTGAGAGGAAGATCTGGTCTTGCAGTTCTTTTGAATCCCTCACACTGTGTCAGTTCACGTTTCTGCAGAGGGCAGACCCAGTAAATGTCACTGACTGACAAATATATGTCACTGTAAATGTATCTGTACCCTTATAATTTTCTAGTACAAGAACTGAAGAAGCTGAGAAAGAAAAGGTGCTAAAATTTCAGCCTCTCTGAAGAATATTTTATCCAAAATGTCTGTTTTATCTTTTCCTGGACAGTGCTGTTTTTTTCCCACTAATCTGCTGAAATTTGCTAACCTGCCAATCTCTTAAGCGCTTTAAATAAAGACTTGCTGAGCAAGTCTTGACTTTTGAAAGAAGTCAACAAGTGTTTCAGAACCTAGCATAAAGTTCTAAATATAATTAAGCATATTACTTCAAGTATTGCTATAGATATTTGTGTTCATTATAAATAAACACCATTGAATCAATTCTTTTTCATCAACCTACAGAGTTTTAACTAATTCTTCCTACAGTCCCCTTTGATGTAGTAATGGTCTCTCCGAGGCAATGAGCCCTGGTAATAATGTTGTGAGTCGAACTTGAATTATTTAAAATTTTATTACATTTTACTTTCCAAAGGGAGTCTCTTTTGGAGCCTAGATTTACAGATCTATGATAATTTAGGATAAATTTTAATACTTTTCTGAAGACAAAAGGCATTTGACCAAATCTGGACCAAAGAAACTTGCTATTTCTTCTGATAGAAAGTGAGCTCCCAGATGATTCTGGTCATCTATTCATTTAGTCAAAGACGTATTTAAAAACTAAGCAGCACACGTGTGTGTGTGTGTGTGTGTGTGTGTGTGTGTGTGTGTGTGAAATTTTCAAGTTGTACATTTCAGGTTAGGGCCCCTTATTGCCAAGCTGAGGGGAAGATATAATGCATTCTAGAGAAATGACAGGAAATTCCTTGGGCTCTTTGCTCGTATTTCTTCAGTCAATAAATTAAGGAAAGATTTAGGTAATTTACAGAAACGAGGTAAGGTAAGATATCAGTGTGTGTTTGTGTACATGTACCATTGTGCACATGGTGTTCAAATTGCTAATTAGTAAATGTATATATTAGACTTCATCTATTAATTTTAAAGAAAATTATAGCTTTGATTATGCTAACCAAGGTGAAATACATTTTCATTTATTCATGGCAATGTAAATGTTTAAACTGGAAGACATTACTTAGATAAATGAGTGGTTAATGTGATAAGATGAATGAAAGAATTGAGTCCACACTGCTTGTAGTGTGATCTGTCAGTAGGCTGGGTTCTCCTATCAGCCTGTAGCCCCCAGGCTCAGTCATTCATCAATGATGTGTTTTGTAAGCTTTCTTCCTTGGTTCCTTCCTCCACTCTGAAACTGCCTTTGCAAAAATTATAACTGAGAAAATTATTACAGTGAAAGAGATCTGACCTAACCGACTCCATCTTGCTTCTAACCTCCATGCTGTCCTTGTTCATTCATGTGCCTAGGCCAAACTAACTTTGGGAGGAATTTAGTTTATACTTTAACTTTGAAACAAACATGGTAACAGCCCTTTCCCAAAACAAACGCCCTTCCTGCCTGGGGATTAGACTGCCTTTGTAGGTCTAACAAATTAGCTACAAGATTAGAAGTTATACTTTAGGAGTCATGTAGCTGGAGGCTCCTGGGGATAACATCACTATTGAAAAATCTAAAATGAGTGCTTAAATACTTTGCAGGCCCAGTGGATCAGTTGACACCACCCATCGATAAACTGGCTCATCTGACAGTTTATCTGACACCATCGATAAACTGGCTCATCTGGTCTTGTGGGCCCTCACTCAGGAACTGACTCAGTGCAAGGAGACAGCTTCAACTCCCTGTGACTTCATCTCCAACTCAACCAATCAGCACTCCTGACTCACTGGCCCCTACTCACCAAATTGTCCTTAAAAACCCTGATCCCTAAATTCTTGGAGAGACTGATTTGAGTGGGTAATAACAAAACCATGGTCTCCCCTACAGTCGGCTCTGCATAAATTAAATTCTTTCTCTACTGCAATTCCCTTGTCTTGATAAATTGTCTCTGTCTAGGCAGCAGGCAAGGAAAGCCCACTGGGCCCTTCCTTCCTTCCTTCCTTCCTTCCTTTCCTTCTTTTCTTCTTTCCTTTTTTTCTTTCTCCCTCCTCTCTCCGCCTCAACCTCCCTCCCTTTCCTTCCCTCCCACCCCATCACTCTCATCTTTCAAAGACACTACTTTTGTCTTTCTCATGTCTAGCTGCTACCTCAGCCTCCACCTTGGATTATTTTATTCCCTAAGCCTATCTCTACTTCTCCCTTTTTACATTATCTCTAATATAATCAATCAGGCCCTTATAGTTCTAGGTTCTTATTATTAGTTCCTAAATAAGAGAAAATAAGAGGTTGAGAAAATCCTAAAAAATTATCTAGTGACTTATTGAACCAGATAACACAGCTTCTCTCTAGACTTGCATTGTACCACATGGTAGCTACTAACCACATGTGGCCATTTAATTATAAACTTAAATGAATTAAAGTTAAATGAAATTAAAACTTCTGTTTCTTGTTCTCACCAACCACATTTTAAAAACTAAATAGCATCATAGTCCAATGTGCTATATAGTCACACAAATCCAATTCCACAGGGGCTAAGGTATTAGACAGCACAGAACATTCCCATATCACAGAACATACTATTGGATAGAAATTTCAAAGATTCAAGATTTCATTTTCTAATGGAGAGGTCCAATGGCTTAATTTTTTTAAAATCACATTTTCCTATCAGGAAATGCCCTCCTTTCTTGTCAAAGAGGTTGTTCACCTTCAGACCTTGCCAGACCTCCTCCCAATGGTATGTTGAAGCAGGACGATCATCCTGTTTCTGAATCAAGTGAATCATATAAGTGTTCCATAAATATAATGAATCCTAGGGGAACTATAGTACTCATAGAGGCCCAAGGAAATGGGCAAGCCTAGTGGAGCTTAGTCCCCTGCCAAGAGATAAATATAGAGTAGTGAGCAGAAAGTTATGCAATTCCTTGAGTATATTTAAGATCCAAGGATATAACACTCTACCTGGTTGGGAAGGGAAATTTAGGATTGCAGCCTGTCTCTAACTTTATACAACACTTAATTGTGTGTAAATAAATACTAAATGTACCAAAAGCTCACAATGAAAAGGTCCCTGCAGTGAAAATACTGCTAACTTAAGAATCCTTTTTCAAGTGTAAATTGCCATCCATTTAAAGGATTGGAGCTTTCAGAAAGGAACGGGCAGACCTGTAACCAAGGCCTCAGAGAATTTGCTGGAAACAGCTTATTAACACAAATTAATTTGCAATCTCTCCCATCAGACTGTGCAATCCTTACAGACACATCTTCATTACCTTGCTCTCTCAGCCTAGCACAAAGCTGGACACACAACAGGAGCCTGGTAAAGTTTGGTTGAAAGTGTTTTTTACAAACAGATTCATTTACGACGTTGGCTCCTTTCCTCTATTGTCAATCTCCCAAAGTGATTAAATCACAATTTTTTGTTTACTTAACACTAAGGTGTATACAATTATGGTTGAATGAATGTTGTGTATTGCTAAGCCAAGTAATGTTTATGATTTTCTTTATTTGATCTTATTGTTTTTCCATTTGCTTAATTTTCAGTGTGCCTTTTGCTGATTCTTCCTACAGTTCCAACATCTCTATAAAACTGCTCTTGACACTATTTTTCATTAGTCAGACTTATTACAACATCTATTGGTCGCAATTCATTCCTGGAGACCTCCCTCCTGGCATCCCTGGTCCTTCTGTCCCATTGGGAGCTGATTGACACCCAGGCTGCTGCACACAAGTATCCTGGGACTTCTCTTCACTGCTTTTGGATTTTCATTTCTGGATCTCTTGAATCCTCTTTTCTTGATTTAGTCCCTTTGATACAGACAGGAGGCAGGGAAATACTGAGTAGAAGAAGTAGAAGACGGCAGGGTCCCTGGCAAGGTCTCTGCCCTCAAGCCTGAACTCATGGCCCTAAATGAGAACTTCACATTTCTGTTTTCCCATCCAGATGTTGCCTTTTGGCCTGCCCATAAAAACCCTAAGCTGTGCCCATAAAACACTAAGCTGTGCCCATAAAAACCCTAAGCTCCACTGGCAGAGGAGCAGAGCAGCATGGCAGAGAAGGACATACACACAGAAGAGAAAAGTGTCTGACCGTTGAGAGGAGAAGAAGCAGCTGGACATCAGAAACTATGATTGGGGAAGTAGTATGGTCAAAGACTACAGTCAGGAGAAGACCACCTTCCCACTCCATCCCCTTTCCAGCTCCCCATCCACTGAAAGCCACTTCCCGTGCTCAATAAAATCTCCACATTCATCATCCTTCAAGTCCATGTGATCTCCTTCTTCTTGGGCACTGGATAAGGACCCAAGTGCAGGTGCGAGAGGCTGTCACACTGACTCTCCACTGAGCTGTTTAACATGTCAGCCATCCTTGGACAGGAAAGCTAAAATAGCACACTGTAACACATGCCCCTCTGGGGCTTTAGAGGTCACAGGCAACACCTAGACACTGCCACAGGCCAGTACAGGGTTTGTCCCTGCTAGTTCCCAAAGGCACTCACCCCAGCCCCTGCACCTGCTTACCTGCGTGCTCCCCTTCCTGCAAGGGGCTTGAGCACTGTGCGCTGAGTAAGTGAGCCATCCCTTCATGAGTCCTGCAAAGGGGTCAAGGGAACTATTTCATCTCATTTTGTTTTGCTAAATAACATCTTCTAGTTACTCTTTAAGGATGCATGGAAGGTAAGTGTCTGAAAATGTTTTTATTCTTCCCTCATATTTGATTGATAATTTATCTGGGTTAAGAATTTTAGGTTGGGAGTAGGGATGCCTCTTAGGGGCCTGCAGGCCACCCAAGCATGGAAATAAGGGAAAATCTTGGGTTCTTTCAAGGGAAACTCCAGATACCTGCTAGCCCTGAGAAGTAAATAAGCAACATGATAAGCAAGAGGTTAATAGTAGCTTAAACAATAGCCAAGGAGGTTAGAGTAACAGTATGTTTGGCTCCGCTATAGAAACTAAACATAGACTCTTTTTCTCAGACTTTGAAGGCCTTGCTCCTTTGCCGTCAAGCTTTCTGTGGTGCCAATGAGATACCTGTTGTCACTTATATTCCCTTTTTTTTTTTTTTTTTGAGATAGCCTCTCACTCTGTTGCCCAGGCTGGAGGGCAGTGTGGCAATCATAGCTCACTGCAACTTAAACCTCTCAGGCTCGAGTGATCCTCCCACCTAGCCTCTCAAGTAGCTGGTACCACAGGCACATGTTACCATGCCCAACTAATTTTTAAATTTTTTATAGAGATGGGGTCTTGCCATGTTGCACAGAGTGGTCTCAAACTCCTGGGCTCAAGCAATCCTTCCACCATGGCCTCCCAAAGTGCTGGGAGTACAGGTATTAGCCATATGCCTGGCTGATTCCTCGTCCTTTGCATGTGACCTGCTTTATTCCCTCTTTAACACGCATTAATATGGATCTTTCTGAAATTATTATTTGTGCAGGGAACTTGATAGAACCTTCTATGTCTAGAGATGTGAGTCCTTCAGTCTAGGGAACCTTATATACTTTCCTGAATGATTTCCTCTCCGTTTTATGTTTTAGCTCTAAAATTCTTTTTAGATCCTCAATCCATTCTCTAATTTTCTTCTTTTTTTTCTCCTATTTTCCTTTTTTTCTATTGTTTTCTAGCAGATTTCCTCAACTTTACGTTCAAAATGTTCTTCAGAAACGTTTATATCCAACACATTTCTGACTCTTTTTGTTTCATGGATGCAATGTATCTCTGAGGCTTTTAGTTAGCAGTTACTTTAAAGCTTGCAATTTCTCATTGTCTCTGCTGCCTCGGAATTTATTTTCTTCTATTTGCTGATATTGGCCTTTGTCTTTCACACCCATGGCTCCTTCAAACCTCTGGCAATCTATTGACACTCATATGTAAGAGGGAGACTCTAAAATGTTGATTGAAAACTTGGGGTCTGGGCAGGGCTTGTCAACTGGAGGGTTTCACTATCAGTATTTGTAGGTCTTTTCTCTGTAGTTCTTCAATCTCCCCAGGGAAGAATCTTTTAATCTGCCTCAGCAGAGTATAAATCCTGTTGCTGGCATTCAAGAAGCAAGGTGGAGGAAGGGACCCAAGGGCTTCAGAATTCAGTGTTTTCAACAGTATCTACTCAGAGTGGCAGGCGGCCCTTCTAAGAAGCTGGTCCTTCGAAGCTGGGGTGCTGCAAGAGGCTTCAGCTCTGATGTGCTAAGGCATCCATTATAGGGAATGAATAAACTTCCCTCCCATGCATGGAGACAGGCAGTAAGTTTGTGCCGTCCTTGGGAGAAATGAGAGATTAGTAGTTCAAACCATTTTCTGCAGGGTTTAATCCTCTGTAGAATCCCCAGTTGAGAAAGGCTGGTAATCATTACATTACCCAGGCTCTCTCAGTAACACCCCTGGTTTTCACCCTCATGCCTCACCCGTGCTTTTCTACATGGCCTGAAGCTGTTGGGGTTTTCGGAGTGATGGGCTTGCCCCTCTGTAGGCACAAAGGTGGGTTGAAGCCTCTTGGCTCTGTTTAATAAGTTACCCCCACCCATCTGCCTTAAATCTTATAGCAATTTTTGCCATTTTGCATTCTTTGTTTCCATGCCTCTACTCTTTGGCTTTATGGACTTAAAGCATTTTATTCTCTTAAGTCATTTTGGTGGGCTTTATAGGAGAGAGAACTTAATATCAATTTATTGTTATTACCCAGAAGTCCAGGCATTCTGAGTACATGACAAATAATTACAACTAGGGTAATGTAATTTATCATCCAAACCAGGATATCATTGAGAGTAAAAAGGCACTAAGAATAACTAGTTACATAATGTTTACAGACTTTTTCTTATTAACTAACAAATTGGTATCATGATATAACTGGATCAACAAAACTGTTTTGTTCAAACTATTTTCAAATATAAAAGCTTTCTAGAAAATTTAAATGAACATATTCACAAACAAAATTACATGTCCATGTATATTAAAGTGAAATTTTCAAAAATTTCTTATATTGATTATTTGAACATTAAACAACAGAATAATGATTCCTGGAACATATTCATGTATTTTAATTAATTTTCAAATTTATATCTGTTTTCTAATGGTATATGATTGTTATTTTTCTGACCCATATACTTTTTTAAGTATATTTTGTATAATTTTTCCTTATTTTTCATAAAACTTATTCTCATATTTTCAAAGTTGCATTTATAATTACTAAATTTGATATTGTTGATATCTTAAACTGAATTCTCTTGGTAGACTATATATATTTTTTTTCTTTTTCTTTTTTTTAGACAGGATCACTCTCTGTCACCCAGGCTGGAGTCTGGAGTGCAGTAGCACGATCAAAACTCACTGTAGCCTCAACCTCCCAGTCTTAAGTGATCCTCCCGCCTCAGCCTCCCAAGTAGCTGGGACTACAGGCATATGCCACCATGCCCAGCTAATTTTTGTATTTTTAGTAAAGACAGGGTTTTGCCATGTTGCCCAGACTGGTCTTGAACTCCTGGGCTCAAGCAATCCACCCGGCTTGGTCTCCCAAAGTGCTGGGATTATAGGCATGAGCCACCACACCTGGCCTGGCTATAATATTTTAGATTAGAAAATACACTCTTACAGGAGCTGAAGTATGCAGGAAGCTCAAAGTAAATTCTACTAAATGGAGGATAGCATCAATTCTACCTTTAAAAATTAAAATGTATAAATATTTGAGTTCAACATTTTCATAAGCACTGCCTTTCTGTCTCTATTCAGACTAATTTTCTTTGGCAATTAATTTTGTAGGATAAAATTTGTCAAGGATGTTGCTTCTGTGTATTAGTAAATGCTAGCTTTTGAACAAAATGCAGTCAAAATTTGAAGGACTTATTTACAAAATAACATACTACCATGTTAGGTTGCTTAGGCACATTTACAAAGTACTTCTCCAAAGGCACAGCATTTTCTAAATTCCAACTGATGAAGGACAATGAAGAGAGAAAATATTTTACGGCCAGATTGAACTATTTTTCTGTATTCAGCATCATCTTTGTCAGAAAATTTCATAGTTCTGTTATTCTGCGCATGTATAAAAATATTTGTAAATCCTGATAACTAAAACTTCTATTTTGATTGGTAGAATACTGCAGCTTGTTTGAACACACAATTATCAATTGTGTTTGCACACAACCAATTTCAAATACATTTCTGCTCTGTTTCCTAATTTAGTAAGAACATTGCTATTGCTGTAATGCTGTGTTCTACCAAAATTTGTATTTATATTAACACTATAAAAACAAATTATTTTATTTTCAAACTTTTGAACTGTATTTACAATAAAATCTACATTGATGTCAAATACTTCAAATTCAATGCAATGAACTTTCAAAAGATATACTTTGAGTCCATGAATTTGATGAAAAAAATGAACCACCATTTGTATCAATTTGACTGATTTTTCTCGCTGAAGCATCTGGTATCACAAATATAAAACAGGCCTCAGTTATCTGTTTGTAAGTTTCCTCTTTTGCTAATGGACCCAACACGTTGACAGTTATCATTCCATGTTTTGTACATACACAAGAGATCTTAGGAGTCAAAATGAGAGAAGTCTATTTAGAAGAGCAATCATTTTATTTTAAAAAGTCATATTTCAGATTGTAATATGTAAATAAACTTCTGCAGCTACACATGTGAAATTGTCTCAGATACAGTCTTCATAGAATAACTACTTTTAAAGTAGATCTTGATAATTCTTCAGCAAATTTGTATCTCCTGCATTCAAGTGGTCAGGAAAATCATCACTACCTCTTTGGTGAATGGTAAAAATGAATTGTTTTTTGCCAGGATTATACATCTACCATTGATTTTCTTGAGAAACTAAAATTCAGTTCTTAATTTTTTTATTAAACGTGTTCTTAAAAAGCTCGTTGCTGAGAGAAAATTGATGATGGATAAGGAACTCCCAAAGCCCATTCCTCCATAAAAGCAATGAAAAAAACTGGCAAAAATGATCACAAATTTTTTGCAACTTTGAAAACTAACTAAAAGCTTGCAGCAACGCAGAGAGCACTTATTCAAGAAAAATGAGCTGGATCTCAGTAATAACAATGAGCTTTGTGGCATCTTAACCTACGCTAGTCCAATCCTCCATTCCCCATCTCAATGGTAGCCTTAATAGTAATAGCTTACATTCCCTGTACCTTACCAGGAGAGGAGAGTGCAGAAAACAAATCATCTGTAAATTGTCCTTAGTTGATCTGTTTGTTGACTCCCTGGAAGACCTGCTCAAATGGCTTACCTTGATCTCATCTGACTGATACTCTCCCCTTGTGATAAAGCTGATACAGGAGCAGAAAACTTTTATCAAAAACTTTTATGGGCAAATGTTTCAGTCCCTGCTGATGCAATACATATTAATAACAGCTGGGGCAAATAATAGATGAACCAAAATATTTGAGAGAAAAGTGTTGGGAGTGAGATGCTTTAGGGAATAAGGTCTTTGAAAAGCTCTGACATAGTCCTAGGAATCTAGCAGGTTACATGTATGCCCAGAGCTATGTCCGTGCTCAGGAAAGACCTCTGTAGAAGTGGGAAGTACAGACTAAAGCAGGGGAGTAAACATCCTGGCTATGTTGAAGGCAAACCTGACACACAAACAGAGCCCCTCTGGAGAGACTGGGAATTTTTTTTTTGGTTCCAGGCATTGAAAGCAATCTTTATTTAATCACTAACTGAACATTAAGCTAAGGCAAAGTAGGGACCTTGAATACCCAAAAATGATTATGAAAAAGAAGAGCAAAATCAGAGGATTCATACTTCCTGATTTCAAAACTTACTACAAAGTTACAGTATTCAAAAGAGTGTACTACTGGCATCAAGATAGACAGATATATAGATCAATGGAATAGAATTGAGAGTCCAGCAATATCCTGTAACTATGGATGCCAAGACCATTCACTGGAGGAAGAATAGTCTTTTCAACAAATGATGCTGGAACAACTGAATATCCATAAGAAGAGAATACATTTGGACACTTACCTGATACCATATAGAAACATTAACTGAAAATGGACAAAAAAAAAAAAAACCAACTAAATGTAAAAGATAAAACTATAAGACCCTTAGAAGAAAACATGGGTATAAGTCTTAATGACCTTGAATTAGGCAATAGTTTCTGAAATATGACACCAAAATCACAAGCAACAAAAGAGAAAATAGGTAAATTGGACTTCATCAAAATTAAGAGCATTTGTACTTCAAAAAAAACTATCAAGAGAATGAACAGACAGCCCACTGGTGGGAGAAAGTATTCGCAAATCGTATATCTGATAAGGGTCTAAGATCCAAACATATAATGAAGTCTTACAATTCAATAATAAAAAGACAAGCCACCTAAGTTAAAAAATGGGCAAGGGATTTGGATGCACATTTCTCCAAAGAAGATATACAAATATCCAACATGCACATGAAAAGACTTTTAGCATCATTAGTCATTAAGTAAATTTAAATCAAAGCCAAATGAGATATCACTTCACACCCACTAGGATGGCTATAATCAAATAGGCAGACATTAACAAGTGTTGGCATGGATGTGCAGACATTGGAACCCTCATACATTCCATTCCTGGTAGGAATGTAAAATGGTATAGCCACTTTGGAAAACACTTCTGCAGTTTCTCAGAAAGTTAGACATAGTTACCCTATGATTCAATAATTCCATTCCTAGATATCTACTCAAGAGAATGGAAAACATGTTGTATACACAAATGTTCATAGATGCATTATCCATAATAGTAAAAAAGTGGAAATAACATAAATATTCACTCACTGATGAATGGATAAATAAAATGTGATTTATCCATACGGGGGAATATTATTCAACCATAATAAGGGATGAAGTACTGGTATATGCTACAACATGGACGAACCTGGAAAACATTGTGCTAAGTGAAAGAAGCCAGACACAAAAGGCGACATATTCTGTTATTCTATTTCTATGGAATATCCAGAATAGGCAAGTCCCTGAAGACAGAAAATAGACTGGTGATTGTTAGAGAACAGGTGGAGAGGGAGGTGGGGAGTGACTGTTAACAAGTACAAGGCTTTTTTTTTTTTTTTTTTTTGGCATGATGGAAATGTGAAATTAGACAGTGGTGGTGGTTACATAAAATTGCAGATATACTAAAAAACTACTGAGTTTTACATTTCAAACTGGTTAAAATAGTGGGGTTTCTTTATTTGTGGGTTTTATCTTAATAATAATAATAAAGCTCATGCTGATGAGCTGATGATAGGGTTTTTTGTGAAATAAAAAAGTGTTACCAAACAATAAAATAAATCAATATTTGTGTGCACCATATGATAAAGGAGAGAACCGCTGCATAAGAGCATTTCAACAACCTTATCTCTGTGCACAATGGATGTCAGGACTGTTCAGCTGGAGCACCCCAGTATCCAGCTGGAGAGACAGTGTCAATCCCTCCCACCACCATCTGAGGCTGGCAGGAGCAGGCTGTCCTCCATTGCCTGTATCTCAAGCACTTCCTTTTATCAGTGAGTGTCCTGCCAGCTGTCGTTGAAAGGAAAATGTTAGTTGACACTACATCTTAAAAATGTCGGGGAAATAATCTCCTGGTGTGCCATTTGCTAAGACCATTGGAAAAGCACAGTATTTACGTGGCAGTGCCCCAAGTTTCCCAGTACAGTCTGTCATGGCTTCCCTTGGCTAGGAAAGGGAAATCCCCCGACCCCTTGAGCTTCCTGGGTGAGGCAATGCCCCGCCTTGCTTCGGCTTGCCCTCCACAGGCTGCACCCACTGTCCAACCAGTCCCAGTGAGATGAACCAGGTACCTCAGTTGGAAATGCAGACATCACCCGTCTTCTGTGTCGATCACACTAGGAGCTGCAGACCAGAGCTATTCCTACTCAGCCATGTTGGTCTCAGGATACAAAACCAATGTGCAAAAATCACAAGCATTCCTATACACCAATAACAGACAAACAGAGAGCCAAATCATGAGTGAACTCACATTCACAATTGCTACAAAGAGAATAAAATAGCTAGGAATCCAACTTACAAGGGAGGTAAAGGACCTCTTCAAGGAGAACTACAAACCACTACTCAACAAAATAAAAGAGGACACAAACAAATGGAAGAATATTCCATGCTCATGGATAGAAAGAATCAATATCGTGAAAATGGCCATACTGCCCAAGGTAATTTATAAATTCAATGCCACCCCCATCAAGCTACCAATGACTTTCTTTACAGAATTGGAAAAAACTACTTTAAAGTTCATATGGAACCAAAAAAGAGCATGCATTGCCAAGACAATCCTAAGCCAAAAGAACAAAGCTGGAGGCTTCACGCTACCTGACTTCAAACTATACTACAAGGTTACAGTAACCAAAACAGCATGGTACTGGTACCAAAACAGAGATATAGACCAATGGAACAGAACAGAGCTCTCAGAAATAATGCCACATATCTACAACTATCTGATCTTTGACAAACCTGACAAAAACAAGAAATGGAGAAAGGATTCCCTATTTAATAAATGGTGCTGGGAAAACTGGCTAGCCATATGTAGAAAGCTGAAACTGGATCCCTTCCTTACACCTTATACAAAAATTAATTCAAGATGGATTAAAGACTTAAATGTTAGACCTAAAACCATAAAAACTCTAGAAGAAAACCTAGGCAATACCAGTCAGGACATAGGCATGGGCAAGGACTTCATGACTAAAACACCAAAAGCAATAGCAACAAAAGCCAAAATTGACAAATGGGATCTAATTTAACTAAAGAGCTTCTGCACAGCAAAAGAAACTACCATTGAGAGTAAACAGGCAACCTACAGAATGGGAGAAAATTTTTGCAATCTACCCAACTGACAAAGGGCTAATATCCAGAATCTACAAAGAACTTAAACAAATTTACAAGAAAAAAATCAAACAACCCATCAAAAAGTGGGCAAAGGATATGAACAGACACTTTTCAAAAGAAGACATTTATGCAGCCAACAGACACATGAAAAAATGCTCATCATCACTGGTCATCAGAGAAATGCAAATCAAAACTGCAGTGAGATACCATCTCACACCAGTTAGAATGGCGATCATTAAAAAGTCAGGAAACAACAGGTGCTGGAGAGGATGTGGAGAAATAGAAACACTTTTACACTGTTGGTGAGTGTAAACTAGTTCAACCATTGTGGAAGACAGTGTGGCGATTCCTCAAGGATTTAGAGCTAGAAATACCATTTGACCTAGCGATCCCATTACTGGGTATATACCCAAAGGATTATAAATCATGCTACTATAAAGACACATGCACACGTATGTTTATTGCAGCACTCTTCACAATAGCAAAGACTTGGAACCAACCCAAATGTCCATCAGTGATAGACTGGATTAAGAAAATGTGGCACATATACACCATGAAATACTATGCAGCCATAAAAAAGGATGAGTTCATGTCCTTTGTAGGGACATGGATGAAGCTGGAAACCATCATTCTGAGCAAACTGTCACAAGAACAGAAAACCAAACACTGCATGTTCTCACTCACAGGTGGGAATTGAACAATGAGAACACTTGGACACAGGGCGGGGAACGTCACACACCAGAGCCTGTCATGGGGTGGGGGATGGGGGAGGGATAGCATTAGAAGAAATACCTAATGTAAATGAGGAGTTAATGGGTGTAGCAAACCAACATGGCACATGTATACATATGTATACATCACAAGCATGTAGGTAACAAACCTGTATGTTGTGCACATGTACCCTAGAACTTAAAGTATAACAAAAAAAAAATTGGGGAAAGAGAGAGACTACCACTAGTCATCTTTATAATTAACTACATGTTCAAACGAGAACTCTGTTAAGTGTGTGAATCCCCCAAACTGCTAGATGACATTGTGGCATAAAGTGGAAGTGCAAAGTGGAGATCTATGAAACCCATCCTGGCTCATTTCAATGACATTATTAGTAAGTCTTTGTTAAAAAAAAAAAAAATGAGGGCAAGTGGTAAATAAGAAGGGATGCCAGGAACTGAGGTAAATCTGGACTGCCCCAGTCAAATCAGGACCTTTGTTGTGTTAACTCTAATGCAAGCCATTTCTCAGGATAAGTGTCAAGTGCCTGGCACAGAAATTAAGTTGTATGAAGGTCAAAGGTGGAGATCATATCTTGCCTCATAAAGGATTGTGTTTTGTGCTGTAATAATATCATGTAATATTAACAGGTAGAGACAGGGAGAAAGTACAAGCTGGGACAAATGGAAAAGTGGCAGGAAAGCAAAAGGTGAATTTAGAAGGGAACAAACAAAACAGAAGGTTCCCATGGGGTTCATTTGTTACTGAGTGTTTATAAAAGTAATGTTTTCATTTAATTACCTATATTTCCCATATACAAACTATGCCTAATATTGCTCACATTAGCTAACTTCTGGCATAGTGCCTCTTCTTTGTAATAATAAAGTGAAGAATAAAATAAATAGAAAAAGAATTAAATAGCTTGCAAAAGCAGAGTCACTTTCTCAATCTTCTAGTAAACATGCAAAGGTCCCCAAAATTTTACATGAATAACTCTTTTTGCTATGGATAATTTTTATAACTCCTGTTAAAACATAGAGGTTGTTTTTTAAAAGTTTCATTAGATTTAATCGATTTAGCACCTAGATGAAGCATGTCGATAAAGAGTCAAATGCTGTAAAATAATTGAAGAGATTTATTCTGAGCCAAATATGAGTGACTATGGCCCATGACATAGCCCTTAGGAGATCCTGAGAACATGTGCCCAAGGTGGCTGGGGTGCAGCTTGGGTTTATACATTTTAGGGTGGCATGGGACATCAATCAAATACATTTAAGAAATACATTAGTTTGGTCCAGAGAGGCAGGGCTTCCAGGCTATAGGTAAATGTAAACATTTTCTGGTTGACTGATTGACAATTGGTTGAATTTGTCTAAAGACCTGGGATCGGCGGGGCGTGGTGGCTCATGCCTGTAATCCCAGCACTTTGGGAGGCCGAGGCAGGCGGATCACGAGGTCAGGAGATCGAGACCATCCTGGCTAACACGGTGAAACCCCGTCTCTACTAAAAAACAGAAAAAATTAGCCGGGCGTGGTGGCCGGCACCTGTAGTCCCAGCTACTCGGGAGGCTGAGGCAGGAGAATGGCGTGAACCCGGGAGGTGGAGCTTGCAGTGAGCTGAGATCGGGCCACTGCACTCCAGCCTGGGTGACAAAGCGAGACTCCGTCTAAAAAAAAAAAAATACCTGGGATCGGCTGGGCAGGGTGGCTCACGCCTGTAATCCCAGCACTTTGGGAGGCTGAGGTGGGTGGATCACCTGAGGTCGGGAGTTCAATACCAGGCTAGCCAACATGGTGAGACCCCCGTCTCTACTAAAAATACAAAAAAAATAAAAAATAAAATGTCGGGTGTGATGGTGCTGTAGCTGTAATCCCAGCTACTCGGGAGGCTGAGGCAGGAGAATGGCTAGAACCCGGGAGGCAGAGGTTGCAGTGAGCGGAGATCACCCCACTGCACCCCAGCCTGGGCAACAGAGTGAGACTCCATCTCAAAAAAAAAAAAAAAAAAAAAAAAAAAGACCTGGGATCAATAGAAAGGAAATGTTCTGGTTGAGATAAAAGAGTGTGGAGACCAAGGTTCTTTTGAAGTGTCATAGTGGCTGCCCTTAGAGACAATAGATGACACATGTTTCCTATTCAGATCTTTAAAAGGTGCTAGACTCTCAGTTAATCTCTTCAGGATTGGGAGGGCCTGGAAGAAAAAAGATCTATCTATCTTAATAGAGGTTCTTTACAGATGCAAATTTTTCTCCACAAAGGACAGTTTTTTGCAGGGTCATTTCAAAGTATGGCAAAGAAACATGTTTTGGGGCAAAATATTTTGATTTTCTTCTTTGTCACATAATATTATTCCAAAGTCAGATTGGAAAGTAAGTCACAATATATAGGATTAAATAAAACCCATCTGATGAGAATTTATGGTTTGTAGTTCATGACTCCCCAGACCCCTTAGATAGGAATTTGGGCAAGATAAGAAAAAATCAGAGCTTAGTTTTCAAGCATAATAATGAGAGAAGCTCAGACTGATCTGATGTCATGCACTTTTCCAGCCTGCCCAAGCTGACAGCTGCTTCTGGCTTTCTAAAGTGCTGTACAGAGCCACAACTCCATTCTAGAAAGCACCAAGTGCCCAGAACCTTTCATCACCTTCCCGGCTGCAGATTTTTCCAGAGCTTTTGCTGCCACAGAGACAACAAGTAGCTGTTATGTTTACCAAATACATTTGACCATGCTTTCAACCTATAATCTGAAAGTCCTAACTGGTATAATTTGGCATTTCCAAAGTTTTGCCGGAAATGTGTGCAAATAATCAACTTTTGTAATCTGGGCAAATATAATTCAGTTTCCAGAATAGGAGTAGTCACATGGAGCTTAACACAGATACACCTACATTCATCTTGTGTCCTCTAAATTATCCCCTCCCCCAGTCTATTGGGATATGCTCTTTAAGAAGAGCAGTTTACTGGGGAAATGAACACGTTTAGCAGCCATCACATATACAGGAAAAAATAAATTGGACAAGAAGGTGTTGTTTGTTCGTATTTCAGTTGGTCATTTGTATTTACTGCAGCAGGGAATTATTATGGATCCAAACTTATGTTTTCATCTACTATTCAGTTGATAGACTTTCATGGAGATTATAAACCTTTTTTTTTTTTTTTTTTTTGAGACGGAGTCTTGCTGTCACCCAGGCTGGAGTACAGTGGCACGATCTTGGCTCACTGTAACCTCCACCTCCCAGGTTCAAGCAACTCTCGTGCCTGAGGTCCAGAGTAGCTAGGATTACAGGAGCCCACCACCATGCTCAGCTAATTTTTTCTGTATTTTTAGTAGAGACAGGGTTTCACCATGTTGGCCAGGCTGGTCTTGAACGCCTGACCTCAGGTGATCCGCCCACCTCAGCCTCCCAAAGTGCTGGGATTACAGACATGAACCACCACACCCAGCAAAGATTATAAATCTTTGAGAGATAACTTTAGAATATAACAAGAGCTTTATAGTTTGAAAATCTGAGCTAAAATCAGTAATTACAAATATATCAGACGCCAATATGAGGTTTTTCAAGTATTAGAAAAGTGGAGAAAGCATATGCTATGTCTACGTGGCCTCAAAATCCTCAGTTACATGAGTCATTTCTGAGGGAGAAAAATTCTACAAAATCAGTTGCTTGTGTTTCTGTGGAGCAGAACATGAAATAAAATCTACTACCCCAACAAAGAGATAAGAGATAAGACTCAGCATTCTACTGTCAGGAAAATTCAAGTGTGTCGGCAATGAAGTAAAAAAATGAAAAGACAAATATTTATCTTAACCATTAGAGATAATCTATATGAAAATGTTTAGAGCTGGTAAATCTTCATTCTTAGCCCTGGGCACTTGGGACTTTGTGTGAGACTCCTGCTCAGGAGTGGTAGGGGGCGGACCAGAGGGAGACAGGCAACCAGTCAGCTCAGAGAACAACTTTTTTTGATACTGTTTTATTTTACCAAAAAATCAATTTAAAAATTAGATTTATGAGAAAGGGTCATGAAAATTTGTGCAGTTTCTCCCATGAGAAGACAGGATGGCTGTTTATAAGAACAGGACTTGTTCCCAAAGATTAGAAAAAGGACATAACCTGCATTATGATGCCAAAGATCATGGCTGCAGCTGGCTGAGTAACCGAGCTGCCTTGAGTCAGGGTCAGGTTGAGAGTGAAGCAGGCTGGACCCTGCCATGGGTTAGAACCCTTTCCTCAGAAAATCGAGGGAAGCTAGGCCTAAATGTGGCATTACCCAAGGAGAAATGTCTCCCAAAGAGACATTTTTCTCAATAGTTAAATCCAAAGGAAACATTACCCTATATGATCTCAGAAATACTGGGCATCTACAGCCCTCTCTGCAAATGTATTTTTTCCCAGTTTCTTACTCTGTGAGTTGTTAGAAGCAGAGTTCAGAGGCCCAGTGTCCAGGGTTTGCGTGGCTGCCTGGAGGTTAAGAAAGCCTGAAGGCAGACACACCGCAGTCGGAAGGAATGTTGCTGCAACTCTTCTTCAAGAGACAAGAAAAGGAAGGTCCATTCGATGCCACCAACTTTGAAGGGGCTGTTTAGTCCTCTCTAGTTTTGTTAAAGTTAGACTCTAAATGTAATCTAACTCTCTTTGGTATGGAGATGCAGGACTTAAAAAAAAAAGAAGTTATCTTTTTGTGCTTTGCCAAAGCTAGGTTTTCAGTTTTGCATTAGAAATGAGGAGAATTTAAACCTTTAAAGCCTTCTGACTGGACTTAATGCCATTCATTTTCCGGTTTCAGCTGTCACTGTGGCTGAATTGGAGCCAGAGACACACACTTGCCACAAGCCCTTTCTTAATACTGAACACCTCTTCCTCACAGAAACAGGCCAGGCAGACATTTGCTCTCCCCTGTGCTATCTGCTCCACATTGATACCCAGAGTAGCCCATCTTGAGAAAGGCATAGCAATTTGAAAAGGTGAGATTACAGAGGCTTAAACGCAAATTAGTGCCGTATGTTGAAGAGCCTCGTTATTTATGCCTGAACCAGATGCTTCTATTCCCTACATTATACTTGCAATCAGTCATTTTTTAGCTCTTTTTTGTGATGCAGTGCTAATTTAACAAAAGAATTGTGCTTCCTTTTTTCCTCATGACTACGAAAGCTCTCATAGCCAAATAACCTCATTATTTCATCTCAGAAAGTTTCCCCTTGGAATTAATTACTTTGAAATCAAAGTATTCCAGGACTCACAGATTCTTTTAAAAACATCATTGGCACTTCTTCCCAACAGATTATCTTCCATAATTGAATCAAATCTTCACTATGATGTCACATAGAAGAGTTACAGCAAATACATGGTGTACTATTACAAGTTAACCTGGACAATTTACTCCATGCCAATTCTCAAATTATATTATTATCGTTATTATTTTACATTGTAAATAGATTAAAATGTCCTACTGGGGAATTAAGTCTGAGATCTAAACATGGACATATGGGATCCATGAAATTCTGTCTTGAGTGTAACACACATCAACATTATACAAATGTATATTACTTCTCATTGGAAATATAATAATACTAACTGAAATATATTTATGTATTGCTCTTCTAAAAGTTTAGAGATAGGTGACTCTCAAATAATGAAATCTGTTCTCCAAGCTACCCAAGAACTTCTCTCCCATTATTTTGTATTTTGCCTCTTAAGTTTTTCTTTCTCCACATCCTACCAAGGTCTCTTTTAGTATTTCCTGATGAAAACCTATCGCCTAGATTTTTCCTCTTTTTTTTTGGAAATGATGGTAAAATATACATAACTGTAATTTACCATTTTAACCATTTAAGGGAACAGTTCTGTGACATTCAGTGCATTCACATTGTCATGAAACCATCACCACCATTCATCTCCAAAACTTTTTCATCTTCTCCAACTAAAACTTTGTACCTATTAAACAATTACTTCCCATCTGCTCCCCACTCAACAACCACCTGTGAAAGGAAAATCAATCTTGGGGCCCCAAAATCACTAAGCTAAAGGGAAAAGTCAAGCTGGGAACTGCTCAGGGCAAACCTGCCTCTCATTCTATTCAAAGTCACCCCTTGCTCAGCTGAGATACTCACACCTGTAATCCCAGCACTTTGGGAGGCTGAGGCAGGTGGATCACGAGGTCAGGAGTTCGAGACCAGCCTGACCAACATGGTGAAACCCCATCTCTACTAAAAAAAAAAAAAAAAAAAAAAATTAGCCAGGCACGGTGGTGGGTGCCTGTAATCCCAGCTACTTGGGAGGCTGAGGCAGGAGAATTGCTTGAACCTGGAAGGCGGAGGTTGCAGTGAGCCAAGATTTTGTGCCACTGCACTCCAGCCTGGGCGGCAGAGCAAGACTCCATCTCAAAAGAAAAAAAAATGCATATCTGATTGCCTCCTTTGGAGAGGCTAATCAGAAACTCAAAAGAATGCAATCATCTTATCCTATCTACCCATGACCTGGAAGTCCTCTCCCTGCTTCAAATCATCCTGCCTTAGCTTTGAGTGGTCCTGCCTTTCTGGACCAAACCAATGTTCATCTTACATATGTTGATTGATGTCTCATGTCTCCCCAAAATGTATAAAACCAAACTGTGCTCTGACCATCTTAGGCACATGTCATCAGGACTTCCTGAGGCTGTGTCACAGGCATGTGTCCTCAACCTTGGCAAAATAAACTTTCTAAATTAATTGAGACCTGTCTCAGATACTCAGGGTTCACATTTTTGGTAACCATGAAGGGATTCTGACAAATCTCCTATTGGTGTTTGGTACCAGCATGAGCTAACTTTATGGACAATTTGCTGAGATCTGGGAGCACACCCTCCAGAGAACCCCGATCTCCCAAATTTTGGTCAAGATCTAAAGTTTATTTTGCTGTACAACTCCCCCAACCCCATTTTTTTTTTTTTTTAAGTTTTACTTGCTTCCAACAAGGAAGGCAAGATTTCTGGTTTCCACGACGACGGAAGGCAGGTAACTTCTTTATGGAGTTTGAGCTCGCTCTCAGTAGAGAGGACAAGTTTGAGTTTTTTCCCTGCTTCTAGGATGGTAGAGGGCAGTCTTCAGCCTGAGACCCATCCATAGGTAAGTAGCAGAATTGGGGTTTTATCTTGGCTAAAGTTTAACAACCAACTGGTCTTAATTTCTCCTTACCATTAGAGCGTTCAGTGATCATATTGTTGGGGGGTTTTGTTGCTGTTTGTTCTGGTCTTTCTCTCAACAGATTTGACCAACTCTACCTGACTTGGTCAAATCCAAGTGAGAATTCCAAATTACAGTTTAACAAAGCCTCTCTAATTTGGCTAAAATTCCTCCCAGCTGCAAAGGGGGAGACCCAAAAAACCCCAAAAAACATGCACTTGGTTTCTGTGTTTGCCTTCCTGTCTTCAAAAAAAAAGTGTTCTTTCGCTTATTTTCTTCCACCTTATATGTCCTACCCCCTTTTGCCATCTACAGTACCAAAAAATCTAGAGAAGGCTTCTAATGACTTGAACTTCTTTAAAGAATTCAGAACAAAGGTGCCACTCACCCCTTTTGGGGTGTTCCATTTCCTTTGTGGAGTTTCAAGAGTCATGGGCAGATTCTTCTTGGGTCTAAAGCTCTGTTTTCCTGTATTGCATGACCTGACCTCTTTGGCTTTGGGGATACCAGAGATTACCTTGTACTGTGAGAGGATTTGACCTTGGCATGTGTAATGGTGAATGAGAGCTACAAAGTAGCGGTGGCTGAGCACAGTTTACAGGAAGTAGTCTTGGCTGTTGTTTTTTTTTTCCTCCTATGAAGTTATTGTTTAAAGATCCTAATTCTAGTTTGAAGATGCATTCTAAAGGGTCTTCTCTATTTGCTTTTTGTCCCAAAATTAATCTCAGTTCAGCTTATCTGTGCACATTTGCATGAGGAACTGAACTGTTGTTTCCATAGGTAAATGAGAGACTGAGTTTTCTCAGCTCTGAAGAGAAAGGGCATTTTCCTCCTCCCAGCTGAAAGGCACCCCTGGGTGATCAGGGTCCTCATGGGAGTGTCTATGGGGTTGACCCCCTGCAACATGCAGCAGCCCTGAAGGGTAATCCCCAACAAAAAAAAAACTTTTAAAAAAAAGCCTCATCTAGGAAATGCATATAAGGGCTGATCACCTGGTGTTTGGAGCCCTCTCAGAGGTCATAGACCTCTAGAGAGAGAAACTGAGATACATAACAGGACGGAAACAACTCACTGGTGACACACTGTGGAGTCCTGTCTACAAGCAGCACACATCAATCCACCACACAAAAACCCTAGGCTACAGCTCAGTTCCTTCTCTTAAGAAAAAAAAAAGTGTGAAACAAATAACCTAAGAATGAGGAGAAAACAAGAAGAATGACCCTCTTGCGAGCACTCTGTAGGTTTTATGGCACCTCTACTTGCCAGAGTTAATGTAAAATG
Source organism: Homo sapiens (assembly GCF_000001405.40). Taxonomy (NCBI): domain Eukaryota; kingdom Metazoa; phylum Chordata; class Mammalia; order Primates; family Hominidae; genus Homo; species Homo sapiens. The sequence goes on along the minus strand of NC_000005.10, from coordinate 66,471,955 downwards.
GAAGTAATATCGTCTTTGTGCACATTTACATTAAAGAAAAAGAGCCCTAAAGTAGACCTGCAAACTATAGAGTTCCTAAGTTCTCCTTTTTCTCTATTTTATTTTCTGCCTGCTTTAAATCTGCTGTTATTTTTCTATTATGATAAAAAAAAATCACAGTTTGGATCCAATAGGTTTTTTGTTTGCAAGCCAGTGAATTTGTATTTATCTCATGGTTAAAGTTCTGTAAAAGCTATAGGATATGTGTGTGTGTGTGTGTGTGTGTGTGTGTATTTAAAAGGCCTTTATAATGTATGTAATTTTATGTTTAATTGGCAATTAAATCCATTTTCATTTCTCTCTAGCACACCAGACTTTTTCTCTCCGTACCTTGTGATGTAAGTTTTACTATTTTATTTTCACCTGAGTTGTTTCCTTTAATATGCAAATTTAAAACTATTTAGCTGATGACTGCCTAGGGTTATCAAGAGTTGATACAGGTTACCTATTGAAACAGCAAGAGTTGATACAGTTTACCTATTGAAACAGGTTATCAAGAATTTGAAAGTATAAGATGGGGAAAAAGGTTTTTATGAATCTATAAGATGTACTTCTATCGGCATGCCTAATACATCTATGTGTTTATGTGTTGTGTACCCAATATTTCACTACTGAAAATATATAAAAGAGCTCTAATTTTTATAAGGAAAAAAGAAAAGGTAGTCAAATGCTTTTTCAAGTTTATGTAACAAATAAAATTTTTAATAAGCTATTTTAAAAATTATTGGTAAAGTATAATAATATTAGAAATGTCTTAAGAATTGCCAGCATATATTCTTGTTTGCATTTATTACTTAAGCAGCTTCATACTTATCCCTGCCAAATACTGTAAGGTGTCAAAATTTGGTATAGGGTTTAAAAAACTATAAACCAAGCCCAAGACAGGATGATCTTTGCTTGTGTAATTTTTAATAAATAAGACATTGATATTGGTTTAATGAAAATAGCTATATCTTGAATTTAGTAAGATCACCACAACTTCTAATCTTGTGGCTTTAGGCAGTCTAGTCCACAGGCAGTAACATTTGTTTTGGGAAAGAACTGTTATTGTCTTTGTTTCAAAGCTAAAGTACAAACTAAGTTCCCCCCAAAGTTAGTTCGGCCTACACCCAGGAATGAACAAGGACAGTTCGGAGGTTAAAAGCAAGATGGAGTCAGTTAGGTCAGATCTTTTTCATTGTCTCAGTTATAATTTTGCAGTGGTGGTTCCATAACTTTATATAATGACAATCACAGTTTTCATAAATAATCTAGGTAAATGATAAAAATAAAATAATTGGGTAAATGTAATTGGATAAATACCTGTAGACAAACTCATCATAATTTAGAATCTAAACTTATATTAAATTAATAGATATTTCAGGTTGGGTGCAGGGGATCACGCCTGTAATCCCAACATTGTGGGAGGCCGAGGCAGGTGGATCACCTGAGGTCAGGCATTTGAGACCAGCCTGGCCAACATGGCAAAACCCCTCCTCTACTAAAAATACAAAAATTAGTGGGGCATGTGGTGCATGCCTGTAATCCCAGCTACTCTGAAGGCTGAGGCAGGAGAGTCACTTGAACCCAGGAGGTGGAGGTTGCAGTGAGCTGAGATTGTGCCACTGCACTCCAACCTGGGTAACAGAGCAACACTCAGTCTCAAAAAAAATAGTAATAATAATAGATATTTCATTATTTGAGTATTTTCCAATACAAATGTATTTGTAGGAAAACATTCTTTCAAAAAATGTGCTTCCTTTTTTAAAAGGTGAACAATTTTTATCTAATTCAAAGCTTATTTAAGGGTTATGTACAAAATAAGGTAAAAGGAACCAGGAAATAAGACAGATGTAAAGAAAGTTACAAAAATAAAGGTTTTTTGTGGTTTTTTTGTTTTTTGTAAGAAAGCTTAAGAGAAATAACTTTACGGAGAAAGAATCTTGTATGGTAAATTTAGTCCTAGAATAAAAAATAAAATGACTGGTTGTTTAAGGAAGATGGATGTTCAGGACAAACTAGAAAGTCCAAGCATATCATGTATGGCCTGTGTAAGTCACAATAAGAAGATTTATTTAAAAAACTTTTACAAGATCATGTTGTCTATAACTAAAGGGAAATTACAATGGTCTTTCTAGAGATTGGGCTTGATGTAAAAAAACACTTAAACACTAAATAATTGGTTAGAACAATGAAATTTTCTTAAGGGATTGACTTATTCTTAATAAATTATATGAGATTTTAATTTTTTTAACCCAAAGTTAAACTATTTTGGTTTTCTCTCTCTCTCTCTTTTTTTTTTTGAGACCATCTCTAGTTTTTTCACCCAGGCTGGAGTGCAGTAGCACGATCTCGGCTCACTGCAATCTCTGCCTCCCAGGTTCAAGCGATTCTCCTGCCTCAGCCTCCCAAGTAGCTGAGACTACAGGTGTGCACCACCATGCCAGGCTAATTTTTGTATTTTTAGTAGAGACAGGGTTTCACCACGTTGGCCAGGCTGGTCTCGAACTCCTGACCTCAAGTGATACACCCACCTCGACCTCCCAAAGTGCTTGGATTACAGGCATGAGTCACCATATCTGGCTTTTCTTTCCTTTTGAAGGGTGTGAAATAGTAATGTTCTCCTTCAGCTCACTTTCAGCTCATGTAAGTTCTATCCTCGAGTTCTGTTTGTAGTGACCTAATGCTAACAATGTTTTCTTAAAGGTCTAAAGGCAGTGTTTTCTTCCAACATAATATTCTGTGCAGTCCAGAAGATCTTTTCCTTTGCCTTTTGGTAACAAACAGATTTTATGGTTTATCGAAACAATTCCTATGCCATTATTACTAAGTTTTGGTTTGCTTAGGAAAAAAACTGAGATTAAAAAAAAATTTTGTAGTTAAGGTTATTACATCTGTATATCTTTCTATATGTACTTTTAAAGTACTTTTGACACTGAGTTACAGGGTTTTGACTCCTGGATCTAAAAAGGACACCAAGTCCTGCTAAATTTTAAACACTGACAGCAATTAAAGCCTCATCTTCAGGCCTGGTAGAAGATGCCAATCAAAATAAACTGCATTCCTAAGACACAGGGCCAGAAATTAAAGCTATTCAACTCCACAAGGCCCAGAGACTATCATGGAAGAGGTGGGCATGTGCAATTGTAAGGGCCAATTTTGAGAGATAAAATAAGTTCTGTTTCTCCATAAATTAATCATTAATATCAAAGGCACACTGATGCAAGACCAGCATATGGAACCCTGTGTCAGATTAACAAGGTTTCCTTGAAGCATTAACCAACCCCTTAATCAAGTGTATAATGGTTATAAAAGGCTTATGGAAGTTATATCTTATGATCAAGATTAAAATTTTATACATTGTTTATAAATTTTTGAAAAACAAATTTAATTTGGATTCATGCTATTTTATTAGGGCTTATTGTTTGGAAAATTAAGTCTCCTCTCTCAAAGAATTAAGGTTTTCACCCTTTTTTTGAAATCCTTGCATTATTACTTTGTTCAAATGAATGACTTATTTTACAATGACCTGTGATATCAACTGTTTTAAACCTTTGATATTTGACAAACTTTACAAAATCAAATTATCAATTCTGTCTTTTTCTGACAGACTTAATCCTTTAAGATATTAGGTTTCCTAGAGTTCAAAAATGATATCATTTGGCTTCTTTGGTATAAAAATTATACAAGAAATGTTGTCAAATATGAAGTGGTGTTTGTTTTCTTTGAGCTGTATTTATATAAATATGTTATTTGTATGCATTCTGAAATTATGGCAAACTCCTATAATTCTGATATGACTTAATGTACATTATCAGAAATAATTATAATTGTTATGTTAAATTATTGTGTGCCACTGAGGTAACAAATTTACTTCTCAATTGTGTCTTTGATTATGGCTGCCCTAAAAGTTTTTGTCATTCACAGACAATTGTTATCTTGTTTTGGTCCTCTTTAGAAGGTCGTTTTATAATCAGCTGTAAAACTCTAACAGGTGCTCTTGAATACAAGTTTTTGATAATTTTGTAGATTATGACATCAGAATAAAAGAAAAACTTTCAGGGCTCATGGAGAACTAAAATATTCATGATTATCAAGCAGAACAGGAATTAACTACATGGACTGAACTAGTAGAAGACTGAAGTAACCTTTTTGACTTTTTGCTTAAAACGTTGCTGATCCTCTGTTTTGTTTTTTCAGAGTCAAGGAAACTTCTCTTTTGAGCTCTTAACAGCTTTTAACAATTCAGTATACTGTGAACAAAACTTAGAACATGAACATATTTGTTCCTTTGTACCTGATTTCTCTAGAATTTGGAAACTATTTGTGGCTATTCTTAATTTACGGCAATACAGTTATTTGCGTAAGTGCGATAAGAATCTGTTTTCCTTTATAACAGGGCACAATTGGAGAAACTGGTTATTTACCAAGGCTTTGACTGGAATGGTGTGCTTTCCTTTAAGGAATCAAACTTGATTTATGGAGCCAATAAAAGCCCCTTGGGAAAACCGGCCTCATACCTTGTCTATACAGTCCCTGTACAGGATTCCTGACCTGTGGTAAGTAAAGAATGCCACTTTCTGACAGGCCCAGGAGCCCCCATGTTTATCTTGGAACCTCAAGAGGAGAGGAATTCACCCAACTCGCAGGTATTTGATGGTAAAAATCCATGGCTGGGCTCAGCTTTAAAAAAGTCTTGTCTGAGATTCCTTCTATGGAACAAAGTTCCATCAAGCCAATTTAAAAGCCTATGTAAAAAATAATTAGTCTTTCTACACCATATATAAATAATCAGGCCAAGTATAATAAAGCAAATCAGTCCTACCATGATTTGTTTTTAATAAAAATGGTAAACTGGAGAGAGAAAAATTAGATTCTAGTCCTGCTTAATGTTTTTCCATTTTTATTATTTTCTACTGTTTGGACCAAATTCTAATTTTTTTTGCTACAAGGCTTCAAAATAATGTTTTCAATTTTTTTCCTTCTTTTTCCTCCCTTTTTCCTAATTTGGAGTCACTGAAAACTAAGCTGTGCTTTTGTAAAGCTCTGGGAACTGAAGCTAGACAACACAAACTTCAGAAGAAAATAACAGGACCCTGTCTGGGCGAGGTGGCTCATGCCTGTAGTCCCAGCACTTTGGAAGGTCAAGGTGGGCGGATCACAAGGTCAGGAGTTTGAGACCAGTCTGGCCAACATGGTGAAACTCCATCTCTACTAAAAATACAAAAATTAGCCAGGTGTGGTGGTGCGTGCCTGTAATCCCAGCTACTCAGGAGGCTGAGGCAGGAGAATCGCTTGAACCTGGGAAGCGGAGGTTGCAGTGAGCCAAAATCGTGCCTTTACACTCCAGCCTGGGTGACAGAGTGAGACTCTGTCTCAAAAAAATAAATAAATCAATAAAAATAACTGCAATTTTCATACCTTCCTGCTGATGTATGGATTTCAGAGTAATGTGGCCTATTGATTTTCCAGGATTGTTCTTTTGTCTGTTGTTCTTCTTCTTCTCCCTTCCTCCCCCTATTTTCTCTTCATAGGACATGAGACTTCACAACCTGCTAAAAATGAAGTTTCATTATAACTCAGGACCTACTGTTTAGGAATAAACCATTCTAGCCAAGAGGGATCAGACTAAACCTGAGACCAGAGACTCATTTTCTTCTAAAATGCTTTCTCCAAAAGATTTTTAAAAAGAAAACGGGGGGAAATGTGCAAGGAAAATAAATATTGGGGCCCCAAAAATCATTAAGCTAAAGGGAAAAGTCAAGCTGGGAACTGCTCAGGGCAAACCTGCCTTGCATTCTATTCAGTCACCCCTTGCTCACTGAGATAAATGCATATCTGATTGCCTTCTTTGGAGAGGCTAATCAGAAACTCAAAAGAATGCAAGCATTCATCTCTTATCTACCTATGACCTAGAAGCCTCCTCCCTGCTTCAAGTTTTCCCACCTTTGCTTCCAGTGGTCCCGCCTTCCTGGACCAAACCAATGTTCATCTTACATATGTTGATTGATGTCTCATGTCTCTTTAAAATGTATAAAACCACGGTGCTCTGACTACCTTGGGCATGTGTCGTCAGGACCTCCTCCTAAGGCTGTGTCATGGGAGTGCGTCCTCAACCTTGGCAAAATAAACTTTCTAAATTAACTGAGACCTGTCTCAGATATTCGGGGTTCACACTCCATTCTACTTTCTGCCTCTATGAATTTGACTTCTCCAGATATCTCATAAAAGTGGAAGCATGTAATTTATCCTGGCTTATTTGACCTAGTATGTCTTTAGGATTCATCCATGTTATAGCACAAGTTAGAATTTGCCTTTTTTTTTTTTTTTTTGAGATGGAGTCTCACTCTGTCCCCAGGCTGGAGTGCGGTGGCATGATCTTGGCACACTGCAACCTCTGCCTCCTGGGTTCAAGTGATTCTCAGTCTGCCTCAGTCTCCTGATAAGCTGGGACTACAGGTGTGTGCCACCACGCCCAGCTAACTTTTGTATTTTTAGTAGAGATGGGGTTTCACCATGTTGGCCAGGATGGTCTCAATCTTCTGACCTCATGATCCACCCACCTTGGCCTCCCAAAGTGCTGGGATTACAGGCATGAGCCACCGCACCCGGCCAGAATCTCCTTTCTTTTTAAGGCTGAGTAATATTCCATAGCATGTATATATCACAGTTTGTTTATACATTTATCCCCTGAAGAATCCTTGAATTGCTTCCACCATTTAGCTATTTTGAATAATGTTGCAATGAACATGGGCATACAAATATGTGTTCAAGACCCTGCTTTCATTTATTTTGGATATATACCCAGAAGTGGAATTGCTGGATCATATCGTGATTTCTATTTTTAATTTTTTGAGGAACCACCATGTCATTTTCCACAGGGGCTGAACCACTTCACATTCTCACCAATAGTACACAAGTGTTCCAATTTCTCCATAGCCTCACCAACACTTGTTATTTTCTGATTATTTGATTTCAAATAATCAAATTTATTCTGATTAGGATGGCTTTTTATAATAGTCATCATAATGTGTGTGAAGTGATATTTCCTTCTGGTTTAAATTGCATTTCCTCAATGAACTAGTGACATGGAGCATCTTTTCATGTGCTTATTGGACAGTTGTATATCTTCTTTGAAGAAATGTCTATTCAAGTTCCTTACTCATTTCTGAATCAGGTTGTTTATTTTTTTGTTGTTGTTGAATTGTAGGAGTTTTAAAAATACATATGATAGATATTAAACCCTATCGCATATATGACTTGAAGATATTTTCTCCCAGCCTCTGGGTTGCCTTTTCAGTCTGTTGGCATTGTCCTTTGATGCACAAGTTTTAAATTTTGATGAAGTCCAACTTACCTAGTTTTTCTATTATTGCCTTTCTTTGGTGTCATATCCAAGAAAAAATCATTGCCAAATTAAATATTGTGACATTTTACCCCTCTGTTTTCCTCTAACAGTTTTATAGTTTTAGTCTTACATTAATGTCTTTGATAGATTTTTGAGTTAATTTCTGTGTATGCTGTAAGGTTAGGATCTAACTTCATTTTTCTTCTTTGCTTGAAGATTTCCTGATTTTAATTATTTCTCCTCAGTCTACTAAGTTTGGGCACAAAACTCAGTCACTTTGTGTATTCTCTTCCTCCCACCCCCTGCCCACTATTTTCTACCTTTTCAATGTGTATCTTTTGGATCATGGTGATTGTGTCAATCAGCATTCGCTGGCAGAAAATACAAAGCACTCTAGTTACCTTAAGTGAAAGCAGATTTAGTAGAGAGTCATGGGTACTTGCAAATTCATGAGAAAGGCTAGAATAGGGAGCTAGATTGGGCCTCCAAGAACAACCCTATGCAACTGGTCATCAGGGGGAACTGCTACCTTGCCCTCAGGCAGGAAAGTAGATACTCATAAGATTCCTGCTAGAATTGCTGACTTCCCAGTGGTATCCTTGCTGTGATCCAGAGATCAGGACATTACTGATGCTGCAACTGGAAGCTCCAAGATTACACCCATGCCTGCTAGATGTGTAGATGTGCACTGGCAAAAAAAAAAAAAAAAAGTGCTCCACACCTCACCTCTTGATGCCCATGAAGCCAGTGACTGGACACTGGAATCCTGCTACAGAAAATCCTCCACAGAAGGTGCTGTGGAGCACCTTCACAAGTGTGCTTGCCAGAAAAATATTGCAAAAACAGTAGAAAGATGTCCAATGCCTCACTTTTTCCTTTCAAATCTCCTTTGGGTGGATCTAGTTAAAGAAACCTAATGTCATCAAGAACTCTAGCTGTAAGGGTGTTTAGCAAATGCTTCTTTTAGCTCTCCAGCCTCTGAAGAAGAGGAAAGCATACCAGATAGAGAGCTAGAAGTTGAGTGCCCATGCCGCATTTTTCTCATATTTGCCATCATGATGAAAGTGATGATGACAATGTTAAAATTTATATACATGGGATAGCAGCTGTCATTGCCACATACATGATCTAGCAGCATTTGAAGCCATATGACGTGGCTATGTGATTTCATGCCTCCTCTTAGATTGTTATTAGGCAGTACATTTCTCCTGTTATATTAAACGGACCCAAATTCCCAACAAAATCATGAGGTCAGAGAAGCGACTTTCTTTGTGTCCCTCAAATTGCATCTCAGAGTCAGCCACTACCCACTGTCTATCCAGGCTGTTCTCAGTAACCAAGCCCTCCACTCTTCTGCTTCAATTTGTATTTCACAGAAGACCATGCATTTTGAGTAAACTAGGGGGTTCTCCACTTCATTCCATAGTGTCACATTAAGATCTTTCAGAGTTGTTGGTTACTTTCTATGTATTTTACACTCTAAAGGCTTATACTAAGGCTGTTTGTCCCTGATTTGGCCAGGTCACTCAGACAGCAAATCAATTCACTAAAAAGCCGGGGACTGTACTGGTTACTTATGGTCACACATTTAGAAATCTTAACTGTTTTTTTCACTTTTCATTCAGTTGAGTCAGTATCATCCTGAAGATGAAGAGCATATAAAGGGAAGGAAAGAATCCAACCACTCCTTTTCCCCCCATAAATATTATTATATTTCTATTGCTCTCTTTCTACCAACCTCAGTTTTCTTGATCCTAAATTAATACAGATTGAAGATAGACTCAGCTCAGGTTTTTTTTTTTTCTGTCTAGATCCACTGAGCAATTCATGCTAATCTCTTACCCAAAAAGTTGGATATGCGGCTGTAAGGTATAGGAGTTTAGAATTAGCTTCCACTACAATTAGATTCCGAGCTCAAATAATTCACTGTAACCACTCTTCACCATCCCTTGGCTGAGCCTTCTGCTGCAGTGGCTTAATGCTTAAGCTCCATCATGAGCCCTAACTTCTTTGAGCTCTCTCTTTGTGCTGGTGAAATGAACTTATTGGCCAACAACTTTCAGGTGGGAAAAAGATCAAGCATTCTTTCAGGTAGCAGAAAGAGCAAGATTCATTGTGGAAAGCTCTCTTAAAAGTCTGAGGTTCACTCTGATTAGACCACTTTAGGCTTCCTGGCATCTCTTAAATCAATTATTGTGGCCAGAAGAATGTAATGCAGTAATTGGCTTAAGCCAAGATCACATGTTCTACCCCTAAATTTTGGGATAAAAGTCTTTAGATTGTACAGATTCAGCATGGAGGGTGGATTCCCCATCCCCAAATCAGGGACTGTCACCAGAAAAAGGAGAATAGAGCTGGGGAGATAAATGACTGTAGTCTTTCTACCTGATCTCTATAGCCTTAACCCCTAGCACAGTGCCTGGCATTGCATAGACTGCTTAATGAAGGAATAAATGTATGGTATGTGAGTGCTACTGTATCCTAAATATTTCCTTTCATCACTATACCCCAACTTTTGCAGGACAAAGAGGCATCTGATTAATTGTTAACTGACATCCACTAAGTATTCCTTTAAGCACATGTCCTTCATTTTTTTTAATATAACTGAGCTCTGCCTGAGAAGGAGAGAATCAGTTGAGTTACTCAGCAGCCATCCTGTTGTTTCTGAAGAAATCAAATGGAATTGAGTTGCCTGTTTATATCTTCAAGGGCAATTGAATAGTGTCTGATAGAGCTGGGAGCAACTCAGTTGCGTTTGAAAAATTTTTCTCACTATTCAGTTGGGCTTAAAAATTATTCTGACATAACTCCATGGCATGTATCAATTCTTCTTGGCATGAGAGCCAGCCTAAAGAAGACCCTTTTTTCAAAATCTTTAACCAGTAATATTAATCGATATTCAAGTCATCAAAAATAAATCTGAGTGTTCTTCTAATGACTATAAAGAAAACTAGAGAGTTTTTCTACACAAATAGCTATTTAAATAGGTAGGATTGTGGCAGTAGTAGCCAAAAGCATAAATACAGTTGGGGGTAAAATTTCAATCTTAAGGTTAGAGAAAGAGGCCCCTGCAGAAAAGGAACAAGAAAGCTATCTACACAAGCCTTGCTGCAAGGTGCTCCTTCCTGTGGACCAAATTACAGATAATGTGCTATTTAAGATCTTCCCTGAAATGCAGTTCAACACAGAGAATTTCACTTTGATCTATCTTGAGGCAGAGAATGAACTTGATATAACATGAGTTCGGTAAACACTCATAAATGGATTTTCAATTCTTTGGTCTTACCTACTCTGACTTTGAAGGTCTCAGGTCTCACCTACTGTAACTTCAAAGGCCTCAGGAGTGTCACCCTCACTTTTATTTCTGCTGTTATTATTTCTGACTCCTTCAAGTTCTACAACAAATCACTGAATCCAAATAATGAGCAGAACACTTGGGGGCAAGGGGATATCATTACCCTATTTCATTACCACAGGAGCCTGTCCTCAGTGAAACAGTCAGGCAGCTGGTTTGTCTTTGGCAGTGTAGATCATCAACTCCAACTGCTTCTCTCAAAATCCTCCAACCCTTGAGTAAATTTCTGTCTCTCAATGCCCCAGTGGCCCATGCTCTTTCTCCCTGTATTTATTAACTGTGCTCCTAAATCATTCACACACTTAGCTATACATTAGCTGATGATAGCTGGAAATACTACTACACCTTGGATATCTGAATTTTGGTAATTATTGGGGCCTGAAAATGAACAAACATCAGCAGTGGAATTTCAGCCACCAGTCTTTGAGAAGGTAGGACTTCGATGTAGTTCTGGTAATACTATGCTTCTTGATTCTGGGTGTTGGTCATATGGGTATGTTCAGGTGTACAATTATTTGTATACTAAATGTATATGTATATTAGACTTAATTTGACATTGTTTTTCAATGCAGGAGAATGATAAGGAGGCCTGCATTAATGTATGGTGGAAGAAGATAGATTTGAGAGACTTCATCAGTATAATCATCAGTATAATCAATTTCATCAGTATAATCAATAGGTCTTGACAATTAATAGAAGGTGAGTTAGAGAGCAATAGTGTTTCAAATGCCAGGTTCATGGTGTTGGTGGTAACCAAGACAGGGGTCATGGAGGAGGGATATTGGAGGAAGATTAGATTTGGGGAGGAAATAATGGGTTTTATTTTTTGATATGTTGAGCTGGAGCCATTGAGGCCATAGACAGCTTGAAATATCTTGAGAGGAGCCTAGAAATAGATATAAATCATTGATGTGTCATCGGTAAGTAAAGTGATGTCAGTTAAATTTGGCCAGGAGAACAGGCTTGAATGTATTCTTTGAAAGAGACCCCTGGAGAGCATCAATATTATATATTGGGGGAGGGGTAATGAAGCCACACAGGAGCTTCATGGTAGAGCAGTTTCATGGAAATCAATGATTTTGGCAAATATCTCAAAATGCTTTGACGGGATACCATGTCGCAAATATGTTACTCTCCTTCTCCATCTTTCGTTACCCTTCTCAAACCCCCTCCCTAATCTCTGCCTACACTCTGAGCTTTTCTGAGGCCACAGTTCATGGAAGGAGTTGAGGGGAGGAAGAAGGTGTATACAGTAGGATGCCCAGTGATTAGGAAACCTGGGTTCTAGACCAACGACAGAGCTGAGTGCATCTGGGGATGTCTTCTCATTTTTGAGCCCCAGTTTCCTCATATATCAAATGAGTAAGTTGAAACAGCTTACTCATTTAAAGAATGAGTTTAAAGAATACAAAGTTTAAAGAATTACAGTTTAAAGAATACAAAGAACATTTTCAGTTTCTGTACTGTATTTCTGCTACAGTTGAGCAGCAAAATTGACACCCTGTTAGCCTCTGCAGCAAATGAGATATAGGACATAGGGCCAGAGCTTGGAGATGTGGTAAGTGGATTAAAGCTGCCATAGAATCAAAATTTTTAGCAATCAGTATGGCACGGGCACCTACCAATCAGAATGGGCCACCAACTAACCAGGAAGGATGCCAGGACATAAGCAACTCATGATGTCACACTTGTACACACTGGCTGCATATGCAACTCCCATTGATTGCCACTGAGAGGTTGTATAAAGAGAGGCAAAGAGGGTGAGTTCCAGATCTGGTCAACTTAGGTTCTATTCCTGGTTCTGCCCATTCTAGCTGTGTGATCTTGGAATGGTTCCTAAACTTCTCTGCATCTCAGTTTCCTTATCTATAAAAGGAAGATAATCACAGAGTTTGAAAAATAAGCTTTAAAAAGTTTTAGAACAATACCTGGCACTTGGAGAGCACTAATAAATGCTAGTTATTATTATTTCTGAAGAATGGCCCTGAGGGAATCTGCTTCCATATACACACAGAACTGCATCTTTCTCTTTTATACATGTTGAATCCACACAGGTAGGCAATGACTCATTCATGCAACCATGGTCTCCCCTTGGAAAAACTCCTAAATCCAATTAGGCTCTCAGTTCAACTAAACAAACTGTGGGCAAATCCCAATTGCTTCAGATACTTTATTTAGATGATTTCGGTAAGGAAGAAAAAACCTTTGACAGGAAACCAAAAACTCACAACAGACACATTTCATGGTTGGAACTACAGGAATTTCAAAGACATTTTCTTTTTTGGAATAAGGTTTGGGAGATTTGACTAAAATGTTATTTAAGAAGTAGGATTGGGAAGGAAGAGACACTTTATTTGTGGTATAATTGTTTCATCTCTACATTCTGAAATGGACTTTTGCCTGAGCACTTGCTTAAGCTCTATTTAAATATATGTTATTTTGTGGGAAGATAAAGTCTCTTAAATCACAAATGAAAGCAAAAATTAGAGAAGACCTGTTTGAATGGACAAAGAAGAGATCATAAACTGTGGCTTTCAGAAAAATCACTCATCTACACCGTCTTCTACAATTGGTAAAACCTGAAGAAATGAAAGCTCTAGAAACAGCCATGCTGTGCCAGTTTAGAAGTAATTTTTGTAGCTATTAGGGAAATTTATTTAAAACTAAAATTTTCCAGGATTTCTCCCAGAAGAGAATGGGTAGACAGACAGGAAGAGATCAACATAGTGGGTTTGGCATACTGACTCAAATGTAACTTTTGCAGACTGGCTCAGTGTCATCACTTAATATAAAATGATCTTCTTTATTGTTCTCCAACCCTTTGCATTCTTTTTCTTTAGAGCACCGCTCTCTGTTAAAATTACTATATGGGCTGAGTGTGGTGACTCACACCTGTAATCCAAGCACTTTGGGAGGCTGAGGCAGGAGAATTGCTCGCTTGAGCCCAGGAGTTTGAGACCAGCCTGGGCAACATAGTGAGACCCTGTCTCTACAAAAAATGTAAAAATTAGCCAGGCATGGTGGCCTGTACCTGCACTCCCAGCTACTTGGGATGCTGAGGTGGGAGGATTGCTGGAGCCCAGGAAGTTGAGGCTGCACTGAGCTGTGATGGTGCCACTGCACTCAAGCCTGGGCGAAAAAGCAAGACCCTGAGTCAAAAATAAATAATTAATTAATTAAAAATAAAAAATAAAATTACTATATGGATTATTTGCTCTCCTGATTATGGTCTATTTCCCCACAGAACATAACTTCATGACAGCAAGGACTATTTTGTTTCTTATTGTAGCTCCAGTTTTCAGAACCCCTGGAACGCAGTAGGATGCTCAATAAATATATGTTGGATTAATGAGTAAATGAATAAGTGAAAACAGTTGCTGTAGAGACCATTTTGAATGCACTGTTGGGTACATGCAGTGTCAGATATACATTATCAGTCAAATTGGCCACCTGATCAAATTGGTAGGTACTTTGACTAAATTAAGCAGTCAAATCAATCAAAAGTGATCAGCTCAGGAATTTTGTTCAGAGCCTTAGTGTACATTTGTTCCAGCTGAAAGTGATTTTGACAGAGAGATTTAGAAGTGTCCTCCTAGTATCCCTATTGAATAGTTTTCTTCTCTAATTGGCTATTTCCACAGTCATAATTAATGATAGAAAAACAATATATTAAATTGCAGAACAGTTAAGTTGTTAGGCCAAAATGGTCAATCTAGGTAAATCAAATCACATCAAGGGCTAGTGATTATGGAGCAATTGACCTGCATGTGGTCAGTATATTGACCATTGAATTAACTGATTTAGAACTTGGACAGGGCTCATTATGTGAGACCATACTCTCTGCATCCTTATTTTAAATTACCAAGAAGGATGTTCTAGAGTTTGATAGGGGCTGAATCTTACTGAGTGTTTGAGAAGTATATAGATATTGTTCATTCCTTTGGGAAAAGAAGCCTTAAGAAAAGATAGATAGAAAAGAGTAAAGGTGAGAAAATGGGAAGAGGACAGGCTGGTTGGCAGGCAATGAAACACCCCTCCACCCCCTGCCAAATACACACACACATCTAAACTAAAACAAATCAAAATAAAACAAGACTCAATTCCCTAAAGTCCAAAGCACTTAAAATGAAAGTAAAACAGTGCCTCCAAAGTATATTACCAGCAAGAATACATTCACGAGAGACCAGGGCAGTGTCCTGAGTGTTTTTATTAAGATGAAAAAAAAAACTTTCCAGCAGCTGCCTCCACTGTTGGAAAAGTTTTCTTAAAAATATACCTTACCAAATGCACTGAGTTGAATACGTGAGAGAAGACCTCTTAAGGTAAAGGAAATGCAAACTATTTTGTATGCTTTATGTCAACCAACTCTTTGTGGGTAGAACAATGAGAACACATGGACACAGGAAGGGGAACATCACACGCTGGGGCCTGTTGTGGGGTGGGGGCGGGGAAAGGGATAGCATTTGGAGATATACCTAATGTTAAATGACGAGTTGCTGGGTGCAGCACACCAACATGGCACATGTATACATATGTAACTAACCTGCACGTTGTGCACATGTACCCTAAAACTTAAAGTATAATTAAAAAAGAAAGAAATGTAAAAACAGAGCATTCCAAAGCCATATAGACAAAGTCTTCCCCAAAAATCAGGAGAGGACTTTTGTCCATCTCATAACAACAATGATTATTATGGTTCTTCACTGGTAAAGAGTCATAGCCAGCTCTAGCTAGGATGCTGGAATGTATCGGCTTCCAGGGCCAAAAATAAAAGTTGACAGTGGAGAAGGGAGAATTGATTTGTGAATTGAAATCATTCCCTATAGAATGAGGAGTGGCTGTGAGTGGGGTTGGGGGGTAGTGGGCAAAGGCATTTTCATGTCATAAATGGAACTTCTTTACATGCTTTGTAGGTATTTGACAAATGAAAGAATTAACAAATTTTCATTTCCATTAATATATGCCAGACTCCGTGCTGCATATTTTACATAAATTATTTTGTCTTAGCCTTAACAACAATCCCACATGGTATATACTATCATTCCTGTTTTGCAAGGTCAAGGTCAAACAGCCATCAAGAAGCGGGTGGTGAAACCCATACTTCCCTGCAGTAGCCAGCAAGTTGAGAAAGCTACACCAGAAAGAGTCCAATTCTGGGTGTCCATAAAGAATGGGGCATCTTGAACTTTGAAATAAACCAATCCTCCCTGGGCCCTTAAGTGTGTTGCTCTCTGGAGAGGGCAAAATGGGAACTGGGTAGTAGACAGCACTGGTCAATTTAGACAGAACCAAAACACAACCTGGGTGCAGGGGATACTTGTGTACCTTATAAGGAATTGGTTTTGTTTTCACAACAACTGGAAGCATATTTTCTTTCTCCATCCCCCCACGCTTGTTTTTTGAGACAGGTCACCCAGGCTGGAGTGCATGGGCACAATCACAGCTCATTCCACCTTAGCCTCCCAAGTAGTTGGAACCACAGGCACACACTACCATGCCCAGCTAATTTTGGTATTTTTTGTAGAGACAGGGTCTCACTATATTGCCCAGGCTGGTCTTGAACTCCTAGGCCAAAGGAATCCACCTGCCTTAGTCTCTCAGAGTGCTGGGATTATAGAAAAGAGGCATATTTTCATATTTGGAACACTATATTGGATTCACACCTATCAAGAGAGGTAATAGCCAATTCTGACTTTTTTTTAAAGATAATTAGAAACTAGAGGGGAAAGGAAAAATGAGGTGGGCATGCTGGGATTGCATAGTGGATTACATCTAGATATAAATCTGACTAGTAGTCAGATTTACTAGAGGAGAACATCTTGACTTCAGTCTTAAGTGAGGTGGGGAGGAAAGTGGGAGGCTGTCCCAGACACAAAGTAAAGACTTAAAAGAAGAAAAAGAGAGGAAGTGGAGGGAAGAGGAAATAGAGGAAACCTAGAAAAGGTGGGCAACAAACGAGAAAAGCAGACCAGAGCAGCCAGATATACCAGCCTTTAGGGGATGGTCTGTGTGAGGGGTGACTGATTAGATTGAGGGACATTTGGTGAATTGTAAACCCCACATACCATTTCACCTCTTTACATGAAATTGAAAGATAATCTGTGTGGCAGGAAACAAACCAACCAACCCTTCAGGTCTCTTAGTGCATTTAGATTTGTGCAGCCCTGCCCCATGCTTATCAGTGATTTCTGATTCCACAGCCTTATCACCAGCAATGTGAACCCTTCACTTTGCAATGCATTCAGCAGGGGAACAAATGAAAATCAAATAGGAAAAGGCAGGAGAACTCCATGCTGTATGCCAAGAGACAGGGGAAGTAAAAACATAACTTTGTAATGAAGTCATAGAAAGATTGTTAAGACATTCCATGTACAAGAGAAATCACCGTCTCAACAACGTGATTGCCCGACTCCCAGGCAGACAATGCTCCAGGCGAATGTCTACTTTTCTGAATAAAGCAATCGTGCCCTTAGACAAAAAAACAATTTTCCCACACATTGTAGAGGAAATGCAAAGTGGCACTTTGGATAGAAATTGAAAGTGCCTGTCACACACATTCTTCAGCCTACATTCCTTCCCAGAATGCTGGGAAAACTTTTTCTTGCTGTTCTAACGAATCCAGCCCCGCCTCCCCCAAACTGGCGATGGGAATATGAACCTGTCTGGAACTCACCAAATGACGGGCTATTTTTAGGGAAACAAAGAAGCAGTTTGGGTTCCATTACAGGGTGTCTGCCTCTAGTACAGCCAATGGAATTGTCCCGTTTTTTGCCTGTTTATGTATAGAAGCCCGGCCACTCACTGATACTACAGCTTGAGTTGGCCATAGGGAATTCGGTCTCTAGAAATGCAGTGTCTTGGCACTGGAGTGGGATTTCACTGATGATGAAATCAAATATGAATTTCAAGCAAGCCACTTCCTTTGACTACTTCAGGAAAATGCTGTAATGAGTAAGGTTTTTAAAACCAAACAGAAGGAGAACTGTTCATTAAGCCTAATAAGTTGCTGAATGCCACAGAACGCATTCATAGACTTTGGCAATACCTATACTATTATTTACACATTACCATAATGAGCACTTATTTCCAAGGAAGCTCAAATTGTTTCATAAATGCAAGTTTCTTAGTCCTTAGAGTATCCCTAGGCTACATATTGGGGATTCGTTTTTGTATTAGTCCATTCTCACACTGTTATAAAGAACTACCTGAAACTGGGTAATTTATAAAGAAAAGAGGTTTAATTGGCTCATGGTTCTGCAGGCTATACAGGAAGCATGGCTGGGGAGGCCTCAGGAAACTTGCAATCATGGCAGAAGGTAAAGAGGAAGCCGAATGTCTTCACATGGCCAGAGTAGGAGGAAGAGAGAGAGGGGGGAGGTGCTACACACTTTTAAACAATCAGATCTCACAATAACTCACTCTCTATTATGAGAACAGTGCCAAAAGGGTAATCCACCCCCATGATTCAATCACTTCCCACCAGGCCCCATCTCCAACACTGGGGATCACAATTCGACATGAGATTTGGGTGGGGCCACAGACCCAAGCCATATGAGTTTTACTAGCTCCATTTAAAAATAGAGAAAACAAAGGCCTAGAAAGGTTAAGCTTCTAGCCTCTGAGCAAAAAAAGATGTGAACTAGGGATGGAACTCAAGCCCCTGCCTTCTAATCCAGGGTGGTTTCCATTACACTAGTAGTACAGATGAGAAATGCACAAAAATGTTTTCTTGTGGCTGTAAGATGTAGTTTAAATTATCAGAACAGAGACAAGGGTGGGGTTGGGGCTGGGAAATCAACAGCCTTATGCAGTACAGCTTTGATGTTCTTGCTGCTGGACACTCTGGCCCCTAGGGTCATGAAGACAGGAAGGGGGTGGGATGCATGGCCATGGATGCAGAGGCCTTCTCCAAAGTCTAGGAGTAAGTGTCACAGTGAAAATTCCAGATGTTCTTTTCCCTGTCTCCTTCCTGGGTTTCAGGGAGGGGAGGACAGGTGGGGCAATGGGAAACACACTGCTCAGAGAGAGGAGGCCAGGCCCGGGGCCCTTGGGCCAATTGTTTTCCTCTTACCCAGAGGTGGCCAGAAGCCTGGAGCAGCTCAGCAGCACCATCAGCTCCTGAGAGCCTGACAGAAATGCAGAATCCCAGGTCCTACCTCAGACCTTAGGAATCCATTTCTGCTATTAACAAGATCTCTAGATGATTCGTTGCCCATTAAACTTTGAGATTCATTCTTAATAGTAGTCAAGCTTAAAGGCTAGGTTTACAGCACCTAATTTAGAATCGCCTGGTTTTCCACTTAAATTACTCGTGTGACCCCAGGCACATTACTTAAACTTCATTCACCCATCTGTAAAATTGGGGACAATAAGAGTGTCTGCATGAGAGGATTATTAAGAGGATCAAATGAGAGAATCCATAGTATTAAGGACAGGAGAGACAATTCGCATGTATATTATGAACAATGCCTAGGCACATAGCATGTGCTCTATATGTGTTACCTTCAGGGCTCCTACTGTAATTCACTCTAATGTAATTAATTGTACATGGTAAACTATATGGGGAAATAACACACTGATTTGCTCTGGGGCCCCCATATCTTTAGGAATGCCCTCCATTTCATAACCCATGTACCATCTTTACATTAACTATGTACTGGATCTTTTCTCCCAAACAACTCCCTGCCAACCCACAACCCCCAGCCCCAGAATTTTGTTTAGTGGGGAGGTTTCCATGCTGGGGATGCCAGTGGGGGCACAAGACCCTCCAACAGCTTGAGTCAGACCCTGCCCCACAGTTTAGCTACAATCTCACTCACCCCAGCTTCCACGGGATCCTGATGCTGTTCAGAAACTTGACTTTTAATAGAACAGCAGGACAGCCCTGCCATGCAGAGCTCTGTGGCAGCACCACCCTCAAAGCCTTGTATTGTCAGGAAGATTTGGAGGCTAAACTGGTTTGTAGCAAGACAGAGACATAATAGAATGAAACAGGCTGCCTACTGTTCCACTGACCTTTATTTAGCACATGGAGTTTGGTTAAAAACAAACAAACAAACAAACAAAACAAAAAAACAAAAAAAAACAATTCACTAGAGAATGAATTCTGCCATCCAGGTAAAGGCCAACCCAAATTGGTCTATTCATAAGAGATTGTGTTTTCTTTAACTGCCAGGGAGAGGTTTATAGGAAGAGGCCCACTTTCACCCACAAACCCAAAGTTTACTTCACACAGGCTGTCAACAGGCATCACTTAAGCAGTGGAACAAGGACTGGTTCCTTATTTGGCCCCAAGCCCTCCAGCCAGGAATTGAGGGAAAATGCACAGGAGAGCCTCCCGAGCCCTTTCCAGCTGGAGAAAACCACACCTCAAGGTTTTAGTGTTAATTTTTCAGTGAGAACATGTATTCAGGACTCCCTTTAGAATTTATGAATATCTAAATTATGGCATTTTCCCCCTCCTTCCCTCTTTCTTTCCTCCAGATCACAGGGAAAAAAGCAGAGATTTCAGGGTTAAAGTCTGAAATCAGCTGCCTTCAATGAAAAGAGAAAAACTTTATTAAACAGTTAACCCTCTGCTCACAGGGCACCACCTGGAAATATGACACTTCAGACCAATATCATGCTTTTTGTTTAAAAAATCCGGAAGTGTTGGTGGTCTCTCTCCAAATCACAAACCACTGAATTATGGAGACATTGCTTCAGGGTTGCTGATGCGAGTTCAGGTCTTCCCCTTCCACCACCCTATTCCTCCACATCTCTTCCCCTCTTAGCAGTCTCTGGTTTTTTACCCTGGCCTCCGTAAACACACTGACAATATAAACAGAAAGCAGGTGTTTATAATGTTGTGACCAACTATTGCTGAGGAAAGTCCACTCTGGGTTTATAACTCAGACCTCTCTTATCCCTGGTCTCTCTTGGAATGTGGACAACCTTCCAGGTATGGCCTCCGCAAATGTTGCTTGTCATTAGTGGGCACACACATTGATAGCAGGGATAGGATGTAACAGGAAGAAACAGGCTTCCTGCTGTTCTCTTGACATTTATTCAGTTGGAGTGGGGTGCATGTTTATATCAATGTAAAATAGCTGTCACATGAACACAGCCTGCCATAAAGAAGAAAAACAAGAACCAAGTGAGGAAGGGAGGAGGGAAATGACGGAGACTGAAGTATTTACTAGGTGAAAAACATACAGAGAGGCAGAGAATTTGTTATTTTAGTTATTGAACATTTAATTTGGTAAAGTTCTAGTAATAAAAGATATGAATCATATAAATGGTTGGGTTTTGGCTTTCTCATGTAAAATCGGAACTGGCAAAATTGCTGCATTGACAGCTTTGTAGGTAGAAACATACAAAAAGCAGCTGCTCTGGGGGTCTCGGCACAGCTTATACAAGCTGGATCACTGTTCATGGTTCATCACAGGTTTGCTGACATCTCTATTTCCATTTATGAAAAATCTGGGTGCCACTTAAACCTTGGCAAGACCACAGGGAGCCAAACAGAAGGCATCTAACAGCATTTTCTACTTACCGCCCTGTATTCCGGGAAATCCCAGACAAACCCTGTAGATTCTTGATGCACACAGAGATGCTCAGATCACTTTTGGCTTCCATGAGCACTCTTTTGGGGGAGAAAAAGCTGGCTGGCCAAGATCGGACATCAAACCAACCATTAAACCCAAGTCACTCTTTCTGCTCCTGAAGGTCTTCTAGCAGCTCTCCAGCTCCAGCTTGCATCAGTATCACTAGGAGGGCTTGTTAAAACACAGCTCGTTGAGGCCTCCCCTAGAGTTTATGATGCAGTGCCTCAGGGGTGGGGATTTAAAATTTGCATTTCTGAGTCTACAGCTCCCAGCGTGAACAACACAGAAGATGGGTGATTTCTGCATTTCCAACTGAGGTACCGGCTTCATCTCACTAGGGAGTGCCGGACAGTGGGGGCAGGACAGTGGGTGCAGCACACCATGTGTGAGCTGAAGCAGGGCGAGGCATTGCCTCACCCGGGAAGCACAAGGGGTCAAGGAATTCCCTTTCCTAGTCAAACAAAGGGGTGACAGACGGCACCTGGAAAATTGGGTCACTCCCACCCTAATACTGTGCTTTTCCGATGGGCTCAACAAACGGCACACCAAGAGATTATATCCCACACCTGGCTTTGAGGGTCCTACGCCCACAGAGCCTCACTCATTGCTAGCATAGCAGTCTGAGATCAAACTGCAAGGTGGCAGCGAGGCTGGGGGAGGGGCGCCCGCCATTGCCCAAGATTGAGTAGGTAAACAAAGCGGCTGGGAAGCTCGAACTGGGTGGAGCCCACCCAGCTCAAGGAGGCCTGCCTGCCTCTGTAGGCTCCACCTCTGGGGGCAGGGCACAGACAAACAAAAGACAGCAATAACCTCTGCAGACTTGAATGTCCCTGTCTGACAGCTTTCAGGAGAGTAGTGGTTCTCCCAGCACACAGCTTGAGATCTGAGAACAGGCAGACTGTCTCCTCAAGGGGGTCCCTGACCCCTGAGTAGCCTAACTGGGAGGCACTCCCCAGTAGGGGCAGACTGACACCTCACACAGCTGGGTACTCCTCTGAGACAAAACTTCCAGAGGAACGATCAGGCAGCAGCATTTGTGGTTCACCAATATCTGCTGTTCTGCAGCCACCGCTGCTGATACCCACGCAAATGGTCTAGAGTGGACCTCCAGCAAACTCCAACAGACCTGCAGCTGAGGGTCCTGAGTGTTAGAAGGAAAACTAACAAACAGAAAGGACATCCACACCAAAAACCCATCTGTACATCACCATCATCAAAGACCAAAGGTAGATAAAACCACAAAGATGGGGAAAAAACAGAGCAGAAAAACTGGAAACTCTAAAAAGCAGAGCGCCTCTCCTCCTCCAAAGGAACGCAGCTCCTCACCAGCAACGGAACAAAGCTGGACAGAGAATGACTTTGACGAGTTGAAAGAAGAAGGCTTCAGAAAATCAAACTACTACAAGCTAAAGGAGGAAGTTCAAACCAATGGCAAAGAAGTTAAAACCTTTGAAAAAAAAATTAGACGAATGGACAACTAGAATAACCAACACAGAGAACTCCTTAAAGGACCTGATGGAGCTGAAAACCATGGCACAAGAACTACGTGACGAATGCACAAGCCTCAGTAACTGATGCAATCAACTGGAAGAAAGGGTATCAGCAATGGAAGACAAAATGGAAGACACACACATGAAATGAAGTGTGAAGAGAAGTTTAGAGAAAAAAGAATAAAAAGAAATGAACTAAGCCTCCAAGAAATATGGGACTATGTGAAAAGACCAAATCTATGACTGATTGGTGTACCTGAAAGTGATGGGGAGAATGGAACCAAGTTGGAAAACACTCTGCAGGATATTATCCAGGAGAACTTCCCCAATCTAGCAAGGCAGGCCAACATTCAAATTCAGGAAATACAGAGAACGCCACAAAGATACTCCTCCAGAAGAGCAACTCCAAGACACATAATTGTCAGATTCACCAAAGTTGAAATGAAGAAAAAAATGTTAAGGGCACCCAGAGAGAAAGGTCGGGTTACCCTCAAAGGGAAGCCCATCAGACTAACAGCTGATCTCTGGGCAGAAACTCTACAAGCCAGAAGAGAGTGGGGGCCAATATTCAACATTCTTAAAGAAGAGAATTTTCAACCCAGAATTTCATATCCAGCCAAACTAAGTTTCATAAGTGAAGGAGAAATAAAATCCTTTACAGACAAGCAAATGCTGAGAGATTTTGTCACCACCAGGCCTGCCCTAAAAGAGCTCCTGAAGGAAACACTAAACATGGAAAGGAACAACCGGTACCAGCCCTGCAAAATCATGCCAAATTGTGAAGACCATCAAGGCTAGGAAGAAACTGCCTCAACTAATGAGCAAAATAACCAGCTAACATCATAATGACAGGATCAAAGTCACACATAACAATACTAACCTTAAATGTAAATGGGCTAAATACTCCAATTAAAAGGCACAGACTGGCAAACTGGATAAAGAGTCAAGACCCATCAGTGTGCTGTATTCAGGAAACCCATCTCACATGCAGAGACACACATAGGCTCAAAATAAAGAGATGGAGTAAGATCTACCAGACAAATGGAAAACAAAAAAAGTCAGGGGTTGCAATCCTAGTTTCAGATAAAACAGACTTTAAACCAACAAAGATCAAAAGAGACAAAGAAGGCCATTACATAATGGTAAACGGATCAATTCAACAAGAAGAACTAACTATCCTAAATATATATGCACCCAATACAGGAGCACCCACATTCATAAAGCAAGTCCTTAGTGACCTACAAGGAGACTTAGACTACCACACAATAATAGTGGGAGACTTTAACACCCCACTGTCAACATTAGACAGATCAACGAGATAGAAAGTTAACAAGGATATCCAGGAATTGAACTCAGCTCTGCACCACGAAGACCTAATAGACATCTACAGAACTCTCCACCCCAAATCAACAGAATATACATTCTTTTCAGCACCACACCACACCTATTCCAAAATTGACCACATACTTGGAAGGAAAGCTCTCCTCAGCAAATGTAAAAGAACAGAAATTATAACAAACTATCTCTCAGACCACAGTGCAATCAAACTAGAACTCAGGATTAAGAAACTCACTCAAAACCGCTCAACTACATGGAAACTGAACAACCTGCTCCTGAATGACTACTGGGTACATAACAAAATGAAGGCAGAAACAAAGATGTTCTTTGAAACCAACAAGAACAAAGACACAACATACCAGAATCGCTGGGACACATTCAAAGCAGTATGTAGAGGGAAATTTATAGCACAAATGCCCACAAGAGAAAGCAGGAAAGATCTAAAATTGACATCCTAACATCACAATTAAAAGAACTAGAGAAGCAAGAGCAAACACTTTCAAAAGCTAGCAGAAGGCAAGAAATAACTAAGGTCAGAGCAGAACTGAAGGAAATAGAGACACAAAAAACCCTTCAAAAAATCCATGAATCCAGGAGCTGGTTTTTTGAAAAGATCAACAAAATTGATAGACTGCTAGCAAGACTAATAAAAAAGAGAGAAGAATCAAATAGACGCAATAAAAAATGACAAAGGGGATATCACCACCGATCCCACAGAAATACAAACTACCATCAGAGAATACTATAAACACCTCTACACAAATAAACTAGAAAATCTAGAAGAAATGGATAAATTCCTGGACACATACACTCTCCCAAGACTAAACCAGGAAGAAGTTGAATCTCTGAATAGACCAATAACAGGATCTGAAATTGAGGCAATAATTAATAGCTTACCAACCAAAAAAAGTCCAGGACCAGATGGATTCATAGCCGAATTCTACCAGAGGTACAAGGAGGAGCTGGTACCATTCCTCCTGAAACTATTCCAATCAATAGAAAAAGAGGGAATCCTCCCTAATTCATTTTATGAGGCCAGCATCATCCTGATACCAAAGCCTGGCAAAGACACAACCAAAAAAGAGAATTTTAGACCAATATCCTTGATGAACATCGATGCAAAAATCCTCAATAAAATACTGGCAAACCAAATCCAGCAACACATCAAAAAGCTTATCCACCATGATCAACTGGGCTTCATCCCTGGGATGCAAGGCTGGTTCAACATACAAAAATCAATAAACATAATCCAGCATATAAACAGAACCAAAGACAAAAACCACATGATTATCTCAACAGATGCAGAAAAGGCCTTTGACAAAATTCAACAACCCTTCATGCTAAAAACTCTCAATAAATTAGGTATTGATGGGACATATCTCAAAATAATAAGAGCTATCTATGACAAACCCACAGCCAATATCATACTGAATGGACAAAAACTGGAAGCATTCCCTTTGAAAACTGGCACAAGACACGGATTCCCTCTCTCACTACTCCTATTCAACATAGTGTTGGAAGTTCTGACCAGGGCAATCAGGCAGGAGAAGGAAATAAAGGGCATTCAATTAGGAAAAGAGGAAGTCAAATTGTCCCTGTTGGCAGACAACATGATTGTATATCTAGAAAACCCCATTGTCTCAGCCCAAAATCTCCTTAAGCTGATAAGCAACTTCAGCAAAGTCTCAGGATACAAAATCAATGTACAAAAATCACAAGCATTCTTATACACCAATAAAAGACAGCGAGCCAAATCATGAGTGAATTCCCATTCACAATTGCTTCAAAGAGAATAAAATACCTAGGAATCCAACTTACAAGGGATGTGAAGGACCTCTTCAAGGAGAACTACAAACCACTGCTCAATGAAATAAAAGAGGACACAAACAAATGGAAGAACATTCCATGCTCATGGGTAGGAAGAATCAATATCATGAAAATGGCCATACTGCCCAAGGTAATTGATAGATTCAATGCCATCCCCATCAAACTACCAATGACTTTCTTCATAGAATTGGAAAAAACTACTTTAAAGTTCATATGGAACCAAAAAAAGAGCCCACATTGCCAAGTCAATCCTAAGCCAAAAGAACAAAGCTGGAGGCATCACGCTACCTGACTTCAAACTATACTACAAGGCTACAGTCACCAAAACAGCATGGTACTGGTACCAAAACAGAGATATAGACCAATGGAACAGAACAGAGCTCTCAGAAATAATGCCACATATCTACAACTATCTGATCTTTGACAAACCTGACAAAAACAAGAAATGGGGAAAGGATTCCCTATTTAATAAATGGTGCTGGGAAAACTGGCTAGCCATATGTAGAAAGCTGAAACTGGATCCCTTCCTTATACCTTATACAAAAATTAATTCAAGATGGATTAAAGACTTAAAAGTTAGACCTAAAACCATAGAAATCCTAGAAGAAAATATAGGCAATACCAGTCAGGACATAGGCATGGGCAAGGACTTCATGTCTAAAACACCAAAAGCAATGGCAACAAAAGCCAAAATTGACAAATGGGATCTAATTAAAGTAGAGAGCTTCTGCACAGCAAAAGAAACCACCATCAGAGTAAACAGGCAACCTACAGAATATGAGAAAATTTTTGCAACCTACTCATCTGACAAAGGGCTAATATTCAGAATCTACAATGAACTCAAACAAATTTACAAGAAAAAAAACAAACAACCCCATCAAAAAGTGGGCGAAGGATATGAACAGACACTTCTCAAAAGAAGACATTTATGCAGCCAAAAAACACATGAAAAAATGCTCACCATCACTGACCATCAGAGAAATGCAAATCAAAACCACAATGAGATACCATCTCACACCAGTTAGAATGGTGATCATTAAAAAGTCAGGAAACAACAGGTGCTGGAGAGGATGTGGAGAAATAGAAACACTTTTACACTGTTGGTGGGACTGTAAACTAGTTCAACCATTGTGGAAGTCGGTGTGGCGATTCCTCAGCGATCTAGAACTAGAAATACCATTTGACCCAGCCATCCCATTACTGGGTATATACCCAAAGGATTATAAATCATGCTGCTATAAAGACACATGCACACGTATGTTTATTGCGGCACTATTCACAATAGCAAAGACTTGGAACCAACCCAAATGTCCAACAATGATAGACTGGATTAAGAAAATGTGGCACATATACACCATGGAATACTATGCAGCCATAAAAAGCATGAGTTCATGTCCTTTGTAGGGACATGGATGAAGCTGGAAACCATCATTCTCAGCAAACTATCACAAGAACAAAAAAACCAAACACCGCATGTTCTCACTCATAGGTGGGAATTGAACAATGAGAACACATGGACACAGGAAGGGGAACATCACACACCGGGGACTGTTGTGGGGTGGGGTAAGGGGGGAGGGATAGCATTAGGAGATATACCTAATGCTAAATGATGAGTTAATGGGTGCAGCACACCAACATGGCACATGTATACATATGTAACAAACCTGCATGTTGTGCACATGTACCCTAAAACTTAAAGTATAATAATAATAAAATAAAAAGAAAAGAAAAAATTAAAAAAAAAAAAGAAAATTTGCATTTCTAACAAGTTCCCTAATGCTGCTGCTGCTGGTGGTGATCTGCAGCCTGCTCTCTGAGAATACTATGTTAGGGAAACATGAAGGGCTGGGAAGTTCCAGAAAAGTCCTGCTATGGCTTCACTATTTAAGCTTGAATTGCCTCTGCTGTCCTGGGGGAAATGTTTAAAGTGATTGACTCTGAAACAATGCCTTCAGGCCTAGAGCTGACAAGAATAGGCCTATTTCTTAAAGGGAAAGGCAGAAACATCTCGGACTTGGTGTCTGTCCTTGAGACTGTATTTGGAGTCACACCAACCCGGAACATCTGACAAGTCAGAGGAGCCAGGGACTTTCACAGGCTGTGTGGACCTGCAGAGAAGCCACATATCATGAGACGCCTGTGTGCAATACCTCCCCACACTTCGTAAGAATTGATTAGGGATCTTTTCTTTTTCCCCACAACTAGTATTCAAATTATTTAGAGCAAAAGAACAAGGGAACTTATGGAAAACAATGGAATGAGTACAGAATAGTTGTTCTTCTTGATCATTTCCTTGAACATTTCAAATGTTCCTGTGGCAGACAGCCAAAACTATGGAACATTCAATGAAACAATTGCACATCACAGATGCTTATCATCATCAAATTTAACATGCCACTCTAATTAATGCAAACCTTCATATTTCTGATAGGAACCTTCACTTTCTTAGTTTTCTTTACTTTTTGTTCATCACCATAAGCATTAACTGCTTTTCATAATGAAGCAAAAGGAAATTATTATACATCACAAGAATTGTTGTGTATTCCACACGCATGGAACTTCAAAGTCTGTTTGAGATGTGGGTATTTACTTGCTAGCTCAGAGACTCACTCCCACACATTCGCCTTGGAGCATGTACTTCATCAAAATTACAATCCATCATGAAGCTTTGTGGTTGAAAAAGCAAACGTTAAAATCATTACTGGCCAAGGGTTGAATGACCCAGACTGCCTTGCACTCTGGGTTCCAAGCCAGGCCCTCCATTCACTGGCCATGTGCCCTTGTCCAGGTCACTAAATCTTTCTGGGCCCCATCTTCCTTATCTGTGCTTTGGCAGTTTTCTTGACCTGCCAGAAGACGGTTTTGCAATGCAGTGGATTCCATTGTTGGTCAGCTCACAAAAGCAAAGATTCTTCTGTAATTTATGCCCAAGTCTGACTCCTCTTATCACTACTCACTTTCCCTAATTGTGCCCTCTGGAAAAACACAGATAAGCCTTCTCCCTCTTCACATGATCGAAAACAGCTGTCATGTCCCCTTTAAATCTTCTTTTTGGCGGTGCATCTGAAGTTCCCTCTACTGTTTCTAGTAGCAGATTACCAAAAATGTACTATAGCTCTTGGCAAAGAGATGTTCAATAAATATAAGTTAAACAAATGAGTAAGTGAATGGATGGATAATGTATAGGTAAACACAAATATTCACCTGCTCAACCTCTCAAGTTAGTTAATGATTCCTTTAAGTGAGGTGCCTAGAGCTAGGG
Source organism: Homo sapiens (assembly GCF_000001405.40). NCBI lineage: Eukaryota > Metazoa > Chordata > Mammalia > Primates > Hominidae > Homo > Homo sapiens. The sequence goes on along the minus strand of NC_000005.10, from coordinate 66,442,731 downwards.
TCAGTAGAGTTGGCTTTTGACAATCACCAAGTTAACATTTGCAGTTTCAGTTATTTGTGAGTGACTCTAAAGGCCTATCCAATGTAGTCATTTATGGTTATGGAACAAACAAACAAAACAAAATGGAACTGATGCTACCAGGTTAGTGTAACAGTTAAGTCATTTAAATCATCCAGCTAGTGAGTGAGCCTAGCTGACTTCCCCATATCCAAATCTTAATTTGACTTTTATTATGCATGTATTTCATAGTGCCAATGATATCCTATAATGGTGCCAGAAAATCTGGAAATTTGTCAGGATCTTAGGTCACACCCCTCTCAAATTATAAAGGTCAAAGATTTTCCAAATGGAAAAAGAACCCGGGGAGGTGATGATTTTCAATTATGTGGTCCCTATGTAATGATGAGTCCTGAGCTTTCATCAGCCTTCTTAGCTGGATCACATCAAACCACATGGGGATTTTTCAGATGAACTGCTATTCAGCCTGCTCTTCTTTTTGCTCTATTATGCTTATTGCATTTTAGAAGTTGAGAGTAAACTCTCCTAGAGAGATTGGCTGGCTACTCTACTAGGCCTCAGAGGGAGATGGAATCTAAGTGGATTCTCCTCCTCAGTTTTATGTGTCTAGAAACTCCATCATATTAGAGCAGTCATTGCTCTTCTGGTGCTTTGGCCTGATTCACACAAATCCAACTCCAAAAAGATTGATGTATAAACGAAAATGCCTTTTAAAAATTTCTAATGAGATCTATATTTTTGCAGTGACTGATACTTGTGTCTAATATTAAGCAGATAGCTTGTAAAAACCTAGGGAAACAATTAGTAATTAAAAGTTTACTGGGCACAGAACCTAAACAAAAAACAAAAACAAACAGAATGTTCTTGAATCACATAAAGTATACTGCCCTAATATTAAAGTACTTACGTCTGCTAAATACTGCCTTTCTCTCATGGTCTGTGTAAACACCAACAAATCCTTCCTATTAGATTTCTCTTTATCTAGACTCTAAGCAGACCATCCACCTCCTATAAATCTATTCTTCCTCTAGACAGAAGGAAATACAATGGCTTAGGTCATAACTTTAAGTTATATTCCATGCGTGAAGATATTCTCCTAGCTATCATGATTGTAGGAGAATGCTTTCCAGGCTTTTATTTCAGCAACACATTATAAACACTCTCTTAACATGAATGACCTTTCATCTATTTTAGTTTTCTAATACTTTCATTTTTGGAATAGTTAATATACACACATAATAAAATAATTGTGTTTCAAAAAGTATCAAAAAAAGACATACAGTGAAAAGTTATCTCCCACTCCTGCATCCCATCTTTTCCACCATCAGTCTCTTGTGTATCTATCCAAAGATAATCTACACACATTCTTTTCTTTTGCATAATATAATGGTAGTATACTGTGCACATGGTTTTGTTTTTTGTTTCTAGAATTACATTATTCTCTGTAATAGCTGCGTAGAATTTCATCATATAGATGTACCATCTTTATTTAACTAGTCCTAGTAATGATACACATTTAGATTGTTTTCAGTCCTTGGTCATTACAAAGACTGCTACAATAAATAACATTGTTTAATTAATATTTCACACCTGTGCAAGTATATTTTTGGATGATACACTTGCACAGGGGTGAAATATTAATTAAATAATTCCTAAATGTGGAATTACATTTTTACTGTAATAGATATTGTCTAATATGTCTCCATAGCGTTGATCTGATTTACATTTTTACTAGCAATTTATGAGGGTGCCTATTCCCACACACCTCACCACAGAAAGAGTTCATTAGTTATCTATTGCTGTGTAAAAAGTAACAGTAGGCTGTGCACACTGGCTCTGCCTATAATCCCTGCACTTTGGGAGGCCAAGGTGGGCGGATCGCTTGAGCCCAGGAGTTTGAGACCAGCCTGGGCAACACGGTGAAACCCCCATCTCTACAAAAACACAAAAAATCAGCTGGATGTAGTGGCTTGTGCTGTGGTCCCAGCTACTTGGGAGGCTGAAGGGGGAGGATTGCTTGAACCCAGGAGGTGGAGGTGACAGTGAGCTGAGATCACTGTACTCCAGCCTGGGCCACAGAGAAAAAAAAATTACCACAATGCTAAATAGCTTAAAATAACATATATTATCTCATCTCTCAGTTTCTGTGAGTCAGGAATTTAAAGGAACTTAGTTGGGTGGTTCTGCCTCGCTGACTCTTATGAGGTTGGACAATGCTGCAGTCATCCAGGGTGGGAGGATCCACTTCCAAAACGTCTCACTCACATGACTATTGGCAGAAAGCCTCAGTTCCTTGAAAATGTGGACTTCTCTGCAGGCCTTCTGGAGTGTCCTCCTGACAGCAACTGGCCTTTCCCAGAGAGAGTGATCCAACAGAGAGAGCAAGTAGGATATAGCTGCGCCTTTCATGACAGCCTCAGAAGCCACAAATCACCGTGTCTGCTATGTTTTATTCATCAGAAGTGAGTCGCTGAGTCCAACCATATTCACAGGGAGGCAAAGTAAGCTCTACCTCTTAAAGGAAAGGAGTATCCAAGAATTTGTGGATATATTTTAAAACGGCCACAGTGAGTTATCAAACTTGTTTTTATCTTTGCCAATATGATAGGTGGAAATGGTATCTATTGTGATTTTAATGTGCAATTTCCTTATTGTGAGTTTTTTTACAGCTTTACTGAGGTATAATTGGTATACAAAAACTGCATATATTTAATGTGTACAATTTGATGAGTTAGAACATATGCAAACATCCATGATCTCATCACCACAATCAAGGTAATAGACATCCAACACCTTACAAGATAAACAAAATTGACTAATCTTTAGCTAGATTAAGAAAAAGAGGGAGACAACTCAAGTTAATGAAATCAGAAACAAAAGAGGAGACCTTGCGCTGTCACAGAAATTAAAAGGAGAGAGTAGTATGGAAAATGATATCACAACAAATTGGATAACCTGGAAGAAGCAGATAAATTTCTAGATACATACAACCTACCAAGACTGAATCATGAATAAATAGAAAATCTGAACAGATCAATAATGAGTAAGGAGATTGAATCATTAATTTAAAATTTCCCAAGAAAGAAAAGCTCAGGACCAGATGGCTTCATTCATGAATTCTAATTTTTTTTTTTTTAGAAAAAGAAAACCATTCATATTTCCTTTCTGTAAACTGTCTGTCCATTACCTTTGTTGATTTTTCTGTTGGGGTTTTGATGTTTGTCTGAGGATATGAATTGCAAATATTTTCCCTGTTTGCCTGTTAACTTCCTCTGTGGTGGGATTTTTTTTTTCATGCCAACTTTCTAATGAAATTAAATTTTCAAATGTTTCTACTATTTGGAGCATCTTAGAAAGAACTTTAGGGCCAGGTGCGGTGGCTCACACCTGTAATCCCAGCATTTTGGGAGGCCGAGGTGGGCAGATCACCTGAGGTCAGGAGTTCAAGCCCAGCCTGACCAACATGGCGAAACCCCATCTCTACTGAAAATACAATATTAGCCAGATGTGATGGTGCATGCCTGTAATCCCAGCTACTGGGGAGACAGAGGCAGGAGAATCGCTTGATCCTGGGACGCAGAGGTTGCAGTGAGCCAAGATTGTGTCATTGCACTCCAGCCTGGGCAACAAGAGCAAAACTCCATCTCAAAAAAAAAAAGAAAGAAAGACCTTCAGCTCTCTGAGCATATGGTTAACAATCTGCTATGTGTTCATATATATACACATACGTGTGTGTGTGTGTGTGTGTGTGTGTGTGTGTTTTGGTGGGGGAACAAGGTTTGCTTTGTCACCCAGACTGCAGTGCAGTGGCATGATCATGGCTCACTGCAATCCTCCCACTTCAGCCTCCTGAGTAGCTGAGACTGAAGCAATCCTCCCACATCAGCCTCCTGAGAAGCTAGGACTACAGTTGCATACCACCACGCTCAGCTAATTTTTTAATTTTTGTGGAGACAGGTCTCACTGTGTTGCCCAGAGTGGCTTCAAACTCTCGGGCTCAAGTGATCCTCCTTCTTGGCCTCCCAAAGTCCTGGGATTACAGGCATGAACTGCTGTGCCTGGTCTGTTTTCTTCTATATTTTTGTGGTGTATTTTTTTCTATATTCAAATATTTGATTCACCTAAAATATATTTTGGTATAAGCTGTGAGGTAAGGAATCAAATCTTTTTTTTAGTTCCAGAAGTTGACTGCAGATCCTTGAATAACATTGTTTAGTTAACCATTTCTTCACAACATTGATGAGAAAAATAAATTGCTTTCCAGCCAGAGCCACTCTCTATGTGGAGTTTGCACTTTCTCCCCACATCTGCATGGGCTTTCTCCAGGTACTTTAGTTTCTACCCACATCCCAAAGATATGCACCTTAGGTTTATTGGCGTGTCTAAATTGTCCCAGTGTGAGCAAGAGTGAGTGCGTGGGAGTGTGCCCTGTGATGGGATGACATCCTACCCAAAGTTGGTTCACCTCTTATGCCCTGAGATGCCAAGATAGACTCTGGCCACCATGACCCTGAACTGAAATAAGCCGGCTGGAAAAGGAATGAATGAATACAAATAATTGTAAAGTAAAAATTCATAAAGTATTCAATAATCATGCAAATGCACAACAATAAACGATGAGGTACAAAAGCACTCAGCAAACCTACCACATTTATGACTGTTTTGGAACTGCATAGGGGCAAGAGAGGCTCCTCACAATTATCACTTTGCAAACATTTATTCCTTCATTTAACCCACCACCACTACACCTGCCATTACTCACTGACTCACCACAAATTGACTAGTCATTTACTGATTTTTATTAATCTTTCTCAAATGTTTGTATAGCTCATACTTATTTCAATGTTTAAGATTAGAACTGTTGGGGATATTTATTTAGAAGTTTGGCGATTTTTTTTTGTGCCAGAAATATGCCATAGGAACTTAGTTCTTGTTTCTCCTAATTAGCCTATGGTAAAATTAGTTTCATTATGTGTCCAGTTTCCAGTTACCTATAGACAAGCAGTCCCCAAATTTTCTTGGCACCAGGGACCAGTTTCATGAAAGACAATTTTTCCATGGGCCAGGGTGGCAGGGGATGGTTTAAAGATGAAACTGTTCCACCTCAGATTATCAGGCATTAGATTCTCATAAGGAGTGTGCAACCTAGATCCCTCACATGTGCAGTTCACAATAGGGTTCATGCTCCTGTGAGAATCTAATGCTGCAGCTGATCTGACAGGAGGTGGAGCTTAGGCCATAATGCTCACCTGCCACTCATCTCGGGCTGTGCGGCCTGGTTCCTAACAGGCCACAAACTGATAGCAGGGGTTGGGGACCCCTGCTATAGACAATGTTAAGTGAGGAGTTACTGTACCTAGTTTCACCAATATCATTTGTTGAATAATTGCTATGTTCTCCTTTGATCAGCTAGTGTCCTGTTAGGAAATGTGGAAGTACTCTAGATATTTCCAGCAGAGAATAAATTAATGCAAACAATTTGTGACAAGGAATTGGAAGGGCTAAAGAAGCAACAGGGGAAAGAGATATTAGTCTGTGATCATGACGCTGCTAGTGCTCCTGGGCTGGAAACCAACAGTTTATTTTCACTGCTGAGCTGCTGGCTGCAGGGCCATTGCTTTTTTGGAACATTTCTGTAGACATTGAGCAGGAACCCCAGAACTTACATTCTAAGGATGCTGCTCAAACTACCACCATTCTTACTAATGCTGGTGGAGCCCAAGTTACCTGCTGCTGATGTTCCTCCTGCGGCCAGAAGAGGCACCAGAAGCAGAAAAATGGCTCCTTCTCACCTCTTGTTCCTCAATCCCAACCAGTGAGTGGCCCTCAGTTGCAGAACCTTACCATAGGCAGCTGACAAGAAAATCCAGAAATGTGGCGCTCTGGCTTCCAGCCAGCATATTTGTGGCAGAGGGGAGCATGGAAGGTTGGGAATGGGGGTAAATGCCAACATATAATCGGCTCACCCTCTGCTTTGAAAAATCACAAAATAAATTCCTCAATGCTTGAGGATCTATTCCTAATTTTTTTCCACTAGTTTATTTATCTACTTAACATTCAGTGTCACGTTGTTTTGAATATTATGTTTTTATATCTAGTAGAAACAGTTCCCTCATTTTTTTTCATAACTTACCTAGCTTTCCTGGATTGTTTATTTTTTCCATATAAATTTTAGGAGGCCAAAGCCTTATCTGTTAAGAAATCAGGGCCATATAAGTTTTAGAATTAGCTTGTCTAGTTCTAAAAGAACTGCAGTTGCATTTTATTGGCAGTATGTTATACATTTAGTTTACCTTAAGGAGAATTAATATCTTTATAATGATATAATTTTCTATCAGTTTAGTATATTATTTGTTCAAGTGTCCTTTTGTGACCCTCATTAATATTTAAAGTTTTCATCCTATAAATCTTGTACATTTCTTAAGTTTATCCTTAAGTATTTCACGTATTTTGTATTTGCCCTTGGGGGCCTCTTGTTCTTATTGATTATAATTTGCATATATGAAGGCTATTGATTTCCATATACTACCTTTATTTAGTTACCTTGCCACATTCCCTGATTATAACAACATTTCAATTTATTGTCTCTTGGATTTTTTGAGGCAAATAAATCTGCTAATAATTATAACTTTATGTGCTATATCCCAACTTTTGAACCATCCATTTCTTTCTCTTCTCTAATTGTGCTGAAAAACTCCACTAGGCCATGATAAATTACACTAGTGACGCTGTGTTCTTTCCTTGTTCCTGATTTTAATAGGAATGCTTCTACTCTTTTCCTGATAGGCATGATACTGGGTTTTGCATAACACAGTAATATCTGTTAAATTCTATTCTATTAAAACTTTTTTTAAAAATCAAGAACAGATGTTGAATTTTCTCAAAAAATTGATGGAAATCTTTCTATAATATTTGAATCCATTAATGTGAAATATATTAATAAACATACAAATATTGAAACACCCTTACATTCATGGAATAAATTCCTTTGGTCGTGTAATATTAATCTTTTAATATGCTATCTGTTTGCACACATTTTATTGAGGGTTGTGGCAATGATCGTCATGACTGAGAATAGTCCGTAGGTTTATGTGTGTGCTCTTTGTCCTCATCCATTTAAAGTTGATTTTTGCTAGCTTCACTCTTAGTGACCTTGCTACCAATTTTCTCAGGGCTTCTTACAGTGGCCTCCTATATGCTGATTTTAATGAAATTGATCTTCTAAACATAAACCTGCAATATCTTTGGGGTGGAAGAAAAAAAGATACGAAAAGAATAAACATAAACCTGGACTTGATGTTTATTTCTTATAATTCCCTCATGGTTTTATTTAATTGCAGCAATCCACCAACATCTTTTTGATTCCTGACTTCCCTTTGTAGATTCTATACTGTGACTTGAAGAACAGTTGGCAAATGGGTCAAAAGCCAGTAGATAGGCTGGCCCATAATTTCTCCCTTACCTTGTGAGAAAATATAAAAAGAATGAGAATCAGGTCATGACTCTCCACCCCAGGAAAGAAGAACAATCAAGAAACACCTGCTAGTGGCATGCCAGGCCAGACACACCCATCGGGGTCTCCTGCAGTCAAGAAGGAGGGGGCCGTGCAAGCTGGGAGGTGAGAGAATCTCCAAGGCCATGGCTTTGGTTTCCAGCAGCATCTCTTTCAGTAAGTTGGTAGGCAGAAAGCATTCTGCAAACTAGGACTGAGGGCAATAAGTAGAATATTGCTGTTAGCATGTAGGATCGTTTATGATTACTCATGCCAGGTCAAAGTTATAGTGTCAAACACTCACACCTGTCAGGGTGAGAAATGAGGGGTCAGCCTGTCAGAAACTATTTGCTACATTGGCTCAAGATTCCTACCCTGTTTGATGGAAAAACATGCGATTCCAAGGGATGTTTCACAGACTGGGAAACAACTGACGGGATACCATAATTACTATTTTTAAATTTCCAGTAAAGACTACACTTATTCTTTTTAGACTCTGCCTACATTGCCAAGATAAGCTGCTAAAAATTCTAATCAGACTGGGCTCAGTGGCTCACACCTGTAATCCCACACTTTGGGAGGTCCAGGCAGGTGGATCACTTGAGGTCAAGAGTTCGAGACCAGCCTAGCCAACATGGTGAAACCCTGTCTCTACTAAAAATACAAAAATTAGCCAGGCATGGTAGTGGGCGCCTGTAGTCCCAGCTATTTGGAAGACTGAGGCAGGAGAGTGTCTTGGATCTGGGAGGCGGATGTTGCCGTGAGCCAAGTTCATGCCATTGCAGTCCAGCCTGGGTAAGAGAGTGAGACTCTGTCTCAAAAAAAATATATATATATAATCAACTTGTTTTTTTATCAAACTATTAATACAACAATTCCTGAATATATATTTAGAAGTGTTAGATGTCCTTATATACCTTTTTCATTATTTAATGCCCCCCTTTACTGCTGGTAATATTCCCTGTTTTCAAGTCTGCTTTGTCTAATATTAATATAGCCACTCCAGCCTTCTATTATTGTTTGATGCATCTTTTACTATCTTCTTAGTTTATGCCTTTATACTTACAGTGAATTTCTCGGTGTGCTTAAATTTATACTTTATTTAATTTTTGATATGGTTGATTAGGTCTTCATTTTATTATTTGTTTTCTGTGTAGGTCATCTGTTTTTGCTTCCCTTTTTCTTCATTCCTTCCTTCTTTGGGGTTATTTGAGTTTAGTTTAATTTAAATGTTTTAGTTTAAATTTCACTTTAATTCATTTATTGGCATTTTGGATATATCTCTGAATTCTTATTTTTTTAGTGGTTTCTCTGGGAATTACAACATACCTGCCTGACTTGTCACACTCTATTTTGAATTAATATTTTACATCAAGTAAAATGTAGGTGTCTTAAAACCACACAGATCCTTTTAGCCTCCAGCGCTGACCTTTATGTCATAGTTGTCATATGTATTATATACATATGTATTATATATGCATATGTTGAAAATCCCACCGAACAATGTTATAGTTTTTCCTCTCAATAGTCATACACATTTTAATCAACTGAAGAGAACAATTTTTTTCCTCTGTCATTTACATTGGATAATTTCTGCAGATTTAGCTTCCCACTAACTGACTTTTCTATCCTCTCCATTTTATTACTGAGCCAATCCAGTGCATTTTTAATTTCAGAGATTGTATTTTTCAGTTTAAAAATGTCCAACTTTGCTCTTTTTATAGTTTCTCTTTCTCTGCTGAGGATGTCTATCTTTCCTCTCATTTCAGGTATGCTTATGTTCCCTCATTAGAACATACTCATACTTCAAAGTCTTTGTCTGATAAATCGAATGTCTGGTTTACATGGGTTGGCATTTGTTGACTGTTTTTTCCCTTGAGAATTGGTCACATTTCTGGGTTCTTTGATTATTGAGTAATTCGGGATTGCATCCTGACAATGTGAGGTTTTGTTGTGTAGACTTTTCATTTCAGTTAAAATCATTTGTAGCGTGTTGATTTTGCTGCTGCTGTTGTTATTTTAGCAGGTCATCAATCTGGTTAGGTTCAGACTGCAAATACTGTCTCACCTTCTGATGTGGTTTGGCTCTGTGTCCTCACCCAAATCTTGTAATTCCCAGTGTTGGGGGAGGGATCTGGTGAGAGGTGATTGGATCATGGGGGCAGATTTCCCCCTTGCTGTTCTCATGATAGTGAGTAAGTTCTCATGAAATCTGATGATTTATAAGTGTGGGGTCCTTCCCCCTTAGCTCTCTCTCTCCTGCTCCACCACAGTAAGATGTGCTTGCTTCCCCTTCATCTTCCTCCATGATTATAAGTTTCCTGAGGCCTCTCAGCCATGCTTCCTATGCAGCCTGCAGAACTGTGAGTCAATCAAACCTTTCTTCAGAAGTTACCCAGTCTCGGATAGTTCTTTATAGCAGTGTGAGAATGGACTAATACACCTTCTTTGGATGGTAATTATTAGTTCAGTTTCTAAAGCAAAGTCTTTACTTTGCTTCTTTAGGTCTGTCCTAAAGAGGATGACTATAGTTTACACTAGTCTATTGTATATTTCAAAATAGCTACAAGAGAAAAATTTAAATGGTTCTAATATAAAGAAAAGACAAATACTTAAGGAGATGGATATCCTAAGTGCACTGATTTTATCTTTACAAATTATGAGTGCATTATATCATCACTTATACCTTGAAACTATGTATATCTATTTTGCACAATTCTTAAAAATTGGATATTCCTATGATTGTCAATTCACTGACTCTCTCCTCTCTCGTCTTTATTTTGTTGTTTAGTCTATCAACTGAGCTTTTCATTTTGGTTATTATATTTTTCACTTCTAAAATTTCCATTTAGTTCTTCTTTATAGCTTCTCTTTCTTTGCTGAGGTTTTATATTTCTTTGATGAGATGTTTTGTTTTTTCATTTGTTTCATGTGCATTTGTAATTGATCATTGAGGCATTTTTATGATATCTCCTTTAAAATCTTTGTCATATAATTCTAACAACTGTGTCATCTTGATGATTGTGTTTCTTTATTTTAGAGCTCACTGGTTCTTGTGATAATGAATCTATTAAAAATCTATTTTTAATAAATTCAATAAAATTTCTATTTTAAAAAAATCTATTTTTTTCTATTAAAACCTAGATATTTTGGCTGGTTGCAGTGGCTCACGCCTGTAATCCCAGCACTTTGGGAGGCTGAGGCGGGTGGATCACCTGAGGTCAGGAGTTCAAGACCAGCCTGACCAACATGGAAAAACCCCATCTCTACTAAAAATACAAAATTAGCCGCAAGTGGTGGTGCATGCCTGTAATCCCAGCTACTTGGGAGACTGAGGCAGGAGAATCGCTTGAACCTGGCAGCGGAGGTTGCAGTGAGCCGAGATCACACCATTGTACTTTAGCCTGGGTAACAAGAGCAAAACTCCGTCTCAAACAAACAAACAAACAAACCTAGATAGTTTAGACAATATGTACTGTGGTTTGGGATCTTATTTAAGCCTTGTTTTAGTTGGCTTGCTCTGACACCACTCTGGCAGGGTACACAAGGGCATCACTTTATTAATTCCAAGTGGGCATTTAAGTCTATGTTCTCAAAACAGGCTCCATTTGGTTGGAGAAGGGAGCTACTCATTATTGTTAGGTGGGATGGGAGTTCTGCATCCCCAGTAGGCCTTCACAAATCCTCCCCAGCTGGAAGGGGAAATACACACCTTGTTATTGCCATGTGGAGGTGAAAGTCCAGGCTCCCTGGGTGGTTCCCACTAATACCATGTGGAGAAAAGAAGGTGCTCGTTACCACCCATTGGGGATGAAAGTCCTGGCTCCCCACTCAGCCTTCTCTGACAGCACCCCAGCAGGAGTAAAGTTGGGTACCTCTCAACATCCTAAGCTCCCCACTCATCCTTCTCTAGTGTTGGTGGGGATGGGGCCATAGTTTTCTATGGTGTTTGACTGGAATAGGGCAGCTATTGCTAGGCTATCCCTTTTTTGGTCCTTTGCCTAGACAGAACAGGTTTTTGCTGGAGTTCTTTCTGTCTATACATTAGTGTACATTAGTGTTTCCAGGTTGCTAGCTTCTTCAGCTCTGAGTCTGAGACATATGAAGCAAAAAGAAAACTCAGGGAACTCACCACCACATCACTGCATGAATTCTGAGGTCCCTCATTGGTCTGCCTTCTTCTCTCCATCTTTCAGAATCTTCGTATGTTTGTTTTATATATATTGTCCAGGAAGTCTTGCTGCATTTAGGGGATGGAATAGGGGGAAGTATGTCTACTCATTTTCCTGGAAGTTTCTATTTTGATATTTTCAGTTTGGGTTTGATTTGGTTTGCTTTTACACTTTGCACAATTGTCTACATGCTTTGCCCATAGGCAGAGGAAGCCTTAATGAAAACTTTTGGCAATCATTTAAATAAATTGGCAATAGCTTGTTTGGAAACATTGGGACCAATAGACTATGAGCCTTTTCCACATTTATTCTGTTCACATCAAAGGATGAAACTGCATTCACACTGTTCTCAAAGGCTTGTTGAATGCTTACTATATCTCAGCCACAGTCCTTGGCATTGGGTATACAATAATACACAAGGTATTATCCGTGCTCTCAAAAAGCTTATGTCTAGTAGGAGAGAAAGAGAAGTAAAGTGCCATTTTAATACACTGTAATATCTACCACGAGGGCCGGGTGTGGTGGCTCACGCCTGTAATACTAGCACTTTGGGAGGCTGAGGCAGGTGGATTGCCTGAGCTCAGGAGTTTGAGACCAGCCTGGGCAACATGGTGAAACCCCGTCCCTACTAAAATACAAAAAATTAGCCAGGCATGGCAGCGTGTGCCTCTAGTCCCAGCTACTGGGGAGGCTGAGGTAGGAGAATTGCTTGAACCCAGGAGGCAGAGGTTGCAGTGAGCTGAGACCGCGCCATTGCACTCCAGCCTGGGTGACACAGTGAGACTCTGTCTCCGTAAAATATAAAAATAAAAAAAAAGTAACTACCATAAGAAGGATAAGCCCATAGGAGAGGCTTTTAATCCAGGCTACGAAGCCAGAGAAAATACAGTTAAAGAGCTAAGAGAAACCAAGTTTTTCTAACTTATATATAAAAGAATTTAATGTAAGGATACTGAGTACAAACAGAAAATCTGGGAAACAGGCTTATAAAGGGCAGAAAGAAAAGCAGCTTTGAAGGGTTAGGAAGCAGGAACCCAGGGAGTATCTCTGAGCCAGAACACTCTGGTCAGAGCCCTGCCACTAATATGGAGGGATTTCAATTTCATTCATCCTTGCACTATTTGTGCAAGATTCAAAGTCCTGGAAGAAAGCATCTAATTGACCAGCTTAGGTCGCAGCTCATCTACCTCCTTGTACCAGGGCCATGAGAGAAATAAGTTTACACCCTTTAGCTTCTGCAACAGGGGCCTGACACATGTATTTACCATCCAAGCAAGGGGACACAAAGGAAAAAAGGGTTAATTCTCCAGAAGGAAATCAGGATACTGAAGGAAGGATGAATGGATGCTAAGCAGCTAAAAAAATGACAAAAGTCCATGGCAGCAGCTAGGTTGCGATCAATGCCTGGGATGACTTAGCTAGTCCCAGAGTGGGACAAGAATATGTTTAGGAAGAGAGACTGGTATGTACAAAGCCTGAGGTAAGAGGAAGCATAGTGAATTCAGATGACTAAAGTATGGTGGTCCATAATGGCCTGGAGATAGAGTTTGGAGAGAGGGTGGGGTGAGGATAGAGGCCAGCATGGGAGAAGGTGCCACTGGACATGAAAATAGGAGCAAAGTGCCACTATATCTTGAAGACAAGTGAAAAGCTGGAGTTCATTCCTTGGAATGAGAGAGATGTTAAAGTATTTTACACAGAGTCATGGCATTTTTGTCTTTGAGTGATGGCTTTGGCTCTTGCAATAATTCAGGTAGAGATGAAGGTAGCTTGAACCAAGATGGTAGTGAATGGATGGAGAGAAGTGATTCATCAGATTTGAGTGAGGAACAGGCAAGGGAGTGGAAGGAGACAGGATGCTTTCCAGGTTTCTGGCTTGAGTTGCCACATGGATAACAACATCATAGACAGGGGAAGGAAATTATGGTAGAGAAAATGGGTTCAGCATTAGACATAGTGGGCTTGAGATAGATGGTTGAATATATAGCTGTGAAGGGCAGGAAAGATCAGAGCAAAAGATTTAGGGTAGGTATCCATCAGTACATAGAAGCCAAAGGGATAGATGAAACATCCTGGGAAGAGTATAGAGAGTGAAAAGAGAACAGACCCTAACGTGCAGCCTTCCCAGCATCGACACTTAAGGATTGGTCCAAGGAAAGGCAGCAGCCAGAGAATCACAAGGATGACAGGAGAGGCAAAGGAAACAGTAGATGTGTGATGTCTGGGAAGCTGAAACAGGGGACTGCTTCAGGATGGGGAAATGGTCAAGTGTCCAGTGTTAAGTAAAGTAAGAAGGGAGAAGTGTCCAGGGGATTTGTCAGCAAGGAGGCAACTGGTGTGTGAGAAGAGCTTCGGAGGCGTTTGGGAGCCCAGCAGCAGATTGTAAGGGGCTGAGGAGCAGGGAGGAGTGAGGACCTGGAAACAGTGCAACCCAGCGGTGCCAGTCCTGCTGCACAAGAGAATCACCTGCAGAGCTTTGAACCCTTATTAATGCCTCAGCTCCACCTCACAGAATTTGGGTTTAGGTAGTCTAGAGAAAATGTACACAATATCAGTTTCCCATGGTTGCTGCAAATGAATTACCACAAACTTAGCGGCTTAGAACAATGCAATTTTATTATCTTCTAATTCTATAGGTCACAAGTTCAACACAGGTCTCACTGGGCTAAATTCAGTGTGTCAGAGGGCTACAGACCCTTCCAGAGACTCTAAGAATCTGTTTCCTTGCCTTTTTTGTTTTTTAGACACGGTCTCACTCCATCACCCAAGCTGGTGGAGTGTAGTAACATGATCACGGCTCACTGCAGCCTCAATCTCCTACCCTTAAGCAATCCTCCCATCCTCCCACCTCAGCCTCTCGAGTAGCTGTGACTACAGGTGCATGCCACCACACCCAAGTAATGTTTTTATTTTTTGTAGAGATGGGGTCTCAGTCTGTGGCCCAGGCTGGTCTTGAACTCCTGGCCTCAAGTGACCCTCCCACCTCTGTCTCCCAAAGTGCTGGGATTACAGGCATGAGCCACTGTGCCTGGCCTCTTTGCGCTTTCAAGCCTCCAAAGACTTCCTTCTTCCATCTTCAAAGGCAACAAAGTTGCATCTCTCTGTGCCTTTTTTCCATGGTAACATCTCACTCTGACTCTCTTCCTCTGCCTCCTTTTTCTATTTTTAAGAACACTTATGATTACTTTTGGAGCCCACCTGGATAATCCAGGATAGTCTTCCCACCTAAGATCCTTAACTTAATCACTTGGAAGGCAGCGGATCCTGGAGGTCAGGATGGGAACATCTTTGGAAGGCCATTATTCTGCCTACCACACATTGGTACATTTTAAAACACCCAGGTGTTTCTTCTGTGCAACTGGGATTAAGCAACACTAAAAAGAGAGAGTGGGTGATAATGGGGTTGATAGAAAGTTTTTTGGTTTTGTTTTGTTTTACAAAATGAGGTGTGCAACAGTAGAAATGAAGGAGACAGTCATTTTAATCCCTAGCTACTTTTTTTCCGTGGCGTCTTAATAGTGAAATTATGTTAGAGAAGAACGATTTTTATTTGACACTTTCTAATGTCTGCCCAGAGCTAACTCCTTTCTTCCTTCTTCCCTTACTCAAAACATGACATATTGTAGAAACTTCCAAACCCATAGTGATAATTAAAAAGACGAGCAAAAGATATGCAGCTGCATGCTCAAGGTGAGCCTGAAGATATCCAAACTTAGATTTATAGAAAATGAGCTTTTCAGAGACAGAAACTGAAGAGGCTAATCTGAAATGAAACTCAATTTTCTCCCATACAGCGGCCTGGGGTTACTTGAGACTGGTCTTTTGTCAGCACTGGGGACTCAGAAATGAAAGTGTGCAGAGATGATCAAATGCCAAGATCGCCATATTGTGCAGGGAAGGCGAGCATGTGTTTTGGTTGGAAGGGGGAACAGTGTTCAATTAATCCTGAAATGTTTGCAAAAACAAATGATGGGCAGAAAGAAAACTCAACTTGAAAGCGGTGTGATTCTTTATGAAAGAACCATCTCCACCAGTCTGGCAGCCACAAAATAAACATGTCAGCCAGCCAGGCCAGAGCACAGATAATTAGGAGTGAGTAGCAGCACATGGACAGTTTTCATTAAAACCAAGGCAGTGTGGCAGATGGGCAGGCCTCAGTGGCCCACCACTGGGGGCTTGGAGGAGGTGGGGCCATTACCTCCTCTGGTCTTCCTGGGGCCCAGGGCCCTAGCTGCTTCCCCTTCAAACGAGGGCCAGGATGGGAAGGCGTGTGTTCGAACTGTGCAAGCATCTTTCCATGCCTCAGTCTCTGGCCAGCAACAGAGGATCATGACAGCAGAGTAATTAAGCCCCTGGGGGAATCCCATAGGCCTGTCAAAGTGAGGGGCTTCCTTCTTGCTCTTCAGACAATTTTCTATGTTCTGGCCACTCCCAGAATTGCAAACTATTTGAGGGTTGCCTTGCCTTTGACCCCTTAAGTACAGAAGAGAAAGAGCCACCAAAAATGCATGTATTCTGTTTAAGCAATTGCCTCATTGTTGCATTTTAAAAAATAAATATTTACGTAATTCAATTAAGGCAGAGTGCTGATCTATGCAGAACGAAGGCTGGGGTTTACAAGGGCGCTGCAGCTACTGTCCCCGTGGTCGAGTCTGGGTCATGAAATAACCATGCCTTAGCGGTCGGACGTGTGCCTGCTTGACAGCAAAGTACCAGTTTGACGACAATGATGCATCCAGTTCCCCGAGGTGGGTCGCTTAATGACTGCTCTGCATCGACCCAATAGAATATTTGATTTGTGTTGCTGTAAAAGGCACTGTCGTCTGCCAGATTGAGGTGAACATTTTGGAACTGACATAGTCAAATACAAGCAGGGCCAAAATATTCTGAGGCTTCCACACTTCCTGCCCCCGCTTCCCCCTTCCTGTCTTCTCTGAGGCAGGCATGCAGATGGGCTAGGATTTGACACACTGACAGTGGTGGGTCTGTATCCAGCAGTTTCCCTCCCTACCACCCACCCACTACCCTTACAGCACTCGCTGTTCTCCCAGCCTCTGTCCCCCTTAAGCCACTTCTCACCACTCAGCAGAGTGCTTTCTTTTCTGCTGTTGGCGTTGCCAGCATTGCTGCTCCACTCTGCTCCTTCTTGGGTAGAGCTGGATCAGAGAAAGAAGACAGGGGTGACAGGACCCAATTTTGACAGGAAAGTTCAGTCCCAATTTCTTTGCTGCTGACTGCATCCGCCTGCAGGGAGCCTGCCTCTGCTCTTGGCACTCCCGTGGGGCACTCTCCTCAAAGGTAAGTGTTCATGCCTTTTCCAGGAAGCCTCTGGGCCCTGGTGAGAAATACAGTCTATGTTTTGGTTGCCCTAATACTCAATGCAAGACCAAATGAGAAAAGTGACAGGCTTGGGGACCAAAGGTAACTGGGCAGCTGTGTGAAGAGTAGGGCCAGTAACTGCTTCAGAGACAGCCTAGAAAGGAAAATGATGTCAGTTTTGCAAAACTGAGTTGGAGATAACTGTGAGACCCTGAATAGATATGCAGTAGATCATTGTGGAATCCTCAAGAAAAATGAAAGAGAAAATCTGAGATTTTAGAATCATCTGCTTTCCACCTTAAATTCAAGTTAGTTTGAAATCCCAGCTTTCTTCTGCATAGTTTCTGCCTGCCATATCTTTTCCCATGCTTTCTTTTCAGTCTTTAAGTGCAGCTTTTGTGTGCAGCATATAACTTGTCTTTCTCTTTTAAAAATCCAATCAGATAATCTATCTTTTAATAGGCGAATTTAATCTCCTTACATTTATTCTGGTCACTGATAGAGTTGGAGTTATTTTTGCCACTACATTTTGTGTTTCTGCTTACCATCCTTTATCTTTATTTCCTATCCCTTTTACTGCCTTCTGTTGGATTGATAACATTTTTCTATATTTCTGCTTTCCCTGCCTCTGCTGGCTTGCCATCTATAAACTGTTTATCTTCTTTGGCAGTTATCTTTAAATTTTTCACATAAACATTTAGCCATAAACTTTCTCACAAAGTCTAAATTTGTTCATTATTTCTATCCTCCTCTAGAACATGAAAAGGACTTAGCACATTTTAACTAAACAATGACCACCCCCTTTCCCCATCTGGTTATTTATCCTTTTTTAACCCTCAAATTTTCAACACACACAAAAAATTTTAATTATTTTTAAACAAACTGTTAAATTTACCAACTTTTTTAAAGAAAGAACCATCTTTTTATGAAAGAACCGTCCCAGTGGTAATAAATTGTGTGCATAAAAATAAATAAATAGCTACAAGAAACAATTGTGCACATACAAATTTGCAATTGCAAAACTATGGAACCAGCCCAAATGCCCAGTGGATAAAGAAAATGTGGTATATATATTACCATGGAATACTACTCAGCCATAAAAAGGAATGAAATAATGACATTCACAGCAACTTGGATGGAACTGGAGACTATTATTCTAGGTGAAATAACTCAGGAATGGAAAACCAAACATTGTATGTTCTTACTCATGTGTGGGAGCTAAGCTATGAGACACAAAGGCAAAGAATGATACATATACTTTGGACTTTGGAGACTCGGGGGAAAGGGTGGGGGTTGGCAAGGGATAAAAGACTACACATTGGGTACTGTGTACACTGCTTGGGTGATGGGTGCACCAACATCTCAGAAATCACCACTAAATAACTTATTAATGTAACCAAATACCACCTGTTCCCCCAAAAACTTATTGAAATAAAAAAATAAAAATTTGTTTTAAAAAACAATTTTCTAAAATAGACTTATTTATTTGTATGCACAAAATTGTTTACTGTAATTCAGCCTTTTCTCTGGGCTTGCTTTCATCCTAAAGAAGATTTTTTTTTAAGCAGGGTACATTGGCTCATGCCTGTAATCTCAGCACTTTGGGAAGCTGAGGAGGTAGGATTGCTTGAGCTCAGGAGTTCAAGACCAGCCTGGGCAATATAGCAAGACCTCATCTCTACTAAAAAATCAAAAAAATTAGCTAGGCCTGGTAGTACGTGCCTATAGTCCCAGCTACTGGGGAGGCTGAGAGGGGAGGATCACTTGAGCCTGGGAGATCAAGGCTACAGTGAGCTATAGATCATGCCACTGCACTCTAGCCTGAATGACAGTGAGATCATGTCTCAAAAAAGAAAAGTAATGATTTATTTCTGAGAATGGTAAAGTCTTTTAGATGTGGCATCTCTAACAATTTTATTATTTTTCGCTCACTCTTGAATAATAGTTTAAATGACTGCAAAATATTATGTTGACTATTAATTCCTCCCCGTGCTTTCAGGAAATTAATCTACTGTCTTCTGGCATATATTGTTGCTGATGAGAAGTCTGCTGTCAGTCTTACTGGTTTCTCTTTGTAGATAAAGTGTCTTTTTTTTCTGATCACTTGTAAGTGCATTTTTGGCTTTATCCTTGGTATTTTTTAGTTTCACCATAATGTGTCTCAGTGTTGGCTTACTTTTATTTATCCTATTTGTTTCTCAGGTGCACTTTCAATCGAAACCATGTTTTTCTTCAATTCAGGAATATCCTCAGCTATTATATTTTCAAAGATTGCTCTTCGTTATTCCCTTCTTCTTCTGGAAACCCTATTTAGATATCTGTTACGGTTTCTTATTTATCTATTTTGTCCCCCAAATGTGCTTTCACGTTTGTAAAAAGATTCTCTTCAATCTCTATGTTGCATCCTGATGAATTCTTCAATACTACATTCAAATCCATTAATTTCATCTTTGACTGTGACCAGCCTAAAGTTTTATCTTATCTGTTGGGTTTTTAAATTTTCAATTATCACATTTTTTTATTTCCAATATTCTAATTTAATCTTTTCTCATATTCACTTATTGTTTCATTTCTCCTTTGTTGTTGCTGTTTCAAAGTTTTATGTTTTATTATGGATTATTTTTAAATTTAGCTCTTTGAATATTTTAAGCATTATTATAAATACTTTGTAAGATTGTTTTATAAAATTAATTTTTAAGTGAATTTTTTCCTAATTGTTCACTGTACTCTTTTTTTAGCATTTGATTCCTATGAGTTTTGTGATTTTCATTTACAATTATTTGTCTTTTTTGTTTTGTTTTATTTTTTATATTTTCTGTCTCATGATCATCCCTGGAAACTAGAGAGACTATAATAGGTTGCAAGGCTTACAAACCCAACTTCCAATTTCCTAACACCCTTTGGACTTTATATGTAATTTGGAATACATCATTTAAATCTAAAGAACAGTGTATTAGTCAGCTCAGGCTGCCATAACAACCACCACTGACTGGGCAGTGCTGCTGGCAGGGTTGATTTCTGGCAAGGGCTTGCTTCTTGGCTTGTAGTCAGCCACCTTCTCACTGTGCCCTCATATGGTGTCTTCTTTATGCTGGTATGGGGAAGAGGTTTAGAGATCTGGTGTCTCTTCCCCTTCTTGTAAGGAACCAGTTTATCACATTAAGGACCCACCATTATGACTTAACCTTTATTACTTCCTTATAGGCCCTATCTTCAAATGTAGTCACATTATAGGTTAAGACTTCAACATATAAATTTGGAGGTGACATGATTCAGTCCATAACACACAGATTGGATAAAACATTATTTGGGAGTGTGTGCATGTGTTAACTTGTGAATGGAAGGGCTAGGACACTTTACTCCCCACTTTACCCTTGATATCACCAGCAGTTGCCTGGAGCTTTCCAATGTGCAGGTGGAGAAGTGAAGGGGTCACTCATGGGATCAGTTTACTGCTTAGCTGTCATTTTTGGTTGCTGACCATCCTCTCTTCCAAAATAAAAAGGCATAGTTCCTGAGGCTTCTGCTCTATGTGTGCCACCTGAAAAGGGCCTGAGATGTGCTACAGAGGAGTCTGTGGGAGATCAGCAGAGGCAGGAAGATGGCCTTTTGTATGCCCTCTTAGGTACTGAGCTCTCACATGTCCTGGCACAGAAGAATGGAACAGCCTGTTGACATGGTTATAGCTTCCTCTCTTTGGGGCCAGTTAGGATTGTTTTAAACATTAGACACCACAGGCTTAGTGCTACAGTCCACTGGATTTTTAAGGACCTCTGAAAATGTCTGAGACTTGAGAACAAAAGATAATTCCAAAATAAAAAAAGAAATCTGATCAAATTAATACAATGTATTTAATCACAGATAGAACCTCATACTTAGAATAACTAGTCAATAATAACTCAAATCAATCTTTATACAACTGTTTAGTTGCACACGATGATTCCTTTGCCTGGAATATATCTCCTCCCCTTTTCTGCCTGGAAACTTCTTACTCAGGCCTTAAAGCCCAGTCAGACTTTACTCACTCCATGATGTGTTCATTGATGACCCCTGGCCCCCAAGAAAACACAGTTCTCTTCACTGTGCTCTTTCAATATTGTATATACCTCAAAAACCTATTTGTATTATATTTTTTCATAACTCCGTTTCCTCCTTCAACCCCGAACCCAAATGATAATTTTCTTGTGGGCAGGGACTATAGGTTGTCTCTGCAGTGGCTAGTAATATACTATTGTTAGTGAATATGATGTGTATTATTTTTTATCAGTTTGCTGTTGGAGACTATTTCTGTGCATTTACATCTCTCTACAAAGAGATTAACACACACGTCAAGTAACTGGTTGCCCTTCTCCTGCTCTGCTTTTGTATGGGCTCTTGGCCACCTCTGCCAATGGAAGGCACTGACACAAGATTGGAGGGTAGGAGGGAGGAAGAGCCTCTCTCTGCTTTCTCTGGCACCTCCTCCTCAGCTTCAGAACCCATAGGACAGGCCCACCAGGTTCCATCTCCCAGAGGATGACCTTGATTTGAAGGTCCAGAAACATGATCCCCTCCCTCTGTCCCTCCAGCAGAGGGGCAGGAGTGGCTTCCTGCTGATCACTGGATGGTTTCTCTCCTATTTGCTTCTTTCACTTCCTACTCATGAATGAAACCAATTCTCTATACTAGACTCACACTGTTTTTCTAAATTGTGGTTAAAAAACACATCACATAAAATTTACCATCTTCACCATTTCTAAGTGTACAATTCAGTAGTGTTAAATGTATTCACCTTGTTGCAGATTCATTTTGTTTTAAACACCAGAAAAGTTTCTATTTTGCTGGATGATATAGTTCTTGCACAAGTTTTAAGAACCAGATTCTCAACTAAGAAACAAATTCTTCAGTAAAGTTTCAGGATACAAAATCAATATACACAAATCAGTAGTACTGCTATACACCAACAGCAATCAGGCTGAGAATCAAATCAAGAACTCAATCTCTTTTACAACAGCTGCAAAAAAATAAAATAAAATATTAGGAACATACCTAACCAAAGAAGTGAAAAATTCTTACAAGCAAATCTACGAAACACTGCTGAAAGAAATCATAGATGACACAAACAAATGGAAACACATCTTATGCTCACGGATGGGTAGAATCAATATTGTGAAAATGACCATACTGTCAAAAGCAATCTATAAATGTAATGCAATTCTCATCAAAATATCACCATAATTTTTCACAGAACTAAAAAAAAATTCTAAAATTTATATGGAACAAAAAAGAGCCTGCATAGCTGAAGCAAGACTAAGCAAAAAGAGCAAATCTGGAGACATCACATTACCTACCCTCAAACTATATTACAAGCCTATAGTTGGCAAAACAGCGTGGAACTGGTATAAAAACATGCACATAGACCAATGGAACAGAATACAGAACCCAGAAATAAAGCCAAATACAGCCAACTGATCTCTGACCAAAGCAAACAAAAACATAAAGTGGGGAAAGGACACCCCATTCAACAAATGGTGCTGGGATAATTGGCACACCACATGTAAAAGAATGAAACTGGATCCTCATCTCTCACCTTATACAAAAATCAACTCAAGATGGATCAAAGACTTAGAAATCTAAGACCTGAAACCATAAAAATTCTATTATAGAAGATAGCATTGGAAAAACTCTTGTAGACATTGGCCTAGGCAAAGAGTTCATGACTAAGAACCCAAAAGCAAATGCAACAAAAACAAAGGTAAATAGATGGGACTTAATTTAACCAAAAAGCTTCTACACAGCAAAAGAAATAATCAGCAGAGTAAACAGGCAACCCAGGAAGTGGGAGAAAATCTTTGCAATCTATACATCCAACAAAGGACTAATGTCCAGAATCTACAAGGAACTCAAACAAATCAGCAAGAAAAAAAACAAATAATCCCATCAAAAAGTGGGCTAAGGACATGAATAAACAACTTTCAAAAGAAGATATATAAATGGCCTAGCAAACATATGAAAAAATAGTCAACATCACTAATTATCAGGGAAATGCAAATCAAAACTACAATGTGACACCACCTTACTCCTGCAAGAATGGCCATAATTTAAAAATTAAAAAAAAAGTAGATGTTGATGTGGATGTGGTGAAAAGGGAACATTCTTACACTGCTGGTGGGAATGTAAACCAGTACAACCACAATGGAAAATAGTATGGAGATTCCTTAAAGAACTAAAAGTAGAACTATTTATACCATTTGATCCAGCAATCACACTACTGGGTATCTATCCAGAGGAAAATAAGTCATTATATGAAAAAAACACTTGTACATGCATGCTTATAGCAGCACAATTCACAATTGCAAAAATAGGGAACCAGCCCAAATGCTCATCAAACAACGAGTGGATAAAGAAAACGTGATATATATCATACACACACACACACACACACACACACACACACACACACACACACACTGTGGGATACTACTCAGACATAAAAAGAAATGAAATAATGGCATCCACATCAACCTGGATGGAGTTGGAGACCATTATCCTAAGTGCAGTAACTGAGGAATGGAAAACCAAACATCGTATATTCTCATAAGCTATGAGGATGCAAAGGCATAAGAATGATATAATGGACTCTGGAGACTTGGGAGGAAGGGTGGGAGGGGGTGAAGCATAAAATAATACACAGGGTGCAGCGTACACTGCTTGAGTGATGGGTGCACCAAAGTCTCAGAAATCACACCTAAAGAACTTATCCATGTAACCAAACACCACCTGTTCCCCCAAAAACTATTGAAAGAAGAGGAGGAAGAGGAAGAAAGAGAAGAGGAGGAGGAGGAGGAAGAAGGAGGAGGAGGAGGAGAGAGGAGGGAGGAAGAGGGGAAGGTGGAGGAAGAGACAAATTCTGGTTTGGGTTGCTCACCTGGTAGAGCATAAATATTGTGATTATCCTTGCAAATGGAAGTAAAATGTGGCAGGCAGTGGCAACACATTTACTTAAATTGTCACCTAAATGTTGCTTGGGATAATGTGCCAGTTAAGACAGGGCTTTGGAAGATCAAATACAGTCATGCACCACATAACAATGTTTCCGTCAACAACAGACCTCATATACCATGGTGGTCGGAGCAGTTGGCCATACCACCTAAGTCTGTGAAAGTACACCTAAGGACGCATTTCTCAGAGCATGTCTTTGTCATTAAATAACAACTGTAACTCGTTCACTCAATAGGTATAAGCTATTGGGTGGCTCCTGCTTCTAAAGGTGCCAAACACTTACAGAAAAGAAACTATCAGCTCAGGCACAGTTACAGAACCAAAGGGTTTCTTTAGCATCCTTAAAATAATCTATTTCCAGTAACCACTGAGTGGACAGCTGAAGATTTGGCCCAAAATCTGATTGTGCACGTTGCAAGTTACAATGTAAACTAACACAAAATCTAGCCACATCTCATAGGCTAATGTTAGGCCATTAGTTGAGAAGACATGGGATCCCGAGTCTTGAGAGGACATTTGGGTAGTTTGCCAATGCTTAGAAGCTTGAACTGACAAATCCCTCTGGGCCCCCTTTCTGTGGAGCCAGACCAGCTTCTCCTGTCTGTGGAAGCTAGCCTTCCCTTACTTAAAGTCTCTAATGTAATGATCATATCTCAGGCAGCTTCCTGCCATGGGATATTATTCTCCTCCAGACCTACTCCTGTGAGTTCTCATTGCTCTGGATGCATAAATAGAATTAGACACCACTGTACTCTCAGGGGAGGACAACAACATCCGTTCTGGGAAAAAATATTTTATGCACCAAAGGAAATGTAAGATCATGCTAATTCTTATGAGCAGGAACCTGGAGAACAGCTGTGCAAGTAAATTGTAAGGATGAGAGTCCAAGAATAGAAAATAACATGAGACGAGGCTGAATTTATCAATAAGGATTCACTTACTCAAGATTCCAGACAATGTTCTAGCTCATGCAGCTGGAAACAGTTTCTGCAGTTTTCTTGATTGGTTGACTGAAACTTGGATTCAACTGCCTACACTCAGTTACATCAGGATGCCAAAACTTCCCTGGTATAATGAGCTCTGCATTCTTCTGTCAGCACCACTGTCCATGGAGTTCTTAGGGAACTGTCTTAAGGAGTTCTTCATTTATCATCATGGTATCTCACATAACATTCTGAGCAAGTAATACATTTTATACTGAAGGAAGTACAGCAATGGCTTCACACTCATGGAATTTACCAGCCTTACCATATTCCTCAATTGTCCAGAAGCAGCTGGCCTGATGGAATGGCTCACTGCAGACTCAGTTAAAGTGTGAGGTTTGGTACCAAGCTATAGAATGCAATATATGCTTTTAACTGCAACAAACTGTTGGTGCTCTTTCTTCTGTAGCCAGAACACATGAGTCTGGGAACCAAGGAATAAGAATCGACCCCATTAACTATTATACCTATTCTTAGAGATTTGCTTCCTATTCCTGCAATCTTGGAGTTGTCTCCAGGTGAGGACTGCTTTGACAGGAAGTAGAAGGGGAAACCGCCATCTAGCTATTTGGATTTCCTCATGTCACTGCACCAAAACACAGAAAATGAAATCGATTTAAATTAACAAGGGGGAAATTGGGTTGTTACTACACAATGGAGGTAAAGAGGCCATCATTGGAGCCAGAAGATATGCTGAGATGCCTCTTATTACTTCCAAGTAAAGATCAATAGAAGACTACAACAATCCAACAAAGGCATGGCCACTAAAGACTCAGAGTCTTTAGGAATTGTGTTTTCAGTTGCCCCAGCAGGTCAAGGACCCCAACCAGGTGGTGTGCTGAGTAAGGGCAAGGTGGCAGAGAATGGGTGATAGAAAGAGGAAGTTATAAAAATTAACTGTTGTCTCATGACCAATGACAGAAATGAGGACCCTAGCAGCTATAAATATTTTTGTTAGGTTTATATTATTCAATTATTTCCTTTTACTTTCCTTTTCCCTTTTTTTAAAATGATGATTGTTGGTGATATTTAACTTTTCAACTAAGTCAATAGGCATCTAGACTAGGAGAAGCAGCATCCAGACCTTTGGGAAGGATAATTTCAGTTGGAAATCATGCACTTGAAATGGATATGACAACCAGTGGGACCTTGGGTCTCCCCTTGTTGGGAGAGAGTGAGAACAGTTTGATTTGTATGACAAATGCCTCGCTAGGCAAATAAGAATAAATGCCAGGTTGCAAAAGGGGTTGATCATGTAGGGAAACTGCCTGTTTGTTTTTATATCCATGCTTTGGTCCACATTTTCTCTATTCTGGGAACTGTTTCTCAGGTTCTCTTTCCCTCTGGCTTCCAAGTAGATATGAACAATGTGTGTGTGTGTGTGTGTGTGTGTGTGGCGGGGAGGCAGGGGCAAGGTGATAGGGTAAGACTGGAGGGTGGGAGGAAGAGAGAAGCCAAAAGCCTTTCTCCCCGTCACCCTGGTTGTTGTGGCATCTCTGGTGGTAGCTGCAATTTTTCTATGGCTTCAGCTCCCATTGGAAAGACCCTCTGTGGTTCCTGCTCACAATAAGTGGCCTCAGCATCTGGGCTCTGATAATATTATCTCTTAAGTTTGTAGGGTACCTTTTACCTTTTCAATCAATTCCCTGAATTCAATTTCCTCTGTTTTAAATATTTAAAGGGCTTTCTATTTTTCTGGTTGGACCATGACTGATATAGTTTGTTTTGTTATGTTGTAAGAATAGGCTGTATACTGTTCCACAACTTGTTCCTTAACCCTACAATGGACCAGAGACATCTCTCAATTTCAGACAACTAAATCTAATTCATTCTTTTTTACTGAGATATTATATAATTCAAATACCATAAAATTTGCCCTTTTAAAGTGTATAGTTCATTAGTTTTTAGTATATTATTTACAAAGTTGTGCAACCATTACCACTATCTAATTCCAGAATATTTTAATGATCATCAAAAGAAACCCTATACCAATTAGCAGTCACTCCTCATTCTCTTCCTCTCCCCAGTCCCTGGAAGCTATCAATCTGTGTTTTGTCTCTATGGATTTGCCTCTTCCAGACATTTCAAATAAATAGAATCATACAATATGTGGCCTTTTGTGCCTGGTTTCTTTCACTTAGTTTAATATTTTCAAGGTTGATCCTCACTGTAGCATACATCAATACTTATTCTTATGGCTAAATAATATTTCTTTTTATGAATATACAACATTTTGCTTATTCATTCATCAACTGATGGACATTTGGGTTGTTTCTATTTGTTGGCTATTATGAATAATGCTGTGTGAATATTCATGCACAAGTTTCTATGCTGGCATATGTTTTCAGTACTCTTGGGTATATTCTGCTGAGTCATATGGTAACTCTTTGTTTAACTTTTTGAGGAACTGCCAAGTGTTTTCCAAAGCAATTGTACCATTTTACATTTTTAACCCATTCTTTTTAATAATTTCACAAAATTTCACAATATGGCAATATAAATGTTCCATAATTAATTTAACCCTTCCTCCATTGAAATACATTTAGGTTTTCTCTATTTTTTCATTATAATTAATCACAATTATTTATGAACATAAATAACTTTATGGACCTCCGTAGGTATAGGGATTCTTGGATGTAAAATTGCTATGTCCACCAATATTTAAATTTTTGCTTTGAAATGTGCCAAAGTACCACCCCCCCCCAAAAAAATTTACTAATCTACACATACAACAATATAAAAAGAGAGCCAATTTTCCCAAACCCCTTCTAACACTGGATAAATTTTTGGTTTTGCCAATCTGACAGGGAAAACTACCTTTTCGTTTTAATTGCATTGTTCTGATCACTAGTGGAATGGAATGTCTTTCAAGTACTCATATATTTATTGCCAAAACATAAACAGCTAGATTGGCTGATTTCTAAAATTCTTCACAGCTATAAAATTTGACTTGTGTGATTTCTACTTTGGCAAGAAGTGATGGTTCTGACAATGCTGGCTGAGGGCAGAACTGGCTTTATGGAGCATGTGATTGTCTAATTACATTTCATAGGTGCTGGAACAGGCCCTCATGCTCCCAAGATCCTCCCATAGGATGCCCACTCATAGAGCCACATCTCTTTAGATTTAGCCTAGGAAAAAAAGCCAATGGCCATAGGAGAGGGACAAGTTAGCACAACCAAGGGAATAAGAGCAAGTGTTGACTGAAACTAGGGAACTGATCTTTGAGATGGCAAAAGCATATAGAAGAGAAAATCTGGAAGACTGGAGAACAGAATTGACCTGTTTCTCATGTTTGCCTAAAACCAACCATTTCCCAGAAAGTAGATTGTGTTGTAATAGAATTGGCCTTGAATGTAGAGTTGGGAAATTTAGGGTCTAGTCCTGACTCAGACATTAATGAGAGGTCTTGGGTCATTTCCATGCCTCACTTTTCTAATCTGTTAAATGGTAACATTCCCTATTACACCAAATTATTTTAAAGTTCAAATAAAAGAACAGGTGAAAATGCAATGAAAGAAAATAGTGTTCTACCTGAGTGCCAGTGCTATTTGCTCTTTTCTCCCACATCCAGTAGTTACAATCACAGAAGCAGCATATCCTGGCCAGCTGTCCAGATGGAAGTGCCTGGCAACTCTACTCCTCCACTTGACGGGAATCCCAAAATAAATCTACTTAGAAACACACAAACTAAAGGAGCCACACTCCCTCCATGCTTCTCCCATTCCAGAACTCAGCATACCTGCACTCCAGTACCTGAGCTTTCTTCATCTCCTAAAAATATTAAGAGAGCAATTTAAGGTTCCAGATGGGCTTTGTTTATGTTTCACCTGTTTCTCAGGTCATCTTATTCCCTCGTGTTTTCCTTTGTTGTTCCAATTATTTCCCAAACCCCTCCACATTTCTTTGTAAGTCAAATTAAGTGGTGGGTAAACCTGGAAGACAGCTAGTGGGCTGTCCTAATTCTTAACTATGGACTAGAGAGCATGCACAATTAGGAATTGTGATGGAAAGAACCTAGGGATTACATTTCCTATCCCTATAACATCTAGCTGTGGCCATGTAACTAGTTTTCACCCATGGGCTGTGAGTTGCAATCCTGTTGTCATCGCCTGACATTCTGTTTTATCTTTGCCAGCTGGATACACATGACAAGGTCTTAGAGAATGGCTAAGCCATTCTCTTCCATGAGACGGAAGGAACCACACACTGACGACCACATTCCAGTCAGTCAAGGAAAGCTGACTTGCTTTGACTATTAGATAAGTGAGAAATAAAATTCTGTTATTTAAATTTGAGGTCTATTTGTTTAAGCAGTTGCTATTATTTGAACACCCTGCCTGAAAACATTTCACCAACAGTCTGACCATTTTAATAAACTACAGAATAGCAAACCTCGTGAAATTCCCAACAGCCATCTTCATTAAAGCCTAGACATTTCTTCAAACATAAAGCTTAATAAATTATCCTCATGTCAGAGGAAAGCTCAATTCTGCTATATCTAGCAATTTTTGGCTTGTGTTTTGAAAAGCTCTGAAGTATGAGAAACAGATGTCTTAACAACAAAAAGTAACAATGAATATGTTGATGTTCCTGAAAATTATCAGGAAGTACGAAAAATTTAATGAAATTAATCTTCTTCAGGAGCTTACAATTTAAATGGGAAGGCAAGATGCTTACACAAGTAACTCTACTTAAAGACCAAATGTCTGGGTGGTACCAGGAATAGGTGCCCTAAGACTTTTAAAGAAGGTAAAATCACTTTTATTTGGGGGCAATATCATAAAGCTTCATGGAGGAAATGGGATTTGAGCTGTGCCTTACAAGTTGGGTGGAATTCGGGGGTAGAATCATGTACACAGATCAACAGAAATTAAACTGGCAAGTTAAGCTATTGTTAGATATCAGATATCTAGAATGTCTTGAATGCCAGGAATAAGAAGTGGGACATGATTTTATAGGCAACAAGGAGCTGGTAGTTTTAGGTCTCCTTTAAGTCCTAGAATTTTAGATCTAAAAAATGTTTCTGACCTATAGTGGCCATGGTGGCTGTCTTTTCTTTCCAGTGATATACTGCAACCCATCTTTATTTTCCTATGCCTACTTCCATCGTCCCCAAATTTCAGTTATTCGAATGCCACCTTCACATTTTTCTTCCATACCTATATACCACTTGTATATTTTTATTTAATAATTTTTATACCTAAAATATATAACTCCTAGTTGACTCCTAGGCAAAAAATATCTATGAAATTACAGGGCGGATATATAGGCTGGATAAAATATTTTCTAATACATAGTCAAATAAATGCATGCTTATGAACTTTTTTTTTAATGTTCTGTTTGCCCCCTACCTGTGTTCAGTCTTCATTAGAGATTTACAGATCACACTTGGCAAAACATGGTCCTACTCTGAACCATTGCACACATCTCTCCTGGGTTTTCAACTCACTTGTCTCTCCACATCCACTCTGCCATCTTGTTTTGTTCATTTTGTAGACTCAGTAACTAATGAGTACATAATGTTGCCACAGACAGTCCCAGAATCTTAGTGGTTCAACAAAACAAAAGTATATTTCTTGCTTATGGCACAGGTGGAACAGCCCTTCTCTATCTTGTAGCTTAATCATCTGGAATACAAGGCCTCCAGGGTGACCATAGTGGGGAAAGAGTGAGGCAATCATATGGGATTATTGAAGGATCAGGCCTCAAAGTAGCCTCTGTCACTTTTGCCCACACCCCTTTGGCCATATGGCCCCAACCCAGCCACAAGGGAGGCAGAGAAATACAGCAGACCTCACAGATAGTGGTAAACACTAAGGATCTCTGCCACTGTAAACTGGGTACTATTGACTTAGAGATCCCCTGAGCCATTGATCCAAAAACTGCCCCGGGTATTGGCCTTGGTGTCTCATAGTCAAAAGTTCAGATGCATCTGCTTAACTGGGCAGGTATTTTTTAATCAAAATGGCCA
Source organism: Homo sapiens (assembly GCF_000001405.40). Classification (NCBI taxonomy): domain Eukaryota; kingdom Metazoa; phylum Chordata; class Mammalia; order Primates; family Hominidae; genus Homo; species Homo sapiens. The sequence goes on along the minus strand of NC_000005.10, from coordinate 66,411,792 downwards.
CTAAGGAACTTAAGCAGCCAAGCCTAGCATTTATCCTCTGCACTTATCCCTCATTATTAGAAAAGACAAATATTTTTTCTATTTGTAAAACAAATAGTTTTACAGTATTCCTCTATTTTCACTGTATTTACCATTCCCCCTCTCAATCTCTATATCAGAGTTTGAAAATACAGACTGTACTAGTTTCCTATTGCTGCCATAACAAATTCACACAAATTTGGTGTTTTAAACAACACAAACTCATCACCTTACAGTTCTGTAGTGGAGAAGTCCAAAACAGGTTTTCCTGGACTAAAATCAACGTATCAACAGGGCTGTGTTCTTCTCTGGAGGCTGGAGGGGAGAATCTGTTTCCCTGCCCTCGCCAGCTTCCAGTGCTTCCTGCATTCCTTGGCTCATGGCCCCCTTCCATCTTCAAAGCCAGCAATGTTGCACTGCGTCTTCTTCACATCAGATCACTTTGTCTCTGACTCTTCTGTCTCTCTCATCCACTTTTAAGGATCCTTGTGATTACATGGGGCCCACCTGTGTGATCCAGAGACCTCTCTGTCTCAAGGTCAGCTGGCTAGCAACTAAATTCCATCTATAACCTTAATTTTCCTTTGCCATGTAACATAACACATCCACAGATTCTGGGGATTAGGACATGGCCATCTTTGGGCAACCATTATTCTGCCTACCACAGAGGCCCACAGGCCAGATTCAGTCCATGGATATGTTTTGTTTGATCCACCTAGTATTTTCTCTCTTTTTTTTTTTAAGATTTCAAAAAAAAAATTTTAACTGTAAATTAAATGTTTTCAAATTGGAAGATTTTATATATTTTAAAAATATCTATGTCTAGCTTTTCCTGAAACCTCAGGAGGCCTAGGAACAAAGACCTGAATTCCCTTATTGAAACAATTGGCTGGTGCTAAGCAGTGGCTGCGCTTTAAATGGGGCACGGAGCCCTCCAGGTGGGCGGCATGATCTCTGGCGCTTCCTATCACCTGTATTCCTGGCACACTTCAAGTTATATGACTTGCCTTGCCCCTTTAAGTTTGCAAACTTGTATGAGGCATACTAACATCTGGATCCCAAACTATCATTTTACTATCTGTACTGGACTTGAGATGCCTTCATTCTCTGTTGGGTGCACACCCTCCTGATGGGAATTCTACCATCTTACTGCCTGTACAGAGATGTCATGATAGCCCTTTCTTCTGATTCTAGAAGGCAAATGGGCCTATGACTTGGGAGTAGGAGGGTTGACAGATGTGTGGCTAGGTAATCAGCAGCATTCACAAAACCCTCCCAGGCCTCTGTGTCATAAATCTCCTCAAGCGGCAGGGACATTTGTGCATCCTGTCACAAGGGACAAAGTTTTAATGTGCTGCCTCTCCATCAGCACCCACCCCCTCTTTTTTTCCTCTCTTCAGCCCTTGCTATGAGATCTTCTTTAATGAATTTCTTTACTCTGACAACAGGCCTGATTCTGGCTCGCATCCAAGCTGCACGCTAGCTTTCATTGTCCTCCTGGGCTTAAGTGAAGGGCATGTCACTGTTTCACTTACAGATGCTCAAAGATCCGACGCTGGCATTAATAATGCTGCAGGCCTGGTCATTCTATCTTCATCAGTGGCTGTGCACCCAACGCTGCATGGCAGATGATGAGCAGCCTCCGCTGCCAGGGAGAAGAGCTCTTCATTACCCAGGTCGGGCTGAGGGGCCTCCTCACCAAGCACCTGAAATTCACATTAGCCAGGCAAAATCTTTCCTGTCACGATGCCTTTAACACTGACAGTTGGTGAAAGGAGACCTTCAATATCTAAATGATGCTGAGACTCTTACAAGGGTTATGGGAGCGAGAAACTAGGGTGGGAGCTCTGTCACAGAGCCCACCATTTCCCTGGCTTCTGCCCTCTGTGTGCCACCTCTGTGGTTTTTGCCATTCCTGCATCATGCCTATAATTGTATTCATTTAATATTTTTTCCTAAATCAACTATACATTGATTCACCTTTATTTAGCCTCATCCTAGGCTATAATAACTATAAAATTAGAATTTAGTTGTGCTAGTTATACTTTTTTCTAATACATATTAAAATTAGGATATTTATTTGGTTAATTAAAATTAGGATATTTAATATTAAAATAAGCAATGTTGATCCATATATCATCTAACACTTTATACATTGATATGGTTTGGCTGTGTCCCCACCAATATCTCATCTTAAATTGTAGCTCCCATAATTCCCATGTGTTGTGGGAGGGGCCAGGTGAGAGAGAATTGCATCATGGGGACAATTCCCCCCATACTGTTCTCATGGTAGTGAATAAGTCTCACGAGATCTGATGGTTTTAGAAGGGGTTTCCCCTTTCACTTGGCTCTCACTCTCTCTCACCTGCCACCATGTAAGCCATGCCTTTTGTCTTCCACCATGATTGTGAGGCCTCCCCAGCCACATGGAACTGTGAGTCCATTAAACCTCTTTTTCTTTGTAAATTATCCAGTCTTGGGTATGTACTTATCAGCAGTGTGAGAACGGACTAATACATATATGATTCATTGGATGCATACAATACCATGTTTGGAAAACACAGCTGTAATATATCCTTCCACCTCAGAACAGAATCACACCTAAACTAAATGATACAGATTCCTCCTGTGCCATCCCTTAAGGCTTTCTGGATAGAGTTTCAAAAATTCTGAGTGTGCTGATGGCTGTAGGTACCAGAATGATTGAAAAGTTCTTTCCCACATCTCACTGAAATCTCTCATCTTATTCTTTTTCCTCAATATTTTGGCCTATAGTTGATAGTGGCAGAAGTAGGAACTTTAGACCTCCCAGTAGCCCATCTCCTCTAATGCCACACTCCTAGATGGTGCAGCAGAAATCAGCTTGGAGCTAAAGGCTGCAAGTCAGAGATGGACAAAGAAGAAAAGAAGCAAATCAAGCGAGAACAGGAGCACAAGCCAGCCTGTTTCCACTCAAGCTTTCCCCTGAGCCGCCTGCTGCAGGGCCTGACCCACGTGACTTTTCCTCTGCTGGAGCCTGAGGAAAAGCAGGTGCCATGGAGCAGGAGGTCAAATTTGCAGGGATTCTAGTCCCCATGAGGCCCCTATGAAGCTTGTGGCACTTGTGCTTCACCAGCCTTCATTGTCCTTTTCAAACATGGCTCGCAAGTTCCTTAAAGCAGGTTGAAAAGAGAGGACAGACACGCAGAATCTACCAACACTTCCATCAGAGTATAAAAAGCTCCTCAGTGGCTCATGCCTGTAATCCCAGCACTTTGGGAGGCCAAGGCAGACAGATCACCTGAGGTCAGGAGTTCGAAACCAGCCTGGCCAACATGGCGAAACCCTGTCTCAACTAAAAATACAAAAATTAGCTCAGCGTGGTGGCACACGCCTATATCGCAGCTACCTGGGAGGCTGAGGCAGGAGAATCGCTTGATCCCAGGAGGCAGAGGTTGCAGTGAGCCAAGATCACGCCACTGCACTCTAGCCTGGGCAACAGAGCGGGACTCCATCTAAAAGAAAAAAAGCTCCTCAGGAGTGGTGGAGGCTGGCGGGGGCTGCTGGGAGGATTTCAGAGAGAAGGAGGCCCTAGGCCTTCAGGAGGGATGACTGGATGCATGAGGGAGGCAGGGAGGGTGGCATGGCATCATTTGTGGCTGAAGCTCTAGAGGAGACTGGGTGCCTTAGGATGAGAGTGAAGGAATGCATGAGCCCTCAGAGTTTAATGTAGGAATTTAGTGTCCTTGGGTCTGACTCCTGCAGGGCTCTAATGTTACCACAGAATAAAAGAAACCACAAAGTAGAGCCTCTCCCTTTTCCCTGGAAAATTAACCTCCTCCCACCCCACCCACATATCAAATCACTGTGTCTAAGCACACCTCTGAAATTGAACAAACTGGCTTCCAGTGCAGCTGTGTTGAGGACCAGCTGTGCATCCTTAGACAGCACTTCACAACTCTTGAACTTAGGACCCAAACATGCCAAAGGAGGAGTTAGGCCTCCATCATCCCTTGCAGTTCAGACATGCAGATTCCAGGACTCTGGGACATCTCCATGCCCGCAGAGCCTAATGCACATCAGCCTTCTCATGAGAGCTGTTTATTACTTCCACAAACGAGCTGTATACCAATATTTGTAGTTTAGTACCTCACTCCCAAGCACAATTAAGAAAGGAAGAAGGTTCAGGAATGGGCCAAGCTAAAGCAGAGGTGACTATGCATCATGCCACCAGAGGTAAGGGCCCATATCCCCTACTGTCTGCTCTCCAAGAGCTGAAAACTGCTCCTCTGCAGTGAAGGACCTGAGCGGTATTGGATGAGTCCCTGTGTACAGAGACAGGGAGAGAAAGAAAGTAGGATCTACAGTGGCATGTGGGTTAGGGAGGGGAGACCTGGGGACCTGGGCGGGGGACTGTGGGAAAGTCGCTTGGGATTCTGGGAAAGCTCATTGAACCGGACACCAGATAGTGTGGGGTTTACAATTCCTTCCCAGAAGGAGACCATCCCCATTCCAGGTGCTCTTTCTCAAAAAGGCTGATTTAATGACCATAAATGAGGCTGTTCTGAACAGCCCATCTGTCGCCCACCTTTTGCAAATATTTAATTATGTTCACATTCTATTCACAAGGGAAATGGTGACACAGAGCTATTTGGCTACAATGAATCTGTCCCACTGAATGATTAATGAACCCTAAATGCCAGGCACATAAAGTTGCTGGGACAGGCTGTGGGGATGCCTGGTTGACTCACCCTCTCAGAGGGGCTGCTTGGCTCTGGTGAGGAACTACAGCTTTCTCTTCCTCTCTATCCTTCAGCACATCAGCTCCAAATATGGGCCATGGGGCAGCATCTCCAGACTGGGAGGTGTTCCTGCTGAGAGAAGATCAGATAGAGAGACCAGATAGAGACCAGAGAGAGATCCACAGCATCTCCAGACTGGGAGGTGTTCCTGCTGAGAGAAGATCAGATAGAGAGACCAGATAGAGACCAGAGAGAGATCGATGGAGAGACAAAGGCGTGTAGTGCCCTTGTCTCACGCTTTCTACCGCCCCTTCCCCATTTTGTTTCCACCAGACTCTTCTGAACTCTCTTCTGCTTTCCTCACACTCCTTCCTGCTTCACCCAGAGAAAAAGCAAGGACAGTACCTGGTGGGAACCCACAGGCAGTCTGACTCCTGATTTATGCCCCTGCTTATCTCAGCCACATCATAAGCATTAAAACGTTTAGCTGACTGTAGAGATCTATATTAATATAAGGAACCAATTTGCCTTTTAGACTCATGTTCAGGGCATACAGCACAAATTCAGGGTTTTTCATCTAGCTTTTCAATAATGAGAAAGAAACATTTCTTTCTTTTTTTGTTTCCTTTATAAATTTTCCCACCTCATGGGCTATTATCAAATAATAGCATCATATTGACATACAGAAGACCCTTGAATTTTCTCACTTAACAAAGTGCTAAAATTGCCCCATGTAAGATCTGTAAAAGTCGATCTCTAGTTCTACTTCAGTCTTATTGATGGCTGCAGAGTATTCCACTATAGAAATATACTTTATTTCATCAGTTCCATATTCATGGACACTTAGATTATTTCTGACTTCTGTTATTTTACACAATGCTATAGCAAATATCTTTTGGCACATGTTCAAATATATCTATAAAGATAAATTTTGGCTGGGCACAGTGGCTCACACCTGTAATCCCAGCACTTTGGGAGGCCAAGGCAAATGGATCACCTGAGGTCAGAAGTTCAAGACCAGCCTGACCAACATGGTGAAACCCCATCTCTACTAAAAATACAAAAATTAGCTGAGTGTCATGGCTCATACCTGTAATCCCAGCTACTCAGGAGGCTGAGGCAGAAGAATCACTTGAACCCAGGGCTGGAGTTTGCAGTGAGCCAAGACAATGCCACTGCACTCCAGCCTGGGCAACAGAGTGAGACTCCGTCTCAAAAAAAAAGAAAAAGGGGGAGAGCTGGCAAGATGGCTGAACAGGAACAGGTCCAGTCTGCAGCTCCCTGCAAGACTGACACAGAAGGTGGGTGATTTCTGCATTTCCAACTGAGGTACCTGGTTCATCTCATTGGGACTGGTTGGACAGTGGGTGCAGCCCATGGAGAGTGACCCAAAGCAGGGTGGGGCGTTGCCTTATCTGGAAGGACAGGGGGTCAGGAGATTTCCCTTGCCTAGCCAAGGGAAGCTGTGAGAGACTGTACTGGGAGGAACAGTACACTCTGGCCCAGATACTGTGCATTTCCCACAGTATTCACAATCAGCAGACCAGGAGATTCCCTCTGGTGTCTGGCTCAGTGGGTCCCACCCCACAGAGCCCAGCAAGCTAAGATCCACTGGCTTGAAATTCTCACTGCTAGCACAGCAGTCTGAGGTTGACCTGGGATGCTCCAGCTTGGTTGGGGGAGGGGCGTCCGCCATTGATGAGGCTTGAGTAGGTGGTTTTACCCTCACAGTGTAAACAAAACCAATGGGAAGTTCAAACTGGGCGGAGCCCACTGCAGCTCAGCAAGGCAGACTGCATCTCTAGATTCCTCCTCTCTGGGCAGGGCATCTCTGAAAAAAAGGCAGCAGCCCCAGTAAGGGACTGATAGATAAAACCCCCATCTCCCTGGGACAGAGTACCTGGGGGAAGGTACGGCTGTGGGTGCAGCTTCAGCAGACTTAAACAACCCGGCCTGACAGCTCTGAAGAGAGTAGCGGACCTCCCAGCACAGCATTAGAGCTCTGATAAGTGTCAGGCTGCCTCCTCAAGTGGGTCCCTGACTCCCAAATATCTTGACTGGGAGATACCTCCCAGTAGGGGGCTGACAGACACCTCATACAGGAGAGCTCACACTGGCATCTGGCGGGTGCCCCTCTGGGACAAATCTTCCAGAGGAAGGAACAGGCAACAATCTTTGCTGTTCTGCAGCCTCCACTGGTGATACCCAGGCAAACAGGGTCTGGAGTGGACCTCCAGCAAACTCCAGCAGACCTGCGACAGAGGGGCCTGACTGTTACAAGAAAAACTAATAAACAGAAAGGAATAGTATCAACATCAACAAAAAGAACACCCATTCAGAGACCCCATCTGAAGGTCACCAACACCAAAGACCAAAGGCAGAAAAATCTATGAAGATGGGGAGAAACCAGTGCAAAAAGGCTGAAAATTCCCAAAACTAGAATGCCTCTCCTCCTCCAAAGGATGACAACTGCTTGCCACCAAGGGAACAAAACTGGATGGAGAATGAGTTTGACAAACTGACAGAAGCAGGCTTCACAAGGTGGGTAATGACAAAATCCTCCCAGCTAAAGGAGCACGTTCTAACCCAATGCAAGGAAGCTGAGAACCTTGAAAAAAGGTTAGAAGAATTGCTAACTAGAATAACCAGTTTAGAGAAGAACATAAATGAACTGATGGAGCTGAAAAACACAGCACAAGAACTTTGTGAAGCATACACAAGTATCAGTAGCTGAATCAATCAAGCAGAAGAAAGGGTATCAGAGATTGAAGTTCAACCCTATGAAATACAGTGAGAAGACAAGATTAGAGAAAAAAGAGTGAAAAGAAATGAACAAAGCCTCCAGGAAATATGGGTCTATGTGAAAAGACCAAATCTACGTTTGACTGGTGTACCTGAAAGTGACGGGGAGAATGGAACCAAGCTGGAAAACTCTCTTCACTATATTATCCAGGAGAACTTCCCCAACTTAGCAAGGAAGGCCAACATTCAAATTCAGGAAATACAGAGAAACCACAAAGATATTCCTCGAGAAGAGCAACCCCAAGACACATAATTGCCAGATTCACCAAGGTTGAAATGAAGGAAAAAACTTTGAGGCCAGCCAGAGAGAAAGGTCGGGTTACCCACAGAGGGAAGCCCATCAGATGAACAGCTGATCTCTCAGCAGAAACCCTACAAGCCAGAAGAGAGTGGGGGCCAATATTCACCATTCTTAAAGAAGAGAATTTTCAACCCAGAATTTCATATCCAGCCAAACTAAGCTTCATAAGCAAAGGAGAAATAAAATCCTTTACAGACAAGAAAATGCTGAGAGATTTTGTCACCACCAGGTCTGCCTTACAAGAGATCCTGAAGGAAGCACTAAACAGGGAAAGGAAAAACTGGTACCAGGCACTGCAAAAACATACCAAATTGTAAAGACCATTGATACTATAAGAAACTGCTTCAACTAACGGGCAAAATAACCAGCTAACATCATAATGACAGGATCAGATTCACACATAACAATATTAACCTTAAATGTAAATGGGCTAAATACCCCAATTAAAGAACACAGACTGGCAAATTGGATAAAGAGTCAAGACCCATCAGTGGGCTTTATTCAGGAGACCCATCTCACGTGCAAAGACACACATAGGCTCAAAATAAAGGGATAAAGGAAGATTTACCAAGCAAATGGAAAGAAAAAAAAAAAAAAAGAACAGGGGCTGCAATCCTATGCAATCCTAGTCTCTGATAAAACAGACTTTAAACCAACAAAGATCAAAAGAGACAAAGAAGGCCATTACATAATGGTAAAGGGATCAATGCAACAAGAAGAGCTAACTATCCTAAATATACATGCACCCAATACAGGAGCACCCAGATTCATAAAGCAAGTTCTTAGAGACCTACAAAGAGACTTAAACTCCCACACAATAATAATGGGAGATTTTAACACCGTACTGTCAACATTAGACAGATCAATGAGACAGAAAGTTAACAAGGATATCCCGGAATTTAACTCAGCTCTGCACCAAGCAGACCTAATAGACATCTACAGAACGCTCCACTCCAAATCAACAGAATATACATTCTTCTCAGCACCACACTGCACTAAAATTGACAACATAATTGGAAGTAAAACACTCCTCAGCAAATGCAAAAGAATGGAAATCATAACAAGCAGTCTCTCAGACCACAGTGCAATCAAATTAGAACTCAGGATTAACAAACTCACTCAAAACCACACAGCTATATGGAAACTGAACAACCTGCTCCTGAATGACTACTGGGTAAATAACAAAATTAAGGCAGAAATAAAGATGTTCTTTGGAAACAATGAGAACAAAGACACAATATACCAGAATCTCTGGGACACATTTAAAGCAGTGTGTAAAGGGAAATTTACAACGCTAAATGCCCAGAAGAGAAAGCAGGAAAGATCTAAAATCAACACCCTAACATCACAATTAAAAGAACCAGAGAAGCAAGAGCAAACAAATTCAAAGGCTATTAGAAGACAAGAAATAACTAAGATCAGAGCAGAACTGAAGGAGACAGGGACACGAAAAACCCTCCAAAAAATCATGATTCCGGAAGCTGTTTTTTTGAAAAGATCAAAATAGATAGACCACTAGCAAGACTAATAAAGAAGAAAAAAGAGAAAAATCAAATAGATGCAATAAAAAAATGATAAAGTGGATATCACCACCAATAATACAAAAATAGAAACTACCATCAGAGAATACTATAAACACCTCTACGCAAATAAACTAGAAAATCTAGAAGAAATGGATAAGTATATCCTGGACACATATGCCCTCCCAAGACTAAACTAGGAAGAACTCAAACCCCTGAATAGACCAATAACAAGTTCTGAAACTGAGGCAGCAATTAATAGCCTACCAACCAAAAAAAGCCCAGGACCAGATGAATTCACAGCTGAATTCTACCAGAGGTACAAAGAGGAGCTGGTACCGTTCCTTCTGAAACTATTCCAAACAACAGAAAAAGAGGGAATCCTCCCTAACTCATTTTATGAGGCCAGCATTATCATAATACCAAAACCTGGCAGAGACACAACAAAAAAAGAAAATTTCAGGTCAATATCCCTGATGAACATCGATGCGAAAATCCTCAATAAAATATTGGCAAGCCAAATCCAGCAGCACATCAAAAAGCTTACCCACCATGATCAAGTCAGCTTCATCCCTGGGATGCAAGGCTGGTTCAACATATGCAAATCAATAAATGTAATCCATCACATAAACAGAACCAACGACAAAAACCACGATTATCTCAATAGATGCGGAAAAGGCCTTCGACAAAATTCAACAGCCCTTCATGCTAAAAACTCAATAAACTAGGTGTTGATGGAACGTATCTCAAAATAATAAGAGCTATTTATGACAAACCCACAGCCAATATCATACTGAATGGGCAAAAACTGGAAACATTCCCTGTGAAAACTGGCACAAGACAAGGATGCCCTCTCTCACCACTCCTATTCAACATAGTATTGGAAGTTCTGGCCAGGGCAATCAGGCAAGAGAAAGAAGTAAACGGTATTCAATTAGGAAAAGAGGAAGTCAAATTGTCTCTGTTTGCAGATGACATAACTGTATATTTAGAAAACCCCATCGTCTCAGCCCAAAATCTCCTTAAGCTGATAAGCAACTTCAGCAAACTGTCAGGATACAAAATCAATGTGCAAAAATCACAAGCATTCCTAGACACCAATAAGAGACAAACAGAGAGCCAAATCATGTGTGAACTCCCATTCACAATTGCTACAAAGAGAATAAAATACCTAGGAAAACAACAATGTGAAGGACCTCTTTAAAGAGAACTACAAACCACTGCTCAAGGAAATAAGAGAGGACACCAACAAATGGAAAAACATTCCATGCTCATGAATAGGAAGAATCAGTATTGTGAAAATGGCCATACTGCCCAAAGTAATTTATAGATTCAATGCTATCCCCATCAAGCAACCACTGACTCTTCACAGAATTGGAAAAAATTACTTTAAATTTCATATGGAACCAAAAAAGAGCCTGTATAGGCAAGACAATCCTAAGAAAAAGAACAAAGCTGGAGGCATCACGCTACCTGACTTCAAACTAAACTACACGGCTACAGTAACAAAAATAGCATGGTACTGGTACTGAAACATATATATATAGACCAATGGAACAGAACAGAGGCCTCGGAAATAACACCACACATCTACAATCATCTGATCTTTGACAAACCTGACAAAAACAAGAAATGGGGAAAGGATTCCCTTATTTAATAAATGGTGTTGGGAAAACTGGCTAGCCATATGCAGAAAGCTGAAACTGGATCCCTTCCTTACACCTTATACAAAAATCAACTCAAGATGGATTAAATACTTAAAAGTAAGATGTAAAACCATAAAAACTCTAGAAGAAAACCTAGGCAATACCATTCAGGACACAGGCATGGGCAAAGATTTCATGACTGAAACACCAAAAGCAATGGCAACAAAAGCCAAAATTGACAAATGGGATCTAATTAAACTAAAGAGCTGCTGCACAGCAAAAGAAACTATCATCAGAGTGAACAGGCAACCTACAGAATGGGAGAAAATTTTTGCGATCTATCCATCTGACAAAGGGCTAATATCCAGAATCTACAAAGAACTTATATAAATTTACAAGAAAAAACCCCATCAAAAAGTGGATGAAGGATATGAACAGACACTTCTCAAAAGAAGACATTTACGCAGCCAACAAACATATGAAAAAATGCTCATCATCACTGGTCATTAGAGAAATGCAAATCAAACCACAGTGAGATACTGTCTCACATCAGTTAGAATGGTGATCATTAAAAAGTCAGGAAACAACAGACGTTGGAGAGGATGTGGAGAAATAGGAACACTTTTACACTGTTGGTGGGAGTGTAAATTAGTTCAACAGTTGTGGAAGACAGTGTAGCGATTCCTCAAGGATCTAGAACTAGAAATACCATTTGACCCAGCGATCCCATTACTGGGTATATACCCAAAGGATTATAGATCATTCTACTATAAAGACACATGCACACATACATTTATTGTGGCACTGTTCACAATAGCAAAGACTTGGAACCAACCCAGATGCCCATCAATGATAGACTGGATAAATAAAATGTGCCACATATACACCTTGGAATACTATGTAGCCATAAAAAAGATGAGTTCATGTCCTTTGCAGGGACATGGATGAAGCTGGAAACCATCATTCTCAGCAAACTAACACAAGAACAGAAAACCAAACACCACATGTTCTCACTCTTAAGTGGGAGTTGAACAATGAGAACACATGAACACAGGGAGGGGAACATCACACACCAGGGCCTGTCACAGGCTAGGGGTTAGGGGAGGGATAGCATTAGGAGAAATACCTAATGTAAATGACGGGTTGATGGGTGTAGCAAACCACCATGGCACATGTATAGCTATGTAACAAACCTGCACGTTCTGCACATGTACCCCAGAACTTAAAGTATAATAATAATAATAATAAAAAGATAAATTCCTTCTGCAATCCCAGCACTGTGGGAGGCCAAGGCAGGTGGATCACGAGGTCAGGAAGGAGTTCGAGACCAACAACAGCCTGATCAACATCATGAAACCCCGTCTCCACTAAAAGTACAAAAATTAGCAGAGTGTGGTGGCACAATCCTGTAATCCCAGCTACTTGGGGTGCTGAGGCAGGAGAATCACTTGAACCTGGGAGGCAGAGGTTGCAGTTAGCCAAGATCGTGCCACTGCATTCCAGCCTGGGCAACAGAGCAAGACTCCATCTCAAAAAAAAAAAAAAATTCCTAGGATCGGGATTGTTAGGCCAAAGGGCATACTATTAATAATTTAACATTTTCTAGATAAATATACATAAATCATAATTATAAATATATAAATCAAGTATATAAATCATAAATACAGATATTACTGATAACTTATAGAATGGAAGCCTAGAATTTAAGTGAGAGCAATCCTTCCTTTGGGAGGTGTTATGTATTCATTTCTCTCCCTTTTCTCTTACCCTAGGCATTTAATTTACAAGATGTTTGTATTTTAGATGTTCTCTATTTTGAGGGCTTGAATAGAATTTTCTGGAATAATTGGCATATTTGAGGTAGGAAAGGTTGCAGAAATGACAAAGAGATAATAGGGCATGGAGAGATCAGCCTCTATCCGCTATTCCTAGTTATTTTCTTCCCCACTCAATCTGTGCCTGGCTTATTGGAGGCAAACAAAAAATTTGATGAATGAATAAATGCATGAAAAATGAAAAACATAGCCATGGGGACTTGCTCAAGGATCCAAGGCCAGCGTTTTAGGATTTGCCATTCTCACTTCCTTTTAGCTATACCCTGATAAATCAGCATCCCTTAAATCTATTAGACTCAGTTTTGCCACTTTGTGTATGGAGCCAATCTATAGGCTTTTGACTTTCATTTAAAAAATCAGGTATATGTTGACAATCTCAGTGGACAAGAATGATAGGTTTATATCCATATGCTGATATATTTTGGAGTGAGATCAAGATCACTGAGTTCCTAAATACTGCATAATCTAGCAGAAAGGAGTTTAGAATTTGGAGAGGCTCTGAAAATGAATTCTAATTCAATCCACTACCCAACACCAAACAAACAAAGCAAGTAAACTCTGGCTGTGCAAACTACCCAATCCTTCTTCTCTTGTACTGAAGCAGGTTGGATCCCCATACCTAAAATTTGTTAGACATAGAAATACTAAGTATGGGCATGATTAATAGCTGTGTGACTTTAAATTTACTGAACTCCAAGTTTCTGTTTCCTCGTCTGTGAAATGGAGGTAAAATTACCTTTGTTATGATGAAGCCAATTTAGGCACCATACTCAGATATGCAAAACAAATGTATCTAGTATCTGTTTTTTCTGTGTCTGAACTGATCCTTTTCATATCTTTCACTGCCACGAAACAAATGTATCTAGTATCTGTTTTTTCTGTGTCTGAACTGATCCTTTTCATACCTTTCACTGCCAACTGGATAGTAGGGGAAGAAAACAAATTTAGTCCAATCCAGTGAGAATAAGCCCAGTCCAACATTTATAACAGTTTCTTTAGTTAATTCAGTCTCTCTCAGATTAACACCAAATCTTTCACCATTTCTCTCCCTCCCGTTTCTCCTTCTCATGGTAACAGCTGGCCTTTGGGGAGCTTTCTGGGGAAATCTGATCCACCTGGGCTTACCCTTGTGCTGTCTACTGATTCGTCTGATTCCCCTTCTTCACCTGGGTGCAAGGTGGCCATTGCTATCCAATGGCGGTGTCTGTCTCTCATGTTGTCCATTCCCTTGGCTAAATCAGAGCCTGGTGAACCTTCTCTGCTGACTCGGCCTCAGTTGGGCCCTTGCTGGAACTGTGAATTCCTGGAATCTGCTGTGGTTCCCATTCAATCCCCAGATTAAGCAGCCAGCCTCTCAGCCCTTAGCTGCAGTTTTACTTCACCTCAATCACTGTGAACTTACCTCCTCATGCCCACCTGCTCCACAATCTCTTCAGCCTGACACGAAGTAGGCTCTATCTCTTAGTATCATATTCAGCTCTAGCTAACAAAAAACTAAAATAGTGATGGGTTAAAGCATGAGGCCTAAGTCTCTTACTTTAAAAACTCTAGAGGGAGATAATCCAGGGTTTGTGTGGTGGTTCCATGAAGCCATCATGGAGCCAGGCTATCTCTCTGTTTGCTTTGTTGCACATGTTTCTGTCCTCAAGATCAACTTGTGGGACAAGATGGCAGCTGTCGCTCCAGCCATTATGTCTGGTTTTCTGGGCATAATGCAATAGAAATTTATAGGACATAATAGAAATAAGGATGGGAAAGATCTCCCTACTAGGCTGGCTTCCTTTAAGAGGCCTTCCCAGAAGTTCCACTCAAATTTTGCTTACATTCCATTGTCCATAACTTAGTTCTATGGCCACTCCAGCTGCAATGGTGACTGAGAAAAGTAGTCTTTTAACTGAGTCAATGATTACCCCCAAATTGGGATTCTGTTACTTAGGAAGACAATGGCATGAACAGTAGGGAGCTAGTCAGTCATCACTGCTGACCTGTTTCATGCCATTCAGGGTCCAGGCATTCTCTCTGCCTTACAGCCTGGCTGCTCAGGTTGTCATTCATTCAGCAAGGCAGTTTTCACCCTGAGTCCCAAACAGGATGTGTCACCAGGATCTCCTCTGATTTCAACTTTTACCTCAACTAACAGTGTTCCTTCGTCCCGCCACAAAGACACATTCACACATCCCCCTGGACTCCAGCCAGAGGAAGCAGTCAGAGGCCTCATGTTTCTATCACTTTGTTCCCCCATATGATCCCCTTCTTCTTCCCACAGCCCCTGGGGATGGAGGGAAAAGGATTTCCTCTTCCTCTTTCTTTCTATCCTTCACCTTCCTACGTCACATCAAACAATCCCGCCCCTTTCTCAGGGACAAAATAAGGGAGAAAATGGCTACCGGGGACTATAGAGGAGAAAAATTCCAATGCACTGGCTTAATATTTGGAAAATATTATCCCTGTCACATCTGTATTATTCTTTGTTTATCGAGTGCATGGTAAGCACTACTATAGGTCTTTTAAATGAAAAATAGGGTTGTTGTGAGGGTGGTGGCAGTCAAACAGATAAAATATGGAAAGCTCTTGCCACAACGTGTGGCTTATTGTACATGCTGAATAAATGTTAGCCATTACTGTTATTATGATTTAAATAATATTACAGCCTGCCTCAGTCTTCCTTTATTTTTTATTAATCCCAAACAAACATGCTGGCATGCAAATGCAGATTCCATTTCACAAAGGGGCATCATTATCCTCTATCACAGCATTTTTTGTTTTGCTTTGTTTTAAACCCCAGTTTCTGAAAACACAAGGAATTTTTACTAAGGAAAGGCACTGCTTGGAGACCTAACTTCTAATTAGCTTTGGTACTGGATGCCATGTAACTGTGGGTGAGTCACTGTTCTTTAGGGAAGGGGGCTAATTGGAAGAGGAAAGATTGATGACAGTCAGTGTGGACGGCGATGTGGAATTATGGCCAGAGGCTGGGTCAGCTGAAGTCAGGCCTTTCCAAATTGTACCTCATCCTAGAACTCTAAATTACTTTTTACCCCTCGTGACACCCCACACTTTATGTTGCTTATGTAACAAGAGCTCAAGAGAGCATATACGTTAAATAAGGCAAGATGAGAATTGATCTATTGACAGTCAATCAGGAGGTTGGCTCAGCAAGTCCAATAGGGAGTTGCCAGAGGCTCTGGGCTGGAATTGCACTTAAATAGATTTGAAAAAGTGTTAGGAGGAAAATAAGGATGTACATTCAGTTTACTCTGTCATCAATAGGGCCCATCCCTGGGCAGGGAATTTGCAGACCCAGCAACCAGGGGGGATTTCTAGGTTGAGGCAGATAAGCAGGGAAGTTGAGGCAGGAAGAGATGGGCAAAGTTTGGGAGGAGAGGAGAGTGGCATTATAGGGTTCAGCAGCAGCCCGGGAACAGGTTCTTTGAACAGTCTTGAGACCATTGGTCCCCATTTCCTCTAGTCTCCCACTCCAAGAAGCTGATTTAGGTGTGGTCAGCCAAATCTGGAAGGACTAGTGTTTGATTTCACATGTTCTAGGGAGGGAAGTGTACCTGGTGGGATTCCCATAGTAATACCTGAAATCCGTTTACTACTGGGGAAAAGAAGAGGAAGGCATTTACATGGATGGAACTGGAACCAACACTAGGGATGGGTCAGAGAATGGATTTGGAAAATGTCAGAGAAAGGCCTTGTTCTTGGTTGCAGCTAATGTATACTTATTAATAGTTAACATAGAATGAACACTTACATATATCATCTCATTTAATGCACATTGCAAAGATATGAAGCAGGTGATATTAATATCTCCATTTAACATACTAGGAAATTGATGCCCAGAGCAGTTAAGAAACTTACCTAAAATCTATATTTTATAAATGCTAAAGTTAAGATTTGAGCCCAGAGAGTCTGACTTCAGGGACTCATACTGTTATAGGACTGCATCATAAAATGAATATTTGTTGTACCCAAAACCTCAATAGTAAAATTCATAAGACTGGCAACTGATCCTTTTGGCAGTAACTGAAAAGTATCATATTCGCATAAATTTTCATAAGGTAATTTTCAGTTAATTAAAGAATTTTCAGTTCCACTGAGAGCTGTTCTTTAATAAGTGAGTTTGGGTTTTTTCTGTTTTTAAATAATTACCTCTAGTTTGTGTCTTTAGTTCATATCTACCTTTTCATTTTTAAAATTCAGTGTCCAGAAAATAAATTCAGAGCAACCAAACAATGATGAGTTTCATTGAAACTGCATTTTGAGTTCCAGCTGTATTTTGAGGTTTCTCTGACAGCTTGGTTGGGTGAGCCCTACAGTGCCTAGCACAGAGCCTGCTGCTGCTCACTAAATGTGCACTCCAAGATTCAATCAAATCTGAGTGAATTTCAGACTCACATTTTCACTCATTGACTCTGAGAATTACATTCTAGTAGCTGTCATTTTCTCTAAGAATTTTTAGCTTTATTGCCAGAAATAAAAATAGCCTAAGCCATTTTGTGTTCATATTTTACAACTCATTTTGAGAATTAATATTTTATAAGAAAATTATTTTGATTCAAAATGTGACTTTTAAAAGGCCTGTGGTCTTCTTAAGTGTAACTTTTATTATGCCTTGGGGCCGGCAGCTTTTCTAGAGAAATATACTGTAGTTATCGATGTATTGTACCCTTTGTGAATTTCCCTTCATGTTCTGAGGCTGGAACATGAGAAATTATTTCCTTTCCTTTTTTCCGCCTCTACCCCTCCTTTTTCCTGCCTGATTTTTTTCTTTCAGTGCAAAATTAATAAAATAACTACCATTATCAGTGGAATTTTTAAAAATAACATGTTGTGTTTTAATCAAGCTAAAGCTCAATTAAAAGAATGAACACTGGCAGCACGTGGTGGCTCACACCTGTAATCCCAGCACTTTGGGAGGCCAAGGTGGGTGGATCACCTGAGGTCAGGAGTTCCAGACCAGCCTGACCAATATGGTGAAAACCCATCTCTACTAAAAATACAAAAATAAGCTGAGCGTGGTGGTGCTCGCCTGTAGTCCCAGCTACTCAGGAGGCTGAGGCAGGAGAATTGCTTGAACCCGGGAGGCGGAGGTTGCAGTGAGCCAAGGGTTGCAGTGAGCCGAGGTCACACCACTGTACTTCAGCCTGGGTAACAGAGCGAGACTACATCTCAAAAAAGAAAAAGAAAAAGAAAAAAAGGAACGAGCACCTACTCATCAAGGCCTGGGAAAACTAGATGTGAAAAGCCATACTCTCAGTTCTACTCAAGCCCTGTTCTATGTTGAAATGATTGAGCTCCTTTTCCACCTTCCACATGATGGAAAGACAGAGACATTGATCTGTAGCTGTAGTATCAATAGCTGCCTGGTGCTCTTCCAGAAGATCTTGAATGCTAACATCCCTAAATTGAAACTAGAGATGCTCAAGTCTCGTATCAGTTCATTACTGATGTACAACAAACCATCCAAGACATAGTGACTTAAACCAAAAATGACTGATTATTTCTCGTGGTCTCTGGATCCAGAACAGGGCTGGGGTGATCTCAACTGGGCTCTCTCATTCTTCTGTGGGCAACCAGTGGGCTGCTCAGGGTTGTCTGGTCTAGAATGGTCTCGTATGGGACAACTCTGCTTTCCATTTCTCTCTTACCCTTGTTTCAGGTGAGCCCGGCATGTTCTCACGGTGATGGCTGAGGTCCAAAAGAGAAAGAGAAAATGCACATGTGCTTTTCAAGCTTCTGCTCATATCAGGTTTATTAATCCAAGCCCGTAATCAAAGTGGGAGGGAACCAAGAGTTGCAGGGTGGGGTCTGACACTGGGAGACCAATATGAAGGCCACTGGTGAGATCAATCTACCAAAGTCCACAAGTTAAAACTTAAAGCTGGGCAAAAAGCGATACTTCAAAAGCAAAATACAGTTGATCCTCATCATTGATGGATTCCAAATTTGCAAATTTGCCTACTTACTAAAATCTGCTTGTGACCTCAGAATCAAGGTTGGGGGCTTTCACAGTCGTTCATGGGCATGTGCAGAACAGTGAAAAATTTGAGCTGCCCAATACACAGGTCCCAAGTTGAGGTCCACAAGGCCTTCCTGTATCAACTCTCATAATGTTGTAAACCAGAAAAGTTTCTGAGATAGATCTCAATCAATGTAGAGGTTTATTTTGCCAAGGTTGAGGATGCACCCAGGAAAAAGAGACACAAGTCACAGTAGGATCTGTGGCCCCCACTTTTTCCAAAGAGGGTTTTGAAGGCTTCAATATTTAAAGGGGGAAAAATGGGCAGGAGGGGAAAGAGAAAAGAAAAAAAAAAGAGAAAGGGTATGTAGTGAGGTGAGTGGTCACATTCTCATAAATGTGCATTTTACATAAGGTAAGATAAACATAGGGTAGTGGAAGAAGTCAAATATGCATTTGTCTCCTGGGTAGGCAGAGGGACAATTTCTAGTCTTGTCTTTGTCCTGTACCTGTGAAGATGTGCTGTTAATTTACATTGTCAGAGTGAGGGAGGCTGCCTGGGGAAATGTGTGGCCTTCTATCTTACAGCCGTCTGTTTAGGAACAACAAAAAAGGCAGTCTTTTTGTGTGACTCAGTTTCCAAGCTTAACTTTTCCCTTTGTCAACATGAGTTTGGGGTCTCAAGTTTTTATTTTCCTTTCACACTGTAGACAAGTGTTCTTTTTGCAGTATGTTTGGTACCACATTTTTTGCATTTTTTTTACAATTTTTAAATTTTATTTAAATAGTTTTGGGGGGAACAGGTGGTGTTTGGTTACATGAATAAGTTCTTTGGTGGCAATTTCTGAGATTTTGGTGCACCCATCACCCGAGCAGTGTCCATTGTACCCAATATGTAGTCTTTTATCCCTCAGCCCCACTCCCACCCTTCCCCAAAGTCCCCAAAGTTTATTATATAATTCTGATGCCTTTGCATCCTTATACCTTAGCTCCCACTTATAAGTGAGGACATAAAATATTTGATTTTCCATTTCTGAGTTACTTCAGAATAATGGCCTCCAACTCCATCCAATATGCTGCAACAGCCATTATTCCATTCTGTCTTATGGCTGCATAGTATTCCATGGTGTGTGTGTGTATATATATATATCACATTTTCTTTATCCACTTGGTTTATGAGCATTAAGGTTGGTTCCATATTTTTGCAATTGCGAATTGTGCTGCTATAAACGTGTATGTGCATGTGTCCTTTTCACATAATGACTTCTTTTCCTCTGGGTAGATACCCAGTAGTGGGGTTGCTGAATCAAATGGTAGTTCTACTCTTATTTCTTTAAGGAATCTCCATACTGTTTACATTGCGGTTGTACTAGTTTGCATTCCCACCAGCAGTGTAGAAGAGTTCCCTTTTCACCACATCCACATCAACTCTATAATTTTTTGATTTTTTGAATTATGGCCATTCTTGCAGAAGGAAGGTGGTATCTCATTGTGATGTTAATTTGCATTTCCCTGACAATTAGTGATGTTAGCATTTTTTCATATGTTTGTTGGCTGTTTGTATATCTTCTTTTGAGAATTGTCTATTCATGTCCTTAGCCCACTTTTTAATGGGATTATTTTTTTCTTGCCGATTTGTTTGAGTTCCTTATAGATTCTGAATATTAGTCCTTTGTCGGATGCATAGCTTGGGAATATCTTCTCCCACTCTATGGGTTGTCTGTTTACTCTGCTGACTGTTCTTTTTGCTGTGCTGAAGTTTTTTAGTTTAATTAGGTCCCGTGTATTTATTTTTGTTTTGTTGCATTTGCTTTTGGGTTCTGAGTCATGAATTCTTTGCCTAAGCCAATGTCTAGAAGAGTTTTTCTATTATCTTCTAGAATTTTTTCAGGTCTTAGATTTAAGTCTTTGATCTATCTTGAGTTGATTTTTGTATAAGGTGAGAGATGAGGATCCAGTTTCATTCTTCTACATGTTGATTGCCAGTTATACTAGCACCATTTATTGAATAGAGTGTCCTTTCCCCACTTTATGTTTTTGTTTGCTTTGTCGAAGATCAGTTGGCTATAAGTATTTGGCTTTATTTCTGGGTTCCCTATTCTGTTCCATCAGTCTACATGCCTATTTTTATACCAGTACAATGCTGTTTTGGTAACTATAGGCTTGTAGTATAATTTGAAGTCGAGTAATATGATGCCTCCAGATTTGTTCTTTTTACTTAGTATTGGCTATGTGGGCTCTCTTTTGTTCCATACACATTTTAGGATTGTTTTTTCTAGTTCTGTGAAGAATGATGATGGTGTTTTAATGGGAGTTTCATTGAATCTGTAGATTGCTTTTGGCAGTATAGTCATTTTCACAATATTGATTCTACCCATTTATGAACATGGGATGTGTTTCCATTTGTGTCATCAATGATTTCTTCCCTCAGTGTTTTGCAGCTTTCCTTGCAGACATCTTTCATCTCCTTGGTTAAGTACATTCCTAAGTTGGTTTTGTTTGTTTGTTTGCAGCTGTTGTTAAAAAAGATTGAGTTCTTGATTTGATTCTCGGCTTCGGCATTGTTAGGTGTATAGCAGTGCTACTCATTTATTATGTACATTGATTCTGTATCCTTAGATTTTACTGAATTCATTTGTCATATCTAGGAGCCTTTCAGATGAGTCTTTAGGGTTTTCTAGGTATACAATCATATCAGCAAACAGCAATAGTTTGACTTCCTCTTTTCCAATTTGGATGCCCTTTATTTATTTATCTTGTCTGATTGCTCTGGCTAGAACTTTCAGAATTATATTGAATAGAATGGTGAAAGTGGGCATCCTTGTCTTGTTCCAGGTCTCAGGGGGAATGCTTTCAACTTTTCTCCATTCAACATAATGTTAGCTGTGGGTTTGTCATAGATGGCTTGTATTACTTTGACGTATGTCTTCTATGCCAATTTTGTTGAGGGTTTTTATCATAAAGGGATACTGGATTTTGTCAAATGATTTTTCTGCTATTGAAATGATCATATGATTTTTGTTTTTAACTTTGTTTACGCAATGTGTCACATTTATTGATTTATGTATGTTAAGCCAGCCCTGCTTCTCTGGTATGAAACCCAGTTGATCATGATGTATTATCTTTTTGATATGCTGTTGGATTCAGTTAGCTAGTATTTTGTGGAAGATTTTTGCATCTATGTTCCTCGGGGATATTGGTCTACAGTTTTCCTTTTTTTTTATGTCCTTTTCTGGTTTTGGTATTAGGATGATGCTGGCTTCACAGAATGATTTAGGAAGGATAACCTCTTTCTCTGTCTTCTGGAATAGTTTCAATAGGACTGGTACAAATTCTTCTTTGAATGTCTAATAGAATTCAGCTGTGGATCTATCTGGTCCTCAACTTTTTTTGTTGGCAAATTTTTTTTTATTACTGACTCAATCTTACGACTTGTTACTGTTCTGTTCAGAGTTTCTATTTTTTCCTGATTTAATCTAGGAAGTTTGTATATTTCCAGGAATTTATCCATCTCCTGTAGATTTTCTAGTTTGTGTGTGTAAAGGTATTCATAGTAGCCTTGAATGATCTTTGGTATTTCTGTAGTATTGATTGTAATAGCTCCTGTTTCCCTTCTAATTGAGCTTATTTGGATCTCTCTTCTCTTCTTGGTTAATCTCACTAATGATCTATCAATTTTATTTATCTTTTCAAAGAAGCAACTTTTTGTTTCATTTATCTTTTGCATTTTTTTGTTTCAATTTTATTTAGTTCTGCTCCAATCTGTTATTTTTTTTCTTCTGTTGGTGTTGGGTTTAGTTTGTTCTTGTTTCTCTTGTTCCTTGAGGTGTGACATTAGGTTGTCTATTTGTGCTTTTTCAGACTTTTTAATGTAGGCATTTAATGCTATGAACTTTCCTCTTAGCACTGCTTTTGCTGTATCCTAGAGGTTTTGATAAGTTGTGTCACTATTATCCTTTAGTTCAAGAATTTTTAAATTTCCACCTTGATTTCATTGTTAGCCCAAAGATCATTCAAGAGCAGATTATTTAATTTCCATATACTTGTGTAATTTTGAGGGATCCATTTGGAGTTAATTTCCAGTTTTATTCCACTGTGGTTTGACAAGATACTTAATAAGATTTTGATTTTCTTAAATTTATTTAGACTTGTTTTGTGACCTATCATATGATCTGTCTTGGAGAATGTTCCATGTACTGATGAAAAGAATGTACATTCCGGAGGAGCCAAGATAGGCGAATAGGAACAGCTCCGGTCTACAGCTCCCAGCGCGAGTGACGCAGAAGACGGGTGGTTTCTGCATTTCCATCTGAGGTACCGGGTTCATCTCACTAGGGAGTGCCAGACAGTGGGCACAGGTCAGTGGGTGCACGCACCGTGCGCGAGCCGAAGCAGGGCGAGGCATTGCCTCACTCGGGAAGCGCGAGGGGTCAGGGAGTTCCCTTTCCTAGTCAAAGAAAGGGGTGACAGATGGCACCTGGAAAATCGGGTCACTCCCACCCGAATACTGCGCTTTTCCGACGGGCTTAAAAAATGGCGCACCAGGAGATTATATCCCACACCTGGCTCGGAGGGTCCTACACCCACGGAGTCTCACTGATTGCTAGCACAGCAGTCTGAGATCAAACTGCAAGGTGGCAGCGAGGCTGGGGGAGGGGCGCCCGCCATTGCCCAGGCTTGCTTAGGTAAACAAAGCAGCTGGGAAGCTCCAACTGGGTGGAGCCCACCACAGCTCAAGGAGGCCTGCCTGCCTCTGTAGGCTCCACCTTTGGGTGCAGGGCACAGACAAACAAAAAGACAGCAGTAACCTCTGCAGACTTAAATGTCCCTGTCTGACAGCTTTGAAGAGAGCAGTGGTTCTCCCAGCATGCAGCTGGAGATCTGAGAACAGGCAGACTGCCTCCTCAAGTGGGTCCCTGACCCCTGACCCCCGAGCAGCCTAACTGGGAGGCACCCCCAAGAAGGGGCAGACTGACACCTCACACGGCCGGGTACTCCAACAGACCTGCAGCTGAGGTTCCTATCTGTTAGAAGGAAAACTAACAAACAGAAAGGACATCCACACCAAAAACCCATCTGTACATCACCATCATCAAAGACCAAAAGTAGATAAAAACACAAAGATGGGGAAAAAATAGAGCAGAAAAACTGGAAACTCTAAAAAGCAGAGCGCCTCTCCTCCTCCAAAGGAATGCAGTTCCTCACCAGCAACGGAACAAAGCTGGACGGAGAATGACTTTGACGAGCTGATAGAAGAAGGCTTCAGACGATCAAATTACTCCGAGATACGGGAGGACATTCAAACCAAAGGCAAAGAAGTTGAAAACTTTGAAAAAAATTTAGAAGAATGTATAACTAGAATAACCAATACAGAGAAGTGCTTAAAGGAGCTGATGGAGCTGAAAACCAAGGCTTGAGAACTACATGAAGACTGCAGAAGCCTCAGGAGCTAATGCAATCAACTGGAAGAAAGGGTATCAGTGATGGAAGATGAAATGAGTGAAATGAAGCGAGAAGGGAAGTTTAGAGAAAAAAGAATAAAAAGAAACGAACAAAGCCTCCAAGAAATATGGGACTATGTGAAAAGACCAAATCTACGTCTGATTGGTGTACCTGAAAGTGACGGGGAGAATGGAACCAAGTTGGAAAACACTCTGCAGGATATTATCCAGGAGAACTTCCCCAGTCTAGCAAGGCAGGCCAACATTCAGATTCAGGAAATACAGAGAATGCCACAAAGATACTCCTCAAGAAGAGCAACTCCAAGACACATAATTCTCAGATTCACCAAAGTTGAAATGAAGGAAAAAATGTTAAGGGCAGCCAGAGAGAAAGGTCGGGTTACCCTCAAAGGGAAGCCCATCAGACTAACAGTGGATCTCTCCGCAGAAACTCTACAAGCCAGAAGAGAGTGGGGGCCAATATTCAACATTCTTAAAGGACAGAATTTTCAAAGCAGAATTTCATATCCAGCCAAACTAAGCTTCATAAGTGAAGGAGAAATAAAATCCTTTACAGACAAGCAAATGCTGAGAGATTTTGTCACCACCAGGCCTGCCCTAAAAGAGCTCCTGAAGGAAGTGCTAAACATGAAAAGGAACAACAGGTACCAGCCACTGCAAAATCATGCCAAAATGTAAAGACCATTGAGACTAGGAAGAAACTGCATCAACTAATGAGCAAAATAACCAGCTAACATCAAAATGACAGGATCAAATTCACACATAATAATATTAACTTTAAATGTAAATGGACTAAATGCTCCAATTAAAAGACACAGACTGGCAAATTGGATAAAGAGTCAAGACCCATCAGTGGGCTGTATTCAGGAAACCCATCTCATGTGCAGAGACACACATAGGCTCAAAATAAAAGGATGGAGGAAGATCTACCAAGCAAATGGAAAACAAAAAAAGGCAGGGGTTGCAATCCTAGTCTCTGATAAAACAGACTTTAAACCAACAAAATGAAAAGAGACAAAGAAGGCCATTACATAATGGTAAAGGGATCAATTCAACAAGAAGAGCTAACTATCCTAAATATATATGCACCCAATACAGGAGCACCCAGATTCATAAAGCAAGTCCTTAGTGACCTACAAAGAGACTTAGACTCCCACACATTAATAATGGGAGACTTTAACACCTCACTGTCAACATTAAACAGATCAACAAGACAGAAAGTCAACAAGGATACCCAGGAATTGAACTCAGCTCTGCACCAAGCAGACCTAATAGACATCTACAGAACTCTCCACCCCAAATCAACAGAATATACATTTTTTTCAGCACCACACCACACCTATTCCAAAATTGACCACATACTTGGAAGTAAAGCTCTCCTCAGCAAATGTAAAAGAACAGAAATTATAATAAACTATCTCTCAGACCACAGTGCAATCAAACTAGAACTCAGGATTAAGAATCTCATTAAAAACTGCTCAACTACATGGAAACTGAACAACCTGCTCCTGAATGACTACTGGGTACATAATGAAATGAAGGCAGAAATAAAGATGTTCTTTGAAACCAACGAGAACAAAGACACAACATACCAGAATCTCTGGGACGCATTCAAAGCAGTGTGTAGAGGGAAATTTATAGCACTAAATGCCCACAAGAGCAAGCAGGAAAGATCCAAAATTGACACCCTAACATCACAATTAAAAGAACTAGAAAAGCAAGAGCAAACACATTCAAAAGCTAGCAGAAGGCAAGAAATAACTAAAATCAGAGCAGAACTGAAGGAAATAGAGACACAAAAAACCCTTCAAAAAATTAATGAATCCAGGAACTGGTTTTTTGAAAGGATCAACAAAATTGATAAACTGCTAGCAAGACTAATAAACAAAAAAAGAAGAATCAAATAGACACAATAAAAAAATGATAAAGGGGATATCACCACCGATCCCACAGAAATACAAACTACCATCAGAGAATACTACAAACACCTCTACGCTAATAAACTAGAAAATCTAGAAGAAATGGATAAATTCCTGGACACATACACTCTCCCAAGACTAAACCAGGAAGATGTTGAATCTCTGAATAGACCAATAACAGGATCTGAAATTGAGGCAATAATCAATAGCTTACCAACCAAAAAGAGTCCAGGACCAGATGGATTCACAGCCGAATTCTACCAGAGGTACAAGGAGGAACTGCTACCATTCCTTCTGAAACTATTCCAATCAATAGAAAAAGAGGGAATCCTCCCTAACTCATTTGATGAGGCCAGCATCATCCTGATACCAAAGCCTGGCAAAGACACAACCAAAAAAGAGGATTTTAGACCAATATCCTTGATGAACATTGATGCAAAAATCCTCAATAAAATACTGGCAAACCGAATCTAGCAGCATATCAAAAAGCTTATCCACCATGATCAAGTGGGCTTCATCCCTGGGATGCAAGGCTGGTTCAATATACGCAAATCAATAAATGTAATCCAGCATATAAACAGAACCAAAGACAAAAACCACATCATTATCTCAATAGGTGCAGAAAAGGCCTTTGAAAAATTCAACAATGCTTCATGCTAAAAACTCTCAATAAATTAGGTATTGATGGGACGTATCTCAAAATAGTAAGAGCTATCTATGACAAACCCACAGCCAATATCATACTGAATGGGCAAAAACTGGAAGCATTCCCTTTGAAAACTGGCACAGGACACGGATGCCCTCTCTCACCACTCCTATTCAACATAGTGTTGGAAGTTCTGGCCAGGGCAATTAGGCAGAAGAAGGAAATAAAGGGTATTCAATTAGGAAAAGAGGAAGTCAAATTG
Source organism: Homo sapiens (assembly GCF_000001405.40). Classification (NCBI taxonomy): domain Eukaryota; kingdom Metazoa; phylum Chordata; class Mammalia; order Primates; family Hominidae; genus Homo; species Homo sapiens. The sequence goes on along the minus strand of NC_000005.10, from coordinate 66,384,695 downwards.
TCCCTGTTTGCAGACGACATGATTGTACATCTAGAAAACCCCATCGTCTCAGACCAAAATCTCCTTAAGCTGATAAGCAACTTCAGCAAAGTCTCAGGATACAAAATCAATGTACAAAAATCACAAGCATTCTTATACACCAACAACAGACAAACGGAGAGCCAAATCATGAGTGAACTCCCATTCACAATTGCTTCAAAGAGAATAAAATACCTAGGAATCCAACTTACAAGGGATGTGAAGGACCTCTTCAAGGAGAACTACAAACCACTGCTCAAGGAAATAAAAGAGGATACAAACAAATGTAAGAACATTCCATGCTCCTGGGTAGGAAGAATCAATATCGTGAAAATGGCCATACTGCCCAAGGTAATTTACAGATTCAATGCCATTCCCATCAAGCTACCAATGACTTTCTTCACAGAATTGGAAAAAACTACTTTAAAGTTCATATGGAACCAAAAAAGAGCCCACATTGCCAAGTCAATCCTAAGCCAAAAGAACAAAGCTGGAGGCATCATGCTACCTGACTTCAAACTAACTACAAGGCTACAGTAACCAAAACAGCATGGTACTGGTACCAAAACAGAGATATAGATCAATGGAACAGAACAGAGCCCTCAGAAATAACGCCGCATATCTACAAATATCTGATCTTTGACAAACCTGACAAAAACAAGCAATGGGGAAAGGATTCCCTATTTAATAAATGGTGCTGGGAAAACTGGCTAGCCATATGTAGAAAGCTGAAACTGGATCCCTTCCTTACACCTTATACAAAAATCAATTCAAGATGGATTAAAGACTTAAACGTTAGACCTAAAACCATAAAAACCCTAGAAGAAAACCTAGGCATTACCATTCAGGACATAGGCATGGGCAAGGACTTCATGTCTAAAACACCAAAAGCAATGGCAACAAAAGCCAAAATCGACAAATGGGATCTAACTAAACTAAAGAGCTTCTGCACAGCAAAAGAAACTACCATCAGAGTGAACAGGCAACCTACAAAATGGGAGAAAATTTTCGCAACCTACTCATCTGACAAAGGGCTAATATCCAGAATCTACAATGAACTCAAACAAATTTACAAGAAAAAAACAAACAACCCCATCAAAAAGTGGGCGAAGGACATGAACAGACACTTCTCAAAAGAAGACATTTACGCAGCCAAAAGACACATGAAAAAATGCTCACCATCACTGGCCATCAGAGAAATGCCAATCTAAACCACAATGAGATACCATCTCACACTAGTTAGAATGGCAATCATTAAAAAGTCAGGAAACAACAGGTGCTGGAGAGGATGTGGAGAAATAGGAACACTTTTACACTGTTGGTGGGACTGTAAACTAGTTCAACCATTGTGGAAGTCAGTGTGGCGATTCCTCAGGGATCTAGAACTGGAAATACCATTTGACCCAGCCATCCCATTACTGGGTATATACCCAAAAGACTATACATCATGCTGCTATAAAGACACATGCACACCTATGTTTATTGCGGCATTATTCACAATAGCAAAGACTTGGAACCAACCCAAATGTCCAACAATGATAGACTGGATTAAGAAAATGTAGCACTTATACACCATGGAATACTATGCAGCCATAAAAAATGATGAGTTCACGTCCTTTGTAGGGACATGGATGAAATTGGAAATCATCATTCTCAGTAAACTATCACAAGAACAAAAAACCAAACACCACATATTCTCACTCATAGGTGGGAATTGAACATGGACACAGGAAGGGGAACATCACACTCTGGGGACTGTTGTGGGGTGGGGGGAGGGGGGAGGGATAGCATTGGGAGATATACCTAATGCTAGATGACAAGTTAGTGGGTGCAGCGCACCAGCATGGCACATGTATACATATGTAACTAACCTGCACATTGTGCACATGTACCCTAAAACTTAAAGTATAATAATAAAAAATAAAAAAAAAGAATGTATGTTCCGCAGTTGTTGGGTAGAATTTTCTGTAAATATCTGTTAAGTTCATTTATTCTAGGGTATAGTTTAAGTCCATTGTATCTTTGTTGACTTTCTGTCTTGATGATCTGTCAAGTGCTGTCAGTGGAGTATTGAAGTCTCCCACTATTATTGTGTTGCTGTCTCCTGTCTTAGGTCTAGTAGTAATCATTTTATAAATTTGGAACCTCCCATGTTAGGTGCATATATATTTAGGATTGTAATATCTTCCTGTTGGACTAATCCTTTTATCATTATATAACATCCTTCTTTGTCTTTTTTTTTTTTTTTTTTTTTTTACCGTTGTGGTTTTAAAGTCTGTTTTGTCTGATGTAAGAATAGCTACTTCTGCTCGCTTTTGGTTTTGATTTGCAGGGAATATCTTTTACCACCCCTTTACCTTAAGTTTATGTGAGTCCTTATGTGTTAGGTGAATCTCTTGAAGACAGCAGATATTTGTTTGTAGATTTTTATTCATTTTACCATTCTGTATATTTTAAGTGGAGCATTTACACCATTTACATTCAACGTCAGTATTGAGATGTGAGGTACTGTTCTATTCATCATGTTACTTGTTGCCTAAATACCTTGGTTTTTTATTGTGCTACTGTTTTATAGGCCCTGTGAGATTTATGCTTTAAGGAGGTTCTATTTTGGTGGATTCCAAGGTTTTATTTCAAGATTTAGAACTCCTTTTAGCATTTCTTAGAGTGCTGGTTTGGTAGTGGCATATTCTCTCAGCATTTGTTTGTCTGAAAAAGACTTTGTCTCCTCTTCATTTATGAAGCTTCATTTTGCTGGATACAAAATAGTTGGCTGACAATTATTTTGTTTAAAGATAGGACCCCAATCAAAATCTGCTGTTGATCTGATAGGTTTTTCTTTATAGGTTACCCAATGCTTTTGCCTCACACCTCTTAAGATTCTTTCCTTCATCTTGACTTTATATTACCTGATGACTATGTGCTTTGGTGATTATCTTTTTGTGATGAATTTCCTGGGAATTCTTTGAGCTTCTTGTATTTGGATGTCTAGATCTCTAGCAAGGCCAGGAAAGTTTTTGTCAATTATCCCCCCAAATCGGTTTTCCAAACTTTCAGATTTCTCTTCTTCCTCAGGAACACCAATTATTCTTAGGTTTGGCCATATGCCATAATGCCATATTTCTTAGAGACTGTTAATTTTTTAACTTCTTTTTTATTTGTCTTTGTCTGTTTGTGTTAATTCAAAAGCCTTGTCTTCAAACTCTGAATTTCTTTCTTCCACTTGTTCTAGTCTATTGTTGAAACTTTCCACTGCGGTTTGTATTTCCCTAAGTGTGTCTTTCATTTCCAGAAATAGTGATTGTTTTTTCTTTGTGATATTTATTTCTCTGGAAAATCTTTCAACGATATCCTGTATTGTTTTTTAATTTCTTTAAGCTGGTTTTCACCTTTCTCTGGTATCTCCTTGATTAGCTTAATCATCAACTTTCTGAATTTTTTATTTGGCAACTCAGAGATTTCTTCTTGGTTTGAATCCATTGCTAGGGAGCTAGGGTGACATTTTGGGGGTGTTATAGAACCCTTTTTTTCAAATTACCAGAATTACTTGTCTGGTTCCTTCTCATTTGGGTAGACTATTTCTTGAAGATGTTTTTGAATTTATTTTTGATTGGAATGTGTGTTTTTTTTATTTCTTGTGTTTCCCTCTTGAGGATCAGACTTTAGTGTTTATTTTAGCCTAATTTGTTTCTTGATGATTGTAGAGGTGAAGACTTTGTATGAGTTCCTTAGTTATAGAGTGTCTTGGTGCACTGGCTTTCCCCAATGCTGGTTGTTGTATTTATGCTCTTGGTGTGTGGGCAAGTTCATTATCTCCTATGGAGTTGGAATGTCAGGGATGTCTTGAAACTTATCTTGTTCTCATGGTGTACACTTCGTTTATTTAATTTTACCCCAGTACTTTATTTACTGAGTTGATGATTCAGACTTCAGGCCAGTAGGAGAGGTAACCCTGGGGAGGCACCGCTTATTGCTAAGGTAGGTAAGTAGATATAATACTCAATGGTGGGCTGAGGTCCCAGCCTTGATGAGGGTGGCTGGAGGAGCTCTCAATTAGATGTGTTGAGGTTTTATCAGGGTGAAGAGTGGGGGCTACCTCAGCTCTCCTGCCAGGCAAACAGTAAAGCTATTGACCTCACAACTTTACTCCTGTTCCAGTGTTTTGGCTATTCAGATCAGACAGGGAGCTTTTTTCATCTATAGGAATGTTGATGTTCCAAGTAGGGAGGAATTATGACTCTGCTGCTCATGCAGGCCTGAATCTGTGGGGTTCTCCTCCTGTGGGGCTGTGCTCACCCTGGATTGTTCCAGGAGGGCTGTCTACAGGTGCATCCATGCTGCACATTCCTGTCAGGGCAGCCCAGGTATGTCTGCAGTGGAGTGCCAATGGGGAACAAAGACTCCTTTTCCAAGTCCCTTCATGATTACAGAGGCTGCCTGCCTGTTGGGGTAGAGGTGCAGACTTTCCCCTGCTGTGCCCAGCACTCCCATTGTGTCTCTGTTGTGAGAAACTTCTCACCAATGGAAAGATCTGGACTCAAGGCCTGCTGTTCAGAGTCTTTTGTCCCATGGGGTGATCCCTTGATGTGGTGCTCTGTCCCTTCCCCTAGGAATGGGGCTTCCTGAGAGCTTGACTGCAATCATTGTTATTGCTCTTCTGGGTTGAGCCACCCAGCAGAGCTACTAGGCTCCAAGCTGGTGCTAGGGAATATGTGCAAAGAGTCCAATGATGTGATCCATCTTCAGGTATCCTAGCCATGGATACCAGCACCTGTTCTGACAGAGGTGGCAGGAGAGTGATGTAGACTCTGTGAGAGTCCTCGGTTGTAGATTGGCTTAGTGTACTGGCTTTCTTGAATGCTAATAGACTCAGGACTTCTGGTTAGCCAGGGTGTTGCAGGCAGTGGTGTTAGCTGTTGTTTTCTCCTTTCTGGGCGCAGGGCTACTCTATCATGAGTTGCTGTAATGGCCTAGTTGGTTTGCCTCCAGCCAGGGAGGTGGCGCTTGCAAGAGAGCACTAGCTGCAGTAGTGTAGCAGAATTTGAGCTTTCCCTAAGTTGGCCAGGGGAGGTCTTCTGGTTTCTCAGGCAGTGAGTGGGGCCATAAAGCTCCCATGAGTTTGTGTCTTTTGTGTTCACCTACCAGGGCAGGTAGAGAAATACCATCAGGTGGGGGCAGGGTTAGGTGGGTCTGAGCTCAGACTCTCCTTGGGTGGGGCCTGCCACAGCCACTCTGGGGGATGAAGGGGTGGTTCTCAGGCCAATGGAGTTATGTCCTAGAGGGGAGTATGGCTGCCTCTGCTGTGCAGTAGAGTTTTCAAGGACAGTGGGGAATAGCCAGTAGCTCTAGGCCTCACCCAGCTCCCATGCAGTTGGTGAGTCTGGTCTCGCTCTTGCAGTGCCTTGCTAATGGCACCAAGTTTAGATCCAGGCAGACTGTGCACATGGAACTCACACCTTACCCCAGGCCATAAGCTACCCCACTGAGAAAGCAAGCACATGGCTTTCAGGCCTGCCCCTCTCCTTCTGCCTACAATGCTGGGCGGTCAGCTCTTACAGGCATATCTGCAGCACTTCCCACTTGTCCCCCAGATTCTGCTCAAGGGAGTTTGTGCCCACTCAAAATTATGTCATAAAATTCAGTTGGAAGCTTCTTTCACCTGCAACCCCTCTCTGAGTTCATGGCTGCCTTTCCCACGAACCCTTGTGAGATACAGTCAGGGATGGCTTCCCTGGGCTCAAGCTGGAGACTGGGAGGGCTTACCAGGCTCTTCCTGCTGCTCCTTCTGCTTTTATATTTCATGCTGCTCCCCAAATCTGTTCTGGCTCTAAGTAAGGTTAAAACCTTCTCCCGTGATCTAGATTTTTAGATTTCCCCAGTGGGGATGTTTGCTCACAGGTAGGCTGTCCCCCTCTCCCACTCTGGGAACTCAAAGTTTTTTGCCTGTCTCATGGAGTTTGCCACTTATTTCAAAGGATCTGTTTATTATTTTGGTTTTCCTGGTAAGTTCCTATGGTGATTCTTGGAACGAAAGTTCACAGTGAGAGTCTCCACACACTGTTCTGTCCTTCAAAGTGGGAGAGGCATGCTGGCACTGCTTCCTATTTGTCATCCTGGAAAAAAACATTTTTTGCATTTCTGTGCTGTGTATTGGTGATTTCTCTGTTTAAAATGGTCCTCAAATGTAGTGCTGTTTTCCTGAGTGTAGCAAGCCTGTGATGTGCCTTAAGGAGAAAATACAGTGTTAGATAAGCTTCCTTCAGGCATGAGTTAGTGCTATTGGCCATGAGTTCAATGTTAATGAATCAACTATATATTAAATATCTTTAAATAGACATACACCTAAAACAAAGTTATGTACTCATTGATTGACAAAAATATTATGACCAGAGATGCTCAGGAATTCAACACTGTATTTCCCCTTGTTTAGTACCCACTAATTTGGTGTTCATCATGACTTTATAGGACATAATTCCCATGAATAATGAGTATCAGCTATACTTTCATTTATTTTGAGAGCTATCTTCTAAAAAGGACATTAAAATAAAAAAAGCTGTCTTCTTGTCTCCAGATATAATTAGTTGCATACTTCAAAGAAATCAAAACAAAAACAATACTCTCATGTAAATACCCACTTGGTCTTACATAAAACAATCTTTTGTTCTAAGCAAAACATTTTAGGAATGCAATAACTAATTGGTGGAGGGACACATGTTAGTGAGACTCTTAGTCACAGTCAATATTTATTGAATGGCTCCTGAGCTCCTCCTATGAGTAACTCTAGCTAAGGCACATTTTGCAGTAAATGGATAAAAACTCTGAAAGAATAATTAAGATTCCAGAGAGTAAACTAAGATTCATATGTGTTCATGAGTCTTTGAATGAAAATATTGAGCAAGAAAGAAAGGCACAATCATAAAATTATTCATATAATGAAGGCCAAGGGAAAACAGGACTCAACATGAATACAGTCTTTGAGAATGCATCTATTGTATGAGGAGATTCAAATGCATGTTGTCTTGTTAGGGCACAGGGTATCCCCAGAAAGCTTTGAGCCCCAGAGAGGTGATGTTAGATATGTGGAAGAGGACAGGCAGTATCATCTGTAAAAGGTCAGTCGCTACCATCAGCCAGACCAGTGTCTGGGTCCTAGATCCACTTTACTGGCTCAGTGACATGGCAAAAGACACCCTTTGCATGGGCCCCAGTTTCTTCATTTATAAAATGGGAGTAATAAGAGTAATAATACAAATATAAAAAGACATTTTATGAGTGCTGACTAGGCGCCAGGCACTCTGCTGGGAGCTTTTCATGCATTACCTCATTTAATTTTCCCAACTGTCCAGGTGACTGCTATCACTAGCCCCACCTTATACAGGTGAAAAGAAAGTCAGAGAAGTTAAACAATCTTGCCAAGAATTAGGGCTGGCAGAGTCAAAACTTGATCCCAGGTGTCTGACTCTATCTAATCATGTTGTTTGTGAAAGTTAAATGAGATAATGTATATAAAATGCTTAGCACAATGCCAGGAATATAATAAGCACATATTATACATGTAATAAAAGATCCTTATTTATTTATTTATTTATTTATTTTTGAGACAGTCTTGCCCTGTCGCCCAGGCTAGAGTGCAGTGGCGCAATCTCGGCTCACTGCAACCTCCGCCTCCTGGGTTCAAGCAATTCTCCTGCCTCAGCCTCCCAAGTAGCTGGGATTACAGGCACCCGCCACCATGCCCAGCTAATTTTTGTATTTTAGTAGAGACGTTTCACCATGTTGGCCAGGCTGGTCTCGAACTTCTGATCTCAAGTGATCCGCCAGCCTCAGCCTCCCAAACTTCTGGGATTATAGGTGTGAGCCACCGTGCCTAGCCAAAACATCCTTTTAAATAAGAATGTCCAACCATATTTCCATTCTCACAACAACCAACAGATCAACAAGAGTTACCAACGGCTGTGTAGAAGGTTTGTGTGGAGACAATATACTGAATTCTCCTGCAGCTGAAAGCACCACAGGGAAGAGTCCTTTCTACCTCACCAGGAAACGCATTCCAAATAGCCCCCTGGAGAAATTTCTATCTATCCTCATGAATGGATGTAAATTGGGAAATCAGACCCAAGATTTGCTTTTAAAATCTCTCCCGGCTGGGCGCAGTGGCTCATGCCTGTAATCCCAGCACTTTGGATGGCAGAGATGGGCAGATCACCTGAGGTCAGGAGTTCAAGACCAGCCTGGCCAACATGGTGAAACCCCATCTCTACTAAAAATACAAAAAAAATTAGCCAGGCATGGTGGCACGTGCCTGCAATCCCAGCTATTCGGGAGGCTGAGGCAAGAGAATCGCTTGAACCCAGGAGTTGGAAGTTGCAGTGAGCAGAGTTCACGCCACTACACTAAAGCCTGGGTGACAGAGCGGGACTGCATCTAAAAAAAAAAAAAAAAACCTCTCCTGTAGAGGTTAAAACTTCAGATGGCTTATCTCAGCCCTTCTTAAATCTATTTGTTTAATCAATCTGATATCGTTAACTTGTTTTTTGTCCCAGTTTCAGATATAACTATATTGTTTTCATGAAAAACATTTTAGGTACAGAGTGAAGCCAGCTGTATAAGCCAAGCTTCTGACATGCTAAAACAGAACACATTTTGGTATCTAAAGGTTTTCATCCCCTCTTGTAGGAAAGGGAACTAGAGAGAAAACAAAGCTCTCTAGAGTACCATATTTACTTACATAGTCTTCTTTCGCATTTAATACCTGTTTCATCAAGCTATCACAGTCAAGTTTCTCCTAGTCTAGCATTTTAAGCTTGGACGAGCGTAGTTATGAGCAGGGATTACTGATTGTCCTTTTATCTTCTGCAAACAAGAGGACGGCTGGCCCTCACTAGGCCTCCAGGGGTTCCTGGCAACTCCAGCCACTCATGAGGTGGAAGAATACACGGAAAAAGTTAAAACAAATGAAGATATTTCCTCCTCAACATTTGGAAACCTTCTGCTGGCCGAGAATGCCTGAACTTGAACAGTAAGCCCTGAGAGTGAGTCCAAAAGAACACCCTGTGGCATTAACAAGACTGGACAGATAACATGTATGCTAATACGGAACAATTGCTAGCATACACTGTTAAGTGAGAAAACTCAACCATATATATACAGTACTACTATTTGAACATCTATAGAGTTGTACATCTATAGACTCTTTGTCCAGAAGAATACACACAAAACTAGCAAGAGTGGTTACCTCAGGGGAAGGGGCTAAGTGTAGGGGTAGACTTGTTTTTCAACCTATATCATTTGGTACTTTTGAATTTTTATTATAAAGAAGGTTTAAGCAATCAGTTGTAAGTTGGAAGCTGCATTGAGAGCAGCAATGACCTCCTATCTGGATAATCTGCTCTCCCCAACTGCGGAAGATCAGAAAACTGGGGTGAGATGTGTCCTCAGGGTAGAGAAAGAGAAATCTAAAAAGAGTTCTGATAAGACATTTCCCAGGTTAACATCCATGGCTTTCCCTGATCACATCCTCCTGTAAAGACTTGTCCTCTTCACATATTAGCACAAAGGATGCAAAATGTAAAGAGAGTACCTAAAAAGTAACAAACAAACCTACCCCAAAAAAGCAGTTTAAAAAAAAAAAAACCTATTCCAAAAAAGAATCATTTCAGAAAAGATAAGGAAATTGTATATTCTTTTACTCTATTTATAAAGAAACAGAACTTAGGTTCTTTGGAGAAAGTAAAGAAAAAAACCATAGAATCAAAGATTATAGGATGAAAGAATAAAAAGAAATTTTAAAATGAACTGAAGAAGTATTGGAAGAAATTTAAAATAATACCAACATAGGAATAGAAATCAGTCACATTAGAGGTAGCAAGAAGAAAATATAATACTGAAAACAGGAATATGGAGGTATAGCTCAAGAAATTCATACAAAATTAAATGGAAAATAACAGATGATGAAAGAGATTATAGAGAAGATACTTGCATTAGAAGTAGCCAGAAGAATAGATGATACAGAAAATATAGTCATTGTAAGGATGTTCTTCATGTCTACGGTCTTCCTAATGTGGAGAAACAAATATTCAAAGATATAAAAAAGCAAACCTGAAATACAGAAAAATATAAAAATCTACTGACTACAATCTGTAGAACATACAATTTTTGTTCAAGGAAAAATACAGTCTCAAGTTTGAACCCTATCTTAGTGAGGACCCTGAAGTTAAGAATAAAGAAAGAGTCCTACAGGCATTCAAAAATTAAAAGCATGTTCCCCAAAAAGAGAAAATCCCTGACCTCAGTCTTCTCGATGGCAACATTCAGTGCAAAAAGTTGGTGAAACAATTTCTACAGAATTCTGATGGGGAAAAAAATGTGTGGCCCAAGAAACACATGTTTTATGTTTAAAAGTAGCAGAAAAATAATTTTAATAATGTAAAACTCTAATAACATAGCACATACATGAGTCCTCAAAAAAAAAAAAAAGACACTTGATGATAAAATCTAGCCAACCCAACCCAAAGATAAGTAAAAAGTGTTTAAAGTCATGTCATGAATGGGAAAGTCATGGATGAAAGAAGTGTTGGTGAGCACTGAGTGTATAATAACGCTCCCAGAGCTCAGCTTGATATACTTTATAAATCTCGGTAGTATAAAAAAATAATAAAAAGTAAGATGAGGGGAAGGAGCTGGAAGAAAGTATGAAATATAACTTTTCCTCTTCCTTTATGATGTGGTATGAAAACTGTCCAAGATTGATAAAACAAAAATTAGAAGTTTAACTATATCAAAATTTCAAATATTATTATTAGAAGACAAGGAAAAAGAAAGCACAGAACAAATAGCAAAAAAAAAAGTAAGGAAACAATATAAATAGAAAATATAAACATACTGTAACCAAATAAATAGTGTGACAAAATTAGATGTAACCCATATATCTGTTATTTAAAAATATACAAATGAGGTAAACGTACCTACTAAAAGAAAAAGACTATCAGTCTGGATTAACAAAACTCATCTATCTTTCATGGTAATAGTAAATATATATATACATAGAGGACTTGGATAGAAAATTTATGGTACATTCATATGATAGAATATATGACAGTCATTAAGAAAGATTTTGATATATAAGAAATGATGTAGAAAGAAGTCCAATATAAATAAATAGAAAAATATTTCAAGAATAATACATATTATCCCAATTGTGTTTTACAAAAGATATATGTTGTGCACATATACTTTTATACATTTGCCTATATAAATGTGTTTGCCTATGTATAAATGTGTGTATATTCAGAAGTTTAGCAGCAGGGGAGGGGGACTGGGGACAGAAGTTTACCTCATAAGGAGGAGTATTTTATCCCTGACATTGTTCAGAATTAGTGGTGCATGGCACTGATAAAAAGTATATTTACAGCTGGACATAGTGGCTCATACCTGTAATCCCAGCACTTTGGGAGGCTGAGGTGGGCAGGTCACAAGATCAGGAGTTCGAGACCAGCCTGACCAACTTGGTGAAACCCCCATCTCTCCTAAAAATACAAAAATTAGCTGGACGTGGTGGTGGGTACCTGTAGTCCCAGCTACTCAGGAGGCTGAGGCAGGAGAATCGCTTGAACCAGGGAGGTGGAGGTTGCAGTGAGCCGAGATCGCACCACTGCACTCCAGATTGGGCAACAGAAAAAAAAAAAAAAAAGCATATTTACTTTTAGAAGGTTGTGTTATTTTTTACAATTCTTTTATAACAATGCACCTCCTTATTGCCTGCACCTGGGGTACTCCATTCCAATCTCCTTGCTCTCGGGGTGTGTGTGTGTGTTTGTGTGTGTGTGTGTAACATCTAGCATAAAACACAAGTGTGTGTGAGAGTGAATGTGTATGTGTATTTTACAGCTGGACTCATGGATAACACCCAGTTAATGGTGTCACTAAGGAGTACAATTAGAGGATGTATAAAGAAGAGAGAGCTGACAAACTTTTCTGTACTATATGAAAATTTTACAGTGGGAAATAACTATTTACAATATAGTTTTTTCAATAAGAAAAATAAGAAGAGTTCATTTTATTAATAACAAAAATAAAACAGTTGTGCGTGGGAAGTAGTAGTTAATGTACTTGAACACTAAATTTAGTTTGGTGCTCCTGCCAGATGTAGCAAAAACGAATGCAGCTTGGGCTACCCAGAGTTTCTTTCAGACAAAAGAAAACATACTTTTTCTTCCATTTTCCAATACCTAGCCCAGAGCCTGGTGCACAAAAAAACATTCCATAAAGGTTTGGTGGGAGAATTAATACATTAATCTGGTCAAAGATTTTTTTTTCCTATCAATGAATTTTAGGAAATGTAACATGACTCGTATAACCAGTAACACTTTCAAAAATAAACATACAAAAAATACAAAGACACTTGCAAAATGACCTTTGTTCCATCAACTCTCAAGACTTTCAAAAGCATAATATTCAGTCTTAACTCCTGCTAGACTTTTCTTTAAGGACCTCAAAAGCATTCACTTGCTGCTTCCTGAATTAATATACAAATGGTACTTAGAGGATTCAGTGAAAGTGACGTGGAGCGTGTCCCTTAGACTATCTCCTTCAAGTGACAGATGTCTCGAGTAGCCTTTAGCAATTGCTAGCTTGCAGACAACTTCCAGTTGAGTCTCTCACAAGTGTGAGAAGTGCTGTGTTTGTTGTTGTTGTCTAAAGAGTCATCCATTCTCCTTAGACAGCTGGTGAGCTGGTGACAGAGTTGATGTTGCATTCATCTGCTTAAGGACTAATTTGCTCATTCCTGTGGCAGAAATAAAGTGGGTTCTTTTTCTTGTGTCTAATGGGAGTTTACAAAAAGAGCCAGACTCACAGTGCAGGCAAAAAACCAATTAAGCTTTCATTCTACTTCCTATTCTCCCCAGACCCAGTGGAGAGGAAAAGGAAGTGTCCCCAGATGAAGTTAGGAGTTCAGGGTTATAATTTCTTACCACCTAGGCAGTTATGCTCACATTGATGGCAGAAAGGGACAGGTGATGCCATCTTAACATTTCATGGAGTCCCAGCAGGTGAAACAGCAGTGGCCAGGACCCAACACAGATCCTGTTGGCTTAAGCTGACCCCAAGAGATGGACATTGGGCTTCTCCTCAAATGAGACCACCTGAGTATGGTCCTGACTGTTGCTGAGTGACACTTTCAAATACAGGCTTACAAAATATACACACACAGCTAGGAGACGATCATGCAGTAATATGCTTATCATGGCATTGGCACAAAATCAAACTTCAGTATTCCAATAGTGCATTAGCCAGGCTCATATCTAAGGCTACGTACTTTTCCTACTCTACAAGACAGATTGGTGACCAAAGACAGGAAGTCTCATTGCACAGTGGCATTTTCATAGAGCTACCCAGGCCATAGGGAAGATTGTTCCAGGGATCCCTACCATAATAATTTTCTGTTGTGGATATTTATGGACTTAATTTCTACTTAGATATCAGATGAATGGAGGCTGACCAGAGAGGTAATGGCAGAAAGAACTAACATTTCTGTCCTTAAAGGGGGCTTTAAATCCTCTTATGAATTTGGAAACATTACCCCCTTCAGGGATCTGCCTCAATGACACTTTCTCCAGATAGGCTTCTCCGTTATCCTTTCTTTTTGCTCCCCATGCAGGGATGGTGGTGGGAGGCTCTGAACTGGAAATTCTAGGACATGACTAGACCTTGTGGTAGATGTAAATGGACCTGAGGAGGTCTAGCCATCTGTCTCTCTCTCCTCTTCTCTCCCATGCTCCCTGTTTCATTTTCTATCCTTTGATGGGCTGAAGAGTGGTCAGAAGGTTTGGGTTTTAGGGGAGGTAGAGGTTCCCTTTAGACCTCCAGCCTAAGCCACAGACTTCCTCAGTGGGGTTTCTGGCACAGCATCACATCATAGTAACTTTTCTTTGCCATCGTCCTCTGGAAATATGCTTTCCTTGTAACGTCACAGAGGAAGGGAGCTGCTTAGAGGTAGGGCCATGAGTGAGTGCCCCATCCATAGCACCTCGCATGGCACCTTGCATATAGTGAGCAAGCAAATATTTGTTGAGCTGAGAGAGTTTGAAGTCTGTCACATGTAAGGAACTAAAGTTCCTGGTGAAAGTGACCTTGGTTTCCACAGTGACAAAGCATCAGGAATGGCTGCATCAAGGAGAATCCTCTGGAAGTCCTCTCAAGTGGAGATGAATCAATTGAATAGAATGGAGTCTGCTAAGATAAAAAGTGTTCCATTCCAGTCACTTAAAGTTCCTCTATGGCTGTGTTTTACAAGGTGTGGTATGTGTCCCCATGTAGGTATACAAGAGGACTTAATGCTTAACGTGTACACAAGCAAATATTTTATTATAATAATTGTTCTGAATGTATTTAATATTAATTAGGAAAAACATAAGTAATATATTCAAAAATATGATTCCACAGATACTACTTATTATAATAAGACAAAAGTGAATATTATGTTATAGTTGTTTCAGTAGATTTAAACAAGTTAATAATAATAGCATAATAATAAATACAAATCATAGTCTAGGTGATGTAAAGTCAAAATGATAAAGATGAGTGTATGAAAGATTGAAATTAGAGAAACACTACCCGTATCCCCTTAAGTTCATAATATGTGCTGCTTGCAGACCTGGCCAGTAGCAGAAAGTTGGAGACCTCCTATGATGGTCAAAAATCACCTTAGCATACACCCTGAATGGCCTTTAATAACTCAGCCACATCCAGTAGCTCTACTGAGTTACTTTTGAGGCTGTACTTATTGTCCTCTAGATGGAATCTTTCTTCTTCATCTCTGCAGAGTTTCTAAAAGAGTGTCATGTGGTGTGGCTGTCCCAGATGGCTGGCTTTGCAACCTAGAAGGCTTTCCAGGAAGAGGCGGAAGATCATATGGATCGTATGGGGGATCTGGGCTCTATGGAGATGGCCTACCTTGTCTGTGCCTGGGATAGCCCCTGGGCTGCACCCCTAGCTTGGGACTTTCTATTTCCCATTTTAAAATATGAAAACTGGCTGGGTGCAGTGGTTCATGCCTATAATCCCAACACTTTGGGAGGCAAAAGCAGGAGGATCATGTGCGTAAAGGAGTTTGAGATCAGCCTGGGCAACATAGTGAGATTCTGTCTCTATAAATAAAGTAAAATATTTATGAAATTTAAAAAGAAAAAGATGAAAATTGGTGATATGATGCAAATTTTTTAAAAGAAATATAACCTAGAACTGTAACAAGTAGAGTGATAGGAGTAAGATGAAGTCTGCTGAGATGAAAGAAAGCCCAGCGAGTAAGTGCCCAGAGCATGTGAGGAGTCAAAGCTGAGCCATGGACTGGCAGGCTGAGAGCCTTTGAGGCAGGGCCAGTCAATCACCAAGCCTAAAAGAAGTAGCTCTCAGGGTCCATCCTAAGGCATGATTGTGTTGTTTTAGAAGAATAATAGCTTGAGAAGGTATTAGGTTTTACCTTTAATGGCAAAAACCACAATTACTTTTGCACCAACCTAATAAAATGTTAATGGCAGTGAACTATGATGTCACAGTGAGGATGAAATCAAGACTGGGGATGCAACGTAGAGAATCCTGTCAAAATCCTAGTACAGGCTAAACTCTGTGAGCTGTGATCAGAATACTTGGACATTCTGGCACCAAGGGTGTGGTCAGGAATGGAAACTCCTCCCCAGGACCAGACAGTCCTAGGTGGAGACCTAGGTTGCTGGAATGCCCTGGGTCCCCTTCTGGGCAAAGCAGACATGGGGTGGCTCCTGGCACATACATTGTCATATTTGTATCAAGAAAAGCTGCTGCTCTGTGTCTTTAATATAGACGTTGGTAAAATAGTGTAACAAAAGAAGAAAAGAAAAGCTGCTACCCAAGCAATGCCAACTAGACCCAGAATTTGGGGAAGCAATTCCTTGAGGATGCTCACATGCAAGAGACAGGGGGAAGGAGGAGCAGGGGAAAACAGCAGCAGCAGAGGCAGTGACAGCTCCAAGACTGACAGGCTAACCATCAAGCACAAGAGAGTCACTGGAGCCAGGAGCCAGAGCCTCTATTATAAGGAAATGCCAAGCTGATCACTCCAGAACCATGTCCCAGATCTCCAGGAGTCTTGAGTGCACAGCTGCTGAGACATCTGCTGTCCCCTTAATTCCAGGGACCTTCACATAGCCTTCCGATCCTGGAGCATGGCTTTGGTCCTCAAGTCTGGGAGAGCCTAATTAATACACAAGGGGCCTAAATGGAACAAGGCCCTTGGGTCATACCAGGTACCCATGGTCAGTTGTCACACAGGCATCACGAGGGCCAGCTGAGACAATGAAGGGTGAGGAAGTGGGTACAGAGGAGCCAGGACACTGCTGATACTGATGATATTAATAGCCCCAAACAGATTCATAAGGCAGGTGGTCAAAAGTCAAGAGCTAGGAGTGACATAAAGAGAAGGGCAGATTCAAAGCATTAGCTCCAAGGAAAAATTTAACAGCCACCACCAAGTAATAAATCACAGTAACTCCTCCTGTAGCTCATCTCAGACACCTTCCTCCGGGCTTGGTTAAGTCCCCTTAGGGGTAAGAATAGCATCCTATTCTATCTATCTATACACTTGTCACGCTGTATTGTTATCGTCCTCTTCCCCCGTTAGGATAGAGACTATTTTTAATACCAGTATATACTGGAGGAGAGAGAGAGATTAGGTGAACTTGGACTGAACCAGCAAAGTTCCACACAGCCAAGTCACTTGGAGATCCCAAAGGGTGTGTTATCACAGAGTTGCAACTATATTTCAAAAATTAGCTCATGTTTACTGATTCTTAAAGGTAGCTGATGATGCAAGAGGGTGCTTTTGTCAAATCCAGTTTCACCCCTTCACTGTGTTAGCATGGCACTTCTTTTTCTCTCCATGAAGCTCCATCCTTCCTCATCTTTGAAGTCACTGTCTGCTTGACATGAAAAATGTCCTCTAGAAAATGTAATCACTAATTACATCAATGAAAAACCACCAGCTCTCAAATGTGGAATGATTAACCACAAGAAAACAAATTTTCAATAATAATTTTCTAGTCCTTGGTTTTCCACGAAAGTTGGTTGTCTGCCTGTGCAGTGGGTTTTCCTTGAGTCCTTTAATGTTTTACCCACCACCAATTCCCAGGAGAAATCCTCTAACAAAGTTGGCATTCTGTTTCAAGAAAAGTCTTGACTCCATGTCACCTGAATTGCTCTCCTTGGTTCTCTTCCAAGCACACAATTTCTTTCAAAGCCCTTCACGTTAAGCTCCTGCATTTTCTTTATTATTATTATTATTATTATTATTATTATTATTATTATACTTTAAGCTTTAGGGTACAAGCACACCAACATGGCACATGTATACATATGTAGCTCCTGCATTTTCTTGACTTCTGAACTTTCAGCCCTAGATTTTCCTCACACTCCACCCCACTGTCTCTGCTTTCTGAGTTTCTTCCACCCAGAGCTTTGCATGCTATCCTCCTGTGAGATCAGTCATGAGGCAGAGCCCTGTGCTTCTTGCTGTGCACCATTCATGTGGCCCTCAGGCCATCAGAGGTGGTAGGTTATGTGTGACAGAAGGGTGGCCCTCCCATGTTTCCCAGGGCTCCTCCATCGCTCTCAGAGAATGTTCTCCAGGGGTTGTCATCTCTCTATTCCACAGACAGCTATGAAGCCCCTGCTGGGTCCCCTGCTCTGCGCTAAGGCTGAGGTGGGGACAAAAAACAATCAGATAGGCTGTAAAGCTCCTGGGTCACATCTGGCTAATGCCTTCCATTCAAGTCCCAGCTCAATTGTCACCTTTTCTGTGAAGGCTTTCTTGACTAGTACTCCCTCCTCTTTGACCCCATAGCCCTCTGTTCATATTTCTGTATGGTGCTCATCCCGTGATAGGATTTAAGGGAAACTACAAATGTCACCCCTCCACTGTGCTTTTGGAATCAATTGAGAAATGCACATGAGTCTGAGAGATGGAGCTCACAATATCAGCTTCATTACTTAACAGATAAAGCTGGACATGGAAAAGCGATGCACCTGCAGCCAAACGAGCTTCCTAATATGCCACACACCCCCAGTACGCTCACCCTGTCTTTGTCCTGACTTATTCACCTGGTCACCCGGAGCTGCTGGAGCACTTCAGGCCTCCCATGACAGAGTAAATCTCTTGTCACACAGAGGAGAATGCATGCGTGCATACCTGCTAAGAGGAAGCTGTTTTCAAAGAGAAGGAAAAGGGCCATTTGAGAATGGAGACCTTTAATTTAATACATCCTTCTTTCCCACGTGGAGCAGTGGGTGTTAATTTCTCCCCTTCCCAGCAAACAGGTAAGTCACTCCTCCTGCTCCAGGAAAGAGGAGGTGAGAGGTGGCAGGCAGGGCAGAATATCTCCAATATCCTCGAGAAGGCTGGGGCAGAGACAGAAATGTAAGAAAATAGTCAACACACACACGTACACACGCACACAGCCCTAGGGACTATAATTTTCTGCATAAAATTCTGCTTCTTATGCTGGACTTTGAGCTTCTCAAGGGCAAGAACTAACTCATTCATTTTTGCATAAAAGGAAAATGAAAAAAAAGTCTTGGCTGTCACAGAGGCTTATTTGATAGAACTTGCTGGATAAATAAATGTGGAACACCCTGTCTCCTGTCCTTTAGGCTATTTGCCCACCTATGGGAGGGAGGTAAGTCAGTGACCTCAGTGCTAATGAGGTCTGAAGGGATGAGAAATCCTCTTGGCCATAGCTGGTCTGTAGATTCCCTCCACATCTGCTGGCATCCCAAGATAACCAGGGTCCTTCTAACTGTCTTGGCTGAACCTCATGAAGTGACTGGGACTCTGTCACCTTCTTCCCCTCCCACAATGGTAATCCGCAAGGAGCGATCTTTGATGTTACTATTATTTTTATTTTGGGGCATCACAAACTGTACTCATATAAGATGGTAAACTTACTCAGTAAATGTTGTCTGTGTTCTGACTGTTCCACTGACCGGCAATTCCCCTATCTCTCCCCTCTCCTCTGGTCTCCCTATTCCCTGAGACACAACAATACTGAAATTAAGCCAGTTAATAATCCTATAATGGCTTCTAATTGTTCAAGTAAAAGGAAGAGTTGCACATATCTCTATTTATTCTTCTTTTTATTTATTTTTTGAAACAGAGTCTCACTCTCTTGCCCAGGCTGGAGTGCAGTGGTGTGATCTCAGCTCACTGCAACTCTTACCTCCTGGGTTCAAGTGATTCTCGTACCTCAGCCTCACAAGTAGCTGGGACCATAGGCATGCACCACCACACCTGACTAATTTTTGTAGTTTGGTAGAGACGGAGTTTCCCCATGTTGGACAGGCTGGTCTTGAACTCCTGACCTCAAGCGATCCATTCTCCTTGGCCTCCCAAAGTGCTGGGATTACAGGCATGAGCCACTGCACCAGGCCTGGACATATCTCACTTTAAATCAAAAATTAGAAATGATTAAGCTTCTTGAGGGAGGCATGTTGAAAGCCAAGATGAGCAAAAAGCTAGGCACCTTGGGCCAAACAACCAAGTTTTTAATGCAAAGGAAAAGTTCTTGAAGGAAATTAAAAGTGTGACTCCACTGAAAACATAAATGATAACAAGGCAAAACAGCCTTACTGCTGAGATGGGAAGGTTTAAGTGGTCTAGATAGAAGATCAAACCAGCCACAACACTGCCTTAAACCAAAGCCTAGCCCAGAGCAAGGCTCTAACACTCTTCAATTCTATGAAGGCTGAGAGAAGTGAGGAAGCTACAAAAGAAAAGTGTGAAGCTAGCAGAGATTGATTCACGAGGTTTAAGAAAAGAAGCTATCTCCGTAACATAAAAGTGCAAGGTGAGGCAGCAAGTGCCGATGAGAAACTGCAGAGAGTTGTCCAGAAGGTCTAGCTAAGATTATTGATGATGGTAGTTACCCTAAACAACAGATCTTTGATGTAGATGAAGCAGCCTTACATTGGAAGAAGATGCCATCTAGGACTTGCCTAGTTAGAGAGGTGAAGTCAATGCTTGGCTTCAAAGCTTCAAAGAACAAGCTGACTCTCTTGTTAGGGGCTATGCAACTGGTGACTTTAAGTTGAAGCCAAGACTCATTTACCATTCTGAAAATCCTAAGGCCCTTAAGAATTATGCTGAATCTACTTTGCCTGTGCCCTATAAATGGAAAAACAAGGCCTGGATGACAGCACTTCTGTTTACAGCATGGTTTACTATTTTAAGCCCCTGGTTGAGACCTATTTCTCAGAATAGAAAGATTCCTTTCGAAATATTGCTTCTCATTGACAATGCGCCTGGTCATGCAAGGGCTCTGATGGAGATGTACAAGGAGACTAATGTAGTTTTCTTGCCTGCCAACATAACATCCATTCTATAGCCCATGGATCAAGAAGTAATTTTGACTTGCAAGTTTTATTATTTAAGAAATAAATTTTGTAAGGCCATAGCTGCCATAGTGATTCCTCTTGTGGATCTGAGTAAAGTATATTGAAAACCTTCGGAAAAGGATTCACCATCCTACATGCCATAAAGGACATTTGTGATTCACAAAAACGGGTCAAAATATCAACATTAACAGGAATTTGGAAGAAGTTGATTCTAACCCTCATGGATTACTTGGAGGGGTTCAGAACCTCAGTGGAGGAAGTAACTGAAGATGTGGTAGAAATAGCAAAAGAACTACAATTAGACCCATAAGATGAATTGCAATCTTATGATCAAACTTTAAAGGATGAGGAGTTGCTTTTTGTGGAAGAACAAAGAAAGTGGCTTCTTGAGATGAAATCTATTCCTGAAGATGCTGTGAACACTGCTGAAATGACAATAAAAAATTTCAAATATTACTTAAACATAATTGATAAAGCAGTGGCAGGATTTGAGAGGACTGACTGCAATTTTGAAAGAAGTTCTACTATATGGGTAAAATGCTGTTAAACGCATCACAAGCTACAGAGAAATCTTTTGTGAAAGAGAGTCAATCAACATGACAGACCTCATTACTGTCTTATTTTAAGGACTTTCCACAGCCACCCAACCTTCAGCAACCACCACCCCAATCAGTTAGCAGCCATCGATAACCAGGCAAAACCCTCCACCAGCAAAACGACTGTGATTCGCTCAATGTTCAGATGATTGTTAGTATTTTTTAGCAACAAATTATGTTTTAATCCAGGTATGTACATTGTTTTTTAAACATAATGCTCTTGCACATTTAATAGACTACAGTATAGTGTAAACATAACTTACATGCACTGGAAAAGCAAAAAAAATCGTGTGACTCCCTGTACTGAGATATTTGCTTTATTGCAGTGGTCTGGAACCAAATCTGCAATATCTCCGAAGTACATCTACAGTCAGTAGGAAACATGTGGCAGAGTGGAAAACAGAAGTGGCCTGCAAATATGTCTGCCTTTTGTCTTAAAAGCCTAAGCCCACAGAGAAGTGATATTTGGTAAACATAAATAGGGTTTCTACAAAAAAATTAAAGGGATTAGAATCTCCTTATTTTTAGATATTTTCCTTCAGATTTGTGTTGAAGAGTGGAAGGGAAAGAAAGAGAGAAGGAGGAAAAGGGTGAAAAGGAGGGAGACAAGGAGGGACAAAGAAAGAAAGAAAGAAATGAAGGAATAGAGATCAGTTGTTCAGTGGTATAATTATAAAAGCAAAAATGAGCCAAGTCCTGGCAGCCCCAGTGGAAAAGAAAAAAGACTCCAGAGAAAAATGACTGCATAGTACATCATGGCAAGTTGGACTAGAATCAAAGCCAAAGTTGTCTATGTGTCAAGCACAGCCCAGAGGCAGCAGAGAATCACCACATCTAAGGACCATGGGAAAAAGGATGACCGTGTTCACAACAAACCCGACCTGGGTGGGCTCCCAGGACCAAATAAGCCTGCATTCTTGAACACCCTAATTCAAACTTAAAGGTTTACGCCTGCCGCATGAGGACTAATTTTTCTCTGAAGACAACATTGTCTGATTCCATATGAAGAAGGCATATCCCTCTGTTAGCATGACTTTGACCCCGTTCCTCGTAGAAACAATAACCCTAGTGCTACTGCACGAAGGAGCACGTGACTACCCCCAGGTATCTGTGAATTGCACTATCTAATAATGGCTCCTAACAGATTTTTTTTAAATACTAAATTGCTGCCCCAATGAAAGAACAGAGATGGGGATGGGGACCAGTTCTGAGGTCATCTTGCAAAATCACTGAATGACAGACTCAGCCTGAGGGTGAACTGGATATAACCAGCACTGACTGGCACGGCTCAGTCTCTATGCATCCCATCAGGCCAGGGAACTGCTGAGCGAGAGAGACCAAGACTTGGAACTCTGGGGAAGGTAGAAGCAGCTGAGCAGAAAGAAGGCAGCAAAGGAGCTTGTGCCCAGCCCCCTGGGAGGGCAAACCTCGTGTGAATCACCAGCAACCGTGAACATCTGTTTTATTGAGGCCCGTATGGAAAAGCAGAGTTGCATAGTTGAAAGAGCCCAAGTTTTGGTGCTTACCTATTAACTTGAACCTTAACTCTGCCACTTATTAGCCATGTTTTGTTGGGCAAGTTAGTTAATTTCTCTAAGTCTTCGTTCCCTGAGCTCTAAAACAGGATTACAGCAGTACCTAATTCAGAGGAATTGTGGAGTGGGTTGAGTGAAATGCAGCACATCAAGCTTCTAGCACAGGGATGTCCAGTCTTTTGGCTTCTCTGGGCCACATTGGAAGAAGAATTATCTTGGGCCACACATAAAATAAACTAACACTAATTATAGCTGATGACCTAAAAAGAAAAAAAATCTCATAATGTTTTAAGAAAGTTTACGAATTTGTGTTGGTCCACATTCAAAGCCATCGTGGGCTGCATGCAGCCCACAGGCTGCGGGATGGACAAGCTCATTCTAGCATTTCTAGCACAGTATTTGACACAGAGCCAAGGATCAATAAACAGCAAAGGTGGTCATTGCCACTAGAAGGCCATGGAGACTCCACCGTGTCATAATTCAGAATGTCGGTCAGGAGGAGCACAGGGCCCTGGAGCCAAAATGCTTAAGTTAAAGTCCAGGCTCGATCCAGGCTCTGTGACCCAGAGCCAGTTGTTTAACCTCTCTGTGCCTCAGTTATATAAACAGGAAAATGGGTCAATATCAATGCTTTTCCCCTTGGTGTTAAATTGATCTAAATTTAGCCTGAGCTTGCATCTGCAATTGGGTCCTTCATAAAGAGCAAGGAACTGCAGCCTGGCTTAGTGTGGAAACTAACTGAAAGCCTAATTTAGGAATATACTTTTGTAACAAACAGCTGAGTCTCAGCCCATTACAGCAGCTGAGCTTCAGTCATTCACAGGCAACCAACGGATTCAAATAAGGCAAGCACAAGCTGTAACCAATTAAGCTGTACACCTCACTTCCGTTTTCTATCCATAAATACTGTCTGACCGTGTTGCTGGCCAGAGTTCCTAGAACCTGTTCTGGTTTTGAAAGCTGCCCAATTTGCAAATTGGTTTTTTCTCAATTAAACTCTGCTAAACTTAACTTGCTGAGGTTTTTTTTTTTCCCTTTAACATTGGTTAGTAGGAGATGGAGGTGCCTGGGGATGCCAGCAAGGCATCAGAACAGGTTTGGCACATGGTTCACGGGATAGGTTACATACAAATGGCTATGTCACTTTTTGCACACTCTGTTTAAGAATAGAGGAAAAGAGAAATGTTCATGAAAAGATGTTGTCAAATGGCTAATATTAAACTTAGATTCCTACAGAATAAATCTTCCCTTATCAGGAAAATTCACTTTTCCTGTATCACTTCACTTCACTTCACTTCTACAGAAGATAACCTCATACTACTCGCCAGCAAGCAGCATTTGCAAGTCTTTATTATTGAGCCCAGATGAAAGTATGATTAGGGACTGGCTGACCCGGGTCAGACTGCCTGAGTCCATCCAAGTCCTGGTCCTGCACTTCTCGGCTATGCAACCTTAGGTTAGTTAACTTCCCTTTGTTTCAGTTTCTTCTACCTCTAAAATGGAAATAATAAAGCCTGCCTCTGAGGGTGGTTGTGAAGGACAGCACCTGGCACATCACACTCAAAAAAATGCTATCAGTTATTGCTATTAGGAGTTGAAATAACTAACAGTAATTTAATTGGGATTGTTATTCTCGTCCCCATTTTACAATCAAGAAAACCAAGGCAGCAAGTTGTTGCAGGAGTTGGCTGCAGAAGTCTGCTTATTCCATTGAACTCCACTCTGAACGTAAGATTGATTTTTGGTGTGTTGGTACCAGTTGTGAATGACTTTATTTTCCCCTTGTGCATTTTAGAAACAAGGAGGTCAGTATTCTATGACAACTCACCTACCCCTTCAGACTTGATAGACACCTTTCAGTTTCCTCCATAAAAATAGAAGTGTGGTGCTCAGAATAGAATGGCACATTGGAAAATTTCCCCAACAAAGTGAGATCTAATTGCGGAAAATAGGAGCCAGCCTTCAACTTGGCTTCTGCTCAACCTAGAGACAGAAAAGAGTGATGTCATCGCTCCCCCACCTCACCCAGGCCTTTCTGTACATAGTTGGCGAAGAAAAGAAAAATGGACAGAAGAGAAGGAGATTCCACTGTTTCATTACAGTGATAAGAGCATATGACGATAGAGTAGTTTATACCCTAAATCCTAGAAGGAACTCCTGCCAGGAAAATACATCTTTTTCCTCCCCAACAGCCTAGAATCTTCTAGTCTATCTCTGATGCTTCTGGAACTTGAAGTCCAGATCCACCTTCTGATACCTTATAGAAAAAAATGTGGTTTTGTTTTTCAACCATAGCAACTTTGTTCTCCCTCTCTCTGAAC